>NC_000005.10:103859807-104484807 GCF_000001405.40 Homo sapiens
GCATGGACATTTTAAAAGCCAGAGATTAGTATTGACAGAGTCTCTGTGGCCCAATATGGTGATGCTTTCCTATTCTAAAAGCAGATAAAGGCCAACATTCTCTGTTCTTTGTAAGAGGGAGCTGGGAGGAATCTGTAATTTAGTGTAAAGGTAGAGATTTCCACTGAGGCAATGTTCCAGTGAAGGAATTCACAGGAAAATAGGTTTAGAATGGTACAATAAATAATTCACAAAAATTAGAAAATCATTGATTCAATTTAACTGTGTGTTGAGACAAACCGGATTCCTAAAATTTTACCTTTGTTTGGAAATAAAACCTTTGTTTTGGAAACAAAGCTTTCTAATAATACATAAGCCTTTTATTTTTCTCCAGATTACCTCTAGTAGAGGACACTACCAAGACTTCTAGTTTTTGGATGTTTGGTTAAATTTTACTTTTCAATTCAAATTTTAAGTTTCATCAGTTAAGCTTCAATCTGTTATTATTTTATTTTTTTAGTACCAAACAATTAAAAGGCTATTAGAAACATATACTGGATGGTTTCTATTAGTGGCATCAGTACAATAAATAATGTGTTCGCAACATTTTTGTTTCTGAGGAGCTCTGAAAGCTGAAAAGCTAAATCTCTGAACACATTGTTTTTATTTAGAGGACAAAAATGAAATAGGTTTGCTTTGAAATTAGAAATTGCTAATCCTATTTCCTAAAGTTGTTAACGGTGAGTCCCTGTTTACAATTGGATTATCCACTGAACCAAGGTCTGCGTACCATGTGTGATGGAAATTGAAAAAGCCTGTATGACTAGCTGCCATTGATTTTATGTTACTGCACAATGGTAAATGTGCCATCTCTTTAACACCACTCTCTATGGCTCTATTAAAGTGCACTTTCAAGATTAGAAGCTCAAGAAAGTAAATCATTAAGTGAAGAGAAAATTAAAAATACAATTATTAATGAGACTGACAACCTTTGGCTGGCTCAATAATTATTTGCTTTTTAAATTGAGCATTTTATACAAATGTGCAGGTGTTATCAAAGTTATCATGTTGTGCTGAGAGATAATTGCTCTTTTCATGTTGTTTTTCTCACTGGTTAACATATGAAGCCTAAACTGATCTAGTCCTCATGTTAGAATAAAAGTGTTGTCTACAGTCCTCCTTTATAAGGGTATATCAGTCAGGGTTCTCCCATTGTGATGGTTAATATTGTCAACTTGATTGCATTGAAGGATGCAAAGTATTATTCCTGGGTGTGTCTGTCAGGGTGTTGCCAAAGGAGTTTAACATTTGAGTAAGTGGACTGGGAGAGGCAGACCCACCTGCAATGTGGGTGGGCACCATCTAATCAGCTGCCAGCATGGCTAGGATAAAGCTGACTTGCTGAGTCTTCTGGCCATCATCTTTCTCCTATGCTGAATTCTTCCTGCCCTCCAACATCAGACTCCAAATTCTTCAGCTTTTGGACTCTTGGACTTACACCAGTGATTTTTTTCCAGGGGGTCTCAGGCCTTCAGCCACAGACTGAAGGCTGCACTGTTGGCTTCCCTGCTTTTGAGGTTTGAGGACTCAGATTGGCTTCCTTGCTCCTGAGCTTGCAGACAGCCTATTGTGAGACTTCACCTTGTAGTCGTGTGGGTCAATACTCCTTAATAAACTCCCGTTCATATATACATCTATCCTATTGGTTCTGTCCCTCTAGAGGACCCTGACTAATATACCAGAGAACTAGAATCAATAGGATATACACATACAGAAAAAGATTGATTGTAAGGAATTGGCACTCACACAATTATGGAGGTTGGCTAGTCCCATGATCTGCAGGGTGAATCAGCAGGCTTAAGACCCAGGAAGATCTGATGATTAAGTTAAAGTATGAAGGCAGGAAAAGGCTGAGGCCCCAGTTCAAAGGCCAATGGGAGGAAATAATTCTCTCTTACTTGGGGGGAAAGTCAGTCTTTTGTTCTATTCGGGCCTTCAATTGATCAGATGAGGCCTACTCATATTATGGGAGCAATCTGCTTTACTCAGTCTATCAATTAAAATGTTAGTCTCATCTGAAAAGACCCTTACAGACACACCTAAAATAATGTTTGATCAAATATCAAAGCACCCTGTAGGCCAGTCAAACTGACACATAAAATTAACCATTACAAGCAGTAAGGATACATACTCATGATATGTTCAATTAAATGTCATTATTAATTGGGATTCAGAAAAGATGGTTTGAAATATCTTAACTAATTTCTACATTTAAATAATAGCTATAAATATCCCAGCAAGACCCTCTGGCTAGAAGAGTGTTTCCAAACCTCAACCCTAAGCATAGAACACAGAGATACATAACTCAAGCAGAAAGCGATTTCTTCTTTGGTAGAAGTACAAAACCTCAAGTGCTGATGTGGTCCTTCTGCCAGCAACCCTCATAAAAGTTGGCCAGGCGTGGCGGCTCACACCTGTAATCCCAGTACTTTGGGAGGCCAAGGCGGGTGGATCACCTGAGATCAGGAGTTCAAAACCAGCCTGACCAACATGGAGAAACCCCGTATATACTAAAAATACAAAATTAGCCAGGCGTGGTGGCCCATGCCTGCAGTCCCAGCTACTCGGGAGGCTGAGACAGGAGAATCACTTGAACCAGGGAGGTAGAGGTTGCAGTGAGCCGAGATTGGGCCACTGCATTCCAGCCTGGCAACAGAGCAAGATTCTGTCTTAAAAAAAAAAAAAAAAGTCAAAGGGTCCACAGTCATGAATTTTTCTAATCTGGCAAATTCCCAACTCAGCAAGGGGTATGAAGACTGTTGGCAGGTTTGTTCATTCTTAGCCTAGATAAGCATAACCACCTTGTAAATTTTGCATTATCAAAGTGCCATTTGTGCTTTTGTACTTGGATTGCTTTTTTCCATCTGTCTACACACACGGACACACATTTCAAATATATTTTTTTTTTGCTGTTTTATTTTACATTTATTTAAATATTGTCAAGAAAATAATGTTAATATTACATTTATGAAATCATGCAGTTTGTGCACTAGCTCTATTTCCCCAACTGACAGTAACATAAATGCATAATTAATACAATTTTAAAAAATCTGTGTGCCACATAAAATAAGCTTATTACTACCAATGGTTTGAGAAAAATTAAGTTTGCAAAAATTATTTTTAAAGGATGAAAATACCAGCCACAACTTGAAAATTTAAAGTAACTTTATTTTTTATTTTTTATTTTTTTATTTTGAGACGGAGTCTTGCTCTGTCGCCTATGCTGGAGTGCAGTGGTGCCATCTCGGCTCACTGCAAGCTCCGCCTCCCAGGTTCACGCCATTCTGCTGCCTCAGCTTCCAGAGTTGCTGGAACCACAGGCACCCGCCATCACGCCCGGCTAATTTTTTGTATTTTTTTCGGTAGAGACAGGGTTTCACCGTGTTAGCCAGGATGGTCTCGATCTCCTGAACTCGGGATCCGCCTACCTCGGCCTCCCAAAGTGCTGGGATTACAGGCGTGAGCCGCCACGCCCGGCCTAAAGCAACTATTTTTTTTTTAAATAAATGTTTAATCTTATAAATATGTCTAAAAGAGTAAAGTGGGCTTTTGTAAACCAGGGGCTATACAGTAGTAAAAATAGATGGTAAATTTGATTAGATAATATTCACATTGCTATACTGGTGGTTTAGGCGTAAACATATGAACTTTTGTGTATTTATAAATAAATTTGATATAATATGTGATATTAATATATTATGAGATGCAAAACATAGACCAAAATTAAAAATTTTAATGGATGGTATAGAAACATGTATAGAAATACACATGAAACATTTTTTCTCCACTATTCAGTTGATAGTCTTGAGCAATCTCTAGTGGTTATACTCCATTAGATGAAATCTGTAAATCAACATCAGGATTTGGCTGCTCATATGAATCAGTCATTTCACATTTCTTAAAGACTCTCTATTTATTTGCCATAATCTCTTGCTTTATTAACAGTTTCCAATTATTTTGTATACTTTAATTTTAGTTGTGGGGTAGAGTTAGAGCAAAACAATGGATAACGAAATAAAAGAACAACTGCTGAAGGACCAATAAGAGTAGATTTAGGTATCCTAATTAGTGGTATTCAAGAATGTTAAACATAGATTTATTTTTCTAGGAAAGTTACAGTTTTGTTTTGTTTTGTTTTTTTAAAGTAAATAGCTGAATTGGCAAAGATACTTTGCAGACTGCGACTCAGTATTAAGTTACTTCATGGTTGTTTACTACGAACTTAAGGACAAACAAGGGTCTTTCAATTTTTGCTTATGAAGACAAAGAGAAAACCTTTTGTTTTAAGTAGCATGTGGCTTATAGAAGCATCTTATTAAAATAACATTTTCCCTGTGGGCATATGTATTAAGAACCAGTTTACCCGGCCTAAAATCAATTACTTCTGCCTATGGCAATGAAGGTCTGAGTTAAACATAATTCTCAGAGGTAGTTAGCATTCCATTGAAGGTTATTGCTTCTATCCAAGAGAGGAGTTACCCAATTTAATCAATTCTCTGAGTGTTAAACCTTAGATAGTAAACAATTTAGATTATAAATAGTGCAATTATTAAGTATAACAAGACACTGTGTTTTAACTAGATAATTCACATAGTAATCAATGGCTAGCAAGAGTTCCAGTTGTTTAATATTTACTTGCACTTTTGATCGGAAGTCAACATAAAACAATTTTATTTATTAACTTATTTCCATGACTCTAGACTTGCTCTCTCTCTCTCATATGCTCTGCTCATTTAGTCAAAGGGTTTTTTTTTTTCTCTAAAGAAGGAACTGAGGTAACTTTCCTGATTCAAATTTTTACCTTATCTTCCATGCACTCTGGTAGAATCCAAATGCCTTACAGGGCTTAGTAGGGTTTTTATTATCTGACTCCTGTTTACTTTCCTAGCCTCAGGTTTTATCTCAGTAACTCTCTCGGTTTTCCCTCCTTTCTTCAACTTGAATTCTACACTCCGGTCATTCTAAAAATTTTTTTCTTTTATTTCTTCAAAGACAGTTCAATCTCTCACTTCAGAGTGTTTATATAGACTGTTGCCTCTGTTAGGAAATTTCTTCTGTTTTTGCCTCACTCATTTATTTCAATGTTTAGGTTTCAACATGGATACCAATACCACTGGACATCCTTCCCTCACTTGCCAAAACCAGATTAGTATTCTTTCTCAATAGTCCCATAATGATCTATTTTTTTCCTAGCATATATCTTTCCATCCTGAACTTGCAGCTTTATTTAATACCATGTCTAAATCTTACACTGTTGTGTTCCTAGAGGCTAGGTGCTGAGCAGGTGGTAGTTACTCAAGACATGTTTATTGAGTAATTCAGTGATTAAACTCTTAGTTAAAATAGAAGTGTTTTTCAATTTCTTAGTTAATACAGAAGTGATTCTTAACACACCCCCAACATTTGATCCACTTCCATCAGAAGCAATGGTTTATTCATAGTGGTTTTTTTTTTTTTTTTTTTTTTTTCTGAGATGGAGTCTTGCCCTGTCACCAGGCTGGGGTGCAATGGTGCTATCTCGGCTCACTGCAACCTCTGCTTCTCAGGTTCAAGCGATTCTTCTGCCTCGGCCTCCCAAGTAGCAGGGACTACAGGTGCATGCCACTGTGCCCAGCTAATTTTTGTATTTTTAGTAGAGATGGGGTTTCACTGTGTTGGCCGAGATGGTTTCGATCTCTTGACCTTGTGATCCACTTGCCTTGGCCTCCCAAAGTGCTGGGATTACAGGCGTGAGCCACCGCACCCAGCCATTCTGTAGCATTTTAATGGAAAGTGGGAGGCATAGTAAGGTCTCTATGAGTATGAAGTGGATGAGGTGTGTGTGTGCGTGTGTGTGTGTGTGTGTGTGTGTGTGTGTGTCCAGTTTGAAAGGTTCCCAGATGACTCTGATACGTTTCTCTGTGCAACATGGCTTCTGGACTAGATTTAGTAATTTAAGAATAGTCATTTGAATTCTTCCAAAATCAGCTACCTGTTTTAATAAAAATTTGAAAATCTTCATACTAAAACCTTGGGGAGAAAAAAAAAGACCTCATTATTTGGATACTATGGAAAAAGAAGACAATGGCTAACCATTTACCTACCTCTGCCTTCATTTTCCCATTCTGTTCCTAATAGTATTATTTATCACTTGGCAATTCTTTACTTTCCATCAGTGTAGAATATAGGGTGCTACTGTTAATCGTTCATCCAAGAATATGACTTAGCCATAATAGACACCTGCTAAGATTCTGTTTAATGGGGATATGGAGGTGTTTGTTAGCTCCCAGGGTTTATCCAAATAGCATGAATTTTAAATTATAGGTAGAAGTCTGTCAACAGCTACTATACCTTTTTCTAGCTATATCCAGGAAAAGATTTTGCCAATGTAATCAGATCAGAAAATGAAATAAATTATGAATATTAGAGAGTAAGATATTTAAACACAAAAAACATATAGTGGATTTTGAAATCATCAGCTTTTATGAAAAAATAGAAGAAAGTTTCAGAATTCTTTTAGATTAGTAAGAAATGAGTCATAGCAGTCATAATACTAGCAGGATTTACTGAAATATTCGGGGAGGCATATGGTATTAAAGCCAGCAAAAATGGTTTTAATGAACTATTTAAAAATATTATACCTTATATCTTAGAGAAAGAATGCTGTTATACAGAAGAACTTACTATTTGAGAATGAATAATTGAGGAAAAGTGATGGATTAATCAATTAATGGTGTGAAAGTAGGGGGCTCACCTCTTAGAAAAACAAATTTGACTCCTACATCACACGGAATAAATTGCCGATGATTTAAATGTGAAAATATTTTTATAGTACTAGAGGAAATATAGGTAAATTATGTAAGTATTGACATTAGTAAGCCATATTAAAACATGATACCAAAAGCCAAAATTATTGTAAACCTCTCTGGCGTGGCGTGATCTTGGCTCACTGCAAGCTCTGCCTCCCGGGTTCACGCCATTCTCCTGCCTCAGCCTCCCGAGTAGCTGGGACTACAGGCACCCGCCAACACGCCTGGCTAATTTTTTTGTATTTTTAGTAGAGACGTGCTAGCCAGGAGGATCTCAATCTCCTGACCTCGTGATCCGCCCACCTCAGCCTCCCAAAGTGCTGGGATTACAGGCATGCATTTAATTGTTTTGATTTTGAAAATTTTCATCCAAAATTCATTCTATGCTAAAGACACATGTACAAAGATGTTTTCATAACTCCAAAATGTTAATTGCTGTGGAAGCAGGGAATTAGTGCATTTTATTCAGTTTTATGCAAAGTATCTAGAACAGTATCAAGTACATGAAGGTAACTAACTACTTTCTCTTCATGAATCCTTTGTTCTAGTCAAACTGAGCCCCTAACCAACCCATAAAAATAACTTCATTTTATGGTATCTATTTTAATATTACTTATTCTTTTTTCTGAGAAGGGCTTTCCTTTTGTCCCTGTTCAAATTTTTTCATCTGTCCCGGATTTGTCTTAAATTTTGAAAAATAATTTTTAATTTATATTTTTTCCATTCCATTATTTATTTTGTTTCTCATATGATATTTAATTCCATATATATATATAAAATCTTTGTTTTTCTGAACATGTACTTTCCACTCATAGAATAAGTTTTCTGATGATATAGACCAATGCCTTATTTATCTTATTTATGCCAATTATCTTATCAATTTATCAATGCCAAATTATCTTATTTATCATTTTATATCGTATAATGGATAGCAAACACTTTGAATAGAGCAGAAGATTTTTTGAATTACTGAGCTGAGAAAATTTTTTCAGAAATGGTGCAATTACAATCTTTCTTATATAGGATCTAAAAAAACAAAGAAAATATAATGTTTACAAAGTAGCTTAAAAATCTGAGGGGAAATGTCAAAATCGCTCTCAAGTTAAGCTTTTATTTCACCTGCCAAATAGAGCTTATGTATTTATTTTTAAAATGTAACTAAGTCAAGTATAGAGCATTGGAATTAGGAGTTTTTTTTTTTTTTAACCAATGTTTTATTCATTCTAAGTCATTGTTTTGTTCCATTTCACAGTAATTAATTTATGTCAGTGATCTTATCAGATCACACATGCAGGAGTCATAGCAAAAGTAATTTTGAAGCTAGCATGAGTAAGAGATTCAGAACAGATAAATGCTTACAGAAGTTTTTGTGATTTTTCTCTAACCTACAAATATCGGAAATCTTTCTGAGCTGATCCATTTGAGAATTTAAGACCAGCAAGTTTAGATAAGCATCTTAGGAATTATGACTCTGTTTTCTCAAATGTGGCAGGTGTGCAGAACTTTATTTTGGCTTGCTTACAGAATCTTAATCCATGCAGGAAGTATGCCACTTTATCTGTCTCAGTCATTAGTTCTACTGACACTACTAAGTTGGGAGATCCAAATGCAATCACGGATAGCACACACCTGCTTAATGCTTAACAGCTCTTGTCATAGTGGTCATTTAAACACAAGGTGGTACTAAATATGTCCCTATTTTCTGGGCAAGTCATTGTCTGGCTGGCCGATTTCCCCATTGAGATGCTTATCTGACATGGCTTCTGCCACCATCGTCCTGCACTTCTCCATTAAAGAGCAGCCATTCAGCTGTGAGTTCCCCATTGCTTCAGCTGGACTCCCAAAGCTCTCTGAACTTACAATACCCAGATGCTCGCTCCATGACTGGCTGATTTTATTTTCATTTTTCCAAGAATGGCCAAGCAGTTATGTGTTAGACTAGGGTTGATGAAGGAGTCAAAGCAAAACAGCCTGCTCCACAGTTAAAAACAGGGAAGTCTCGCAATGAGTTGCCACAACTTTCTGAGCTGGGGAGAAACAAAGTTGATTTATTTTGAAGTCTTTCTTGCTCAGATCTCATTACAGTGCTTATGGGGCTGCCACGACTGCCCTCAGGTATGTATAAGAGAGTAAAGTACAGCCCACGGAAAGGGTTGAGCAAAGCTGTCCTCTAGGATCAGGCCTTATCTATATTATCACCAGAAACAATGATAATCACAACGACCACCACGAAAACAGATATTTTCTACTTTTACTTATACCAGCAATGCATGTCTACTCAGGTTATGCATTTGCCTATAGACTATTGCTAAAATGCTCTCAGCTCATTTTTTGATGTTAGTCATGTTATTCTCCTGTAATGTTACAGATGTGATCACTCATTTAAAAAAAAGAGCTGAATTTTATTTTAATTTGCCTTTTCTCTTTATTTTCGAAGTTCCAGCATTTTAGCAGTCTAGGAAAAGGTTTCAGGCTTTTATTTATTTTTTTTCAGATTAAAACAATGTGTGCCTGTAGCATTCATCATTTAAGAAAATAGTGTTTTTCTCTTTCAGATCCCAATTTCCACTCATTATTAGAGAGCTGAATTCTAAACCAAAGATTGTGGAGAAGAGATGTACAACCTGAATAAAACATTTCCAGACGTGCCTGAATAATGGTCCTGAATAAAGGGACCTGCAATGTTCTTGAATTGTAATTGGAAAAAATTCAAGTGTGTGTACTCAGGAGCACATGTACTAAGAAGAGGTTAGTTATTATTATTTTTAGTGCTATTTAACATTTATGGCGCCCCAATAGTATATTTAGTTCTGAATTGAATACAAGTGGTCTGATAAGTGATCTCCCATCTAAATCACCCATGTGGAGATTCATCTGTAATCATTCTTTGTGCAGAGAGAGGCAGCACTGACAAACAACCCGAGTAGGGGGATTGTGAATGCAGCAGTATAATCTAACTCACACCCAAGTAAAAGAATTTGTTCAGACAAATAGGATGTTTGAAAATATCACTGGCACTTTTTTTTTCTTTTACCTGATTTTTCTGTGCCTGGACATTCAGCAGTCAGTGAACACAGTTGTTGTGCTCATACCAGGTCAATGAAAAATTGGAGAAAGAAGTAAAGGTTTAGGAGGACTACGATTAGGTTTAATCTCTGACCTCAAGGACTTTATACTCCACAGATAAGTAATAAAGTCTGTTTTTTGACAACAACGTAAAGCAGGGATGGCTGCTTTTGAGAGACTGTCTCTGATACTTAATTCTGAAAAACATAATAGAAAAAAATACTGAAGTAATAAATACCATAGTACAAAGGAAATTATAAATATACAAGCACACTCCTATGATAATTCAATGTAAGATGGAATTGAGAAAGGGAGACGTGTGTGAATCATGGTAGAATCTACAGAAATAAATACATACTTCTGTGTATAAATCTCTGTCAGTTACTCTCTACACACAAAGGAAAAAAACGATCCTACCTCCTAAGAAGAAAATAAACATCCACCGATAATAATAAAACAGGGAACATTGAATTCTAAGCTAAGAAGCATAGACTTTGTTCTCTAGCACTGGGGAGCTGTTGAAAATTTTTGAGCAGGTGAGTGACATGTCCAGAATTGCATTTTATGAAGATTAACCTGATGGCATTTTCAGGATTGATTAGTGTGAAGCCTGTATTGTGAGAGAGCAGATTGTTAGTAATGCAAGTCTGAAATATGGTGGTGGCAATGAGAATAGAAAGGAAGAAATTGATCTGAGAGATCCATGACAGTGGAACTACGGGACTTGATTATTAAATATGGGACCTGAAGTAGAAAGATGTCAGAGATGACTCCAGATGCTTTGAGCCTGGATGAGAAATCCAGTATGGAAGAGAAAGAATGTCCTGACTGTCAGTGTCTGATTATTATCTTCCAGATGTTGTGAATCATGTAATCGATTGCATTTTCAAAATCTTGGGTCCAAATCCATGTTACACATCTACTAAGCATACCGTGTAGTCCTGGCATCTGTTTTTTGCACAGTAATCCATTGCCAGCCACAGGTAACACACTACAGAAAAGTATTGTGTGTGGTGAAACTACAGTTGACAAAAATGAGAGACTGCAAAAACATCACATTTAAAATACTAAAAATTAAACCTCAGTAAATAAAAATTCTAGTAAAAATCCACTTCCAAAATAAAATAGATCAATCTGAGTTAAATACCTGCTTTAAATTTATCCATCTCATCAAAACAAAAGCACTAGTTAGACACACCTATACACACACATACACACACACACACACACACACACACAGAACTTTTCTCTGGAATCACTTTTGTTTGTTCAGGTGATATTATAGAAGTGGTATATTCTGCTGAGGCAGATTCTCCTAGAAGTTTTGTATTATGTGGAGTGTATGGCTTTGTAAAGTCTTCAAGCTACCTTTTACTGTCTTGAAAGTTAATGTATCTTTTTCTCGATTGCGTTTTTAGTAAGTCTCAGATAAATGCTTGTGTACCTGCTTGGCATGTTCACAAATTACTAAGGTCCTGAAGGACATGTATTTCTACTCTTTCATCTGCACATTGAGATCATGGGATTTAACTTGATGCCTTATACCTGCAGAATCCCCTAGACTCTTTCAAGTGATCCACAGAAGTAGAGAAGTGAAATTTCAGTAGAGTCTTTTGCTTAAGGAGATTGAAACTATTCTGTGTAAACATATATGCATGCGGTTAGAACATTTTATGCAGCTATACAATGTTTTATAGAAAAATGAAAACATGATTGTCAAAGTCACAGTTGATAAGGCATTACAGTACTAACTTCATTTATGGCCTCAAATGTTTTCCACCTTCATTTTCCTCTGTTTTGTTTTTTTCTCTTCTTGGTAAAAATTTTATTTTCTTTTATTGTGTGTGTAGTTTTTTTTTTTTTTTTTTTTTTGTAATTCTGGTATATCATTTAGCTGAGATTCTCTAACTTTAGAGGTCTCATAGGGGCATAATAAAGCCACAGGATAAATGTCACTATCTTCAAGTAAAGTATAAAAGTATTGCTCCAATAATTTTTGAAGAGGTTCCAAAGTTTAAGTATTAATATAAACATGTATTGTTGGTGCTATTGTTGTTGAGTAAAGGCAGTGTTCACAGGAATTGAAGTGATCAAAATTTCAAAGGGATGCCATGCTTGAAGCAGACAGCTTTAGACTCTACCTATCATTTCAAAGGACTTGTTCACAAACTGATGCGCAGCTTAGTAGTCAAGATTTCAGTTGTTGGCATCAGACAAATTTTGTTTGAGATCTGATTGCATTCTTAACTAGCTGCAAAGCTGTGGCAATATACTTAATTTCTTTAAACCTTAGCTTCATTGTCTGTAAAATGGGAGAATAATAATATTTACTTCACAGCATTGCTACAAAGATGAAATAAAATATTATTATGTGTAAAATACTTAGCAAGGGCTTGTCACGTAATTAGTGGTGCATGTATGGTCTCCTGTGTTAATTCATAGCTGCTTTTGCATTTTATTTTAGTAGTCATACCAGAAGGTACTTATTTGATCTTGTCAATTTTAAAACACCTTCCTAGGAAACCTCAGGAATTGAATAGCTATTTTCCTCTTCACTGCTGTGGAAACATTATGCACCTTCCTTTATTACCTGATACATTTCTGCATTATCATTGTGGTTTAATTATTTGGTTACTTTTATTCCTCCAGGGAAACTGTGGGCTTCCTGAATACTTGCTCTGAGAAAGGATATGGATCTCTCAGTATACACTAAGTGATTTTTGTAAAATCATAGCTGACTCTGAAGTTAAATATTTTAAATAGCAGTAGGACATGGAAATACTCTAATAACATGATAAAGTTATTGTGTTGAGTTTTAGTCATATTTAGGTAATAAATACTTTTAAATGAAAATGTAAAGGTAAATTACAGAAATGACTATAATTCGTGCTATACTACGGACAGAGCTAAACGGTTGGTAAATTTGAAAAGACCGATGGAAAGGCTGGATCACTTATGAGATTAAATTCCCATTTTAAGTGAGTTAAAAAAGTGCAAGCATTTCAAATAGATCATGGTTTAATTAAGCATTCATTTTTCAATTCACTATATTATTTCATGGGCAACATGCTGATATTATTCACATATTTTCACATTCCTGGATGGAACTGATTTATTATTTTGAGATTAGATACAAATGTATAGGAACAAATATACTGCCTCATTAGAAATTTCCTCCTCAAATGCCTATAGATGCAGACCTTATTTACAATGCAATAAATACCTGAAATAGTTTCAAAGTTTGCGGGAAATCTATTCATGTTTATCCCTGAGTTTTTTATTCTGTGATATATTAATAGAAACATACATAGCCTTCTTATATACTTTTAAAACTTTACCCAATAAACTGTTTTCTTTTAAGTCCTCAAACCAGGCAGGAAGAAGAAATAACTTAGGTAAAATTAAACACAGTAAAACCGATACAGCACAAGGTAGACTTAGTCAAATTAGAAAAAATGTGAGCCATCACACTGAGGCCAATTATTCTTAGAAAAATATATAGATAGAGATGATTATTTCAGTAATCTGGGGATAATGTTCGCCTCATTTTAGCCTGAGTTATCTTGGCAAATTGAATCATGTAGATTTTACTTTTTTCTGTAAATAACATAGACAGTGACCCAAGTCCTCTGCTGTTATCTGACTGGTGACTTCCCTTTAACAGAGAATACATTGTGAAATATGTAGATGAAGACATTTAGTGTCACCGCTTCTCTATTCTCTTTTCAAAAGGTCATTGGAGAAGAGATAGTGAATGCTTGGCTCTTTAAGTATAAGGTGTTTAGAACACTTCAAGAATTTCCTATACATGGAAAGATTTGGAAGAGTCCTTCATTCATAGGTGAGTGTGAGATTATCTGAAGGACTGTTTATTTCTAGGACTTGGAGTCTGGAAGCACAGTTTCTCAAAACGTAGTGAATGAATTGCTGCTGGGACATAAGATTACTTTAGGTGGTAGATGAACAAACACCTTTAAACTTTAATAGCTGAGATTTTTAAAATTTTAAATGTGAGGTAGAAAAATATAGCTAGTTAAACACACTGGAGATTTAGTGAGATAAGTGAAATTAGTAAATCTATAGATATATCTATTATTATATATATGTATTAATACACCCCCCATAGTAGCATCACCACCTCCCTATACTCTTTCCCAAAGGTCATTGGAGAAGATAATGAGTCCTTGGCTCTTTAAGGGTAAGGTGTTTTGAACATTTTAAGAATTTCCTATACATGGAAAGATTTGGAAGAGTCCTTCTTTCATAGGTACCATGTGCTAATATTATAATATTATATATAATATATACACACACTATAATAGGTAGTGACTACAGCAAATACCTGTGTTCTTTTTCATGATATATTAACATGTCTTACAAGGATATGGCAGCCAAAATTATGAAGAGATTGTACTCATGGCTAAACTTTGAGAAATACTGCTCTTAAAGTGAAAGATTGGTTAGGTAGATGACACATTCTTCATTCAGTTCGTATGTCTTCCCTCAGTCAGGGATACTGAGCAATTTGTTACTATCACCACCAATGAACAAGAGAGAGTACATTAGGATAACATTTTCCAATGAAAAAAACATAAGCACTATGTACTGCCTACTAATGTATTATTTTGCTTATGTTGGTTTAAGGTAACACAAGAGTTGTTTTTAAATTGTAAATTGTGCAGAAAGTTAATCAATTTGAAGGAGGGATTTTTTATTTCTGGCTGCAAAATTTGAGTATCCAGGGGATTATATGTTGGGTAAAGCTGTTTGTGTATTTATTCTTTCAATTGTCTATTCCATAAATATTTATTAGGTTACTATTTTTTCTTTCAGTTGACTATAAAACACTTATTATGATATACATGTTTTACAAAAATTATAGGCCTCTTTTTTGTTGATATCAAAGAAAGGAGAGATGTCCACAATTGTTTGTTAGGTAAAATTATCTTAACAGATTTTTGTGCTTTTTTGTCATAAGAATAGAAAACAGTGTTTTGCAGGTTGTGGGTCATGCACCGTCTGAAGGAAAGTCTCCTGAGATACTTCCCTTTCAAGTTCTCTTGGCGGGGTCTGGAAGTCTACAATTTTAACTAATTTTTAGGTGATTTTTATGCATATTTCAAAGTTTAGGAGCCACTAAGAAAGAGAGTAGGTAATGAGTCTACTCTTTGTGCAGATTTCCACATGTAAATGGATGTTAAACATTCTCCTTAAATAATTATTAAGCATGGTTCTACAGTTTGAGGATTAGCTGATTGTTTTTATTCTTCTTTCATTCTCAACTCCTTCAGCCCCTGCCCAAGGCATACACACATAGGTCTCTAACATTTTAAGCTAAAACTGCTTTGGAAAAAAATGGATTCTTCTACTATTATGTCCTTATATAAACTTGAATATCACCCTAATGCAATGTTTTAATTTCACTTCATTTTCAAAATGCTTAAATAAACAACACACACACACACACACACACACACTCTAAATATGGAAGCTGAAAAACAAAGTATCTTCACAGAATACTACAGATTGAACATCTGACTATGCTTCAAGATATTTTCATTGATTCATTTGATACATCTTCTGTTGAGCTGATCAAAAATTATCAGAACACTTGTTGGTTTTAGGATAATTTTACTGCTACTTCTAGCTGTACCCTGGCAAGTAAAAAAAATAAAGAAAAATGTAAACACATCTTGTTCTAATGCAGAGATGAATAGCACTGAAAGAGTCCCAGTGTGGCACTTCTGGCTTTGGTCAACAAGGCTGAAAAGCAACCTGGGACAAACAAGGGAAAATGGAGGGGAAGTGTTCCCATAAATTCAAAATTAAGTTCCTTCTTCAATTTCCGTGAAACAAACTCCCTGTGGTGAACATCTGGCAGGCCATTAACTTTTGTTACTTTATTTTATTAAAAAATCTTAAGGTGAGAAAAATTTCTCTGTTTGGAGACTTGATTTAGCATTCAGGCTAAAAGTCCAGGCCATTGTGTTGTCATTTGCATGGTACCCATGATCCAATAGGGCATATCACACTTACAGCTTTTACTGTTTTCCATCAAAGGTTGCGGTTATTTGTCATTTTTAAAAGTCATTAATTCTGATTAATTTTTTAAATATATAAATCAGCTGATCGGTGGCCCATATCTGCTGGAAGAAAAGTGTCTGCAAGATTCTTCATACTTTACAGCTTCTTACTTGCATTTTTTCACTGCATTATTTTCTACAGGAGCTTGAACATCAAAACTATTTACATAGAAGTTTTTCAATGATCCATCAGAAGGATGTGAACTGTTGATTGCACCATTTTCTTTATTTGCACAGCTGCTATAACCTTTAAACTATTTTCTTATTCTCTTTCTCTTTTCTTTCTCTTTTTTTTTGTTTTGTGAGCTAATTGTCACTTTCTTAAGTAAACATTCGTATTTCACCACCAGAACTATTCTTGCACGTTACCTTTAAGCCATTGCAATTGCTTATTAGTCAGGTTATTTTCTGTGAAAAGTGCTGAGTAAATGTTAAACAAATGAAAATTATTTATTTTTTCCTGAGTATAATGTAATTTATGAACTTGCATCTTTATATTTCCTTGATTATATGTGTGCATCTATCTATCTAATCTCATCTATCTTTCTTATTTAACATATGAGGTGTGTTAGTCTGTTCTCATGCTACTAATAAATACATACCCAAGACTGGATAATTTATAAAGGATTGAGGTTTAATGGTCTCACAGTTCCACATGGTTGGGGAGGCCTCACAATCATGGCAGAAGACAGAGGAAGAGCAAAGGGACACCTTACATGGCGGCAGGCAAGAGAGTGTGTGCAGGGGACCTCCCATTTATAAAACCATCAGATCTCATGAGACTTATTCACTATCATGAGAGCAGCACGGGAAAGACCCACTCCCATGACTCAATGACCTCCCACCGGGTCCCTCCCATGACACGTGGGAATTATGGGAGCTACAATTCAAGATGAGATTTGGGTGGGGACACAGCCAAACCATATCATGAGGTTTAAATACAGCAGCTGTAAGTTAAAAATGTACTTAATTTTATGAATAAATCTAATAAGTATTTTCCCCCTACAGCAATACGCAAGTATAGTTTCTACTTATTATAATTGCCTTGCCCCTGGACAGTGATACAGTACTTATGGCAAGCTGCTAACTGATCCTCAATCTTTTATGAGTAAAAACATACACATTTCTTCTTCTTTTAGCTTTTTGTTAAATTAAATGCAGAAAAACTTCAATACTGTTTTCTGAAACAATTATAATAGCTACTTTTTAGTTTATAAAACAGATTACATTATTAATTTCTAAATATAGGAGATTAAGTATAAGCTGAATTTTGTGTTTTGCTTGTGGATTCTAATATGATACGTAGTGAGTTACATTGAAAAATACAAAAACAGGCTTATTTATATTTTTCCCCAATAGTCTCAGCTTAACTAAATATCTACATCTATACCTATCAATGTATAAAATGCTCTGCTGTTTGCAGAATGAATTTTACAGAACCCCTTTGAATTTGGCAGTGGCTCCAGAAATTGAGTCTGGAACGGTATGATTATGTAAATGAGAAATCATCAGGACAGATAGCATTTTGAAAACGGAAGAGTGAGGTTCACATTTCAAAGATTTTTATGAGGTTGTATAAAGAGTAAGAGCAAAGTTCTATGATTCTAAATATGCTGCTCTTTCCAAAATGGTGAGTTCTATTTTTTTAAATATTTTTAAATTTCTTTGAGGTATTTTAAAACACACATATGAAGTACAGTATAAAAATTAAAACAATTTTATATGTATAATTGAGCCTCATAACTTCTCAAGAAAAATAGGAGGTCCATAAAGAATTTCACTTTTGTATTGCTTTTTAATTATATCTGTAATATAAGAATACTTTATAAGCTATTCCAAAACCCAGATGTATATAGAATTAAAACATGAAAGCCCACTTTTGGGCTCTCAACAGCAAATTCTATTTCCTTCTGCCAATATAACTGCAATTTTCTTATCTATTTACTGCTACTTAATTTTCTTTTTTCACTTAAAATATATCTTGGAGTTCTTTTCGCACAATTTATTTTGTTCTTTTTAATTAATTCATAGTTTTCCGTAGTAGAGATATGATATAATTTTGATACTGGAGAGTTCCCTGGCCTTCGTTCCAGGACATGCAACAGGGGTGTGGCTCTCTGTTCAGCCTTGGTGAGCTCAAACCCCTTATGGGAGGGGAAGCATGCAGACAGGGAAGTGCAGGAGCCAGGATGAATGGTCTGGGCTCCAGCCCCACGGCAGTGTCTAGGGGTGGGTGTGTGTGATTCCTGAAGCCCAAGTGGGCATGTGTTACAACGCATTCTCTCAGCTTTGCCATTCACAGACAGCTTGTGTTAACCAGCTCAGTGTCCTCTCCAAGTCCTTGTCCAGCGTCCAGGAAGAATCAGGTCACATACAGACTTGAAGGATGAATGCAGAGGTTTTATTGAGTGGTGGAGGTGGCTCTCAGCAGGATGGATGGGAAGCTGGAAAGGGGATGGGTGGGAAGATCATCTTCCCTTGGAGTTTGGCTGCCCAGAGGCCCATCTCCTCTCCATTTGTTCCCAGCCAATCTCCTCTTGGTGTATAGATGCTCCTTCTTTTTTTCTCCTTCTCTGCCACACTATTCTGCCATTCGTCTGCTTGCCTTCTCCTGGAGCTTGGGGTTTGGGGTTTATATGGGTACAGGATAGGGGGCATGGTGGACCAAAAGGCAACTTTTTGAGTGCGAAAACAGGAATGCCAGTTCTCACTTAGGGCTGTGGTTTCCAGGCTTGAGGGTGGGGCTTATGTGGGGGAACCACCCTCTCCTACCCAGTATTTTCCCTGTCTCCTGTCCATGCCAATTTTATTTATAATTTCTTCATTGTTGAGAATTTTGTCTATATTTTTGCTATTCATAAATTATGCTTTAATGAACTTCTTTTTCATATCTCTGAATGCACAAGTGAGTTTTTTTTTGTTTGTTTGTTTGTTTTTCAAAGATGGAGTCTCGCTTTGTCACCCAGGCTGGAGTAGAGTGACGTGATCTTGGCTCACTGCAACCTCTGCCTCCCAGGTTCAAGCGATTCTCCTGCCTCAGCCTCCTGAGTAGCTGGGACTACAGGCACGTGCACCATCACACCAGGCTAATTTTTGCATTTTTTAGCAGAGATGGGGTTTCACTATATGTTGGCCAGGCTGGTCTCAAACTCCTGACCTCAGGTATCTGCCCCCCTCCTTCTCCCAAAGTGCTGGGATTACAGGCATGAGCCACCGTGCCTGGCCCACAAGTGAGTATTTCTAACAGGTATATTTCTAGAGACACGACTATTTGTTTGCCATCATGCTCACATTTGAGTTTGATACATCCTGCCCTAGTACTCTCCTATCAACAGTGTATAGGTGACCATTTCTCTCCACCAGTGCCAAACCAGATATAACCAATACTAATAATTACATCTTATTTTATTTTTTATTTTCTTGATTACTGGTTGTGCTGATTAGCTTTTCAATTATTTATTTTCTCTTAGAAGTACCTATCCCTATTTTGACGATTTTTCTATAAGATTTTTTTTTCATATTGGTATGTAGAAAGACTTTTTTTTTGAGACAGAGTCTTGCTCTGTCCCCCAGGCTGGAGTGCAGTGGCGTGATCTTGACTCACTGCAACCTCCACCTCCTGGGTTCAAGCAATTCTCCTGCCTCAGCCTCCTGAGTAGCTGGGACTACAGGCAGGTGCCACCACATCCAGCTAATTTTTGTATTTTTAGTAGAGAAGGGGGGTTCACCATGTTGGCCAGGGTGGTCTTGAACTCCTGACCTCGTGATCCACCTGCCTCGGCCTCCCAAAGTTTTGAGATTACAGGTGTGAGCCACCATGCCTGGCCGGTATGTAGAAATACTTTATATAATCTACCTGAAATCTACACATAAAGGAGGCAGAAGAGTGAGGTAACTTCCCAGTCCTATGTTTTTTCAACTGCAGTAAAGGCATCTGCTTCATAGTAAGGGCCGAATAATTTTTAGCTATTTTTATTAACCTTCTATGATGATGTATTGAAATCCACAGTGCTCTTTCTAAAGAAGGCTATTATTAAGATTCTTTACGGAATACAAAAGTACAAAATAGGATAGACATGTCCAAAAATGTTACCTATATGTATTTCTGTTACTTGGTATGCAGATACCTAAAGGGAATCATTAAGAGGGTGTGTGGGCACTTGCCACATTTTAAGTAGAAACTCATTATTTGATGAATTTAATCAACATTGACAAAGGGAAGTTTTCTCAGGTCTCCTCTCCAAATATATATCTGACTTATCTAAATGTACCTATTGTATAGAATAATTTAATCAGAAAATTGCTGATCTTTAATGAATTTATTATTTGTAGATATAATTAATGTATGTAGAAGATTTATGGGAATTAATTTTAAATTTGTTACACTATTTCAGGTTACTGGTAAGTTTTGTGGAGTTCCACTATTGTCTATTTTCTTTGACTTTCTTTGAAATTTTAGTTCCAGAGTGTTTATTTTATGTATAAGTATGTACACACACACACATATACACATAATATACACACAAAATATATATGTGTATTGTGTATTTGCATATTTTATCAGAAAAACATTATTTAGAGAAATAGAGGATAGATGATACCTCAGCCTGACCAGCAGACATGCCTTTTTCTTGAAGAACAAGAATCTAATACTAGTGTCTATGCAGACAGATTTTGACAGGTAATTTTCTTTTATTAAAGAATATGTAAAGTCTTTTTCCCTTATAACTTTTCATCATTGTAATTCCCTAAAATTACTAATAATCTCCAAAGACTCTTGCATACTTTTATCACCTTGCTCTTTTCATCTTCCTTCAAGTTGCTTATGCTATTGCTATTTTATTTCAAAACTTGCTTCTTACCCACTTTATCTGCCAACTGAGGTTTTACCTTCTGAGGCTCTTCGAGTTGCCTTTTCTTGCCAGCTGACTGCATGCTCTCAACGCGCTTCTGTACACTCAGTCTCTGCCTTTTCGTCTTTCAATTTATACCACCTCTCTCTTTCCTCTCTTCTTCAGCTACACTGAGCTGGTTTTATTTTGTGTGCATAGACAGAAAATGTCCTTATGACAAGAAATGCCACTGCTAATCTTATTTTCCATTTCTAGCGTATATTTTATTAAATTTTTTTGTTTCATTTTTTAACCTATGTACTGACACAGTGCCAGGCTTATTTCAAGATTTTTAACTCAGTCGACACCAACTGGCATGTGTTAAACTAGGAGGAAAAAAAAAAGAAATCAAACAGAATAAGAATTACTGGAAATCAACAGCACTTTCTGGATGAAGGACTTTGGTAATTGAATTGTTACATAGCCACTAGGTTTAGGCAAAGGAATACAAAATGCCCAAGATAAAACTGAGGAGAATTGCTGAGTCCGTTAAACTAGATTTGAATAATTTGTTCCTGTGATAGAACCTATTCCTATAGAAAGGCATCATATGACTGAACCTGAAAATAAAATTACTGTCAGATATAAAGCTCATTGTGAATACAGTAGCAGTGCTAGAAATGTAGAACATTAAAAAATATAACCAAGTGCCCGGTTATGATTTATCATCAGCATCAGGAAACAAACATATCGCATAGGCATTAGGTTTAGAGCAAGTTTTTTTTCTATATATGTTAATAGGAATAAGCAAATGGAGAGATTAAATTTTTTTTTCTGTTTCTGGCATGCTACTGAATACATTGAGGCCAGCCTAGAATTTTAAAACTTCTTGAAAATATATTTTCAGCATTTCTATTCCAGGATAACTCTTTGCACATTTTGATGTAAATGTTTCCTTGTTTAAATAACCCTACACATACATGTGTGTGTGCACTATAAGGTTAAAAAAAAAAAAAGTCAAATAGGATTGCTTTGCTCCAGAAAGAACTGTTGATATATAATGATAAAAAACAAAATTAAATATTAAATGCAATGAGAAATACAGGTTTAAATTGGTTCGCAGTAACACATTGCAATTATCTTTTCCAAAGACAGAGGTCATTACTGAATTAATATTTGAAAAATTCTTTCTATTTATAGGCCTTCAAAATGGTGTACTCTTGTTTTGAAACTTGGAGAATGCCTTAACACTCTGCAGGCCAGATCCATTGTTTCAGCTGTGAGAATAGGTTGGCTGGTCTTCCACAGAAATAACAACTTTGGTTCTTTAGGGTCTGATGTCTTACATTCTGGAAGAAAGAGGAAATTTAAGTTTTTTTTTCTATAAAAATACGATAACCTTAAAAATGAACAAAACAAAGTGTTGGTATGATATTTAAGTATGTAATTACACAATAAATTTGGAGTTTCATGTAATCTAGATCACATTAATATTGATCGTTTTCAATCCATTCTATAAAGATGTATACCTCATCAAACATAAATTGCCATTTCTTTATATATCAGTGTAATTTGACTACTTTTATTTCAAAAACCACAATTGTCCTATGGGTTTTTTCTAGTTATGTCTTGTGAAAGAGGAGAATTTATGCTAAGGCCATCCCAATTTCTCTGCATTTCTTGAGGATTGGAAATTAACTAGTAGATAAGTGATTCTTATGGAAAGCTAAGTGCACACTGAACTTATAAAGCTATTAAAAAAAAAAAAAAAGCAGGGCAGTCTTGGAATTAAAGTCCTGCTATGTGTGCTTCAGGTGCTTTTTAACTTTATCTTTATCATTATAATTAGGAAGACTCAAGACTGGAATAGCAAATGATTAGTCAAGCCTGCAATTTCAATTCAGTGTTGGAGATGTAGGTGAACATCCTTGTTTGCTCAGGGATTTTTGACTCCAGCTTTCCTGTCATTGTCCTGTACTTTTTCAAATGTTAAAAACATACCATTGGAATAACATTCAATATGAGAATATTTTGCATACAAGATAACAATGTCAAGACAGAGAAATCACAATATACTAATGGCTAGATCTATATATTTTATGACCAAGTTGAAAGAACAACGGTAGCTAAAGATAAATAACATATAGCTTTTGTTATACGCTGAATTACTGGGAACATTACATTTTCTTATATATTCTATTGCACAGGTAGGGAATCAGAACACTTTTGATGTGTTTGTGGATGGTTTGTGTTTGGAACAAAAAGATGCAGTTTTCTATATATATATATATTTTTTTTTCCATTTTATCCAAACTGGTAAATGTTTCCTCTCCCTTTTCTACTGACAATGATAATACCATTTAGATCACTGAGGATATATATTTCCTAGGAGCTCAGATTATAATAATATAATATTTATATAAAACCTTATAATTTATACAAATCTTCATATTTATCATCTACTTAGTGTGGTCTTTATTGTGTGTGCCATGCATTTTTATTCCTTAATATTAAAGAACTAAAAGGAAGACAGTTTACTTAATGTAGCCTAGCTTTCCTCAACCTATTTAATACTGTTTTCTGTAAACCAGGTTACTGATCCCATGAAAAATTCCAAAGGTAAAAATCATAAAGAAAATAAAAGGACTAATCAATTTGAATACAAAATAAATTTTATGTTTCTGAGTGGAGTAACTAAAACCCACATAGAGTAAAGAGGAGAATAATGATGCAATAGCATGATATTTTGAATTGTTATCTGTAACTTATTTTTAACAGTTTCCTTCTCCTACGGAAACTTTCTTCATTCAGAAGCTCAGCATTCACCTTCCTTGTTTCAGAAAAGGGATAAGACCACAGAAAGCAGAGAAAACAAAGCACATTAATTCTGAATTTTCACATTCAAGTAGCCAATTCAAATTGATAGCCAAGTGTTATGGCTCCTTTTTACGTCCTATACTCCAAGAAGAAGAATAATTGTGCCACAAAATAATACATAAGTAGATAGGATGGATTCCTAAGGAAAAGATGTTGGGAGCCATTGCTTGCCAGGAATGGGCCTGGGTGAAGCAATAATGTTTTGGGGCAATTTGGGGACACAGATGACTCGTCCTTCCCTTTCCGCATAAAGCACAGACAATGTCAGGACCCAGAGAAGGCTGTAAGACATGTTTGGTCAGGGATAAACAGATGGAGTGCAGAAGTTTCATGCTTCAGTATGGGCCCTAAATAACAGAATGAGCCCCTGTGTCTCTGGCCAAGTCATATAAGTAAATGAATGGACAGGAGTGTCTGAAGAAGCCCTGCAGTTGGAAAATGGCTGGTTTAATTGTACCTACATGGACTGATGTTTGTGGACCTACTGGAGTTAAATGTAGCTGAAGTCTCTGTTGAGATGGTTGTCCTCCCTGCCCTGGCACAGCCTCTTGAAATCTAATGCAATCCTGGGTAAAGAAGCCTAAAATGATTGCAATTATGCCTGAATTGCTGAGTTGAATGAGGTTAATAAGTAGAGGATTTTTTGATAATATAGATTTGGCAGATTAAAGTTCTTACCTATTATAAGAACAAGGTTTTCTTTCCCTGAGGCTAAAGGAGATTCCATAACAACATGGTAAGAGGGTATCAAGACAAATATAGTAGAGTTTAGACAGTGGTGGGTATCTGAGAAGAAGGGCCTCACACTACATCTCCCAGCCTGAGCCGGAGGAATGGAGACAGAAATTCTAAGTAGGGTGCATGTACAAGTGGTCCCAGGACTTTATTTTTTCCTCATTTCAGGGTAATGCTCAGGGAGGTAGCAACATGGCATCAGGAAACAAGCCCCGAGTAGAGAAGGTCTTAGAAAAACTTGGCAGAGTTTCTGGGCACCTGTGATAGCCTGGGAGGGGTGGAAGATGCACACAAGTGGCAGAGGAATAGACAGAAACTTGGCTCCACAGACTTTAGTGGTGCTTGTCAAAGAATAGTCCTATGGACCACAGAAGGATACTAATATATTAGGAAAAGCTGGGCTTGACTTGATGGTTTGGAAAGACAGATGATTTAGAATAATGTGCATGAACTAAGATTGAAGGCACTATGTGACCAGAGGCATCTCGGTAGATGCTCAGGGCATACCTAACGATCCTGGCAAAGTACACCTTTACACTGCGCGCTCATTCTTTTGATCTGTGAACACATCCCAGAAGTAGGAAATAGAAGAATGGGGAGATGGTGGTGAATTGCCTAGATTAAGTTCTACCACAGGGAGGAATCTGGACTCCAAATAAAATTATTTTATAGAAAACTATAATTACATTTCTTGATCAACTGAGTTTATGAAATGTGATTTATAATACTTTTTATTTACATGGCATTTTACACTTTTCAAAGTATATTCTTTTACTTCAGTTGCACATCTGCATCAGTAGGTGCTAGCAAAACGTATTTTAGTTTACCCATGCTGTTAAAATGGAATCTTTACAATTGAGACCTACTGAAATTAGGCATTTTAAAAGCCTCTGAAATTAGAATCTTTGTTCTTTCTTTTTCGGAATTTTAGAATATTCTAGTAGTCTGAAAAACTAGACCTTAACGTTCTTCAGACTTTTCTGATTAATGGCTGTTCTTGTTCAGAATAATTGAGGAAATCAATACAAGGAGCTAGGCATCAAAAGTCAATTCTGATCCTTATATTGTTGTTAAGTGACTTTTAAAATAGATTATTGTGATAGTTTTGCTTGAATTTCTATTGCTATGAAAAATTTTAAGTAATAAACATGAATCACTTTATTATAGGGAATTGCTAATTCATCATTTTATGCTTAAAAAAATATATCTTCCAAAGCAGGGACATTTTATTTAGGCCTGGTAAATGTTAAAATACAATCTACATAAAATGTTATTAAGGGCTGGGTGTGGTGGCTCACACCTGTAATCCCAGCACTTTGGGAGGCGGAGACGAGTCTGGCCAATATGGTGAAACCCCATCTCTACTAAAAATACAAAAATTAGCCAGGCATGGTGACACACGCCTATAGTCCCAGCTACTTGGGAGGCTGAGACAAGAGAATCACTTGAACCCAGAGGTGGAGGTTGCAGTGAGCCAAGATTGTGCCACTGCACTCCAGCCTGGGTGACAGAGCAAGACTCCATCTCAAAAAAAAAAAAAAGTTATTAATGCCTTGACATATTTGCTATTAATTCAAAAGGTTAAAAGGTTAAGTGAAACTAAATACAAATTTAAATAAAAAGCTGGGCATATGCACTGGGCTGAAAGAGTTACGAGTTACTTGTAATTAAATGTTTAATGTTACTTATATTTGATGACTATGATGCAACTATAAAGGCATGCTACAAAAGAATGGATGACTTTGATAAGTTGTTTAAAGTAGTATTTTATTAGTCTTAGATATTATTTTAATGGGTTGGAATATCAGTTGTATGTTATGCTATAGTTCATACTTCTGAATTTTATTTCATGGCTTGTATGTGGATTTTAATCGCATATTCTGAGGATAGTCTTTTAACTGATTCAGAATTTTTTGTACTTCTGCTAGTTATGCTTTTGTTGAAATGCCTTAAAAATGCACATTTAAATAAATTTGCTTCTTCCAATTGTTCCATATAATGATGTTTCTATAAAAGATACAATTTTAAAAAGGGCTGCCTATGACTTTCATGTGTAATTTCTTTTCATTCAGCTTAGCTGATGATAGCACAATTTTGAATTTCACAAGAGTACCAGTTGGTTTATTTCAGTTGGAGGCTAAATTTACAGGAACTTATGGAAACTCCAGGAAATTCACGTCATTCAATTACTTGACTCTCCCAACAGCCACATCTTCCTCACACAAAAAGGATTTGTCCACCTGCAAATGGAAATGAAAAGAACATGAAAAACAGATAATACATGCAGAAACCTGAGTGATTTTTTAAAAATTTTAAATATAATCGTATTATTTCCCTCTTAAAATGTATTAGGGCTTTCTGTGGCATAAGAATAAAGTGAAAAAAAAAATACTCATCATTACCTATAGGACTGTCATGTCCTGTTCCCTGCTTACCCCTCAAAGTTCACTTGTCATCTTTTTGTCTCTTCCTGTAGCTTTATTGGCCTTTTATGATAACTTCAGGGTCCTATGCCCCTTTTAGCCTTTGTTCCTTTGCATGTACTGATCCCCAAAGCCTGAAAACTCTTCTCCCTATCCTCTTCAATCTGGCTAACTCTTATGTGTCCTTCAAGTCTCAGCTTCAAATATCGTTTCTTCTGTGAAGACTCTTCTGACACTTCAAACAGAATTATGTTATTGCTCTTGAATAGAACTTTTTTTGTGGCTGTTCCCTACCACCTACCTCAGATCTTGACACATTAAGGGCATTCAAGAATGCCTCTTGACTGAGGAATCTTAGGAATTATGAGTCCTCTCCGATTAGATTTAAGTATAGAAACATCTTTATGTGGGAGTTATTGAGGTTTCTGCTGTTTCACCACTTCGTCATATTTCTTACCTTACAATTGTAAGTTTCCATTCAGAATTAGTATCCAGGTGCAGTTTGAGAGCTCTTGATCATCAAATATGTAGCTCTAACCTTCAAAACTCAAATGCCAAGTCTTTCTTATTTTCCCTTTTCTTGATACCCATCATGAAGACTGGGAAATACAGAGCTGGCAGGAGGTTGAGCAGAAGAGCTCAGACATACCCCTGAAAAAATTCCATATTTATGAGACCCAAAAATGAGGCAATAGAACATGCCTCATTTTGGCCATCAGATATAGGACCTACTTCCTAACTTATTTTATGCCCTGATAAAAATGGGTAAAAGAG
This sequence comes from Homo sapiens, assembly GCF_000001405.40. Classification (NCBI taxonomy): domain Eukaryota; kingdom Metazoa; phylum Chordata; class Mammalia; order Primates; family Hominidae; genus Homo; species Homo sapiens. The sequence continues at coordinate 103,887,425 of NC_000005.10, forward strand.
TATGAAGACAGACAAGGGTAGATTAATCAGTCTGCAAGTCTACCCAGAGGCTGCATGATAAGCATTGCATCATGGTTTATTTATATCTGTGGAAAAAGAAATTATGATTTTAATAATAATACATTTTCTGTTTTCATAATTTCATTTTCTAGTTCAAGTTTTTTTTTCTCTCTTTCTGCATTCATTGTGTCATGAGCATCCTGTGAGAGTGGCCCAGTTGGCTAAACAGCAGTCTGAAAACTCAGGTGCTGTGTAACCTATTCCCTGCTGGGCTTTTAACTTGCTGTGTAACCTTGAACATACTTCTTAATATCTCTGTGCTCCAACGTCAGGATTTGTAAAATAGTGGAAAAAGGTATTAAACTGCAGGCATATTTGTGAAGAAACACTAGTAAATGTGGTTGAAAAGCTCTTTGAAAATATAAAGTCCTAACCATAAGAAAAAGAGGAAATCAGCCAAAAGCACAACTGAGAATGCCCTTAAATGTACTTAGCTGTTGATGGAGAGATTTAGGTCTGATGTGCGGAAAATTTTCCTGACAGCGGGTTGTTAAAATAGGCTACCTCTTTGGCTTATAATATTTTCCTGCTGTTTCACATTTTATTATGTCAATGACAATCTCCCATCAAGGTATATGTGGAAGCTATAAAATAGAAACTGTGCCATACCTTGTTATACGAGATATGGCCAGGTTTTGAGTTAACGGTCTTCATTAGTGATCAATTTTCATCTGTATCTTAGACAATTACTAGGCAGAATCTGTCAAGTAAATAACATTGTTTGGTGGCTCCAGAATTTCACAGCTTAACAAAATAGTCAACCTAGAAATCCGAAGTTGTAGAAATTGAGGCATTTGAGACCAGGGAAAGGGTATTTTTATTTATTTATTTTTAGTCAGAGGTCTTTCTTGGGGCTGCAGAAATCACATCCTAAGTGATCGCTTGTTTTCAGCTTAATTCCAGATTTATTATCCGATCTATTTAACCTCTTTCTTGAGTACATGGTAAAGAGTTGGCATCTGAGAAGAGATACATTTCTGAAGGGAAAGTTTAAAATAGTGATTTAGGAATTAAAATGTGTACATAAAATATTGTCTAAAGGGATTTCTAAAATTTACTTTTAGATGTCATATAATGAATTCATAGAAACAGATTAGTTTCCAGAATGTTAATATTGCTCTCCTAAACTTTAATATTAAAGTTTATTACAGCTTCTTTTTTCTATTTGGAACATTAGTCTTCTTTATGTGTGCAAAAACAAATACCCTACCTTAAAAATCAAATAATGTTTTTGCAGTGATACCCAAACATGATAAGGTAATAATATTGATGATATTAACAAGATAAAAAATCCAATGTAAAAATCCTACTGCATTAGTATATGTTTTTTGTTTGTTTGTTTGTTTGTTTTTTGCATTTTTTTAAGATTGTCCTAAATATGTCCGCCGTGCGCGGTGGCTCACGCCTGTAATCCCAGCACTCTGGGAGGCCGCGGCGAGTGGATCACGAGGTCAGGAGATCCAGACCATCCTAGCTAACACGGTGAAACCCCGTCTCTACTAAAAATACAAAAACAAAATTAGCCGAGCGCGGGGGCGGGCGCCTGTAGTCCCAGCTACTCGGGAGGCTGAGGCGGGAGAATGGCGACAACCCGGGAGGCGGTGCCAGAGCGCAGTGAGCAGAGCTTGCAGCGCTCCGAGCACTCCAGCCTGGGAGACAGAGCGAGACTCTGTCAAAAAAAAAAAAAAAAAAATTGTCCTAAATATGTCACAAACTCTGATGGATGTGCATAATATTACCTTTAATTTATCATAAGTAAATCTTGTGATGCTTACACAGAAGAAAGGAGTCTGAAGATTGTGAGATCACTTTGGTTTATCCATAGCTTTTATTTTGCAATTTCAGTAACTTATCTCAAGTTTCAGTCTCTAACTTGTCCTCCCTTGATAAAGATTTCTTAAGGAATGTAAAAACATTATTTTCAATACATCAGTAAACTTGCAGTGTTTCCTAATTAAAATCTAAACCTTTAGGCATATAGCTTTTAATTGTGACTAATGTGAAATAAAATTAAATTTGGCCTAAAGCTGTCTCTGTGGATAGCAAACTATGACCTAACTTAGTATATAAGCAAACTGCAACCTAACTTAAGGATGTAAACAAACTGCAACCTAAATTAAGAGTATATTCTTATAACAAATAGCTGAGTCACAGCCAATCACAGCAGCCACACTTGAGCTAATCAGAGGCCGCCAACTATTCAGACCAGGCTCATATAAGGGAAACACCTAGCCATAACCAATCTATTTCTGTATGTCAGTTTCTTTTTCTGTCTATAAATATTGCCTGCCCACATTGCTGGGTCGAGCTCTGTGAACCTCTTCTGGTTCTGAGTGCTTCTTGATCTGTGAATCATTATTTGCTCAAACTCTGCTAAATTTAATTTGTCTAAATTTTTTAAGAGTATATTTTATGGCATTCTAGTTGTTTAATTGTTGAAAATATAGTGCAGGCTTTCCTTAATATATATCACAGACAGCTTTCTGAGTTATGGTCACAGCACAATCAGCTATCAAATTGAAACTGTTTCCCTCCATAACCTCAGCCTTGAAGTTTTTTCTTGATATGAACCTTTGTCTTTCTGTTTTCAATTTCCAAATTTTTAAATGGCAAAATTACAATTTTTTTCCTTTTCATTATGACATGATTGAAAAATCCCCAATCAATACTCAATACAACATTTACTATTAATAATATTTTAGGCTTATCATGGAGTTTCTTTTATGATCAGAGTAAGCATGTTATTTTCCAAGAGGAATATACAAACTTTTCCTTTTGAAAGCATTGGTTAAAATGAGGGAATTTTTATAAAAGTGAATGGAGGAAGAGCAGAACCAATGAAGCCAGAAGATATATTTTACTTAGAAAAGCAGACACAAAATTTATAGTGCTCTCTTTAAATAATACATTAGTTTGACCCTGCTGTGCTATATATTTTTATATATTTAATGTGAACTTGGGGACTCATTTAGGTTTGGACCAAGCTAGTCTTACCTGTATCTATACCAGTGAAGCTGTTGCTACTTACAGGACAGAAAGAAGCAGTGACCCATACATGTCAATCCTCTGAGACAAGTTGAGTTTTATTAACTGTCACAAAACATTTTCTTTGTGTAGGGTCCAAAGCTGCATTCAATATATTTAGGAGCTTTGTCATATGGCATACGTTCTACTGGTCATTAATAATATTAATACTTCTATATTTTGTATGATTAATAAAATTGAAATTATGTGCTTTGTTATAATGGAAAGTGAAGAACTGATCATCATTTCCTGAAATATACTCTATTGGTTTAAAAATAAACAGCCGAATAAATACCTTGCCTTCAAATTTAAGCTATAGAAAAACTCTTTTCTCTAGACCTGATTTACACCTACCATCAGGATTTGTTTTCTTCTTACTTTTTTTTTTTTTTGTAAGAATTGACTAGTTAATGTTTACAAAGTATTTTGAAGGTGTAAAGTGCTGGCAAGTGCTAAGCCCAATAAAAAGTATTTTATACAAAATCTGAGAGCTGACTTGTACAGCATCCAGCTTTGTGAGTGAATAGAGCAAAGACGATTAAAATCAACATCATTTGTAATTTAAAGTACCGTGAACAACAAAGAGGATCCAACTATTGTTTTCGTTTGACAGGCTGCAAATATAGATTGCTGAACAGCGGTAGTCTGTCAATATAAAGCATTTAGCACTTCACTAAACAACTTGAGAATTTTCTACTTTAGGAAAAGAAATATGAAATCAGATTTGGTGTAACATTATTATTTTAATGGATTAACCATATCATTATTAAAAAGAAAACTACAACTCAACAAAATCCAAGAAAGTCTTTGCTATAGAACTTACCAGTGTGGTGAATGTTCAGAAAGATGAAACCCTTTCCATGAAGGCTTTCCCTAGCTCCACCCATCTGGAATGTGCAGAGGGATGATGACAGAATTCAATTGCACGGAAGAAAGAAAGCATTGTATTCAAAAAAAGCATTGTATTCAAAGAAAATACTGAGAATAGATAAAAGGTTGATATTTGTTGATCACAGACCACTCGTGAGGTGGAGCTTTGGAATGCAGGTTTCCACAATCCTAGTTTCATAAAATGAAAAATATTTTATAGTACTCTAATAAATGTTGATTGAGTCCACAAAATATTCTTAGAATTTTGAGGGAATGCTTTTACTTACTGTATTTTTATAAAACCAGTTCTAAAAAATAATTTAACTCTGCTCTTAGGGAATATACAGATGAATAAGGCACAGATCACAAACTCACAGAACTAGCAGTAGGGAAATTATAATAAAATGCGTAAGTAAACACCTATACTACAAAAGAGAATGCGGAAGTTAGACAATTAAGATATTAATTTGATATTTTGGGAATTTAGAGGAAGACATTCTGCCTCATCAAGGGAAATCAAATAATACTTTTAATTAAAATTATGTAGTTCTGCCAATTTATATACCTGTCACCTTTAAATTATTTCAGATAAAAGGATTTAAGGGCTGGGCGCGGTGGCTCACACCTGTAATCCCAGCACTTTGGGAGGCCGAGGCGGGCGGATCACGAGGTCAGGAGATCGAGACCATCCTGGCTAACGCAGTGAAACCCCGTCTCCACTAAAAATACAAAAAATTAGCTGGGCGTTGTAGCAGGCGCCTGTAGTCCCAGCTACTCTGGAGGTTGAGGCAGGAGAATGGCGTGGACCTGGGAGGCAGAGCTTGTAGTGAGCCGAGATCTTGCCACTGCACCCCAGCCGGGGGGACAGAGCCGAGACTCCGTCTCAAAAAAAAAAAAAAAAGAAAAAAAAAAAGGATTTAAGGTAACAGCAACAATAAAAAGATTAATTTGTTCATTAATTCTATAAGTATTTATCCTGACTCTGATTGTATTTATATTTTTTATGTTTCTGTTGTTGTTCTTGTTTTGAGACAGGATCTTGCTCTGTCACTCAGGCTGGAGTGCAGTGAAATGATCATAGATCACTGTAGCTTCCAACTCCTGGCTCAAGTGAGCTTCCCATCTCAGCCACTGGAGTAGCTGGGACTACAGGTGCACACTACCATGCCTAGCTAATTTTAATTTTTTTTTTTTTTTTTCTGTATAGACAAGGTCTCACTAGGTTGCCTAGGCTAGTCTTAAATTCCTGGCCTCAAGAGAGATCCTCCCACCTCACCCTCCCAAAGTGCTGAGATTGTAGGTGTTAGCCACCAAGCCTGGTCCCATCCTGACTCTCACAGTATTTAAAAACAAACATCTTGAGTTTAGAAAATGCATTGCTTTGTTGGTAAATCAAAGCTGTGTGTGCATGGTTCAGAGATTAATTAATTTTTTTGTGATACATTACTTAGATTACTATGCTTGAGGACAGTCCACTCATTTTTTTAAAGTTGCAACAAGATTCATTCCCATATTTTTACCTAAATTCTGGGCAGATAGGTTACAGTCAATATGCTTTAATTATCCCATTGGCCAATGGACCTTCTCAATAACAAAATGAGATATGACCTGCCCCCAAATGTGAAGAGATCTAGATACTATCGAAGTAGAAAAACTATGCTTTATTACCATTGTAATACCTTCTACTGATAATCTTATTCTGTAGCTTGTGGCCCCCTCACACCCAGGTTCCTCATGTTGCTTCTTAATCTTCCATCGTCCATATTCCTGGGACCTTACCAGTTTCTTTTCTGCTGCTAGAGTTTATCATAACTCTCTTTTAATGTACACATTCAATGAAAAGTATTTAAAAATTTTTAAAGTATAAGGACATTAACAAAATCTCTCATGATCTCACTATCCAGGATAATTATTTTTTAAACTATTTTGGTACATATCCTTCAAACCATTTTTTCCAACCCGACTTCCTTTAAAAGTTGTTATAATACTATATAAATACATATTTACTTAACCTTATTTTATCAACTTTCTAAACATTTATTCTGGAAGGTGTTGATGGTGCCTTTTCTCCATTATTTAAATTTCAAGAAATAAGAAATACCAAATGCATGTAAATCTGCAATATAAAAAGAAGTTAATTCACAAAGCTCAAAACTAAAAATATCATATGTGAACAATGCCAACATTACTCTTTGCCTAAAATATTTGAGTATGAAACCTGTATCCATTCATGAATCAATATTTGTTGAATGCTCATTAAATGCTGTGAGAAACACTGCGAGGAGCACAGTATTTTGCAATGCAATGGGATGTGATGGTCAGGAGTACTGCCCCGTCAAGCATTATTTGTGTGATCGTGGAGTAACCGTTTCTATACATGTCAGGTTCTTCACTAGACTTTGGGCTCCTTGACTTTAGGATACATAATTCATTTTTGAATCACTAGCACCTAACACAAAACATAACACATATTGGGTGGTTAATGAATTGAATTAAACAGCAGGACTATATTGGATAATTTTTATCCAACTTAAATTCTAATTTTGATGAATAATTCCTAAGCTATATATCAATCATTCATCACTAAAAAGACACCTAACTTTGGTTTTTCACATATATCAAATTCTTATACTGTGACAGCCAATGTGTTTTAAATATATTGGCTGTAACCTTCACAAACTCTAAGGGGTAAAGGCCCTTGTTTTTATGATTTTATAACTGAGGTTTCGAATATTAATTTTCTCAAGTTCTCATAGCAAGTGAAGAACAGTATGTGAATCCAATTTCAACACCCACTATAGCAGACTGTTTCACAGATGATACCTTAAAGGAAGGCACCGAAGTTCAGGCGACTAGAACTTTCAGAAATTAAAATCATCACTAGCTTAAAAGCAAACTGTAAAGGTCCTATATTTGCATTTTTTTTTTTTTCGGAGGAGGGACCAACAATTGTGACATGCTACTCTAGATGAAATAACTCAGCTTTGTTAAGTAGAGGTAAAACATACTAGAAAGTTTTCTTGTACTGTATTAATTTCTCAATCCTGCATGTGAAGAAGGATATTTTCAAAGTGAGACTTATCCCAAAAGACAGTGAATAAACTAAAAACAACTTCTTTTAAGGTTAAAGTAACAGGGTTTTACAAGCTTGAATATCTTATTCAAAATATTCCAGATTGGAGGACTCATCTGTGAAAGTCTAAATGAAATTTATTCCATGTGACTAGAATTCAGACTTAAGAACAATGAAGAACAGTGAATGGAAATTCTTAGGGAAGTGAATCTAAGTCTTTAAATCATTTTAACAATTACGGCTACCTGTCCCACAAGAGGGCAGGTGATTGTGTCTTTGATCTTTGTTACCAGGGCCTGGCATCATGTCTGACCTTGTAGTCACCTTTCAATGTTGATTTACTAAGTAAATGAATGGATGTTCAAACAAACAGCATAAAAGGCTACTTGGTAAGGTAGTGGGTTCCTATTAATGGAAGATTAATTCTCAGTCTTGATGGGGACTCAGCAGTATTCTGTGGAAGGATTCCTGAAGAGCCTAGTATGAGAAAACCCTGGGACTAGGTAAAGTACAGATGCTCAGCTAGGAAAACCTGGCTGCCAGGTCAGGGTGGAGGTTAAAGTTGGACAATGAGCTAAGAATTCCTGCTTAGAAAGTAGATCAGTGCCAGTGCTGGGGGTGGGGCTGAGGCTGCAGAGCTGTACTAAGAGGTTCCAGCTGTCAGAGAACAGGCAGGCCATTTACATGAGTAAGTCTTAGATGCCTTTGATATACAAGATTTTAGCATTTTGATGAGTTAAGATTACTTGAACACTTGGAAAAATAAAATTGCAGATCTTTTCATAAACTGTTAGTAATTACTAAAAAGAAATCATTTCCAGAAATAGTATGTTCAAATCAGTGGCTCTCAAATATGACAGTATAACTCCCAACTGTGAGTATTAATTCTGATTTAGGAGTGGGATGAAATTATTTCTAAGTTAACTTTTCACTTAAAAAAGAAAAAAAAAAACAGCCCTCTCCTCTCTTCCTACTACTAATAGAATATAATTATACAGTTTTTAAAAGTTTTGGATGTTCTTTGATATATACAAATATTTCTTCACTTATATTTATGAATGTCAACAAAATAGTTTAAAAGTGAAAATTTAATTAACACTTTTAACTTTTTTTGCATTATAGTAAATAATAGTCTGATTGTTTATATGTTAATTATGTTATTATCTATAATTTTAGTTTATAGGAGCCTAAGGTATCTGTTTTAATATTTTCTAAAGTTAAAAAAAAAGATTCTCTCCACTTTAAATGTCAATTTTTCTTCTCTTCCAAATAATAAGAACTCTCAAATTTAGCTGACTACCTTGCTGCCCTCCTCAAAGACTGGATTCCTCCTACCAATGACTATGGACAAATGAAAATATTTTGATCAATGAAAACTAAGTATTACATGTAACTTTCAGGAAATATGCTCAAAGGGATTTTGAGATATCCCTTCTCTTATTCCCTTTTCTTTTTTCCTGGGATGTGGATAGGATGACTAGGGCACAAGCAGCCATCTTGTGCAATGAGGCAGGACTGAGAATGGTGGAGTATCACAAAGCTGCAAAACAGCTCTGAGCTGTTAAATTTGAATAATACTGAAAGTGAATAAATATTTATCGTATTTGGCATCTTATACTGATGTTGTTATTGTGATTGCTATTGTTAACGTTTTATGTAACTGAATGCTGATACATCAGAAGATTGAACTGTCATGAATAAACACACCCACATATTCTCACATTTGTGTAACACTGTTGTAACTGATTTGTATTGGAGCTGCTGAGCAACCTTTACATCTCTGACAGTGACACAAGTTTACCAAATACCTTTGGCAATTTGAACCATCATAAATTGACATCCATGACTGATGTATTTCTAAATCTTACCTTCTGGGAAACAGGAAAGCTATCTCAAAATCTTTCTCCAAACCTAGTACTCTCTAAGTTGTTAAAATATATATTTGGAAAATGAATCATATCTAATAGAGGGAATTTTTTAAAATAACATTTTTAAAATTTAGATAAATTGCCATATTGTCATTTGAAGTCTGTAATAATATAAAAAATTTGTGATAAATATTATTTTATTTTAATAACACTACAGTTTTGGCTATTCATTCACATGATGTGTAGTAGAGTGCTTGTATTGAGACCTAGCTCCTTGTTTTTGCTCTGTGGTCTGATATCTTTTTATACCATGAGTTTGCTTTTCAACATAGACTTGACTGCAATAAGTCAACTGAAATTTTGCTGAGTACCGTTTATGAAACCTGGAGTCAAAGGCTCCTTCCTCGCCTTTGGGTGCTCAGGGCATTGTGCCAATATTTTGATTTGAGGTCATGTTATTCCTTTATTCATGCTGTTCACAATGTGGCTATTAAATGTATACCTATATTAAGAATTCCTGCTGTTATAATAGGTGTACCAGATAAAACTCAAATCATGCGTAAATGCTCCATAGGGAAATTGGGCAAAGTCTGTGAAACTGGTTTTTTAAAAAGCATTAGGGATGTTTTAAGAACATCTTTAGTAGAAGCACCTAAATTACTTTTCTTTTTAAGTCTTGTTTTAAACAATAGTTCATCTGAGGCAAGAAAAATGTGTTAAGATTTTTGTGATTCTAAGAATATCTATGAAAGAAGATAATTGAGAAAATGCTTTACAACAAAAGTGATTCTAGGTAATTGTTCTTAAAAGTCATGTGTTAAAAATAATATCCAAAAGAGTTATGTTGTAGAAAAGATTTGCAATGCACTATTGTGCAAAAGTTACTAATACAGGTATGATTATCTTGTATACATAATAGAAGTCTGTACTTATGAACATTCATCTATACAAATGGATCCTATAGCAGAGAAAGAAAGTAGGTTTTTCAATTTTATTTTAGCTGATTCTAATGTGGGACTAGGTGCACAGTTTGAAGAAATAAATTTATTTTTCTAATCATAAATAAGAGGTCAATGCCACAGATGTAGATATAGATAATATCTATATATCTATATCTATATGTTATTCACTCACTTCACTCTTTTAAGTTTTCAAATGTAATACACCTATATAAATGTGCATATATCATAAGTATACAACTCAATGGATTTTTGCGAACTGAAAATACTCAGGTAACTAGGACTTAAGTAAAAAAAAAAAAAAATTGCCAACTTTCCAGATACCCACTTTTGCTCCCTTCAAGTCACAAGCTAACCACAATGGTAACCACTATCCTGACTTCTAGTAGCATAGAGATTTTTGCTTTTTGGCACTTTTTTTCATTTTGAAAGTTGAGAACTCAAATATTTTCAGCTAAATTAAGAATGTGAAACAATTTTAAAAGTTCAGCTCGATGAAGTTTTACACATTTATACTTTTGTGTAACCACAATTCAGATCAAGATATAGATTTCTACCAATGCCAAGATTATTCTCATGTTCCTCTCTAGCCAATAGTCATTCCCTTTCCAGAAAGAGGCTTTGTTAGCTGCTGTGCTGGCTGCAGAGGCTAGAAGTGGATGAAACGTAGTCCTTGTCCCCAAGGAATATATAGTAGACAATCCAGATCTATAAGCAGGAAATTTCAATCTTGTGTGCTAAGGGTTATGATGGAGATAAGAAAGGAGTGCCCTGGGGCCCCCTCGGAAGGGCAGCTAGGTCCCTCTTAAAACATCAGGCAACTCAGTGAAAGCAATGATTAAACCAAGAGGTAAAAGATGGGAAGGGACTAGCCAGGTAGAGAAAATACCAAAGAACTACATCTGTAGAAACCTAGAGGCCAGAAATCAAATGGCCTGGAGTTCAAGACGACTGTATCTTAAAATGTTAGGCAGAGAATGATAGCAAATGATCAGGAAAGATCATCAGAGACCAGGTCACATAAGAAATACGGACTTTGTCTTGAGGTTGTGGCAAATGCGACATGGTCAAATCTGAGCTTTAGAAAATTCACTGGCTATAGTTTGAGAGACCGAATTGGGAAGAGCAAGGCTGAACCTAGGGAGAAGAAAGGTGATAGTCTCAGGATTTTAAGTGACAATAGAACCAGAGACAAAATAACAAGAAATGTAGTCAACATTAAAGCCAACATTAATCAAGCCAGGTACTACTAAGTACTTGCATAACTTATGTCCTGTGGATCCTCACCACAGCAACATGAGTAGATTTTATTAGCTCAATTTTACTGATGATGAAAGAGACATATAAAACTGAGCCACATGCTTAAAAATCACACAGTAATTGATGGAGCCAAGAATCAAACTCAAAAAGTCTAACTCTAAGATTTGCCATCTTAAGTACTCTGAGAAAATTCTTCTTATTAACTCATTTAATTCATTATTAGCAAATGTCTTAAGTTTACATGAATTATAAATTTATAGAACTTTTCTCCATGGGAAGAAGCTGCTTAATTTTTCTCTTATTGAATCTGCATTCCCATCTTCACCTGTTCTTCCAAATATATAATAATTTCTCAGTTTTTATCTAAGGTATTAACATGGTTTGACTGTGTCCCCACCCAACTCTCATCTTGAATTATGGTTCCCATAATCCCCATGTGTCCTAGGAGGGACCTGGTGGGTTGTAATTGAATCATGGGGATAGATATCCCCATGCTGCTGTTCTCATGACAGCAAGTAAGTTCTCATGAGATCTAGTGGTTTTATAAAGGGCTTTTCCCTCTTTTGCTCAGCACTTGTCTCTTGACTGCTGCCATGTAAGACGTGTCTTTGCTCTTCCTTTGCCTTCCACCATGATTGTGAGGGCTCCCCAGCCATGTGGAACTGTGAGCCCATTAAACATCTACTTCTTTATAGAGTACTCAGTCTCAGGTATTAGCAGCGTGAGAACAGAGTAATACAGTAAGTTGGTACTGGTAGAGTTGGGTGCTGCTGTAAAGATACCCAGAAATGTGAAAACGACTTTGGAACTGGGTAAGAGGCAGAAGTTGGAGCACTTTGGAGGGCTCAGAAGAAGAAAGGAAAATGTGGGAAGTCTGGATCTTTCTAGAGACTTGGGTGACTCAGAAAACAGGAAGATGTGGGGAAGTTTGGAACTTTCTAGAGACTTGTTGAATGGCTTTGACCATAATGCTGATAGTGATATAGACAATAAAGTCCAGGCTGAGGTGGTCTCAGATGGAGATGAGTAACTTTTTGGGAACTGGAGCAATGTTCACTCTTGCTATGCAAAGGGACTGGCGGTATTTTGTCCTTGCCCTAGAGATCTGTGGAACTTTGATCTTGAGAGAGATGATTTAGGGTATCTGGGGGAAGAAATTTCTAAGTGGCAAAGCATTCAAGAGGAAGCAGGGCACAAAATTTGGAAAATTTGCAGCCTGATGATGTGAAAGAAAAGAAAAACCCATTTTCTGGGGATAAATTCAAGCCTGCTGCAGAAATTTGCAGAAGTAACAAGGAATTGAATGTTAATCACCAAGACAATGGGGAAATGTCTACAGGCCATGTCAGAATGCTTCATGGCAGCCCCTCCCATCAAAACCTGGAAGCCTAAGAGGAAAAAATGGTTTCCTATGCCAGGTTCAGGGCCCCCCTACTGTGTTTAGCCTAGGGACTTGGCTCCCTGCATCCCAGCAGCTCCAGCCATGACTGAAAGGGGCCAATGTATAGCTCGGGCCATGGCTTCAGAAGGTGCAAGACCCAACCCTTGGCAGCTTCCACATGGTGTTGAGCCTATAGGTGCACAGAAACCAAGAATTGAGGCTTGGGAACCTATGCCTAGATTTCAGGGGATGTATGGAAACGTCTGGATGTTCAGGCAGAAGTTTGCTGCAGGGGTGGAATCCTTATGGAGAACCTCTGCTAGGGCAGTGTGGAAGGGAAATGTGGAGTTGGAGCCCCGACACAGAGTCCCCACTAGGGCATTATCTAATGGAGCTGTGAGAAGAGGACTACTGTCCTCCAGACCCCATTATAGTAGGTCAGCCAACAGCTTGCACCATGCACCTAGAAAAGCCTCAGACACTCAATGCCAGCCCATGAAAGCAGCCAGGAGGGGAGCTTTAGCCCACAAAGCCATTGGGGCGGAGCTGACCAAGGCTGTGGGACGCCCACTTCTTGCATCAGCATGACCAGGATTTGAGACATGGAGTCAAAGGAGATCGTTTTGGAACTTTAAGGTTTAATGACTGTCCTATTGGATTTTGGACTTGCATGGGGCCTGTAGCCCCTTTGTTTTGGCCAGTTTCTCCCATTTAGAATGGGTGTATTTACCTAATTCCTATACCTCCATTGTATTTGGGAAGTAACTACCTTGCTTTTGATTTTACAGGCTCATACGTGGAAGGGACTTGCCTTGTCTCAGGTGAGACCTTGCACTTGAACTTTTGAGTTAATGCTGAAATGAGTTAAGACTTTGGGGGACTTTTGGGAAAGCATTATTGTGTTTTGAAATGTGAGGACATGAGATTTGGGAGGGGCCAGCGGTGGATTAATATGGCTTGGCTGTGTCCCCACCCAACTCTCATCTTAAATTGCAGTTCCTATAATCCCCATGTGTCCTGGAAGGGATCCAGTGGGACATAATTGAATCATGGGGACGGTTACTCCCATGCTGCAGTTGTCATGATAGTGAGTGAGATCCTGTGAGATCTGATGGTTTTATAAGGAGCTTTTCTACCTTTTCCTCAGCACTTCTCTCTTGCCTGCCACCACGTAAGACATGCCTTTGCTCCTCCTTCATCTTCTGCCATGATTGTAAGGCCTCCCTAGCCATGTGGAACTGTGAGTCCATTAAACCTCTATTTCTTTATAAATTACCCAGTCTTGCATATGTCTTTATTAGCAGAGTGAAAATAGATTTATACAGGTATCATCATAATAAAACTCACTAGCAAATTTTTAACTTTTCTGCTACTAATTTGCTAGATGAATTTAGTATATCATTTAAACTTGCTGGGCTTTATTTTCTTTGCAACAAACCAATAAACAAAACAAACCTCATTTTTATTCTATGTTGTTCTATTTGTCATCTAAATTCAGTGCACACTCCTTAACATAATACTCCAGACCCTCTGAATTCCTGATGCAGTCTGTGACTACACTCATTTTCCTCACTCCAAATGTCCACAGATCAGAAGATAAATCACCTGAAATTCTTGTTTTTCCTTGGACATACCCAATTCTCTCATACTTGATTTTGTTCCTGTTTTGAAAGCTGTCTGCTTCTTTGTTAAAATGCAAGGCAGTATTCAAGGCCTAGATTTGGGAATCATCACCCACCCCTCACAACTATCCTTCAGACTCAGTTTAGTTTCCCTCCTCTGCTAAACCATTGTATTTCTGAAGCAATGTTCTTTGTTTATACCTTTATAGCGCTCAATGAGCATTCTATTTGGTGCATGCTATGGTTTGATTGCTTCCTCCAAAAACAGTATGTTGCCAACTGAGTCCTCAATGCAACAGTCTTGGGAGGTGTGGCCTAATGAGATGATTGAGCCATGAGGCCTCTGCCCTCATTAATGGATTAATGCCATTATCACGAGAGTGTATTTCTTATACAAGCCAAAGCTTGAAAGTAATAGTCCCATCTCTCTGCAAAGGTCAGCAATGTTGCAGATCATTTTCTGATCTCATAGTCAAGTTTCAGGAATTTGGTACTTTCCCCTATTTCTGATAATCATCTGGTCTATTCTAATAACTGAGGCCCTGTTTTGTTTCCCCTTGTTTAGGTCCATGACTCAATTTATCATGCAGAGAATATGGTCTTGGAGGTGTAAAAAGAGACATATGGTTTAGGGAAACTTCTGACTCACACCTCTAGGAAGACTAGATATTGGATTGTTTAAATACATATATATGCATGCACACACAGAAGGCAAGAGCAAAACAACACCACCAACAAAAGGCAGTATTGTAAGAATGAGGAACACCATAAGCCCAAATGGCAAAGTGAAAAAGAAGAATAATAATGGGGCTGAGTTGCTAAGAGATGAATGAAAGGCAAAAAGAATAAAATACCTAGGAATACAGCTAACCAGCGAGGTGAAATGTCTCTTCAGAGAAATACAAATCACTACTGAAAGAAATCAGAGATGAGACAAACCAATGTAAAAACATTCCATGCTCATGGATAGGAATAATCAATATTGTTAAAATGGCCCTACTACTGAAAGCAATTTACATATTCAATGTTATTCCTATCAAAGTAACAATGACATTTTTTACAGACTTATAAACAACTATTCTAAAATTCATATGGAACAAAAAAAGGGCCCAAATAGCCAAAGCAACTCTAAACAAAAAGAACAAAGCTGGAATCTAGAGGCATCAAACAGCTGGACTTCAAACTGTACTACAAGGCTACAGGAACTGAAATAACATGGTACTGGTACAAAAATAGACACATAGACCAATGAAAGAGGTTAGATAATACATTAACAGAGCCACACACCTAAAACCATCTGATTTTATGGACCCCTTCATTTCACCATATACAAAAATAAACTTTAGATGGATGTATGAGTCCATTTTCATGCTGCTGCTAAAGACACACCCGAGACTGGGGAAAAAAAAAAAAAACCAGAGGTTTAATTGGACTTACAGTTCCACATGGCTGGGATGCAAGGTACCAAGTCCCTAGACTGCACACAGCATGGGGACCATGGGCCCAGCCCACAAAACCATTTTTCCTCCTAGGCTTCTGGGTCTGTGATGGGTTGGGCTGCCACGGAGATCTCTGACATGCCCTGGAGACATTTTTCACATTGTCTTGGGGATTAACATTTGGCTCCTTGTTACTTATACAAATTTCTGCAGCCAGCTTTAATTTCTCCTCAGAAATGGGTTTTTCTTTCTACTGCAGCATCGGGCTGCAAATTTTCTGAACATTTATGCTCTGTTTCCCTTTTAAAATGGAATGCTTTTAACAGAACCCAAGTCACCTCTTCAATGCTTTGCTGCTTAGAAATTTCTTGGGCCAGGCGTGGTGGCTCACGCCTGTAATCCCAGCACTTTGGGAGGCCAAGGTGAGTGGATCACGAGATCAGGATATTGAGACCATCCTGGCCAATATGGTGAAACCCCATCTCTACAAATACAAAAAATCAGCCGGGTGTGGTGGCGTGTGCCTGTAGTCCCAGCTACTTGGGAAGCTGAGGCAGGGGAATCACTTGAACCCAGGAGGTGGAGGTTGCAGTGAGTTGAGATTGTGCCATTGCACTCCAGTCTGGTGAGAGAGCAAGACTCTGTCTCAGAAAAAAAAAAAAAAAAGAAAGAAATTTCTTTTTCTGCTAGGTACCCTAAATCATGTCTCTCAAGTTCAAAGTTACACAAATCTTGAGGGCAGGGGCAAAATGCTGCCAGTCTCTTTGCTAAAACATAGCAAGAGTCACCTTTGCTCCAGTTCCCAACAAGCTCTTCATCTCCATCTGAGACCTTCTCAGGGTGGACCTTATTGTTCATATCACTATCAGCATTTTGGTAAAAGCCATTCAACATATCTCCAGGAGGTTCCAAACTTTCCCACGTTTTTTTGTCTTCTTCTGAGCCCTCCAAACTGTTCTAACCTCTGACTGTTACTCAGTTCCAAAGTCACTTCCACATTTTGGGGTATCTTTTCAGCAATGTCCTACTCTACTGGTACCAATTTACTGTATTAGTCTGTTTTCACGCTGCTGATAAGAAATACCTGAGACTGGGAGGAAAAACAGGTTTAATTGAACTCACAGTTCTACATGGCTGGGGAGGCCTCAGAATCATGACTGGAGGTGAAAGGCACTTCTTACGTGGCAGTGACAAGAGAAAATGAAGAAGATGCAAAAGCTGAAACTCCTAATAAAACCATCAGATCTCGTGAGACTTATTCACTACCACAAGGAGAGTAGTGGGGAAACTGCTCCCATGATTCAAATTATTTCCCACTGGGTCCCTCCTGCAACACATGGGAATTATGGGAGTACAATTCAAGATGATATTTGGGTGGGGACACAGAACCAAACCATATCAATGGATTAAACACTTAAAAGTAAAACCTAAAAGTATAAAAACCCTAGAAGAAAATCTAGGAAATACTATTCAGGACATTGGCCCTGGCAAACATTTCATGATGAAGACTCCAAAAGCAATTGCAACAAGAGCAAAGATTGACAAGTCAGACCTAATTAAACTAAAAAGCTTCTGCACAGCAAAACAAACTATCAACAGAGTAAACAGACAATCTAGAGAATGGAAGCAAATATTCACAAACTATGTATCCAACAAAGGTCTAATATCCAGATTCTATATGGAACTTAAACAAATCAACAAGCAAAAAACAAACAACTCCATTAAAAAATGGGCAAAGGACATGAACAGACACTTCTCAAAAGAAAACATACATGAAGCCAACAGACATATGAAAAAATTCTCAACATCCCCGTATTTAGTTTCTCCAATTTGCATTAGAGAAATGCAAATCAAAACCACAATGAGATGCAATCTCATACCAGTCAGAATGGCTATTAGTAAAAAGTTAAAAAAATACAAAAACCAAAAAACAGATGCTGGCAAGGGTACAAGTAAAAGGGAACACTTATACATGGCTGGTGGGAATGTAAATTAGTTCAGTCACTGTAGAGAGCAGTTTGGAGATAACTCAAAGAACTTAAAACAGAACTACCATTTGACCCAGCAATCCCATTATTGGGTATATACCCAAAGGAATATAAGTCATTCTACTACAAAGACACATGCACAAGTATGTTCACTGAAGCACTATTCATGATAGCAAAGACATGGAATCAATGGAATATATTCCATGTTTTATATATATACACACACACACACACACACACACACACCATGGAATACGATCCATGGACTATATTCCATGGTGTATATATATATCCATGGAATATATTCCATGGTGTGTGTGTATATATATATATATATATATATACACCATGCAATACTATGCAGCCTTAAAAAGAAGAAAATCATGTCCTTTGAAGCAACATGGATGCAGCTGGAGGCCATTATCCTCAGCAAATCACACAGGAATGGAAAACCAAATACTTCATGTTCTCATTGATAAGTAGGAGAAAAACACTGAATACATATGGACATAATGAAGGGAGCAATAGATAGACATCAGGGCCTACTTGAGGGTGGAGGGTAGAAAGAGGGTGATGATCAAACAACTACCTATTGGGTACTATACTAGTTACTTGGGTGACAAAATAATTTGTGTACACCAAACTTCCATGACTTGAAATTTATCCATGTAACAAACCTGCACATGTACCCCTTGAACCTAAATTAAAAGTTAGAAAGAAGAAAAAATGAGATACGTGAAAGGATAGGGTAGGAAATAGTTTGTTAGAAAGGTATAGGGGGATGCTGAGGGCCCAAAAGCTAAAAATAAAACTCACAATATATCACAGCTTACCCAGACAGCATTGCCGAATAGTTCTAATTGTTCTTCCTTAAGCGGACCCTTACATATTGCTTTGAAATATTCTTAATCATATTAAAAAGGTTTGTAGCTATTTATGGGTAATGACAACATGTAGGATTTGAAGTTATACTGCTAATACATGGATAACATGATCAGTACATTTCTGTTGGTGAGGCTACGGATGATTTTATTACATCTTTGGTTCTCTCACTCAACCGAATTTTTCTGCATTAAGAATTTTGTTGTCTTTTACAGAAAAGCAAACCTATTAATGTTAAAAAATATTTGGAGAAAAAATATAAACATAAACATTAAAAAATAGACTCAAAGTCATATGCCACTTTATTTACAAAGTCTATCTTTGGATGGTTGAAATATATACATTTTAAAATTTTATTTACTTATTTATTGTTTTACTTTGTATCTATTATCCAACTTTTCATCTCCTGGCATATATTATTTTTAATCAGAGAAATATGAGTAATAGTATAGATTAAAAATATGGGAAGAAATATTCTGAAATATTAAGAATGGTTATCTTGAGGTGGTGGTACTTTAGGAGATTTCCTTCTGTAGATACTTTCTTTTGAACGGTTGCTATAATGGAAACTATTAGAAGTTAAACTTTATCTAAAGTAACTCAACAAATCGATATCTAAATATTGCATAATTAGTATGCAATATTTAGGTAAAGAGTTATATACCATAATTAGTATGGGTATAGAACTAAAAAGTTATATACCATATATATCATAATTAGTTATATACCATAATTAGTATGGTATATAACTCTTTCTAGAACAGCTTTTTTTTAGAAAGCTATATTACATTAATACCATATGTTCTAAATAACTATCATATTTCCTTTTATGCATGTCTTTTTGACAATGCCTATTTTTAAAATCCCTCAGAACATTTTTTAAAAGGTTGGAATAATTAATTGCCTGATGCAGTAAGCATTAAGTTAATAATGTAATGTTTATTCATTTATTTTGCAATAGTACTTCAAACTTCTTTTATTTGAATACTGGCAATGTGATAATAAATGAAAATATTTTCAAGACTGATTTTATCGATAGTCACTCTAACTCAAGTGATTAAAGAGAATATCATAGTCTGTAGTTACTAAATGATAGTTTTATTCCCTGCAAAATAGTTATTCATCTTGGTTGGCTGCTCTAGTGGAATTTTGTTTATGACTCTACGACTTGCATTAGAAGGCAGCTGTGTCTTAGTCTTGCTTTAAATTCTTATTAATATAGTTCACAAAGAAAGGACAACTAGTCAAAGAACCAAAATGTATATATCTTAATCCTAAAAATGCTATCACTTCAAAGTGAATTACAGCACTATATGGAAAAAGGCTTGCATTGTTATTTAAGTTCATCCATTCAACAGGATTAAAATAAATGGTGCACTTACCTCACACAGCACTGAAATGCATGGTGATGAAAAGAAAGGGTGAACTTCAAAGAGGCAATGTGCAAGATTTCAGATTTGATGGAGGGATTTACTTCTCAAATTGTCATTGCCATTGACTGGATTTACTAATCAATGAGCAAAAATTGAATGAAATGAGAAGCTGTGCCTAAAACTAGTAAATCTATAATTCATATTTTACTTTTGCTTGTTGAAAGACAGGGCAATTTTGATCAGTGGCTGAGACAGCATTATATATGAACCCTAAACTTTTATTCTGGGCCTTTACCTAAGGCTATTTCAAAATCACACCTAAATTTGTTTAATAATGTAATTATTAATTTAGAAAATTTAAAAAAAAATAATATTTAGAATTCTACAGTTTAATCATGCCTTGATTTATCTGGCCTTGTGAATTTATGTTCAGGTTTTACATTTTTAGCCTTTGTTTATTTTACATTGCTTCAGCTATTTTTTCAAGCGTTAGGTTGATTATCTAGGTCATAAATCTTACTTTGTCACTGAAATTTTATATTATACAAAATGCCTGATTAATTAAATAAAATTAATCAAAACTACTGTATAGACCGAGCAGGTTTAGTGATTAGTTGTCACATATTTTTCCAATAATTATTTTAAGCCAATTCCTTTCCTTTCTAAAAATACATACATGAGTACTAATCATGATTCATTTGAGGTGTGTGCACCATGACTTATGGCAGCTATGAGCAGAATGTCATCCTTTAAAAAATATTTTTTGCAGAGTTTCGCTTTGGGATGATTAAAAAAAAAACTTTTAGAAACAGTAGTAATGGCTGTGTAACATTGTAATGTAACTAATGCCACTGAATGGGATACTTAAAACTGTTAAAATTTCATATTTTATACTCTATATATTGTATTACAATAAAAACTTTTAAAAAGAAACAAGAAAAAAGAAATTAAATTGTATGTTTGCTTTATAATCACAACTAACATTTTTGAAACTTTGGATCAAAGGATTTATGTCACTATATCACTACAGGTTAGTGAAGATGATAGGTTTTTACTGGAAATTTTGGGAAAGAAATAGTTGTAAGGTGTTCTCATCAGGAACTTTGTACCAATTCTCCCTGGTTAAATATGAACCGGACTTTCAAAGTCTACTGAGTGAAAGCTGCAGCATTTTCAGTTGGTAATGTCTTGAAATTTTCCATCTGATTTAGTCAGCTAGGGGTTTTAGGAGTTCCCTTTCCAATATTGAGGTTGAGGTGGTTGGCAACTTGATCCTTTTATTGCTTCTGGGTCCCTCCCTCAACTCTCTACAGCAGCCAAATGCTGTTCAGAGGCATGTGGGGAACCAAAAAGTGTGAATCTCACATCCTCTTAAAATTCTGTCTTTCTGTTTGGACTAGTCATCCCAATATACAAAACCATCTCTGAGAAATGGAAAGGGAAAAGCTCAGAGTGAGAGAAGTGGGATATTTCAAAATTTTGCCAAAAACAGCAAGGCCGGAAAATCCTTGGCAAAACAGAAGAGCTGGCTACTTTAACACCTTTCTCATTCCTAGGATCCCGGGTGATTGAATCTGGCCTCCCGTTAACTACAGTGCTACTGTCCCCAAAGGTTCTGTTTTTGCAGGTGGAAAAGCAGTCGGAGCAGCGGCACCTTTTCTCCAACTCAAACATTCTTTTCCAGGCCCTCTGTGGAGCAGTCTGCTCCAGTGAGCGCAGCATTCAGTTATCAAATCCCTGAAGGCCCATTAGACCTTAACCAAATGACAGCCTGTAAAGTTCCTTGGCGCGAAGAATTAAGTTGAGTTGTTAACCTTCCCCATGCAAAGGACAACAAAGAAATTCTAGTAAGAGGTAAAAGGACAGACACTCAATTTACTGTTTTACTATTAAATTCTCATCTTTTGCTCATGGAAATAAATGTGCTCGCTTTTCACAGCCATTTTCCTTTGGCAACTGGCATAGGTGGCTACCTGTAGCAGCAGCCTCTTTGCCTCTCTGCCATTTATTATCCCATTCCAGCTTGCTGCCTACTCCACTCAAGCACCTTATATAAAGTGATACTGCTTAAGCTGAAGTGCTAAAGTCTACCCACCCTAAATGGGATATGGAAATGTGGGAATATTAGCCCTTAAACAGTAGGCTAAAATTTCTTTCATCCATAGATCCCTCAGGCAAACGGGATTTTAAAGCCAAACTCGCAGGTTGCCTTTTGCTTTTGCTTTGTAAATCAGCAGTTGGATGTGTAACTGGGACTTTTTTTTTTTTTTTTTTTAATGTCAAAATGACCCTTGGGTGTTGATCTGGCAAGTGGAAATAACATAGAAGGGCTGTATAAGTAGTTCTGGAATGGCAGTTAAAATCTCATAATCTGACTTTAACAATTGATTTTGCTCCAAATTTCCATATTGGTATTATTCAGCTTTTGGCCCAGGATCGGGAAATGGAACTTTTCCCAATGAAACTCAGACTAAGCTTAATATTGGACTTATGCTGCTCATAGTTTGGGTAGGTAAATTTTAAACATCTGATTTGCAGGCCAACTTCTAGAAAAAGAAGATGAAAAGATCATTTCATTTATTCCCCTGGTGGGATGGAACATTTTCTTCCAATATGTTTTCCAATTTACTTTTGAAATTTATGGAGCTTAAGAAAAGTACCATTCCATTATCTAACGGTTCTTGCTAATAGGCAGTTTCCTTAAATATCCAGCCTAAATTTTCCATTGCTCATCTGACTTCAAATCTTCACCATTTTCCAATCATATGGATTTTATAACTTAATGTTTGCTAAATCCTTAGTTAATAGACATTCTCAAGATTGTAATTTTAAAACAATGCATATTAAGTGATTTTGTTCCCTTAGAAATTCTGTAAACTACTGATTGAATGTGTGAATCATTTATGCCCTGTCTCTAAAAGAGTGAACACTTTCTATGTAAACAAATGCTCTGGAAAGCGAGAGATGAACTCATTTATTTTGCCTAGCTAAGAGAATTGTTCTGCTTCGCTTGATGCTGTCAGAGTTTTTAAGAAAGAATAAAATGTAAAGTAAGAATGCTTGTGGTTATTCTCTGAGGTTAAGCCAAGAAAAGTATATATGGAAAGAAACAATGCATTTTACAGAACTGGTCAGCAGCAATTTCTTTCAATCACTAGTAACCTGTGGGGTGTTCAATCATTGAACACCCAGCAAAAGGTTGCATCTTTCCTTAGCAGTTCTTTGATATATTGGGAACTTTAGGTCCACTCACAGTTCAATTTTTATATTAGGTATTGAAAAGCCATCCTTACTAGACTTGCCAATTTAGCTGCTATATGGATTAAAATTGTTGCAAATCTTTTCTGCATATTCCTCCTGATAATTAATTTCAGCTATTTGGTAATAACAGCTAATACCAATTGAGTACTCACTATGTACCAAGCACTATTTAAAGTGCTTTATCTGAAATAATTTAATTTTACAGAAATCTTTGTTAGATGTACTTATTGGCCCATCTTACAGGTGAAAAAAGTAAAGCACTGATTGATTCATTTGCCTAAGGTTTCACCTCTAGAGTGAGGCAAAACCAGGATGAGACTCCTTATTCTCGGTCTCCAGAGACCATGCTTTTAACCACAATTTTATTATAGTCAAAATGTGAATATTTTTATTATTAAAGAACACTTTACAGCAGCATGTATGGAGTATTCTTGCCAAAAATATTAAACATGAATTTGATCAAACCTCTAGATCCAATTTCAAATTTACAGGAAATACAGAGGATAGAGGAATGTGTTAAGGAACCACAGGGATGCTGTCAGCAAAATCCATACTATGGGAAAGTGGATACATAAGGAATCTGGTTTCTTCAACAAATAAATTGCGAGAGAGAGAGAGAGAGAGAGAGAGAGGAGTGGAAGCCTATAAATTAAAAGAGACTTAAGAAGCACATATCAACCAATAACAACAACAACACATGCACTTTATCTGGACCTCTATCCAAGAAAAAAAAACATTAAAATTAAGACATTATGAGAATAAATTTAAGTTCTATACATTTTGTAAATAATATCATAAAGAGAGTACATGTCTAATGTTGTCATTGCAAAAAATGTTAAATACTTGAGGTTATGTATATGTTAATTAGCTTAATTCAATTTTTCCACATTGTATTAAACAATCATAACACTACTTGTATCCCATAAGTATACATAACTATAATTTGTCAATATGTAGTAAAAAATTTAAAAACGAACGCTAGAGACTTGTTGGTATTAAGAAATCACTGTAAAATTTTTAAAAAGTAATCATGTTGTGGTAATGTTTTAAAAAAAGAGACCCATATATATGAGTCTTTTAGTCCATGTATATATTCAATCCATACATTTATATACAAAGTCTATATATATATATTTACCCATACATATATATCTCTCTCTAGATAGATATGAATAAAATTATATGTTGTTCAGGATTTCCTTAGAAATATAATGTAATCAGAAATATAATCAGGGCCGGGCGCAGTGGCTCACACCTGTAATCCCACCACTTTGGGAGTCCAAGGCGGGTGGATCACGAAGTCAGGAGATTGAGACCATCCTGGCTAACACGGTGAAACCCTGTCTCTATTAAAAATATAAAATTAGTCCGGCGTGGTGGCAGGCGCCTGTAGTCCCAGCTACTCTGGAGGCTGAGGCAGGAGAATGGCGTGAACCTGGGAGGCGGAGCTTGCAGTGAGCCGAGATCATGCCACTGCACTTCAGCCTGGGCGACAGAGTGAGACTCCGTCTAAAAAAAAAAAAATTATATGTATATATATAAAATCAGGGATGTGACAAGTGGGTAAGGGTATCAAAAATACATATTGGTCATGTGTTGAAAATAATGATATTATGTAATAGGGATATGTGGGTTTGTCTTGTTTTTGATCTCTTTTTGTATGTTTGAAATTTTCCAAAATTAAAAGCAAAGTAAACTAAAACAAAAATAATAATTAATGGCAGTTCCTGCAATCATTTGAAAAAAGTGTGATTTATAACAACTTATAAAATTTGTTACTACATAGAAGTAAGCCAAAGGTTTCAAATGCTAATGGTTTTATGTCATAAACTGCCAATTCTCCTATTTGAATTAGTGTATATTTCTTTCACAGAGAACCTTGTACAGCGTCATGGTGACTTTAAGGGTTAGTCTTTAGTGGGAAAATTTATTTTCAAAAGGGATCTGACAGCAAATGAAAAGATTGGAAAAATCCTTCAGAGCAGAGTATGATCAGATTTACTATAAGTGGTACTCATTTACCAAAAGTGATTAAATTATAGTCAGGATGTACCCTGAAGCACCCACTTCAGTAGACAGACTAGAATATATTTAGGAAACGTGGAACACTGCACTCCATCTGTGCTTTACCTTTCACAAACTAATCTTATGTTTCCATTATAGTGGCTTGCGCTAACTCTGCTTTCATCACATATTTCATTGGTGCTTAGAACATGACACATGTTGCAAAGACCATATTTTTCTTAACTTTTTTCTATAGATATTGGAAGACAAACTGCCTATGTAAAACAATCCTTGACTCAAAAAAAAGGTTGGTGTAGTAATGAAGGTTAGAAATGCCACAAATGGGAATAGGATCAGCCACAACAAGGGTGTTAACTTTCGCTGGTAATGCATGTCTGGCTTCTTTTAAGCAAGCATAAGTATATGCTTTGGAAAAACCTTACCCTACTAGTTATTAGATGTACTTCCTCCATAAATGACAGAAATATCTGGTCTTAAAATTAGCTATTCAGTGTAAGAGTTTCTAAACATATAATCTGTCAAAAATCATATTCTGGCCTTTGGATACTCAAAAATAAATCATTATGAATTTATGGGGCAAGAGCCATATATATACACATACATATATATGTATACACGTATATATATATATATATATATATATATATATATATATATCATCTACAATGTACTATGCTTATGAGAACTACTCATTTATCACATTTGAGTGTAGTTAAGTGGAGTACTTCAAAGCCGCATTTGACTTCAGTTTCACTTCTCCACTATAAGTTATCAGTACTCAACAGAGTGAACAATTTGAGAGGTGTGCAACTCTTGATCTCCTTATTGATCTCTGTTTTCTCTGATATAAATTATGAGTTTTCATTTTCACTCAACACCCTGCAGGAAAGAGAAAACAGATTCAGACTAAAGCACGTGCCTGACAATGTGTCTGCTGCATTGCATGAGGCAGCCTTGCTGCAGCCAACCATAGTGGGGTAAGTTGCAAATCTATAGCACCGAATTACTTTACGTCAGTTATTTCATTAGAGTTTGTGCATTACCACAAAATCCCGTTTATTTTTTTGACAAAAAATTTTAGTGAAATTCTGTTTCACGAAATTACTGAAGACCCCTCATTGCCTGTAATAGTTTCAATTAAATATTCTACTTGTTTTTTAGATGTTCGTGATGAGATAGAGACCAAAGTC
This sequence comes from Homo sapiens, assembly GCF_000001405.40. Taxonomy (NCBI): domain Eukaryota; kingdom Metazoa; phylum Chordata; class Mammalia; order Primates; family Hominidae; genus Homo; species Homo sapiens. Next base: position 103,913,700 of record NC_000005.10, read on the forward strand.
TTTTTGCAAAAGATATACGAATTTCTAGGAAATTTCATTGTATCAGATGTGTAAAGGATTTTTTTAAAGTATGCTCTTTAAAACAATACATTTTGTTTACAATGTTTTGGGAACTGTTGTATGTGGTCTATCTTGAGACAATGTGAATTATTATGAATTACTGTTGTTTACTTTGAACACAATATTACTTTTCTGTTAATTGTGACCCATCATTTTCTCAAGAGAAGGATGGGTTAAATAAATAATTAATTTATGCTATGACAATTGTGATTCCCATGAACATGATTTTCTATTATCTACACATAATAGTGATTACCTTGATTAAAATGTTGATGATCAATTCATTTATCTGTCAGTGTCACCCATAAAATTATAAAAATGGAAGGATAAAACAATTGGATAAAGATTTCCTCCCTACTTTAAAATAGTTTCAAAATGAGAATATATTATGAATTGACTGAGTGGGAAGAGACGGTATCATCACCGATATAATTTACACAAAGTCCTGATTTTGTGTTTCTGTCATAAACCTTGAAAGCTGGAAAAAGCAATAGTCTGTCACTTTTTCATTTTTCTCAATTCATATGTTTTCTTGAAAAGCTGATTCTACTCTAAATGTTTGTGCACATACCAAACAAATATTTTGCCTCACAACCATTTGTTCATCCCAATGTGACCATATTTCTCCCCTGGTTTACAACTTTTATGACTGTGTACATATTATTAGCACCTGTTTTCACTCTAAAATATCCTGGGTTAGACTACAAATTATATGATCAACGTAGCCCATATCTGTGTGCATAATTAATTCCAAAAATTCTAGTTGACTTTAGAATGCTGCTTTTTATGAAATAGATCTTATTCAATTATCATCTAAGTAGTGATTTGCAATGCCTTTTCTATGAATGTCAAAAATAAAATAAGAAATGCTGAAAATGTAAAAGGTTTTAAATAAATTTAGATAATATAATTTAGAAAGTATTAAACATTTGTATTTATTAATTCTGGAGAAAAGGTAGATTATAGTGAAATAAAAATATACTTTAGCAGTTATTCATTGATACATAAGCATACAGACAGGAGTTTCTCAAGAATTAAAGTATATTAGTCCGATAAATATTTTTACAAAATATTTGCTCTGAAGCCGTCTGTTCAACAATGCCATTGAGGTAAAATATTAAAGGTAGAGAGAATTTAAAGTTTTACAATATATTTGTTATGTAAATTATATTGGAAAGTTAGCGTTATGCATATATATATATATATTTGAAAGTGGGTCAAGTACAGCACCTTAATTGATCAACGGGGAAATCAGCTTATGACATTTAGATTCACCCATGACCTGGTATAAAAAAAGAAATTGTTTCCTCTGTGACATTGGATTGGCATCAATTATCTCCGGGGAAATGGAAAACCCTGAACTGATGCTTTAAAGGATAAAGAGCCTTTCAGGCACCTCTAAAGTGTGTTTTAGTAAACCATGCAGATTGATGTAATAGTATCCCAAATGTAACTTTCACAATGAAATATGAATAATAATTAGGTAAGATGTTATTTTAAGATTTTATTCCCAAATGGTCCATTCCTTTCATATTCTAAATTCCAGTGCCCTTGTAGGTCCAATTAAGAGGCTTAATTGAAGAATTCCAAGTTAGCAGACTGTCCTGGCACTCAGAGGATATTGTGCCTGGTAATGATAGTGTTGAATTGGACAGAAAGAATATTCACAAAGGTTAGTAGAGATACATGTATTTTATAATGTGACATTTATTTTTTAATCATATGGAAAATTAAGCCTGAGTGCACTTATTTTCTCTTTTTCAAATCTAATATTAAACTGTCCATTGCTTCATTCCCACTCCCTGCCCACCCTGGAATCCCTTCATTCTTAAGTAATGGATAAAAATGCACAAGCAGTAGTAAATTTTAATTTATTATCATTATTTTTCTGTTAATATCTGTGGCTTAGTTTGTTTGAAATGCAGATTGAGGCAAGACATTCTATGACTTTCAGTCACTCCTTCCAAAGTAGAACTATTAGAACAATCAAAGCTAAAATTTGACTAAGGGCACAAGAGAGAGAATTGCCTATATGAATTTGATTTCATACACACATTAGCACCCAATTATACACAGCCTTATGTTGTCCTAGCATATTGTCATGATGCACTTCAACTCTTTTATATGGGGCCTTTGTTGGCATGTCTTTTATCATATTAACATAGAGGCAGGTATTTTCTCTACTGAGGATGAATACCACATAAAACACATGGCAGAGAGTGCATTACTTGTGTGGTATTTACAGTTCTCTGATAAATTGTATGGCAATTATTGTGTTGTGCCATTAATATTTTTCTCTTAAGAATTATACTTACATCTTACTTGTGAGTCATTTCATAAACAAAAAAGTGTAATTACTAATAAAGAATCATTAATCTTAATTTCAAAAATTTAGAACTAGATAGGTAATATATACAATAATAAGATATAGGGTCAAAGGCATTTTAATAATTTTTTAAAGCTATAATTAATTGTGGGTTTTGTCAAACTGTATAATGAGAAACATAATATTTGTTTTTTTCTTGCAACAAATGAAAAGCTAAAATTGGATATAAAAGTTTTCTATTTCTATCTAAAGATGATTTCTTAGAATGATTATCTATTGTGTTTTCTTGTTGTGATAGTAAATACTTGTAAATAATTATTTCACTGCTCCCACTGCCCTGCTCTCATTTTTTAAAGGTATCTCCTGAGTTTGAAGGTCATTTTTTTTTCTATCCATTGGCATTCTAACCCAGTACTCAAATGACTCAGACAGACCAACTTCTTTAATTTCCATACATTAATATTCTCTGAAGTGGCACCAATAGTGCTAACACTTTTCTCACTGACCCAGCAAGTGTTACTTGTCTTTAGTCATAATTCAGAAAGACAGTCTTTCCCACAAATCCTGCATATAAAATGAGTGCCTCATTCATGGGACAAACAGTGAACTTTTGTATTGTTACAAGACTACCTAATGGTCAAATCTCCGTGTGCTGCAAATTTCCACATTCGTCTGCCTTCTAATGTAGCACATTTCAGTGTCATACATCTGGGCTAAACAAATACAGCTCATGTTCAAATATTCTATACCTGTCAAGAAGTTCAAAGACGTTGGAATTGAGTTTTTCTTTATTCCTATGTACCTGTAAAGGGACAAAAGCTAGAGAAACAATTACCATGTTTTTGAAGCTAGTGCTTACTGATGTTTTCCTCAATTATATGAGGAATTGAGATGTGGTCTTTTCTTCCTACAGTTGACATTATGTGTCAAAAATATGTAAATAAGAGAAAATTGCTAAGAATATAGTTTTGTTATAGCTTAAACACTTTCTGCTGGCCAAGCCGCTTTTATTTCACATAGGTCTCTATCTTCTGTACACTCTGGTTGAGAAAACTGGAACTACATATAGTTTTGCTTCCAACAGTTGTTTTGACAGAAATTTTCAAAAGCTGTGTGTTCTTTGCGAAACACAGCTTCCACAATTTGTTTCTGTCTGCCATCTTGTTCAAAACTATATCCCCTCCCCCAAAGAAAAACTATTCTACCTTTAATCTTCTGACTTTTAAATGATTAGTGCTTAATGATAGCTGTCAGTCATTACCAAGACTGCAGGGAACAAACTTCGTGAAATAGAAAGTAGAAAAGTCTGAAATATAAAGTAAAGGAAGCTCTAGAAAATGGTGTGTAGTAAATAAGAACTGTTCACCACAAAGTTATTGCTCTAATTTGCAGTTTTAGGTAATTTTCATCCTAAAAAACTAAATCAGATATAAATAGGATACCTCCATTTTTATCGTGCTAAGAATACTTATTAAATATGATCTCTCTTTTGCACAAATATGTCTTTAACTTCCTTATTTCAGAGACAGAAAATTGTAATATTTCATCTCATTTCAGCATAAGTTTTAGTCTGCTAAACTAATTTTTGTCCTATGACAGAAATTAGGAAAACTTTAAGGTCTATCTTATCAAAAATAGGGCCTCACTACACAGTTTTTTTTTCTTTTTGTCTCAGCACTATACATTTTCAAAATTAAGACAAAGTATAGGCATCTGGGTTAAACAACTACTGCTCAAGTTGAGATATTCTATAGCTGTTAGGCATTTAAAATAAAGAATTTAATTGCACCTTATTCAATGCCAGAATGTCACAGGTTTATTGTTTTAATGATCACAAACATACATAGTATATATTTGTATGTGAATGTGTGTGTATGAGTGTGTGTGTTTGATGAGGAAGAAATGGCTGTTTAGCTCTTTGAATTAAATCAGATACTTCAATGATATTTTGGGGAGATATTTTTGTGTAGTTTTTCAGTATTTAATGGCTATATTTGAATTTTACATTGCAAAATAATTTTATGATAAATATAAATTAGGTGAAGAACAAGTAAATTTCCATGTAGAGCAAATTGTATGTGAAACGTTCTTTTAGACAAAGCTTTGTTTTAATTTGTTTTAAGCATCACTTTTTAAAATTATGGATTAATATTAGCGAATAAAAATCCAGAATTTGAATTGAATTACTATACTGAATTCAACACTTTGGGTTCAAGAATAAAAGACAGTGAACTACTAAATTGTACCTTACATAATGTACAAATCTGTTATGTGAGTATTTACTTTTTTCCCCTTACAAAGTACTAAAATCTCTTATTCTTTGAAATTTCTCACAAAAATGAATATTATCTTTTATTCAAATGGTTGTAAGTAAAATAAACAGTTAGCTTGACCTTAACAACTTTAACTCCTGTATTAACTTCATACATACTTGAGAATTATAGGCACAGCTGAGTAAATTACAGTGAGAATAATTAGAAAAACAGAACAACAGGTGACAATTTGGTCCAGCTGCCAAAATCCTAGATTATTAATTTCTTATTTATCCATCCTTTTTCATTTTACAGTTTTTCTCTTGATATTAGATACTGTGCTCATTCCCTATTGCTCATTTTAATGAATACTTAACCACAGGAAATATTTGTTCATTTCAAGGGAATTCCCCCTGGTTTCAAAAAAGAATGCAGAAGCCATTTCAGAGCTTAATTAGGGAGATTTGGAACCTCTATGCTTGTTCAATCAATTTTAACACAAGTAAAAGCATTTTAACTATTCCCTTTGTCTATGCAATCCTTTGCAACCCAGCAGAAAAATTCCATTCCCTCCACAGTAAGCTTAACCAAGCAGGACAGTCAGTTGGAGTGAGGTCACACTGGAAAATGTTTTTAAAAGGGTTTTCTAAACCCTTTAAAATTTTAAGTTAAGTTTTAATGAGCATTGCAGAAGAGTTAGATCCCCAGGGGGCAAATCAATTTTGAGTGTTGCACTGCCTGTTCCTTTTAGCCTCTGAAGTACCACCTTAGCTGACTTTTCAGTGGTTATGTTGAGCCAGATATTCAGGATGAAAGAATGCAAATATACAGCCTGTGAATTTCTCTCTCACCCAGGGGTCACCAAATCTTTCAGCCATTTTATTTTTTCAAGTGGTGAGAGGGATGGAATGGGTAGAACAAAGTGGTTGGCTATTTCAATACTAAGAGAGGTGTGAGGTTTAAAGTGGGCTATGGAAGGCTTGGGAAGCCTGGGATATGCTTAGTGATTTTTTTTTTTTTTTTCCTCCCTTGGGCCTAGGTCAGTTCCTGGTTTACAGTAAGTTTAGGATTCAGCCTGGGACCCACTGTGGTTTAATGTGACAACCGAAAGATGAAAGAAAGCTCCCTAGTGACATATAGTGAAGTCCGGAGCCCATGTTTACTTTTAATTTTCTCTCATATATGTGCTGTTTAAGGGATTTTTAGACTCTTACAAGCTTGGAGATGTAGGATTCCTCCCTATACAGGTTGCACAATTGCTTCTTCTTCACATATTTCCTCAAATAAACTGACACCAGGCCTCCTACTAAAAGGGCATTATGCTCCAGAGTGTACTTCTCTGGGACTATTTACTACATTCTGCTATGTCCCAGCAGTAAGGAAATTATATATTAAAGATTAACTGAGCATATCATTTCCTTTCTCTAAGCTGCCATGAAGTAAGCCTGCAGACTGCTGCTCAGTGTTTCTGCAGTGTGTCCCTGTGAAAGAGAAGTTTTGAGGCCAGATGAGTATATGTCCTTCATTCTGCCTATGAATAAATATTTAGCTTTTGATTCATGATAATGTACAGTATTGAGCTTTTATTCTAGAAGATATTTTATTACTATTTTTTACCTGTTATCTTTTCAAATCATTACTTAAAGCTCATCTTCTCAGAAAGATCCACATGATAACCCTATTTAAAAATACCACACCCTGGCTGGGCGCGGTGGCTCACGCCTATAATCCCAGCACTTTGGGAGGCCAAGACAGGCAGATCACAAGGTCAGGAGTTCAAGACCAGCCTGGCCAATATGGTGAAGCCCCCGTCTCTACTAAAAATACAAAGATTAGCCATGTGTGGTGGTGGGCACCTGTAGTCCCAGCTACTTGGGAGGCTGAGGCAGGAGAATGAGGTGAAGCCAGGAGGCAGAGCTTGCAGTGAGCCAAGATCGCACCACTGCACTGCAGCCTGGGCGACAGAGGGAGACTCCGTCTCAAAAAAAAAAAAAAAAAAAGTACCACACCTTACTCTTTTACATCTGTGCTCAGTTGTTTTCTCATGGCATTTCACCACCTAACACAATATATACTTTTCTTAGTAGTTCTCTCTTTCCCTATTGTAATGCATGCTGCACGTGGGTAGGGAGTTGTTTATTTTGATTACTTATACATCCCAAGTACCTAGAACGGAGTCTGGCACAGAGAGGGTGTCAAACAAATGTTACATTCCATAAGTTTATTTAATAATTATTATTAATAAAAATATAGTTTGGGATACATACATTAATATAAAGTGAACTCATGTAATATTGCATTCATTTTTATAGCTGAATTTTATGCTTTATTTAATATTTACACCAACCCTATGAAGAGCTGATATGGTTTGGATGTTTGTTCCCTTCAAATCCCATGTTGACAGGTCATCCCCAATGTTGGAAGTGAGGTCTGGAAAGAGATGATTGGATCATGGGAGGTGAACCCCTCATGACTGATTTAACACCATCCCCTTGGTGATAAATGAGTTCTCACTCAGTTAGTTCACATGAGATTTGGTTGTTTAAAAGTCTGGGACCCACGCCTCCCCCACTTCAATCCCCCTTCTCGCATGATTGGCAGCTTCCTGAAGCCTCACTAGAAACAGATGCTGGTACTATGCTTTGTGTACAGCCTGCAAAACCATGAGCCAATTAACCCTCTTTTCTTTATAAATTACCCAGCGTCAGGTGTTTCTTTATAGCAATGCAAAAACAGAGAGGTACGGTGGCTATTATTCCCATTTTAGTGATGAGGAAACAGAATTTATTCAAGGTCATGGAGCTTGTAAGAAGTCAAGAGGGAATTATTTATTTATTTATTTATTTATTTATTTATTTATTGAGACGGAATTTTCCTTTTGTCGCCCAGGCTGGAGTGCAACAGCGTGATCTCGGCTCACTGCAACCTCCGCGTCCCAGGTTCAAGAGATTCTCCTGCCCCAGCCTTCTGGGTAGCTGGAATTACAGGCACCTCCACCACATCCAGCTAATTTTTGTATTTTTAGTAGAGATGGGGTTTCATCATATTGGTCAGGCTGGTCTCGAACTCCTGACCTCAGTTGATCCACCTGCCTCAGCCTCCCAAAGTGCAGGGATTACAGACATGAGCCATTGTGTCTGTCCTCAAGAGGGAATTTATGTCCATTCCTATCTGACTCCTGTGGGCATATTCTTTATACTGTCCACAGTGCTTTATTTATCTTTGAAAGGTCTAAGATAATGCCTTGAAAAACACATGTAATCATATTAATGTGGTGAAATATTGAATTCCAAATGCATTCTTGTTGATTAGAAACTTGCTTTTTTAAATCTGAATTTTCTCTGGGTATTTGAATTCATCTATAGTAAATAATCTCCAACTTTGGATAGCTCAGTTATCCTAAAATATGGAGTCTAGTCACTAGCCAAAATTCAGCCTGAATTTACATCTCCTGGCTTTTTTGCATTTATTTGACAGACTTATATATAATCCTTAGACTTCTGGTAATAAGTGACACTAAAGATGACTGGCATCTTATTTTCTTTCTTTTTTCTTTTATTTCTTTTCTTTTTTTCCGACAGAGTTTCGCTCTTGTCACCCAGGCTGGAGTGCAATGATGCAATCTCGGCTCACTGCAATCTTCAACTCCCGGGTTCAAGCGATTCTCCCACCTCAGCCTCCTGGGTAGCTGCAATTACAGGTGCTTGCCACCACGCCTGGCTAATTTTTGTATTTTTAGTAGAGACGGGGTTTCACCATGTTGGCCAGGCTGGTCTGAAACTCCTGACCTCAGATGATCCACCCGCCTTGGCCTCACAATGTGCTGGGATTACAGGAGTGAGCCACTGCGCCCGGCCTGGCATCTTATTTTCATACTTAACTATTTGGTAAATATTTTGTAGCTGCTTTATAAGAAGTTGCTGGAAAGTGTAAGGAGCATACACAACAATAATCATAAGCAATTTAATGTAATTTTACCTGGGTGAACTGTCTTAAGTGCCTTTAGAGTGACTGTATGATTTCTTTTAGACTTTTTGATTGGATGCATCCCCTCATTTAGAAGCAAAATAAAGAATACAGGCTATTTAAAATTTCATCAATAGTGGGGGAAAAAAGATTAAAAAGTCATTTTTCTTAACATGAATTTTCCAAGACATCATTACATTTGACAGAATAGGTTAGATTATGCTGAGGTTACAAACAACCTGAACAATCTAAGTGGTTTACAATAACAAAATGTAGTTTTTCTTTGTGGTATGCATCCATCGCTGATAAGCTACTGTTCAGCATATTCACTCCAGAACTTTGGCTGAGATCTGCCTCTATCTAGAATATTAGCACTTGTTCCAAAGAGAAGAAAGAGATGTAGCAACTCACATGCTAGCTCTTACAACTTCTGCTCAGCAGTGACATTTCACTGGCCTAAACAAATCACTTGTCTATGCCTGAGTTTAACAAGGCAAGGAAGGGCACCAAGAGTCACATGCCACAACCAGATGACAATGGGGAGGGGGGTGCATATTTTTCCAGGGAGATGAAGTGAATAATTTTACATATTAATAAGATTGACTTAAATTTTCTTTTCAAATTTGACTCACAGAGTTTTTAATTTTTTTTATCTCACAGTAATATGAGAGTATTTTCCCTCCATTTTTGCTGCATCTTAAATACAGCTAGGTAGATTATGTTGGGCTTATATAACTCTCTAAGATCACCAATGATTTCCATTGACTTTCAACTTATGTAAAAAACAACATTATCTTCTACATTTTCTTGAAGGTAACTCTATTTACAATTAGAAGTAGTCTTTGTTCTGAAAATTCACTTGTTTGAATACCCCATCCAACACCTACTCTCCCAGTGATTAAGTTCACCTCGCATGTTTACACATACACGTCTGTTGGCATGCTCTGCTAACCTGGAATAATCTGTATCAAGCGTGCTTTCCAAACTATAGTGCATTTCACATAATAAGAACACAGCTGGCATAGTGGATTGATTCCATGTACTCTGAACATATGGCTTAGAAAAGGTCACAGGAGTCCTGATCAGGAAACTTGATTCCAATTAGAAGAGATGTATTGGGGTCCATAGTCCTGTGAAGAAAAATGCTGATTTATAAATATCAGCTTCATTAGGCACCTGTCTGCCCAATTTGCTGAAGTTATTCAAGTTTTAAGTAAGAATAGCAGTGAGGGATTATACTTCAGTTTGAATATCAAAATCTATTTTGACTAAGGTCAGAACTACAAAGTAAAATGACATCTAAACCTCTTTCATGTGCCTCTCACTACTGGTAATCTGAAGGTTGACTTCAGTATTCATTTGGGATTCCAAATTTCCAACAGGCTAGTACTGTTCCTCTTTGTCCCATGAGACATTTGGACAGCTTTTGTCCTCTTGCCAGAGATACTAAAACAGTAAGGATTACAGCCCTATTTCTCTTTATTGTGGTCTTCAAGAATGGGCAAGGGGTGGGAAGATAGGTATGTGAGCAATGCCCTATGGGCTTAAGGCCTTTCTTAGTCCCAGCAGAGTCAGATGGCCCCTTGCATTGGATCTTTCATCCCAGGCATTATCAGCTGCCTTAGGCTTTTGGATAACTTTCAGAAAAAAACCTTTTTGCTAATGTGAGAGCTGGGTATTATAGTTCTGTCAGCTGCTTCCACCAACTTTCCCTTATTAGTCTTGAACTCCCAATAGCCTTAGGAGAATGCAATTCTAGGAGACTACTAATCAGTATCCATGTGATTCTTTTTGAGAAGTAGCAAGCAATAATCTTGGGGGTGGACTCTTCCCCTCCCTCCTCAATCACTTACTTTATTCATAAGTTCTGCAATCTAGAGTTTCTCTTAGGACACTACAAGGCTGAACATTATTCTTTCATGCAGCAGCTCCTTTAGGAAGCACTATTTGATCTCCTACAATTGCCTGGTAATGTTAGATTTTGAAACACAGCATGGGATCCTTGTATTCCTTCCACAGCCCATTAGCTTAAGGTGATTTCTAACAGTGCATTAGTGTACATTGAATACGGAGTCAAGTTGTTCACTCTATTCAGTGCCTTTCCTTAAAGGAAGTATAAGGTTTTATGCACAGAACTTGGTCGGTTCCAAGGAATAGCTCTGAGTTTCCTACAGCTTGAGAGGATCCAACACTGTGCTTCAGGGATTTTCCAGGTATTTATCCCTACAGATCCACCATTCTCCACTTTGTTTAGTCGTAGAGGTGCTGTTATTGTGAAATGCATCAATAGGTACACTTGCCTTCTGGATTCTGGTTTGATCAAGTTAGGCATGGGCAGGAGATTAGAGGGTGAAAGGAGAGTGAGGTAGGCGGCATTCACTCCCACAGCTCCTACCTACTGCATTCCTTTACAGCAGCTGCTCCTTCAGTCCTAAAAGTGTAATGGATCCCCACGTCGCAAGCCCTGATATTCTGCACCATCTCTTCTTGGTTTACCTTGACACTACCCATGTTTATAAATAGTCCCTTTGATACCTCTCATCAGTTACCCCTTTTGATGTAATATCTTTTTTTTCTGCTATGAATTTGACTGATACAAAAGCAGTTTAAATTTAACAAATGGTTACAATTTTGAGTGACTGATCCAAGCAATTATGCATCTCCAGTGTATTTGGCTCATTCTTGTGATGTTGTTTTCTATAACTTGTGGATGCAATTGCTGCTATTTAATTGTAACTCACTAACTTTTATTTTACCACTGTGCTCTTCATTTCCTGATTTGAAACATCTTCCTTCCCTACCTAAATAGTCTTCCAGCTTTGATAATGTATGTTCCTAGATTAGAATACAGTAGTGTGTAGATAGTAATCTTTTTTATGCATTGAATATATGTAACTATTTTTAGGAGACTTGAGAACAAACAAGAGTGTGAGAAAAGTCAGTTAGTTCTATGATAGATTTTGTAACTCTGAGAAAGACTTTTAACATCTCTAGATTTTAATTTCTCCTTATGTGAATTGAGGGAACTGGTCCAAAAAAGTGTTTTGTCCCATGACCACAATTTATCCTTTTATTAATCCTTATCTGTATGAGGATTAATACAGAGACTCAGAATATGAGGATTAACTCAGAGACTGCTTATAGTGTGTTAATCTAGAGTAACTTAGTGGAGAATGGGGCTAGAAGTGTCAATTTTGCTCCTAAATTATCTTTCTTGATTCTAGTCATCCTTTGGAAGACTTATGGATAATGGTCTTTAGGTAGGGTGTGAACTTCCTTGAAACTAGGTTAAAAAAACTATGCCCCTGCATCTTCTTCTGGGGCAACTGTCCACAGATTTCTAGATTCTCAAAGGACTAATGACTCTCCTTCTCACAAAAGAATAAGGACCACTCTCTTTTGTCCTTTCCTCACCCCTGAGGTGTTAGAAGACATGGGGTGTTAGAGTTCCAGACTGCCAGATACATAATTTGAATATATTTAAATGCTTCCATAAAGGCATTTATCATGTACCATGAGCCATTTTCTTTTCATAGATTTTCAAATTTCTTTAGTATCTACTGATGGATTTTCAGATGAAAAGATCAACCCTTGACTCAGAGAAATGAGAAAGAGGTTTTTTGTCTATGTGACTTACTTTATAACTATAAACAGCAGGTACATTCAAGGACTCTGCTAGGATAAAGAGAAGAAACTGATTTCTCTCACAGAGAAAATCAGATTAGGAGACTTTATTTTAAAATGAAGTGTCTGCGTTCTGTTTCTCAGAGTGCTTTTCGTTCTCAGAAACACTGACTTATCTTACGGAATTCTCATTGAAGCTTCTGTCTTTATCACACTGCCCTATCAAGTCTTTGGTTTTTCTAGCATTGATTTTTTTTTTCTCCTGTTTTCTTTCTCTTTACAAGAGGCATCAGGACACATCTACATGATAGCAAGTGAAATAACACATCCGTATTTTCATACAGGCTCAAATTCTAGAGGAGGTAGAAAATTGCTTTGCCTATGGGTGATGTTTGTGTTTCCAAGATATTCCTCTCTCTCTTCTATATGTGTGAGCATCCTCAATATTCCTGCAAAAACAGATTAGCTATTTTAATCAATGATTGTGTTTCTGTCTACCTGCCTATCTACCTACCTTTCATTTTTCTGTCTACTTGTTCATTGTCTATTTATCAACATACATACATAGAATTTTGAAACAGTTTTAAGTACTTCACAAGAATTAACTCATACTTTGCGAAATCCTCCAAACCAGTGATTCTCAAAGTTTTCAGTCTCGGAATTCTTTTATACTCATGAAACTACTGAAGAAACAAACACCTTCTGTTTATGTAGGCTTTTTTATTATTTGTGTTTCACATTAGAAAATTAAGACAATTTAAACTATTTATTTACTAATTTTTTAACAACCATAATGATGAATCCATTACATGCTAACCTAAATAACATTTTTAATAAAAAATAAAATATTTCCAACATAAAAACAATGTCATGAAAAGAGTTACACTGTTTAAAATTTTTCAGATCTTTGTAATGCTTGGTTTACAAGGGAAAACCAAGGAAATGGTTTACATAGGGAAAACAACTAGACTTCCCTATCTTTCTTTGCATTCAATCTGTTGTAATTTTGAAGTTTTCAGAAAGCATATGAAGAGTTCCAGCTTCGTTTAGATATCTAGTTAGAAAATGAAGGATAATTTCAATAAACTAAAGGTTATTTGCAATGTTGAGTCTGAAATCATGTCAATAAATTTTTCATAGTCGGTTACATTTGAATCCATTGGAACATTTTGCACACTGAATGAATATTTTTACCCATGTGCAATTTTGGAACATCATGCATTATTTGGAAAATGTCGGTTTACTGAGATATGCATGTCTTGGCAGGGTTTGGACATGTCATTATACAACATAAAAGATCAAGATATAATAAAATTAATATTTTTACTATTTAGTGATTCACCAATAACATCCTTAAAGGAAAATGGCTTTTTTTTTAACTGCAAATGGATTATGAGAGGAATACAATGATAATAATACATTTTAGGGTTACTACCTTGGTTTGTGAGAGTCAAGGGCAAATAATGTCTAAACATTATTATGGAAGTAGTTTTGACTTCACAAAGCTCCCGAAAATACCTCTGGGATCCCCACATGTCCACAGGGCACACTTTGATAAGCACTGCTCAAAATAGTCCTTGAGTAGGTTGGCATCATTATCCTCATTTTATAAATGGGGAAACTGATGAAGAGAGTTTATGTGGCTTTCTCTAGGGTACCCAGCCAGTAAATGAAGTAAGAGGGATTCATTTACCAAATCCATGCCCTTAAGCCCCATTTTGATAAATAAATAAATAACATTATTTCAGTCTTCACTTTACTTGACCTATGTCAGTTCTCATCATTGCTGTTTCCCCTCTCAGCTACTCTGTTACCTTTGCTTCCAAAACATCATCCTGTGCTAGTTTTCCTATACCTCATAAGCAACTGTTTTTTAGTCTTTTGCAGTGGCATTCTCCTATACTCATCCATTCTAAAAGCTGGAGTACCTTAAGGCTTCATTATTTTTTCTCCTCTCTTCTTCTATTTGAACTCTCTCTAGGCAGTATCCATGAGCATGGCTTCAATTACCATTGATATGCAAATGACTCACTGATTTCTATCTCTTGCTCTGACTTCTCATCTGCAAAATACTTTATTTTTAACTCATTTTACATGATTTCTTCTCGCAAAGACATCCTAAACTCTAAAATTGGAAGGGGCATCCTCCTCCTATGCCTAAACCTAGCCTAAAGCTGGTTCTTTTAGGTTTCTTATTTAATAAATGTGATTACTATCTACCCAGTTATAAGACAGAATCTCAGGAGTTACTCATGTTACGTTTTTCTCCCTCAACACCATTCCTCACTGCCTTAAATGCCCTCATCCTAGAATAAACGGCCGTCGTGTTTTTTACCTCCTATCCATTCTCCACAGTGCAGCCAGAGTATCATGCAAGTTCAAACCTGTTTTATTTCTGCTAAAACTTTTTAGGGGCACTCCTTTGCCTTTAGGATAAACACGAAACTTCAAGGTGGTCTATAATGAGGGCAACTATATGTCCCCAAGTTACTTGGTACCTTCCCCAGCTGTGCCTGTTGTTATTAGGAAGAACCTGTTTCATTTTCAAATGTGCCTTGGTTTGGATGATGAACCTACATGGCCACACTATGCGAATAATCTGATCTCTGATATCATAATGTACAAAGGTCTCCCCTACTCTACGCTTCACCAGAAATGCTTTTTTAAAGTCTGTGAGTTACACACATTTTTATTTATTTACCTCTTAATTTTTCAGATTTCAGCTCAGTCTTCCCATTTTAGGATAGTCTTCCACATTCTCCCTGTTTCAGTCTGATAGCTTCATAGAAACTCTCATAGCTCTTGTCTCCTTTGTAGTGGGGGGATTGTGATAAATTTCCATATCCCATCTTAGAGTAGAAGCTTTCTGAGGGCAATGAATGTGTCTTTTTAGCTCACTGTTGTATCCTCCAGTATCTTTCAATATTTAGACAAAGTGAGTATTCCGTGATTTTTTGAAGGAATAAATTCACAATGCTTGAGATATTGTTAGTAATTCATATTTTTTCCAACCTTTGTGGAAAAAGTTAAGTTTTAGTTATTTGGAACGTTCTTTTAAAGTGCAAATGTAAATAGCTTTAAGCAACGTTAAGATCTCCTTTTTCTGAGGTGATTCATCAGTTAATTCCTTCTCTCTATAGGAAGAGACCAGGGGATAAAACTGGATTGAGAATAAAGGAAAGAATAGGGTAGTGGTAGAAGTTAAAGTGTGTGTGTGTGTGTGTGTGTGTGTGTGTGTGTGTGTGTGTATGTGTATGTGGCAGAAAGGAGGAGATTTTCTTTCTCTATTTGACTCCTGCCATGTAGTTCTGTTGGGTAAACTGTCAAGTAAAATGCAGACACTTGCACTGGAGAAAAATACTTTGATATAGGCAAGCCAATGGGACTTGTTTTTCTATTTTTCCCTGGTGAGGTGTTTTATTGTTGGCTCACCAGTCTCTCCAGCACCTGCAACAATTGCTGTCCCTCTCTGAAGAAGAGGCAAGGGAGAATAGTGCAGGATATGGAAGGTATAGAGGTAGTCTGAGAGGTCACTGTAGCTTTGTTTAGTGAGCACATGGAGGACAGAGCCTTTGCCCCTAAGTCTTCAGGATTTTCCAGAAGTTCCATATTGATATAATACTCTGAGTCACAGGTAATCTAACAATGACCTCTGCTATAAATGCCTTGAAGAAAGCTTCCTTAAAAGGGGTCATTCTAGGATGATGCTCAATTTGATAAATGTTCTCACGTATTTTAGCCCATTGTTTGTCAGGGGATCTGAAAGTATAAACTCTGGTTCTAGTGGCAGGGACGTTTTTAGCTAAAATTATGAAAACACCAAGTGACCTTTGATCTACTTAGAGAGCTGGAGACACTTCACATTACTTTGCTGACCCAGGAAGTGGCAAATGACTACTATAATTACATGATTCAAAGCTCCTCCTCAGCCTCTGCTTTCACCTTGAAGGCAGATGATGTAATAACCACATGCCAAAGCATCTGAGAATATATTGAAGGCCTATGGTATTTAATTTATTTAGTCTCAAGACAAGATTTGTAATCTATTCCCTTGAAAGATACCTGACACATTTGAAACACAGTTTTGTGTTGTGCATTTTCTGTGACTTAATGGTAGTTTTGTTTAGCAGTTTGAAAAATCTTTCCAATGACTAATATTCAGTCATTAATACAATAACTGACAATATTAGACCATTTTATAAAATAAATAAAAAATAAAACTTGTTCATATCAGTCACCAAAATTTTCTTTCCTCATGGTTTTCTTCAACTTTACTTTTGTGATTGTTTTACTATAATTTTGCATATTTAATTTAGTCATTAGTGTCAATATCTAGAGAAGGAAAACTTTCATTTCTGTAGTCTCGTTGTTAAGTGTAGCAATGAGGATTATTCCTTCAAATCTACAAAACTAGTCAAAGAAATCAATTTCAATTAACAGATTTCATTATAAATTCATTAACTTCCTCTGTACTTTTGAGAAAAATTTTAAACTTTGCTTTACTTTATAGCTTTTGTTTCATAACCCAAGTTGTTAAAGGAAATCTACTATTAGGATAAAGGACCATAAATACACAAAATAATGTTGTAAACATAATAACTCAAACTTGATTGTTTTGAAACTTGCAACTCAAATTTTATAAATGTAATATTTCTTTACTCACAATGTAAATTAAATGCCATGTAAGAACATTTTCCACAGTGAGTAATTCTCATCTTGAAGTTTAAATTGTATTTATACATGTTAGCTCATATACTTTAAAATAGATGCCCTATTAACAATTTTTTTTTTTTTTTTGAGACAGAGTCTCGCTCTTTGCCCAGGCTGGAGTGCAGTGGCGCAATCTCGGCTCACTGCAACCTCTGCCTCCCGGGTTCAAGCAACTCTCTTGCTTCAGCCTCCTGAGTGGCTGGGACTACAGGCGCCCACCACCATGCCTGGCTAATTTTTGTATTTTTAGTAGAGACGGGTCTTCACCATGTCGGCCAGGCTGGTCTTGAACTCCTGACCTCAGGTGATCCACCTGCCTCGGCCTCCCAAAATGCTGGGATTACAGGCATGAGCCACCGCGCCCGGCCACAGACTCCATTTTATAGGTAAGATTTGATTAAGTGGTTTTAGAGGTTTCAGTTTAAATGATTTTCTTGTATGCTGCCATTAGAAAAGGAACAGAACAAAGAAAGTGCACAATAAATATGTGTTGAATGAAGTAATGAACCTTTAGGATAATTGTTCTCCATTAAGTCTATGTTGAATAAAAATAAAATAAAATAAAATAAAATGGAGTTTGTATCCTCACCACAGTACATTCTCATTGGTGTTGGGATAGTAAAATCTTAATTTTCAGAGTTATGGAGTTGAAAGGCTACCACCACAAAATGTGCATGATGACATTTACCCAGCCTCAGTGACACGACACTTTCGAATGAGAGCTCCAAGTTTCTCGAGTGAGGCCCACCTGCAAGTCATTATAGACCATAATGTGGTTCTCAGAGCCTGACCATATTATTTATAGAGCTTGACCTGACTGTCAGGAAATAATGACAGCATTTTATACTTCTGCTGTGCCCTACTTCTCAGTGTTCCTTACCAACATCAATAAATTCTTATATCACTTCTGTGGGGTATTAGATGATAAATATTATGACATCGAGTTTTACAGATGGGGAAGTAGAAAATGAAGCACAGATGTTCAATAATTTTCTCCAATTTCCAGTCACTATGTAGGACTTTTCCATAAGCCATTTAAATAATATCAAGGATAAAGACTGATGTATAGGGAAGTAGAAATGGGTGGAGGGGAGCGGGGCACATTTGAGTCCATTGAATATGGACAAGCTACTGTGGGAGTAGTTAAGCTAGAAGGTGATTGAAAAAAAGGTGGTGGGATTAAGTTACTGTGATTTATTTGTAGCTTCTTCCCTACTAACTGCCAAAAATGATTTGAAATTGGAGAATTTAGTATATCTATTTTCCCCTTCAGTATCCCTTCTGGAAAAAAGAATGATAACAGATTCCAGTAATAAAATTGTGTATATTCCTAATGAGGTATTATTGCTTAGTTGGACTGATTATACTCTCTGGTAATGAGTTTGAGGATAGACTAAAAATGAGTTGGTTGGGAATTCATATTTTTTGATATATTTAGCACTAGTATTATCTTATTTTTTTTCTCTCCCTTAATCTTTATCAACATCTGCTCATACTGGTCACTTCATCATTCACCAAACAATATATATTTAAAGAGAATGTACTTCATATACATGTATTATATATGTTCTAATATGTCTCTCTCTATATATTTTGTACTATACACATTGTACAATGTATTATATACAGGTGGCTGTCCATATCCATGGGTTCTGTATCCATAGATGCAGAATTCTTGAATACAGAGGGTTGACTGGGAGATCTGACATCTGCAGGTTTTGGTATCCGTGGAAGGTTCTGCAACCAATCTCTGGTGGATGTGAGAGGTGATTGTACTTAAGGTAAAAGTCAATGGAGAAGGCCACTATTGGAATATGGCCAACTCAAGGTGACCCTGCAAAGAGGAAGTTTGGAAAATAAAAACCCTTTCCATGACTAAACCCTACTGGAAGCCAGAAAGTCAACTGCTGTGATCACACAGATGAGACTTCTGGCTTGGAAACAGAGGAAAAGTGTGAACAGCAAACTGGGAGGGACAAATAAAAAATATCTAACTTTTCCTTCCTACCACAAATTTGAATTATGCCCCAATCTATTCTCATCCTGACCTGAGGTCTCTTTATTCCAATTGTCTTCAATCAAATTCTGACTTTGTTGCAGATGCCAGCAGAAGTTATCCAAATGAAATGGAAATAAATTGATTACAAATAATATTCAAATAAAAAATAAATAACTTGTGATACCTGCTGAAAAATTTAGTGACTGACATATATCTTAAATATGTGTCTCCTTTAATTTGGTCTTTCTGTTAATAATGTGGTAAACTAAAGGCTAAAGGTAGTCCAGCCTATGAATCAGGAGTAACATAGGCATGAGTTTTTCTTGTGTTTGCATATACACTTAAAAGTTGGTTACTTACAAGATATAACTTTAAATCTCATAAAAATTATTGTTACACAACTTTGAACTGTGTTTTTTCTTGTGTAAAAGTGAAAAAGTAGTGAACTAGGCAAAACAGAATGTAGTAAAAGATACTCTCACCTGGCCATCAATATGGAAACATTTAATTTAAAATAGTTTCCAGAAACATCAAGAGAAGATGCATATTAGTGTGTTAATTATTCTCATTCTCCATAGCAGGAACTATGCTTTATTCATCCTTGTACTCCTGAAAGCCAAGCTGGCCAGTAGAAGGTTTATAGAAAATGTCTTATAAATATGTTTGTTTTATTGTACAACTTTTGTCTTGTTTATATAAAATGTATATATAGATAAGTGATTTTTTCTATTAGTCATAAATATTGATTTCACATGTAGATGGTGTGAAATGCAGATGTGGATCCACATTTGACCAAACTTGTTCATCACAGAGTTATCACAATCTCTGGGTCTAATCTAAGAAATATACTGTTTTCTTATACCAAGTCAAGACTCTATGACCTGCTCCTCTACCTATTTTCACCATTCTCATCTCTTCCTATTTACAGCTTCAAGAAAGGCCTCCTCTGCTAAAAATGCTCTCTGATTAGCCATTCACTGCTTCCTGAACTATGAAGACATCTTCTAGGAATACTCAGGATCTTCTGCTATGTGGCTTTAATTTATTTTAAGATTAATTCCTCATTACCTTCTTACACAAAGCCACCATTAGCATATCAAGCACAGCTGTACAAATTTTTAAAAGGCCAAAAGATGTATCTGCCAATTCTAGGAGGATATAAACCTGAAGGCACAAATCTGGGCTGGAGCACATGGTTTCCCTTGTGAGAAGAAAAAGTCTCCTTCCTCTGAATGGACACACCTTGCACACCAGGGCACAAGGTTTGTCTAGAAGAGCACAGCTGAACATCATAAAGTGCAGAACCACACACCTGGCATCCTTGTCCCTACACAAGGTATGTTGCTGTTAAAGTATAATTTGTTACTCTCCAAAGCACACTCACAATTCCCTACTTGGGTCCCTTGTTGCATGTTACTGCTCCTCATTTATGCATTTGGATGCTTTCTTATATTTTTCCTCAACCTCTACCACATTCAGTTAGGCACTCAGCCTATATTTCATGTATACCTATGTAGCAGGTCTTATGACCAGAGTTGGGGATGCACAGAAATTGCAGATTTCTTATTCATGACATTACTTCTCATCCCCACAACTCAATATGATAATTCCTTTCCCTAACCACCCCACTTCCCAATGCACATAGTATTTTGTCTGTACTTTCCTTTGGGAATTTACATTTTCTACTCTTTCTAGTACTGTGCAAACATATGTTTTCTTTGCCATTAAACTTAATGGCATGGACTTAAAAATCTTGATATCTAGAACAGTGCCTAGCCCTGTAACTTGAGGATATAAATTAAACTTAATTGAATTATTCATTACCTTCCTTGTAACTTTAACTGTCGCATTATGACTGTAACTCAATCCGTGTATTATATGTCAGCAAAGTTGAGCGCCTTTTCCGTGCAGTTACACTTTGAGTTACTTAAGGATTACATCCTTTTGCTAGAGTCCTCAAACAGCATTTAGTGGCATCTTTCAGACATGTGGCGCTTGCAGAGCTCGAGAAAAGATGGCAGAATTATATGTCTTTTCCTTTTTCTTCTTTTTGGCAGCTCTTTACCTAATGATGTAGACTATATTTGATACACTGTAGTTTTCTTATTCTGCTAAATTCCTCATCAACACATGACCTCGATAGATATTGCTGTCAACATCTTCAATTTCTTCTTTCTATTTATCTTGACAAATCCCTGGGTGCAGTATTAATTTTATCTACCTTAGCATGGAGGTGATTATTTTAGCTCATTTTAATGCTCCTTCTATGTAGTTGCCCATTAGTGATCGCAAGAAGTTGATTCTACAACCACTACTCCCCTCCTGCCTCACTGCAGATACCAAAACTTTCAGTTCCTTGTATAAAATGGTATTTGCGTATAATCTACACACATCTTCCCATATACTTTAAGCCTTCTCTAGATTATTTAAAATACCCATTATGATGTAAATGCTATGTAAGTAGTTATACTCTACTTTTTATATACATATTTTTATTGTGGCATTGTTATTTTTATTGGGTTATTAAAAATATTTTCTGGCCTGGTGTGGTGGCTCACACCTGTAATCCCAGCACTGTGGGAGGCCGAGGTGGGCGGACCACGAGGGCAGGAGGGCTAGACCATCCTGGCTAACAAGATGAAACCCTGTTTCTACTAAAAATACGAAAAACTAGCCAGTCATGGTGACATGCACCTGTAGTCCCACCTACTCAGGAGGCTGAGGCAGGAGAATCGCTTGAACCTGGGAGGCAGAGGTTGCAGTGAGCTGAGATTGCACCACTGCACTCCAGCCTGGACAACAAAAGCGAGACTCCATCTCAAAGAAAAAAAATGCATATATATATATATGTATTCTATCCACAGTTGGTTGAAACTGCAGATGAGGAACATGCAGATACAGAGAGCTGACTGTATTCTGGTCATCATTTCTTCTTTTTTGTTCCTTTGGGCCTACCAAGGGTGATTACAATTCTGCTTTTACTAGGCCTGGGTTATCTCAGTCTCTTTGTAGTGTGATGCAACTTTTATAAATAATCTCTTTTTTAAACCCTCTTCAAATTATGGTAATGTAAGAATGACATTTATTTTCTGGAGGGGAGACTGCATGATTAAAAAGACAAAAATAGAATTGAAGGTTTTAACTATATGTGCAGTCTTAAGTGGAAATGACATACGGACACTGCCTAGAGGGCAGTTATTCAGACATTAAGTTTAAGATCACTCAGCCAGACTGAGGAACAAAACTGTGGAGAACAGACATTAAAGATTAGAAAAAATAGCGGGTCTAAAGTTCTATGAAAGCACCAGAATATAAGAATGAAAAGATTATGTCAAAGCATGCAGCAAAACAGACATGAGACTTGAGTGAGAAGTAGGGTCTTGTCATTAAAGGTGATTACATTCTCTTCCATTTATACTAGGAACTGCAGAGATAGGGACAAGACGTGTATCTGTAACTGGTTGAGCTGCTGGTTGGAAGCACATAATTAAAATAATGGGGTACAGCAATAATTTTCTTTTATTAACATATTAGAGCAATTAATTTATTCATCCTTTGAAAAGTATGCATTTTAGGGCCATATATGTATATACTGATCCTCCTCAAAAATCTTCCAGTTCTTTTACCAAGACTGAACCCCGACTATTTTGTAGTGATCTGAGGATTAGACAACCAAGTTATTGGGAATTAGATTTAGAATTATACAAAGTTGTCCACGCCCTTATGTCCAGAGCCTATGAATATGTTACTTACCTGGCAAAAGACTTTTGCAGATGTAATTTAAAGTTAGGACCTTGAGACTAGAAGATTATCTTATATTATTCGTTGGGCCCATCTATTCACATGAGTCTTTAAGAGCAGACAACCTTTTCCGGCTATGGTCAGAGAAAGAGATATGATAAAGGATGAAAGAAAGGGTCAGAGAGATATGACATTCTTGGCTTTGACAATGGAGGAATGTGGGTGGCATCTAAATGCTGGAAAAGGCTAGAAAACAAAATTTTCCCTAGAGCCAAGAACAAAAGAAGTTGCAATCCTGCCAAAGCCTTCATTTTAGCATGGTAAGACCCCATGCTGGACTTGTGATTTATGTAAACATAAAATAATAAATTTGTGTTGCTTTCAGCTAATAAATTTATGGAAATTTGTTACAGCATTAATAGAAAACTAATACCAAAATCAGTTTATAGAATACAGAACTTGGGATACTTTGGATAAGGAAATAAAATATAACAGAAAATTCCACCTGTCTTGGAAAAGACTTGATAAGGTCAAATGCCTATCAGGAAGGATCCTATAAGGGTGAAAAAAAACAATAAGGAAAACCAAGTCAGTAGGTCAACTGAGTTTGGCCAGAGAACTATGTAAAAAGTCAATAATTTATGAGTAGAAAAGTTGGTATTATTTAGAAACTCAAGACTACTCACTTTTTTTTTTTTTTTTGAGATGGAGTCTCGCTTTGTTGCCAGGCTGGAGTGCAGTAGTGTGATCTCGGCTCACTGTAACCTCTGCCTCCTGGGTTCAAGTGATTCTCCTGTCTCAGCCTCCTAAGTAGCTGGGACTACAGGTGCACGCCACCACACCCAGCTAATTTTTGTATTTTTAGTGGAGACGGGGTTTCACCATGTTGGCCAGATGGTCTTGATCTCTGGACCTCGTGATCCTCCTGCCTCGACCTCCCAAAGTGCTGGGATTACTGGGGTAAGCCACTCTGCCTGGCCTATCCACTTTTTTTTTTTTGACAGGTGAGAGATGACAGTGATGGAGATAGCTCACATCTGCGTGCTCTTAACTGTTGCATAGTACACTTGTTTACATATTTTTGCCATGGGCAGAAACGGAAGAAGCCCATTCAGTATACATACCAGTATGTAATGATTATAGGAATATTGGATTTTGATCACAACATTTTAATAATGGCATCCCCAAAATTAAAATAATTTAAATGTTCTGAAAAGATGTTGTTTTCCATTTCAAAAGGATAAATAAAACTGGATATGCTATGGGAATGATAAATCTGTACATGGTTTGGGAATGATTTTCAGATAATGACCCATAAGTCCTCTCTAGCCAATACATTTAAGGAGATACTTTAGAGTTGGAGAGTATGATTCTTCCCTTATTTAGGGCTAGAGAAGAAAAAGTTCTTCACATTTGAAAGGAAAGATATGTTAAGATATACAATGAATTGTATCTTTCCTTTGAAGTGTGAAAGTCAAGGTACACAATTAGTCAAGGTATACAATTCATTTCAAAAGCAGTTATACCATAATAAACAAGTTTGAAACATTTTCTAAAAGCCTTCAATATTTAAAAAAATTGATGTTTTAGATTTTATGAGTATCCATTTAAAAAAACCAGAAGTCAGCTGGTTAATTCAATGAATGTAGATTTTTCTCACATTGTCGTGTTTCAGTACAATTCACAGCTGTATAAATAATGCCATTCATAAATAGAACTCAAGCAAATTCAATTCTGTTTCTATTAATGTGAAACGTGCTAAAATTTTCCACTTTTGTTTGCCTAAAGAACGTGTATGTCTTGGCACACAAAAGCTCTCTTGTGTTCCTATAATTGTAAAAAAAAAAAAAAAAAAAAAAAAAGTTAAGCTAACCACCACCTCAAAATCCTAAGGGCACCAAGCAATCATCTTTCCAAAGAGGTCTATATTTTCAGACATGACGTGTGTTACTGATTGTGGAACAAAATCCACTGTATAATTTCTGCGGTTGTCTAAAACTGACAAAGCAGCTGGGAGGAAAAACGTACTGGTTGCAGTTTCCCCAGATTTTCTTTCATCTAGCTCTGAGGAATTCTTTTTCAGAGTATACACAACACAATCCAAAAAGAGGGGCTTTTTTGAATGAAACATGTTCTGTCTTAAGCAAGTTCTAAAGTGATCCAAATGTGAAGCTTTAGAATCTGATGATACCTACTCCATGGAGGCCTGACAGTAAGTCATGTAATACATCGATGATTTTATGGGTTTCTCTGTTAGTAATTCCAGATGGTGTGTCTGTGCTCTGGCTGTACACTCTACCTAAATCATCTCACTCATAATCAACAGATATCCAGAAGCACTTTAATTGGAAACACTTAATTTTACCAGTTATTTGTAACTTTTAATACAATCTCATTTAAGAACATGGAGTCCCTTGCTTTTCATAATACTGAGCTCTTTTTCTGGAGAGCAGGTTTTGGATGGATATGTGCTGCTTGAATCAATGTTGTTTTCTGAGAATTTGTGTGTTCCATATATTTGTGGTTCAGTCTTCAGAAATGCTGCTACAGCATCTTCTGCACTTCTCAACACCACCTTCTTGCCAGCTCTTATTATAGACTAAAAAGGACTTCAAAAGAAAAGCATGTTTGCCACAGTTGAAAAATGATTGCTGTTAATGCCAGGGTCTTAGTATCAGCTCTTCAAACCACCATCATTAATCTTAATTAGAAAACTAAAGCAAATGTTTTTTACCATTTGCAATTAATATGGGACCTAATTTGAATTCGGAGTCCAAACAGAACTCACTGTCTGCCTATGTTGGAAAGTGTGTTTTATACCTGCCGGTACCAATATTGTTTTAGTAACCGAGGAAAGAACAGAGCATTGACTGACATCAGAATAATCTGTGTCGACCATAAGCATTAATCTTATTTAGAAAGTCAAGCTGAACTTTGTCAAACAAGAAAGGTTTAGGAAAAAAAAGTTTACTTTAAGCCTATACAGAAGTATCAAAACACAGAGGTTCATCTTAGAATTTCTCCCACTGAGGCAGCAGATATGGCCATTCATAACAAAGACCTTGTCTTTTGTTCTTTCTGATATTATTCCACATTGAGATAAACATGTGATAGGTGAGCTTTTCACAGGAAAACTGGGAGATCTACTCATGCTACCCTGCGTGGAAATGATTTTTTTAATTATATGAAACAGTAAGTTGAAGGTAATATTTATAAATAAAAATCTCTAAATATTTAGAGATGATTTAGAGATATTATCTCCAACTTCGTAAGCATTTCAAGTAACTTTAAATTTTAATTGAATTTCACTGAATTACTAAATCTAGAAATAATTCTAAGGAGATATTGACCAAAACTAGACGTAGTCTGGCTCTGTCACCCAGGCTGGAGTGCCGTGGCATGATCTTGGCTCACTGCAACCTCCGCCTCCCGGGTTCAAGCAATTCTCTGCCTCAGCCTGCCGAGTAGCTGGGATTACAGGCACCCGCCGCCACGCCCAGCTAATTTTTTTTGTATTTTCAGTAGAGACGGGGTTTCACCATCTTGGCCAGGCTGGTCTTGAACTCCTGACCTCGTGATCCACTCGCCTCGACCTCCCAAAGTGCTGGGATTACAGGCGTGAGCCACCATGCCTAGCCTCCTCTTTTCTTTTCTAAAGGTCTGTAAGTGAAGGCTGTGAGTTTGAGGACTTCTCTGTAGTATAATGGTTGGCAGAAAATCAAGCTTTGGTGCTTGGAACCTAAATACAAATTTTCTGGTATTAAGAATACTTTATTTTTAAAACTTTTACCAACTGCTATAGTAAACTGATATTTGTATCCATGTAAATAAACATATATAAACATACAAATATACATAAATAATTCTATTGTTTTATAAATATAACAATTTCGCTGTTATATAAATATATGAACATAAACATGTTTATTTACACAGATAAAAATAGTTTACTCTATATAGTTTATATATATAAAAACTATAAACTGATGTGTATCAGTTTGCTATATATTAGTATTTACATGTGTATAAATATTGGTTTATCATAGCACTTGTGTGTGTGTATCTATCTACTTGTTGTTTCCTTGTCTTTATACATTTTTCAAATGTGGAAAGAGAAGGATAAGAGAAAGCATATAGTAGCAGGCAAATAAAGGCTAAAATTCTTAGTATTCTTAGTATTTAAGTTTTAATAAATTAATAACTAACCTGCCTTTCAGCTTTAACACCCTGCTGTGAACAAAGCTAAAATCTATATTTGAATGTTTGCCCTAGTTGTATTTCGCTTGGGTAGAGGGGTGTGATTGCTAAGCATTGCCCTAAAAGGCTTAGAAATTTCTGATGCTAGTCTCATATTGTGTCTATTTAACCAAACTTTTTGTGTCTTGACCTTAACAAATAAAGAATACAAGGTATTAATATGGTTCAAGATGGATGTTGTATATGTGAGAATTCATAATACTAATTTCTATATTTGTATCCACATTTGAAAACATCAATAATGCAATATTAAAAGAAGCAACATGGCCAAGAAATATTGATGGATAAAAGAATAAGATGAAACTGAAACTCAAACATGACATCTCGCTCTATTGACATAAAAATATACCCCAATATATAAACCCTTTCCTCAGAGTATATCCTTCTTATCATTCCCTTTCAACCCAGAAACTTTTTCCAAACAAATAGAGTTCAATTTTTCCCACCACTAAATACTTTGGTAATATTAGAATTGAGAGATTTTGGCAACTGTCAAGAATTTTGCTCTTTCAAAGAGTATTCACTCTCGCCTTGTCAATTTCAGCATGGGAATGCTGTTTTTCTCAGGCTTTTATATAATATGGTTTTATGTGTGTATACAAGTGACTTTTTAATGTTAGAGTATCAGAATTCTATTAAAATAGTTCTATTCTGGCTCTAAAAGATCTTGGATGAATTAACATGGGGATCATTTATGTAGGCAATATTCATTATTCTTATTTAGAAAGTCGTATTTGCTGATGGCCATGAAAGGGTTTTATTTTGATTCTGAATTTTCAGTTGGCAACTAAATCAAAAACCCATTTTCAATAACTGCTAGTAAATAGCTCACATATTTCTATGCTTCATTTTCTTCAGTTTACCTATAAAGTTTAAGTGTGATAAAGCTGCAGAATAATCTCTTGCAAAGGGCATCAGGAGACACCTAGTTTATATTTTCTTATCATCACCTCACGTTTCTCACTAAATACAGCATTGTCTTTATCTTCTAATCTCTAGTCGTAAACTCCTTCATTAAAACCTGAGGGGAATTGTACTAGTAAACATGATGAATTGAGAAGTGTCTTTGAAAGCTGTAGTCTAGTGAATAACTCCAGCAGCAGGCGAATACTTTGTAATAAATTTGAAAATACTTTAACTGTGGAACATACTACCATCTGCTTTCAGTGTTTTTTTAAGGTTTGGAATCTATAAGGTTTTAAAATAGAAAAGAAGAATGTCACAGAAAAAAAATTTTGGCAGTCCCAGTGGTAATCCCTGTACTACGTTTAGTGCCACATGTCGAAAGACACTAATGCCAAACTGCCTATTGTGGCAAGATGTACATTTTTCCTATTTGTTGGAGTCCCCCTTAGAATTAATACTATTTTTTCTTTATCAGAATAGGGAACAGATCCAATTTACTAAAATATAGAATGAAGTTGAAACAGTAATATGTTTTGAAGATATGAACTAGCTAGTTCAATATTTCTTGATGAACACATTGGTAAATTGATTCACAAGCCTAATTACCCTGCCGTTTAAGATCTTTCAACATATAGCGATTCTGGACCAAGAAGCGAGTGGCCATTTTTCATATCAAACACAATATAGTGACATTAATTTTGCTCTCTCTCCATCAGCGCATTAATTCTGTCAGATCTGGTATTAAGGCTTGTAAATAGAAGCCTCAGAATTTTCGGTAAAAAATAGGTAATCTAAAAAACACACTATAAATTACATCTCAATTTTGGGTTAAAGGCAAAATGCCTAGAAAACTCTTAAGCAAAATTTAAAAAATTGATTATGCTCTTGAAAATAATTTTTATTATTCAAGGAAAATATCTTCTTATAAATTCTAAATTTTGGCACTGATCTCTGGGAAAAATGTAAGAAACAATTTGAAGAAAACCAGAATAATCATTTTCACATAATTTTCTAACAAATATACAGAGAGGGATAACAGCAACTTTAGACCAAACAGGATACCAAAATCTAAAACTATCAAATAAGAACATCCTACGACGTCAAAGTAATGTATACCTAATTGTTTTAAGTTAAAATAATACTTAGCATCTTTTAGAATTCTCAATCTTGGGAGACAGACATGTTCAGGTTTGTAATATTCATTGTATGATATTTCTACACACCACTAGAGGCCACACAACTCCAAAAATGAATGAATAATTACATGGCCTGCTAATCAAAGCCCGAAAGAAAATAGAAAGCTAAGTGGAAAGATTTACCATTGTCTGTATAGCAAGACTTTATATCACGGGCCTTTCCCTGGAAGAGTTTAGATTGCCCTTGTGAAGCCACTAGAACTTGTAGACTTTTTACTGCCCTCTCTATTTGCAGCATATTCTTATTCTACCACCAGAATATATGAGATGTGTTTGCGTGCACAGCACATGAACAATGGAAAGAAATATACCTCTGAACCTTCTCAATATTCTAATAGAAAGTCATTAGAAAAAAATGTACATACAGTCATATAATTTAGAATGCTAAACATTTGCTTTCTTTCCTGTTAGAAATTTTAAATAACAACGTTTACTTTTGTAACAAAAATATGACATTCTCTGTGTCAAACTTTACATTATATCACACACAATTTTATAATAATTTGATAAACATCCATGGAAATGAGCTGCCTTCTTCCTCTACAAGCCCTTCGCCTCCCAGATGATCTAAGAATTAAGCGTGGGAATATGTGTTTCATTGCCAGTAAACAGACCAGTCTTCTGGATCTCTTCTTATGTCCTAAGTAAAATTAGATGTAGCATTTTCAGCCTGGTTTCTAAACGCTTTGTCTGCCAGCCGGCAGCTTGTCACTTTGAGCAGACTTAACCAATTCGTTTATTTCTCTGGTTCTTAGCTAGATTTGAATCAGGTGACGCTTTAATACCATCTCAGCAAAAATGTAAACTGTGACCTCTATGATGAGTAAGTATTGTCTGGGCTCTGGAAATTTATTTTGTGAAAAACTGGTAGCACCTGTGCTACGTTTTATGGAAGACATAATAATGTTAACTCGCATTTCACTAAGTGCCTTTACTCTGGGAACCTCTGACTGTTTTCCTGATGAAGAAGCGCAATTTTCCTTCTTTTTTACCTAGAGACAGTGTAAGACAGACAAGTTAAATGGCATTGTGATAGCAAACTAATATCTAAGGTAAAAGGTCCCAAGATTTTTAAACTATAACCTTTTACATTGACAATTCATAAAAGATGCTATTTCAGAATTAATAGATCAAAGTTCTAACGGCTTTCTCTAATATTCAGAACAATGTAGAGATTGCTCAGGGGATACAAAAATATCTAAAGGACAGTTCTTCCTTCCAAAAAGCTAACAATCTAGATATAAACCTAAAAATACATCTTCAATAACAATCCGACTACATCTGTTTGCAGTAATATATCAGAAAGAGTTAAAATACAAGGCTGGTCAAGGATATGAGGTTATCACCAGAAAAATAAGAAAACAGAGTGAATTCTTCTTAAAGAATAATTCAAAGCATATAATATTAAACCAAAAAAGAAATGTTTATCTTATATCATAGAAGTGAATACAATCTTCAATGAAGCTGAAAAATTATTACTATTTTTTCTTGAAACAAGATAGCTTCATGACAAATAAAAATGTTGCAAACAATAAAACATAGATAGAGTTTGGTGGGATTCTTTAAAGCATCATCAATATTTTAAAAATCAAAGGAGTTTAAAAAGAGGTATATTGATTATTTTTGTCATATAAATAATTTTAATGTAAGTATGTTTATATGTGTCTATACAAAGCCATCAAATATATCTATATTATATTTATAGAAAAAATCTATCACCAAAAAATGGTAGAGAAAATAATCAATAAATCCCAAAATGTAGATCTTTGTTTCAATAATATTAAAAAATAACTGTAAATTAATAAAAGCTTTAAATAATGCTAACCGTTAGTATTCACAAAAATTACCATGCAGAATAACCCTTACATGAAGATTTATATAACTTGAGAGATATTTAATGTTCATGCATAGACATACTTAATATTTTAAATGTGTCAAACTTCCTAAATCTAGATACAAACTACCTCAAACAAGCTTCTTGAAACAATAAACTGTTCCTAAAATGTACATGGAAGTGCAAAGGATCAAAAACATGAACCCTCTCCAGAAAAAGAAAAGAGGGAAGAAAAGTACATAAGAAGCCTTTTATAAAACCAAAATATTAAGACTGTGTTGGGGTCATTCAGAGATAGGCAATTACCAATAGAAGAGAATAGATAATCACAAAAAAGACCCCATACTTATGAGGAACTTTGCTTTATGACAGATATGGCATGGCAGGTTTTGGGGCAAAGAAGTGACTATCCATAAGAAGAGTTGGAAAATGTGGATTTCATTAACTAGAAACAAGGCAGCAACCATACATAAAAGATTGACAAATTTGACTGTATAAAAATTAAGAACTTTAGGTCATGAAAATGCATTTCAGAGAAAATGAAAAGACAAAACACAAACTGACATAAAATAGTTGCAACATACGTAGACAACAAAGCATTCATTTCAAAATATATGAGGACTCTTATGGAACCATCAGAAAACAAGTAAAAAGAATAGAAATAATATTCGGACATAATCAGGTATTTTGTAAGAAAAGTAATACAAATGGCCAATAAAGAGATGAAGATGTGCTGAACTCATTAGTAAGAATAAAAGTATAATTCAAGATAACTATGAGATACTATTTCAGTCCCATTTAAAAGGCAGAAATTAAATCTGACTATACTGAATTTTACAGATGATGTGGATCACAGAGGTCAATTATTCTGGCAGGAGCATAAATTGGAACAATCAGTATGGAAAACAATTTCGCATTGTCTTGTAAAAATGAGCTTTTGCTTCCCCTATAACCCTAATAGTTTCCTAAGTATCCAAGAGTAACTCTTTCAGAAGTCTACAAGGAGCATGTACAATTAAAGTTCAGAAAAGTATTTTTTTGAAGAGACAAAACTTAAAACATCATGAATCCCAAGAATATGATAAATACATTGCATTACAATTATACAATAGAATATGCATCAAGAAACATAATAAATGAATTATAGTTATGTGTAATATCATAGGCAATCTTATTATGATAGTATTGGATGGAAGGTCACATGCAGTATGATCACCTTTATATAAAATTTGAAAATAGATAAAATGTAAAATATGTTGTTCAGTTGTATGTAAATAAATACACAAGTGCACACACACATATTGGGAGGAAGGGGAGTTGAATAGTAAAGGAGCACATAGAAGAAAATCTCACATAAGTTAAAGGTGATCATTTAATTCTCGTGTCACATGCTGAGTTGTCATATGTTCATTATATTATTTAAAAGTAAGTAAAATAAAAGAAAAGAAGGGCATTCATGGACTGATGACACTAATGTATTGTGACTTACGGATTTGATTAATTCAATCATATATGCCTTGGATCCTTGTATTTATTTATTTATTTGAGACGGATTCTCACTCTGTCGCCAGGCTGGAATGCAGTGGCCCAATCTCGGCTCGCTGCAAGCTCCGCCTCCTGGGTTCACGCCATTCTCCTGCCTCAGCCTCCCTAGTAGCTGGGACTACAGGGGCCCACCACTATGCCCAGCTAATTTTTTCTATTTTCAGTTTAGACGGGGTTTCACCGGTTAGCCAGGATGGTCTCGATCTCCTGATCTCGTGATCCGCCTGCCTCGGCCTCCCAAAGTGCTGAGATTACAGACATGAGCCACCACGCCCGGCCACCTTGGATCCTTTAAAAGTAATGTATGGTTTAAGGAGGAAATTTGGTTGAATACGTTTAAGGAAATATTAATCCAACCTGTTTAATAAACATTACCTGTGAACATTGCATTTTGAAACTGTTCAAATATACCAAATGATTCATATTAATTAGAACAAAAAGTCCAAAAAGAGAAAACTACAAATTCTATTACACTATTTAAAATAGCATACAAAAACAATTTTGAGCAAAATAATGTAAAAGTAGAAACTGATAAATTAAAAAATAGAAACGTAGAATTAATTCAATTTAATCCCTGTATCATTGGATACACACACAGACATCAAAGAGAGAGAGAACATGAAATATATTAGAACATTAGGTATGAGAAGAAGGTATATATCCAAAATTAAATATAAATTTAACTGCTATCTGGGTTATTATTTTAAAATCTCACTTAAATGAATCTATATCTGAGCAGATACAAATTATTTACATTTTTCTAAAGGGTTAACTGATAAATTCTCAAAACATTTCAACTATCAGAAAAATCATCATACTGTGTAAACAACTGCAGAAAACACAAAATAATAAATTCTCATGTTTTCAAACTAACAAAATTCTTCTCTTAATGATTTCCAAAACACATAAAAAGAAAATGACAGATCATTCCTAATATTTATTCAAATTTTTTAAAAAAATTAACGATATAATCCAGCAGTATGTTATAGAAATAATAAGTAAAATTAGTTCTAATATGACAAAGGTGATTTAATATTTGAGAATATGTAATATGAAGCAAGTCATTCCAAATGAAAATTTCGTAAACATAATTTTATTTTTGTAATGGCATTTTAGAAGATTTCAATTATTCTGTAATTAAAAATTTAGCTATTTTAGGGTAAGAGAGATT
The DNA here is from genome assembly GCF_000001405.40 of Homo sapiens. Classification (NCBI taxonomy): domain Eukaryota; kingdom Metazoa; phylum Chordata; class Mammalia; order Primates; family Hominidae; genus Homo; species Homo sapiens. The sequence continues at coordinate 103,947,287 of NC_000005.10, forward strand.
CCATGAATATAGTGAATAGTAAATAACCTACATCATTGTTCATTTTCATTCAAATTAATAATAAAATGACCTTACTTTCTTTGACCAGAAACATTCATAATTGTTCTGGCAATTCTGATCAGTGAATGATGAAACAGAATTAGAGTTCTGTTTCTAATTATTTCAAGGAAAAGGGTGAGGTTGAAGATATCCTATCTAAAACTTTATGTAATATATATAATATATATAGATGATATATAGATATCTATTATATCTAATGGATATACAGACATTACATAAGCCTTAAAGAGTCAGTCAATACTTGTTATTTATATAAGTTCAGTATTTTTTTGACTATAAATACTCAAAATAAATTATGTCATCAACCAAAGATGAAAAATAATTTCATTTACAATTGCTCCTCCAAAAAGTCACAAAAACGACATGGGAATAATTATAGAAAAAAACTAATAGTATAATAATAATAAATTACAAAAATTTTTAGATTTATCAATTAAATTTAAATGTATGGATAATCACAGTTTGACCCTAGATTTTAAAAAATCAATTCTTTCTAAACATTTTATTAGTTTATACAAAATAAATTAAAACTCCATGGTACTGATTTTGTCTCTTACCAAAATTTTTGCCAAGTTATCTGGAAAAATTAATTTCCAGGAATAATTATGAAAAAATAAAGTCCATTGCCCAAAATACTGTACTGAGGAAAAGATTATTTCTTATAAACAGTCATATTAAGTTTTTCTTCTCATCTTGTATCTCAAAATAAATTTCAGGTTGATTAAAGTATCAAAGTTATAAAATGAAAATATTAATGGAAAACTGAATAAAATACAGGTCAATATTGAACTGATTTGTGGATAGGAAATAAAATGAAATGATTGAAAATATAACACAAATTTAATATATTGCTAAATAAAAATAAATGGTACTGAAGAACATTACTAAAATTAAATGTAAATGAAGAACTAGGAACACTATAAGCAATGCAACTAAAAATTGGTATATTTAATCTAATCTATTAAAAGCATTCTAGTAACAGACCGTGGATGTGAGAAGACAACACAAGGAATATGACCAGAAAATAAAAATTAAACATATTTAATTTTAATTATAAATGCTATTAAAATCAAATTGATTTATTAACAGTAATTCACAAACATTCAGGAACGATAAAAATAATAATACTTAATAAGCTAAACAGGGAATTTCACTTTTAATAGAAGAGTAAATGAAGACAATCTCTCTGTAAAGCAATTCATTATCTTAAAATATTATTCTTTGAAATAGTAATTTTTAGAATCAGTTCCTAGAAATAATCAGTGACACACAGTTTTGTATATAGGATAAATATATTCATCACAATATGATTGACGGCAAAATAACTGAGAAACAAATGAAATGTGAACTATGATAATTGAATTATAGCCCTAAAATGAATACTAATCATTAAAATGACATTTTAAACTTTTCGGAAGAATCGTTTAATTATTTTATACAAACTAATATGTCAACATTATTTTAAGAAGCAAGGAAAAGAGTCAAATAAAATAACCAAAATATATCTCTGTCCGGAAATAGCACATTTGGAGAACATCATTATTGGTCTCTTAGTATATAGATTTATACAGATTCTTTGAGTTCATTATGTTTGAGAATATTTTTGTCTTGCTGTTATAAGTAAGCCAACAAAAGCTGTTTATAGTATTCTTGTGTTATAATATATTCTCCTTGGATCTACAGATAATTCGTTCACTTGTGTCTGCAATTTGTTACTAAAAAAATCTATGGCCAATATGACTAAGCCTACCTCTCATCTCCATGAGTGACTTGATATTTTCTGCATGGACCCTGAAGAATTTTTCATTTTTCAACTTCAATAGTATAATCGCAATATATTTTGATGTCTCTTATTCTACATCATTTTTTTAAAATGTATTGTACCATTTTAATATTGATACATACTTTTATTTAAAGGTTTGTTTCATTTGTTGGATTACCCACTTTTTCCCAGTGGAAGCCTTTTTTACATAAATACTATGATTTTTTCAGGCACGGCTAGTTGAACACAATGTTTCTAATTTAGTTTTTATTTTTATAAGTTTTGTATTGGTCCTTTTAACTATAAGCTCACTGTTTTTTCTTGATTGTGAGGCAAAGAGATATCCTTTTTTTTTTTTTTTTTTTCCTTTGTCCCTTGCACTGAGTTCTCTTTCAGATTAGGGTCTATGACATTTTTAAAAAAGTGACATGCATTTCCTTTATCTCTTTCTGTGGTATGCTTGCTAATTTCCCATGCATTTTCTTTTCATCTTGTTCATGAATATGGTTAGCTGTGCCAAAACCCTTGTTTTTTGTTGCATCCTGTGGATCAATTCTCCTTGACTCCCTAAGTGGTCTCTCTGAAAGCTATTTTCCTCCTCATCCAACTACCTTTGTGATTTGAGATACAGATTTTTTATTTCACTTTGAACAAAGAGTTTTGTGGCAACTATTGCCTGTATTGGGTATCCTGAGCACTGCTTAACTTTCGTTTATTTAATGTTATGAACCAGGGTTCTCTCTACTTAGGCAGTAGTATATCAGGATCCCTAGGCAGAAGACTCGGGGTCTTGAATCATTCCCTACAGTTCCTCTTGCAGCACTTGAAAATGGCTAGGAGCTTTTATTCTATAAGGTTTGAACCTCTGCTTTTCCTAGACTTCCTAGTAACTATGTTTATCCATTTGTTTTCAAATTTGATACTACTGAGAAGTTTGGAGATTTTCTTGACTCACATTCTTGCCCAAAATGACATCAAGGTGTTATGACATAAACATTGATGGAGTAGGTTTTTTGTTTTTTGTTTGTTTGTTTTTTTGTTTTTTGAGACAGAGTCTCGATCTGTCACCAGGCTGGAGTGCAGTGGTGTGATCTCGGCTCACTGCAACCTCCACCTCCCGGGTTCAAGCGATTCTTGTGCCTCAGCTTCCTGAGTAGCTGGGACTACAGGTGCCCGCCACCAAGCCCGGCTAATTTTTGTATTTTTATTAGAGACAGGGTTTCACCGTGTTAGCCAGGATGGTCTCGATCTTCTGACCTCGTGATCCGCCCGCCTCGGCCTTCCAAAGTGCTGGGATTACAGGCATGAGCCACTGCGCCTGGCTGCAGTAGGTTTTATTTCTTACCTTGGTCAAACTTTTTTTAAAGATTATGACATGAAATTTTACTTCTAACAACTTCTAGCTGTTGGAGATTTTTGCTTGGATGTTACTATTTTTTTCATTTTATCTAATGTTGAGGAAAGTAGATTTTATAATTCTGCTTTATTACCGAGAATTCTCCTTTTAAACTATACATTTTTGGGAAAAAAAGAGACAACCATATAAACATAAAATACCTATTTTCTAAAACAAATAAGTGTTTAAAAACAGAAATTTAAAAGAATGCATAATTTCTTTTGTTTAATTATTGTTTTTTGATTTCCCCTGTTTTTTGAAGTAATTCTTATGAATATTTGGAGTGTCTCAGAAAAAAAATGCTTATTTTGGAAATATGCAAAACATTCTCAATCATGAAAGAACTAAATTTAAAAAACAACATTGGTATTTTGCAGGATTTAATTACATTTTTTAAGTTAGCATGTAAAATGTCCAATTGGCAGAACCTTGTTTATGAAGTCTTTTAAATATATAATGTAAAGGAAGTTTAAACACAATAGTATGCAAACACGGGAACTTTTGAGGAACAAACAGAGGTTTAACTTCAAATGAGTATTTTAAAATAAAAATGTATTCAACGCTATATCTAGCACTCATTCCAATAGAAACCAATTCTAGGAAATCTCCCTTATTTCCTGAACCTGGGCACCTGAGGCTATTGGTGTGAGTCCTTTTCCTGCAGCAGGTGATGCCTTCAGCAACTGTGATGATCAGATTTCTGGTTTCCACAGACCAAACCTACTTTGAAATCAGCTTCAGGACTGATATAGTATTACCAACATTTGTCAAAGTTCCAACAATAAAACAAATGTAAATGTAGCCTCTTCTCATTAGATCCTAAAAAATAAGATTGTATACCAAACAACCCCCCTAAATATCTATAGGCTGTGAGACACAAAAGCTGATTTCCATAGTTTGTTCCCTTCTCTTAAAATTGTTTGAAACAGAACACTTTAGAGATCTTCCAAGAAATTTAGAGGGTTAAAGTTTCAGTTTTCAAAAGTGAAGTATTGGTTTAAGATTAAAATGATGCTAATCGTAAGTTTTGGAGTTGTGACTGCTGAAAAGCCAATAGTCTTCTCACAAACTATTGGATTATAGAAAAACCATAGTAGAAAACATGGGGCTGTGGAGCACATTGTTCTAATGTGAGGTATATTATATATAGCACAACCCTTTTCACATTAGGAGGTGAGATGTGTATATTTCACTTAATTGGAAACATCCTTTCCCCCTAGAAAAGGTGATTCATAAAGTCCTATTGGAGAGGGCACACTCACAATTCAAGATACAAAATGGACTCATGCAGTCACAAAACAATGAGGAACTGAACCTACTGCAGGCAAATCACTTCAATTCATTACAAAATGAAATTTAGGACTGGACTATTTCATTCTGGATTGCTTTTTGCAACCTCGTAATCTGTTTAATGGAAGTAATTTGTTAATAAAACAGTGGTAATGAAACAGAAGTATCTGTTTACAGCAGTTCCCTTATAGTTCTTGTGCTTATGCCTGCTTTCATTATTCATAGAGAAAGGTACACAATGTAGTCTGGTGTACATCAGTAATAGAAAACCACTTACAGGAGGATGGGAAAGGACATCATCAATAGAGTATAATGTCTGTATTTGGAATCATTATTGCCCTCTTTGGAGTGTTTTTTCACCCTTGAAGGCAATAGATCTTGAAGCAAGCTAAAAGCTACAATAAAAATATATTTTATCTTTAGACCTTTAAACAGTATCTCTTTGATCTAAATGGTCTCTCTGCTTCAGCAATTACCATTTAAGTTTTTCTCCTTTCTTCAGTTGGGAGCACATATATTCTAGTCTGAACCAATAATAAAATTCTAGAAACAAAGCGCTTTTTCAAAAATAGATGAACATTTTTTCCCTTTATCTGTGGAAGCTTATTTTTTTTCTGTTTAACCACATTTATTGATAACTGATTTGGGTTATTTCTGTAATCTGCACGAAATCTTTAGATCCCTTAATAAAAACAGGTAGAAGACAAACGATCATAATCCCCTCTAACTAAAATGACAATTTTTTAAAAGTTCATTGAAAAAATTAGTAAGATTTTTTGATAATGTATGAAAAAAATTTATATTACTTCAGTTCTGAATGAACGGATTCCTTTTTTTAGTTAGATTTAATAAATGAATTCCAAATAGATTCTTTAAAAAAGATATTTACTATGCAAAATATAATTTGTTGGGTAAACTTGCTGAATATGTGTTATAACAGAATAATATGAAAGAATATCTAAAGTGAAAACTTTCAACTACATTCTGAACAAAAATCCCTTTAAAATACAATTTGTTTTAATACCTTATAATATCATGTATAAAAATCTCATTATTTGTAAATTAGTTGATAAATGTTATAAAGGGGTGATAAAAGCTTTATTCAGAATATCAAAACAAGTTATATTGAATAATACTGGGGGAAAATACAAAATTTCAATTACAAGATGGGTAAGTTATAGACAATCTAATGTAAGCACAGTGTGTCCAGAATTGGTGGGTTCTTGGTCTCACTGACTTCAAGACTGAAGCCGCGGACCCTGGCCGTGAGTGTTACAGTTCTTAAAGATGGTGTGTCCCGAGTTTGTTCCTTCTGCTGTTTGGACGTGTTTGGAGTCTCTTCCTTCCTTCTGGTGGGTTCAGGAGTGAAGCTGCAGACCTTCTCGGTGAGTGTTATAGCTCATAAAGGTAGTGTGGACACAAAGAGTGAGCAGCAGCAAGATTTACTGCAAAGAGCGAAAAAACAAAGCTTCCACAGTGTGGAAGGGTACCCGAGTGGGTTGCTGCTGCTGCTGGCTCCGGAAGGCAGTCCGCTTTTATTCCCTTATCTGAACCCACCCGCATCCTGCTGATTGGTCCATTTTACAGAGAGCTGATTGGTCCGTTTTAAAGAGTGGTTCTGAGCTAGACACAGAGTGCTGATTGGTGCATTTACAATCCTTTAGCTAGACATAAAAATTCTCCAAGTCCCCACCAGATTAGCTAGATACAGAGTGCTGATAGGTGAATTTGCAGTCCTCTAGCTACACATATAAGTTCTCCAAGTCCCCTCCAGATTAGCTAGATACAGAGTGCTGATTGGTGCATCCACAAACCCCCGAGCTAGACACAGAGTGCTGATTGGCGCATATACAGTCTCTGAGCTAGACATAAAAGTTATCCAAGTCCCCACCGGACTCAGGAGCCCAGCTGGCTTCACCTAGTGGATCCAGCGCCTGGGCCTTGGTGGAGCTGCCCAACAGTCCCGCGCTGTGTGCCGCCTGCACTCCTCAGCCCTTGGGCAGTCGATGGGACTGGGTGCTGTGGAGCAGCGGGCAGAGCCCTGCCGGGGAGGCTAGGGCTGCCCGGGAGCCCACGGGGAAGGGGGGAAGGGGACGAGGGGGGGAGGGGTGCGAGGGGTGGGCGGGTTCGGGCATGGCGGGCTGCAGGTCCTGAGCCCTGCCCTGCCGGGAGGCGGCTAACACCTGGCGAGAATTCAAGCATAGCACAGACGGGCCATCAGTGCTGGGGTACCCAGCGCCCCCTCCACAGCTGCTGGCCTGGGTGCTAAGCGCCTCACTGCCCAGGCCGGCGGCGCCCGCCCGCTAAGAGTGTGGGTCCCACCGAGCCCACGCCCACCCGGAACTCCGCGCTGGCCTGCCAGTGCGGTGCGCAGCCCCGGTTTCCGCCTGTGCCTCTCTCTCCACACCTCCCCCAAACCGAGGGAGCCGGCTTCGGCCTCCACCAGCCCAGAGAGGGGCTCCCACAGTGCAGCGGCGGGCTGAAGGGCTCTTCAAACGTGACCAGAGCGGATGCCAAAGCCCAGTAGGCGGTGAGAGCGAGCGAGGGCTGCTAGCACCTTCTCATCTCTCAATAATAATTACAGTTAATAATTTTGTATTGTTTACTTGAAATTTGATGAGAGCAGATTTTCTTTACCTCCATCCCCCACAGGCAAAATGGTAACTATGGGTGATTATGGATGATGATAGATGTGTTAATTAATTTTATTGTGGTTATTGCACAATGTATACATATATGAAATCTTCACATTTTATACTTTGAATATATACAATCTTTATTTGTCAATTGTAAAGCTGGAAAAAAGACTGGGGTGGGATCTTACGATTTAAATCAGTTAAAACATTATTTGAAAAGATAGGTTTTTAATTTTTGAAATCATATATATGAACTAAAAATTAGATGGGAGTTTTAAATCCCAGGATTATTTTCAAATTAAGGATTTTCTGAGTATTAGGACATGACCAACCTGCCAATTATTGTATTGCCAAATACGGGCAATATGTAAATCTTAACTTCATCACACTTCATTGCTGGTGATGTTACATAAACCATTTGAGGTATTTCTTCGTATGTGAAATAGAAATAAGGATAATTTCTACCATATATGGGTTTCCATGATTAAATGAGATTACACATCAAAGCACAGAATCTGGACTAGACGCAACATTCAATGACATTAGCCCATCATTAGTAGATGTTTGAAGAGGTAGAGCTCAATGGTGCTTGTTTCCAGTCCTGTGCCTTTTCTCCCTGACCCAGCTAAGAGAGAACAAAAATGGTGCTTGTTGGGCTGTGCTGGTGGAATGAAACTCAGATTAAGGGAAGGCAGATTTTATGTGTCCATTCAAATTAGCTTCCCTGGGACTAGTTCTAACAGATTTTAAAACAAACCATAAAGTTGCAATACTTAACATACGTCATTCAATTTCTAAGTGTTGCACCTGATGTGATTTCTGGTCTCTAGACCTCACAATGTTATAGACAGGAATAGACACAGAACTATATCCATGTAAAGGGAGAGGGCATTTACCTATAAAAGATGATAGAAATGTTCTTATGAGCCTTCCACAGAATCTGCTAAATGTATGTGAATGGCTTTGACTATTAAACTCTTCTGTGCTGACAGCTCTGTGCAAGAGAGGCTACATACTTTGTGGGGCTCAGTGCATAATGACAATGCCAGGCTCCACTTTAAGTAGTAAAAAACAAGTACTAGTAAATGTACTAAAATATAAAGATTTTTTCTTTCTTCTGCAGTCTCTCTTAACCTGAAAAAATATATATGTTCAATTTACTATTTAATCTCATTCTTCCTCAGGCTTGGGGATACCTGTGGGGCCATTGCAGATACTCACAGGCAACTGAGGGCCCTGTCCCATAAGTAAGCAGGCTTGCACGGGCCCCCAGTTGGTGTTTCCCCTCTCCCTCAAGCTGCCAGACCAACAAACTCTATTTTATAGAGGGCAGGGACATCAAGCTGGGCCACAACCTAAGTGGACTAACAACTCGGGTGGACCAACAACTCCAAAGAATATTCAACTTCTGCTCTGGAAGGTGAGCACTAGTTAAACATATCAGTGGTGGGTAAAGAATGACCTCCACGAAGTCCCATTGTGCCCCTCCCCAGGACTCCACAGGGTGAGCACACCTTACCCACCCTCCAGACGCTTCTGCTCAGGCTCCAGCTGGTGACCCAGGATAGCAGCAGTCTCTGGGAAGGAGAGGGGAGGGAGAGACCAAGAATATGTCCAGAGGAAGTGGAGGGAGATGGAACTGCTAGTGAGCAGAGGTTCCAAATACCTGTGAGTATGCTCTGTTTTCTAAAGAGTTTCACCAGCAACACACAAATTCAAAGATAAAAGTATTAAGATTTTTAAGATAGAGACGCCATTAAACCCCAAGTGCTAGTCTTTCTATCCCCAGAGCCTTGCCCTCTGTCACTGCTCTTATTGCAAGCTCATTGAGAGAGAGAGACCAAGACAGAGAGAGAGAGAGAGAGAGAGAGAGAGAGAGAGAGAGAGAGAGAGAGAGAGAGAGAGAGAGGAGGGAGGAAAAGAAGAGACAGGAAAGGGGAAAGAAAGATATTCTTAGCATTTAGGATGTGCCTCACTGGAACATCAAGTAGTGTTGAGATGTTGGCATTCATTTCACCTTAAGTAATATCTCTTTATTTTAAATATCATATTTATGAATACAAGTAAAACATAATAACCTCTGAATAAAGATTCCTTGATAGACTGTCTTTGGGGTTGGATGCATCCCTGACAGCAACCTGCCTTTCCCAGCACTGCTTTTCAGATAGACCCCCAGGGAGATTTGTGTGCTTATCATCCAACTGATTTTCCTAACTACCATCCCTACTGCCGTCATTGACTAATGTGACTAAATGCTTTTCCTCCTGTTTCAGTAGATAGCCTATTAGGGTTCTCTGTGTGATTTAATTAAATAAGTTACTCCCCAGAGTTCAAAGTCAGAAAATACTTTTTGAAATTGGAACAATTAGGTATACACAGAAAATACATGAAATTAAGTGGAAAGATCTCTAAGAAGCTGTTTCTGTTACTGTCCTTTTTAAAGAAGTCCACTCATTCTCTCATTCTCCGCATGCTTAATTCTGGGAGTGAGAATAGGAATGTGTCTTCTGCTCTTGACCAACAGCCCGCTTCTTTGAATAGTCGATGTTGTTTTCTCATATTCCTCACTACTCTTAGCCAGAACTTCCTTATATGCTTTTGAAAATTTGGCAACTAATTTAGGATGTGCTTCCCTCTTTCGGGTCTTTCAAGTTACAGTGGGAGCCTGAAGGGCTGTTGGCAAGATGAAGCCAGCACCTTAGCAATTTGATTTTCATGAGGAAAGGATGATCTCCATCCTACTTCAGCATCAACCCACACCTAAAGTTCCTCAGTAGAGCTAGTTATCACTGACAACTCTTTCAGTTGTGAAATCTTAGAGTCAGTCCATTACTTGACTCTTAAAAACTTCCTATTCTCTGAGTTCCTATTTCTCACCAGCTTACTCATATTGAATTTGTTCATCTCACATGCATCCAGATTTCCAGTCCTGTGCCTTTTCTCCCTGAGCCAGCTAAGCCTTCTTTTTTCTCTTTCTTCCCTTTTCCATCCTCAACTCCTTGGGCTGTCACCATAATCTTGCTTGTTTTCTCTTCCATCACATACACTTGCAAGATTTCAACTTTGATTCCATTCACAACACCCTTTTCTGTTTCTATGCCTTACAAGTGTCATAGTGACAGGAAAACAAAAACAAAAACAAAAAAACTATCGCTGTCATGGAATTTTACTTCAGATTTACAGTTCATAGCTTCAACCAAGCAATACTTTCATTTTTCCCAGAATTTATTGTTTGGCCATCACCAGGTTTTTTGCCCCTTCCCTGGGTGTCTCCCATTTTTTGTCACTTTCCATGTGGCCTTCATTCTACTTTAGCATTTCTTTAGCAAATAACCTCCCCACTTCACAGAAAGTAGAAAGGTAGTTAGAAATAAAAGCAATAACGTGTGAAAAAAAAATAACCAGAGGGATAAATGGGATATTAGATACTGCAGATATTAGATACTAGAAAGCTAGAAATGATTTGCCCACATCTCATATATTCATTCTCCCTTCCTCTTGACACTATGAAGGTATATGTGTCTGTACCAGTTCTGGTCTTTCTCCTTTCAGACTCCTTGTGTATGAACAGAAGTGATGCCTACTCTCTTTTTGAAATGTGCTTTTCTGTTTTTATCTTTAACACTTTACTTATAGTTTGGCTCTTTTCTTCCAGCAGATGAGCAATTGCTAGTTTCCCCACCTTATCCGTATGGAAAACAAAAATTTAATTCCCTACATCATTATGCTCTCTACCAACCTCTCTGTTTCTAGTTTACAGTTAAAGTTTTTGAAAGACCATTCTATATTGGCTATTATAGGTGGTCACATACAAATTATAAGCAAACATTCACTTCCACTTGATTACCAAACATATTGTAACTCAGGAACCCAAAGATGTTCTAAGGGCACTGTCTCACTTCCTTTTCTTGTCCAGCTCTGACTTTTCTGAGGAATTTGGCATAACTGATTACTACTGTATTCTTGATTCTACCTTAAGCCTTTCGTATTTGCCTTTCCATTTTTCTTTTTCTTCCTTCCATGACCACTCCTGCTTTGTTCCTTTTTACAGGCCTTTCATTATTTTTTTATTTTGGTTTTACTAGGAAACTATTCAGGCCTTCATCTGTGTCTCATTTTCTTCAGTTTCTGTGTGAAATTATCTAAACACATGAATTGGTTCTCTTGCAAATGACCACGATGGAATAACAAGGACAGGATTTACTCTCATGCCTAAACAACTAAAAATATAGATGGAATCTATGAGACAATGATTTTCAAAACATTGGGCATTAAGCATTGAATGGCACTGAGTCTTAAGAGGCAGGAAGCAAATTAGGTAGACACTGACTGCCCCAACTTACTGGCTTCAAGCCATTTCCAGGTCACAGTTTAGGAAGAGGATACCCAGGTAGACTCCAGCACACTCACTGAGTTGAGGAAATGGGGCTGAGATTCTGAGGACCCCAAGACAGGTTGAGTTCACACATCAGAATACTAGATTGCAGAGGTTCACAGAGAGAGCAGAAGAGATTTGCGGGTTCTCCTCTAGTCTTCAGCGGAGTGGTGATCAGCAGATGTTTTCAAGGAAACTACTTGAGACAGTAAAAAGAACCACCCAAAAGGATTAGAAGAAACAATAGCTAGAGCTCTCACAAGGATAAGAAGAGTGAGCAACTGCCCCTCAGCCAGACCAGACAGTTTTATAATAGTTGTGCCACTAAATAGATACTCAGAAAGGTCTGAGTAGTGGGAAATAATCTGCCAAAAGTAAATGCTGCTTTAGTCCTGGCTGACAAGTCTTCAGAGTAAGACCTGAAAATATCCCTTAACAAATAAGTTAACTGTATTCTAGAACAAAGCTCAGGAAAATTTACAGGAATACAAAAATATTCATTACTTAACAAGGTGAAATTTATAATATCTGTCATATAATTTTAAAAAACTGTAAGGTATGCAAAAAAGCAGAAAAATATGACCTATAAAAAGGAAAAACACCATTCAATCAAAACCAACTCAGAACTGACATAGATCTAAGTATTAGGAGACAGGGACATTACAATTCTTATTTTAAATGTATTCAAGATATTTTAAAAGATAGGAGAAATATTGACCATGTTGAGGAGAGAAATGGAAAATCTAAAGAAGACCAAAGTGGAACTTTTAGAAATAAAAACTATGATGGGTTAAAGAAAAATAACCTAAAGGGATTAATTTAGATATTGCCGAAGGAGAGATTAGTAAACTTGAAGCTATAGCAATAAAAATTCTTCAAAATTAAAAACATAGAGGGCAAAAAAAGAAATAATGAAACGTCAGATCTGTGAGACAATGTGAAATGGCCTGATATATGTATAATTGGAGTTTCTAAAGGAAAGCAGTAACAAAACATTTATTTGAATAAATGATCCCCCAAAATATTCTTAATCTGATGAAAATTATAAGGCCACAGATTCTAAGAAGTAAATGAACCCCAAACTTATACACATGAGTTTCAACTTCTCCATATTTGTAGATGATTTTTCACTAGGGAAGACACATCTGCTGGATTAACTCCTTTTCTAAATAACCTATTAGACATTGCTACCTGGATTCCAAGTATACACTTTAAAGGCAATATGGCTAGTCATTCACTTACTTGTTTGTTCAACCAATATGTTACGTGAGAAATAAATGTTTATGTGTGAAGCCACTGAGATAAACAACTTGTTTCTCATAGAATGGGTCTGACATAACTAACCAGCATTAGCTCCACATCAAAGTCTCATGGACCGCTCTTGTTTGGGTTGTATGTTCCCTTCTTTCTATTTCCAAATACACAAAACATATGTCTAATATGATACTTATGCCAATATATCATTTTTTTTAACTTATTTTTCTAAGAAAATGCATTCTGATTTCCCACTAAGTTACGGGTCTCAAGTATCATGACAGCGTCATGTCTAGCATGATGCCTCATTCCTAGAAAATGATCAATAAATATGGATACAAGAATGATTTCAGTTATGGGTACTGAAAATACTGAAAACGTGAACCAGACTGGATCATATAACTGAAAAGTTCGCAGAGGAATGGTTACATACTCGCAGGGCCTTGTGGAAACAGAAAAGGCAGAGTCCCTAGTTCAAAAAGCAGGAAAATGTGTGCATGTAAAGCTATCAAAAACACCTTTACATTTAAAATATTTTACACTTACGTACATAATGAGGTAATAGTGATTGATAAAAGTATAAATTTACAAATTACAAAATTAACAATTTTTAAGTTTCATAATTTTATGTAATACAATAAATAATAATGCCTTTAGTGTATATATTTTTTGAGTATAATATTTTCTTGGCTTGTTTTTCTGCAAATTCATTTGTTAGGTTATCCACATTTGTATTTTTAGTGGCTTGATTTTCAATTGATATAATTGAAGCTGATGTCAATAGTCCTTGGCAAATCAAGATTGCAAATAATTTTTGATAATTGTAATTTAGAGAAAGCTCCAACTGATTCAACTGCTTCTGGAACCGTTAAGAGTGTTTATAGGCTGTGACCTCTTAGGAAAAAAATTCTGATAAATTATTTTAAAATATAGATTTTGATATATCTAGAGCTGATGATTCTTGAGGAATACTTTTTTTCTAAAAGAATTTAATTCTTTATACAAATCAATTGCCCGTAACTCTGAATTCAACTTCAAGTGTAAATTTATACAATGACATTTTATTTTCTCTTCTGACATTTTCTTAACTTGTAAAGATTGTTCATGAAACCAAAAGTGATTTTATAATTTGTAAATAATTCAAATGCCTGTTTATGCGTTCTATGGTTGTATCTGCAATTGCAAGTAAACATTAATTTTAAAATTATCTTGTTAATAATTGTTTAATCTGAGACTATATGAATATAATGTTATTTACTATCAAATGAGACTCTTTAAATTTAATTTCTATTTATCTAAGCCTGCGAATATTTTCTTTGCAATGTTGCAGCAGTTTTCAAAACCAGAAATTCCAAACTCTTTGAAGGCTTCTAATAACTTTTTAATATATTTTATTGCAGTGTCCAAGTTTATTCTTTGAGTTAATTGTAATTTTCTGACAAAATGTATTGCCTGAGTGTCAGCAGTTTTAAATCTCAGTCCCTGGAGTTAACATTTTTACAGATGCCAGTGGGCTAGGCTAGAGAAAAGGGCAAGCCAGCTTCCACGCACTGCAGGCATGAGGAGTCTGCCTTCTCTTGCTGGACCATTCATACTGTGGTCTTCGCTGCTATTTCTGCTGATGCTGTTGCAGACAGATTTGTATCCAAGTCCTGGCTGGGATTTCCCCTCAGAGTTTCTTGAGTCTTGGACTGCCCTAGGCATGTACATGTGTGCTAGGCCAAATCACATGTGTGCTAGATGGTGCTGAGTGTTATCTTCCATGCTCAGGGATATGCTCCATTGCCCCATAGGACTTGATTTACAAACACAGTTTCAAAGATAATAATTATGAATTTCAAAATAGCAACAATGGAGTATTAAATCAAGGGTGGGGGGTCCCTTTTGAGAATGAACCCCGTGGAACTGCCCAGATTACGTGCCCCTAATGTGGTCAAATCTACTTACAGAGGTTGCTCATGTTCAGGTGCTATTTGATGCAGAAGTTTTATACCAGGCTGTCATTTATTTTTCTAAATCTAACTTCTTTCATGTATTGGTTCCATCCATTGAATAGCTTCCTGCATGGTTGCAAAAATGGCTGTAGGTCTTCTAGGTCTCTTGGCCATATATTACACAGTACAGACAAAAGAGTGTCTGTTCCATAATTCCCATTAAGTGTCCTGAGATTCTCACCAGTTACTCATGTTTGAGTTGCATAATTGTTTACCTAGGGGATAGGCTATATGATTGGCTTAGTCAAGCTTGTATGCTTCACCGGTACAGTTAGTTTTCCTGGCTCCCAACATGGAAACTGAGGATTACTGGGAAGTAGGACTTGATCCTGTGGGAGAAATCACAAATGTGCACTACAATATATTTCTTGAAATAATGACTGACTGGCTGGAACGCTTCATTCTGAGTGAAGGTCTGTAAATATGTCTCTTGTTTCCAAAATCTTAACTGGAATTGTAACTAATATTATATAAACTGCTGTCTAGATAATTACAATATGGCAATTGTTAAAAAACTTTGTGATGAGAAAAACCTTATTGCCTTCTTAGGGATATTGGAAAATAAGTATTTGGGACTACATGTGCTGTTTTTGTTTTGTTTTGTTTTTGTTTTCTCTAGCACTGCTAGAGGAATAGATCTCAAAGGTTTGAATGACCAGTACTAATTCTTTTCTCAATATATGTATCTCTAAGGATATACAGGATTAAATACTGGCTTGATGTAACATGAGATTACATAATTTAAAAATTATACCAAATAGGTCTGGTCCAATGGCTCACACCTATAATCCCCACACTTTGGGAGGCCGAGGCGGGTGGATCACTTGAGGTCAGGAGTTCAAGATCACCCTGGCCAATATGGCGAAACCCTGTCTCTACTAAAACTACAAAAATTAGCTGGGAGTGGTGGTGCGTGCCTGTAATCCCAGCTAATGGGGAGGCTGAGACAGGAGAATCTCTTGAACCCAGGAGGTGGAGGTTGCAGTGAGCTGAGATGGCACCACTGCACTCCAGCCTGGATGACAGAGTGAGACACTGTCTCAAACAAACAAACAAACAAAAACAAACAAGTGAAAAAAATTATACCAAATGTAAAAAAAGTTTATATATTTATCTAGAACACATACATTGAATAGTAAAACCAGGCATTGAATGAAGAAAAATTTATTTATTTGATTATTAAATAATGTGACATATAATTTAATTCATTCCCAAGGCATTTTTTTTTTTTTTTTTTACCATGAAAGCCACTAAAGTTTACCTTTGTGGGTTAAGTTATTCCTATAAAACAAAGATTAAGGAAGGTAAAATTTCACCCTTTCAATTTATTCTTGGTTTGTGTATTCAATTAACAAGACAGTAAATTACTACTGTTTGAGTCTGGCAACTAGCCATTAATTTTAATTGAAATGGTATTTTGCAAAATAAGCATGTAATTACACAAGGAGTGATGTTGATGTGATAAGAGAAGTAAGCTATAAAGAATGGTCATTATATATTTTAACATGCTAAAAGTTTTTCAAGTTAGCAGTTGGTAAAATTGCTAAGAATGTTATACCAAGTTCATCTGTTTCTTGGACAAATTTGAAGAATGTAAGTGCAGTTTAAAGATGCTTTAAATTTTTAAAAAAATTTTGATTGTGACAAGAATACTTAATATAAGACTTACCCTTTTAAACATTTAAGTGTACAATATAGTATTTTTGAATATAGGTACAGATACGTTGAAATTATTTATCTTGCTGAAATGAATTTTTTTGTCGATTGATTGTAATTCATCCTGTCCCCCCCACCACCCCCTGTAAATAACCATTTCACTCTTTGATTACATAAAATTAACAATTTTAGATATCCCATTTAAGTGGAATCATGCAGTATTTGCTTTGTGAGACTGGTTTATTTCATTTGGCATAATGTCTTTGTTTTACATGTGTTGTTGCATGTTTAAGAATTTTCTTCTTTTTTAAGGCTAAATAATGTTCAATTGCAGTGTACCCCACATTTTCTTTATTCATTCATCTGTTGATGAACGTATGTTATTTTCATATCTTGGCTACTGTGAACATAGTTGCAATAAATATGGGAGCACTAATATCTCAACACCCTGGTTTCAAACTCTTGGAGTAAATACCAGAACTGGTATTATTGGATCATATGGTAGTTCAATTTTTAAATGTTTGAAGCACTTTCATTGTATTTTACATGGAAGCTGCACCATTTTTCATTCCCACCATTAGTGTATGAGGGTTCCCTTTTCTCTGCACTCTCACCAACATTTGTCATCTTTCTCTTGTCTTTTAGATAATGGTTATTCTTACAGATGTGAGGTGATATCTCTTTGTGATTTTGATTTGCATTTCCTGATGATTAGTGATGTTGAGAATTTTCCCATGTACTATTGGCTATTTGTATTTCTTCTTTGTAAAACTGTCTATCCAAGTCTTTGGCCCCTCCCCTATATTTGTTTTTCGTTTTCGTTTTTTTTTGAGATGGAGTCTTGCTCTGTTGCCCAGGCTGGAGTGCAGTTCAGTGGCGCGATCTCGGCTCACTGCAACCTCTGTTCCCAGGTTTAAGCAATTCTCCTGCCTTAGCCTCCTGAATAGCTGGGATTACAGGCGCGTGCCACCACACTTGGCTAAGTTTTTGTATTTTTAGTAGAGACGGGGTTTCACTGTGTTAGCCAGGTTGGTCTCAATCTCCTGACCTCATGATCTGCCCGCCTCAGCCTCCCAAAGTGCTAGGATTACAGGCGTGAGCCATAGAGACAGAGTTTCACTGTGCTTCCCAGGCTGGAGTACAATGGCTATTCATAGGTGTGATTACAGCACACTGCAGCCTTAAACTCCTGGCCTCAAGGGATATTTTTGCCTCAGCCTTCTGAGTAGCTGGAATTAAAGGTATGCTTCATCATGTCTGGCTAGCCAAATTTTATTGGGTAATTACGTGATCTTTTACTATTGAGTTGAAGGAATTCCACATATATTTTGGAGATTAACCACATCTTAGATATATGGTGTGCAAATATATTTTCTTTCTATAGGTTTCCTTTTCACTCTGATAATCTCCTGCTATTATTTTGGTGGTGTATGTTATCCTCTTCAGTTCTGTCAATACTTACTTTATATATTTAGGTGCTATGATATTGGGAATATATATATTTATAATTTTTATATTTTCTTAATTTACCCTTCTGTTATTAAATAATGATCTTTGTTTCTTTTCACAGTTTTTGACTTAAATTCTTTTTTATCTGATGTAAGTATTGCTACTTCTGCTTTCTTTTAGCTTCTATTTGTATGGAATAGCTTTTTGCACTTTTTCTGTGTATGTTGTGTCTTCAAACTGAAATGAGTCTATTGTAGGCAGTGTATAGATGGGTCTTCTTTTATATCTATTATATGTCTTTTTGTGTCCGGAATTGGTGGGTTCTTGGTCTCACTGACTTCAAGAATGAAGCCGCGGACCCTCGTGGTGAGTATTACAGTTCTTAAAGGCAGCATGTCCGGAGTTTGTTCCTTCTGATGTTCAGATGTGTTCGGAGTTTCTTCCTTCTGGTGGGGTTCGTGGTCTCGCTGGCTCAGGAGTGAAGCTGCAGACCTTCCCGGTGAGTGTTACAGTGCTTAAGGCTGTGCCTCTGGAGTTGTTCGTTCCTTCCGGTCGGTTCGTGGTCCCGCTGGCTTCAGGAGTAAAGCTGCAGACCTTCGCAGTGAGTGTTACAGCTCATAAAGGCAGTGTGGACCCAAAGAGTGAGCAGCAACAGGATTTATTGCAAAGAGCAAAAGAACAAAGCTTCCACAGTGTGGAAGGGGACCCGAGCAGCTTGCCACTGCTGGATTGGGCAGCCTGCTTTTACTCTCTTATCTGGCCCCACCCACATCCTGCTGATTGGTAGAGCCGAGTGGTCTGTTTTGACAGGGCACTGATTGGTGTGTTTACAATCCCTGAGCTAGACACAAAGGTTCTCCACGACCCCACCAGATTAGCTAGATACAGAGTGTTGAAACAAAGGTTCTCCAAGCCCCACCAGAGTAGCTAGATACAGAGTGTTGACTGGTGCATTCACAACCCTGAGCTAGACACAGGGTGCTGATTGGTGTGTTTACAAACCTTGAGCTAGATACAGAGTGCCGATTGGTGTATTTACAATCCCTTACCTAGACATAAAGGTTCTCCAAGTTCCCACTAGACTCAGGAGCCCAGCTGGCTTCACCCAGTGGATCTCGCACTGGGGCTGCAGGTGGAGCTGCCTGCCAGTCCCGCGCTGTGCGCCCACACTCTTCAGCCCTTGGGTGGTGATGGGACTGGGCGCCGTGGAGCGGGTGGGGGCGCTCATCGGGGAGGCTCCTGGTAGCACAGGAGCCCACGGAGGGGGTGGGAGGCTCAGGCATGGCGGGCTGCAGGTCCCGAGCCCTGCCCTGTGGGAAGGCAGCTAAGGCCCCGCGAGAAATCGAGCGCAGCGCTGCTGGGCTGGCACTGCTGGGGGACCCAGTACACCCTCCGCAGCTGCTGGCCTGGGTGCTAAGCCCCTCATGGCCCAGGCTGGCAGGGCTGGCCAGCTGCTCCGAGTGGGGGCCTGCCAAGCCCACGCCCACCCGGAACTCCAGCTGGCCCGCAAGCGCCGTGCGCAGCCTTGGTTCTCGCTGGCGCCTCTCCCTCCACACCTCCCTGCAAGCTGAGGGAGCCGGCTCTGGCCTTGGACAGCCCAGAAAGGGGCTCCCACAGTGCAGTGGTGGGCTGAAGGGCTCCTCAAGTGCCACCAAAGTGGGAGCCCTCGAGCAAGGGCTGTGAGGACTGCCAGCATGCTGTCACCTCTCCTTTTGACTGGACAGTCTAATCCATTTACTTTCAAGTGAATTAATAATTTTCTGCAGTGGTGTGCTTTCTTTCTCTTGATTTTTTTGTGCATCTACTATAGATTTTTGCTTTGTGGTTACCATGACACTTACATAAAATATCTTATGGTTAGCCTATTTTAAGCTGATAAAAACCTAACTTCAATCACGTACAAAAACTGTACACTTTTACTCTACCTGTCTCATATTTTATGGTTTGGCGTCACAATTTACAACTCTTTATATTTCATACCCATTTAAAAATAGTGTAGCTATAGTTATTATTAATATTTTTGTCTTTTTACCCTTATACTAAGGATATGATTTATTTACGCACCATCATG
Organism: Homo sapiens; assembly: GCF_000001405.40. Lineage (NCBI taxonomy): Eukaryota > Metazoa > Chordata > Mammalia > Primates > Hominidae > Homo > Homo sapiens. Next base: position 103,967,230 of record NC_000005.10, read on the forward strand.
ACAGTATTAGAGTGTTCTGAATTTGACTATATACTTACTTTTGCCAGTGAGTTTTATACTTTATATGTTTTCATGTTATTAATTAGTGTCATTTTATTTCAACTGGAAGAACCTTACTTAGCATTTCATATAATGAAGGTCTAGTGGTAATGAACTTCTCAGATTTTATCTGTAAAAGTCATTATTTCTCATTTATAGGACTGTTTTGCAGGGTAAAGTATTCTTGGTTGACAAGTTTATCTGTCTGCAATGTAAATATTTCATCTTACTTTTTCCTGGCTTGTAAATTTTCTGCTGAGAAGTCTATTGATAGCCTTATGGAGTTGCCCTCATTGCAAGGGATCCCTTTTCTCCTGATGCTTTCAAGATTCCCACTTTGTCTTCGATTTTTGACAGTTTGAGTGTATGTTTTGGTGAAGCTTTTTTGGAACTGAACTTGAGTTTCAATCTTTGAGCTTTATGTATCTCAATGTCCGCATTTGTCCCTGATTTGGAAAGTTCTTAGCCAGTCTTTATTTAAATAAACTTTCTGCCCCTTTCTCTCTTGCTTCTTCTTCTGTATCTTCTATTATGTGAAATAGAGCTTTCTTGGTGGTGTGCATCAATCCCACAGGCTTTCTCCATTCTTTTTTGTTCTTTTATTTTTCCTCTGAATGAGTATTTTCAAATAACGTGTCTTTGAGCTCATAGGTTCTTCTTTCTCCTTGATTAAGTCTGCTGTTTACAGAATCTATTGCGTTTTCATTTCATTCATTGTATTATTCAACTCCAAAATATATTTTTGGTCCCTTTTAATGACTTCTATTTCATCATTAAACTTCTTTTGTTCTTGTATTAGTTTTTGTATTTTGTCGCATTGTCTATCTCTGTTCTCTCACAGCTTATTGAGCATCCTTAAAGCATTACTTTGAATGTTTTATAGGTAATTCATAGATTTCCATTTCTTTGGGGTTGTTTGTTTACAAGATTTTACTTTGTTCCCTTGGTGATGTCAGGTTTCCATAGGATTTTGTGCACCTTGAAGTCTTGCCCTGCTGTTTTTGCATTTGAAGTAGGAGTCATCACCTCCAATCTTTAACAATTGTCTTCAGGAGAAAAACAACCTTACAAAACAACCCAGCTAGAGATTCTGAGGCTTCTTAAACTCTATTCTGTTGTTTCACTTACTTTACGCTTTTTGTTCCCTCTTTGGGGTGTGGATTTCTTAAGGTTATATGTGTTCTACTGCATAGCCAGGACAAGAGTTGACAGCCTCCTATATGTTTTTTTTAGGGAAGTACCCCAAAATGCTCAAGTTTGTGTGCCTTTTCCCAGTCCTACAGATTCAAACCTTTTGTCTGTGGAGAAACCTGACAAACACTACCTTGCCAAAGTAACCAAGATTAACAATTAACAAATGATATTGACAGTGTGTACTCTTGAAATTATATGATAGAATGTTACTTTACTCCTGTGTTCATCCTCCCTAAAAACCTACAATTTCAGTTTAATCATGAGAATAAACATCAGAAAAACCCAAATTGAGGGACATTCTACAAAACTTCTGGTCAGTATTCCTCAAGACTGCCTGGTCGTCAAAAAAAAGAAAAAAGCCTTAGAAAATGTTATAACCAAGAAGAGCCTAATGAAACACAAGGATGAAATGTAATACGGTATCCTAAAACAGACACTAGGAAAACAAATCAAATTAAAAAGATACTAGGTAAGAACTTAGGAAATAAAATATAGACTTTATTTGATAATATTTAATAATAATGGTTTATTGTGAAAAACTGTATTATATGAATGTAAAGTATTCATAATAACAAACTATGCATGGAATATGTGGGAATTCTCTACGTCACCCTTGCAACTTTTCAGTAAATCTAAATGTTTCAAAATAAAAAAAGAAAAAGTTTATAAACAAAGTAAAACAGAAAACATAAATAATATTCTCAATATATCAGAGAAAAATAAATGTCATACACAAGGGAGTAAACAAGAACAAATATTTAATGAATGCTAGAAAACTTGAAATTCCCTAAATTTATTTATTTTAAAATTTTATGCTTTTATTATACTTAGTTTACTAAAATTTTATTTGAAAACACATTGATTCATTTTCTATAGTATAATGCCTCCCAATAATTAAGGACTTTAGGACTATAGAACAGGTGAGGTGAGATATACATTTTGTACTGGCTTTCACCTTTTCATGCATTTACAATTACTATTAACATATTTCAAATACTAGTGGCTACTCTGGGCATTCAAAAATGAATAATATGAATGTATTCTCTTATTGTAATGAATTGAATAATCTCACAGTCTAGTAAGAGAGATTAATACATAAACAGTGAGTTAGAGTGCAATGTGATATGTGCCAAGAAAGGACAAGGAAGGGAGTGTATAAATATTTTAGGCTTCAGAAAACTCAGGTTTATAAAATCTCTGATAGCCCTATTACTTGCTTGATTGAGGTATGAAGTTACTATTACTCAAAACCCTGCTCTTTTGAAAGCCACTGATGTTTCAGCATTATTTCTTTATTATGCCATAATTTAATTTTTTTCTTAGTAAAGACATGGAATATTAATATTGAGACAATAGAAAAAAATTCAAGATTATGTATTACATCTTCCTAACTTACCCATAAGTCCCATGTAAAATGATATGAATCAAGTCATCTGTCCTATTTTTGAGCAAATTTAAGGATGGAAAGCCCAATATACTTTAGGATAGCCAACTCCATTGTTGTAGCAACCCAGTTATTCCAAATTTTCTTCAAAAGTAACTCTTAATTTTGCTTTCAGTCATTTTTCATTTATTATAGACCTGCCTTTGTTTCTTCCAACCTTTAAATAGAGGGCATTAATAAAAGCATGAATGTAATTTAAAATTTTAATTACTTTGCAGGTACACATGGCAGAATCAATTTATAAACATCAATGAAAACATACTTTATACAGTTTTTAATGCATCACAAATTTAATAGCTATCATTTTAGTGGCATATCATTAAATATTATTTTCCCAACTTTTGGAAAGCATGTTTCGGTTTCTGTTACTAAAAAATGTAAAGACCTTCTCCATTTCAAGCATGAATTTTGATCTAATAGAAGTAAGTTAAAGCAAATGGAGTAGTTAAAAACATGCCTTTATCTTACCTGAAAACTTCATTGAATAATATGCATAGATTTTAAACATATCATTAGAAAACATTGTCATTAGGGATATGGTATAGAAAGATACATTTAGATGTATATCTAGCTATCAAAGAATGTAGAATAATATTCCTCTTGTTAAATTTGTTATGAAAAGAAAAGAATAAAACCAATACTGTGTGACATTGAGATTTTATAAGTGTTAAACAGTAATGAAAATATTAGCAAAAAGAAATAGTGTAAGCAATTTTATACATGCTTTCGCATAATGTTTGTAGTGTTCATACCACATTGAATGTTAAATTATCCGGATAAAAAATTTATTCAATTTCTGTAAGATTAAAAGTAAATTATTTTTGTTCCTAATTTGATGTAATGTTGATTCCTAACATTGGCCAGCCTCTTCTGTATTCCTGAGGGTTGAACTGAAGAATTTCAAATGTGAATGATAAAATACAAATAATTCTATTCATGTACTTCTACTAATACAAGTTAAAATTATTTTATTCTCTTCTTTTCTCATTGCTGTCTTGACAAACTTCTATGTATTTTGAACTCCGTCTTTTTTTCACATAAATGATTGATTACTTTAATGTACCTAAAATTATGCTTAATTTAGTTGCAACTATATTTAATATAAATGTAGACTTTTATCCCCAACCAAATTTACTTTTGTTGGCCTTACATTATTCACTGCAAGGGATACAGATATCTGTCTTACAAAATATCTTACAGTGAACCTTGGAAATGATCTATACAGTACAACAAAGACTAAATAAAATAAAAAGGGTAAAAGGTGTATAGTTTAAATCATTTTATCTATCTATCTATCTAGCTGATATTTATGAATATAATAGCATTTTAAAATGATTGCTATTGGATTTCCTGTTTCTAGTATGTCATGTAAGGAGCTTAGAAGTTGCCAATCCATTTTACAAACATGTAAAAAAATTAAAAAATATTGAAAAATCAACATTTCTTCTTAGACCCCTAAGAGAAATGAGGTCACAAGGCAAAAGGCTGCCCCCAAAATTAGAGAGATAAACAGGCAAAAACAAAGAGAGAATCACAATTTACTAGAGCAGAAACCTCTGTGGGAGTCACTGCTAGTAGAAAAACCTAAACTGTAACTAACAAATGCTGGAGGCTTGGTGTGAAAAAAACTAAAAGATAAACACTCTAGGGTGACCCAGTCATCAGGGACCCCTGACAGTTTTGTGAGTTTTAACTCCTGGAGTGCTACCAGGTTCTCATAGTGAACAGCACAGAAAAACAGCAGAGAAAATTCCCTCATGTTTCTGGCAGGTGACAGAAGAGGACCCATCTTGAAATATACCATAGCATTCTGTTCTTCTTAACAAGATTGACCCTGAGGAGAAACTATTTAACCAAGGCCTGACCTACTTAAGTTTTATTAGAGCCTAACTGACCTGAAGGAAGGGAATTACCCAAGTCTACACAACTCTAGTCTTTCATGTGTAGGAAGGGAAATATCAAATTTTAGGTCCACTACCCTTCCACAGGGGAGAATGGAAAACCTAATTCCAATCCACTCTAGCTATCCTTTTCTACCTAAAGGAGGGTGGTAACTGAGAGGCAATGATGACATTCACAGCCCAGAGGCACAGGCACAATAAAAAAATGAGAAATAATCATAGGGCTATAAAATGCTCCCCTTCCCCCACAACTTACCGTGACATTACTAAATTCCAATTTAGAGCCATTCCTTTTGCCAGTGGATTATGTGTGGCAATCAAAATAAAATTATAAGGCATAGTAAAAGGCAAAACAAAATGAAACAGTTTGAAGAGAGAGAGCCAGCATCAGAACCAGACTCAGATATGGCTGGTATTTTGGAATTAACAAATAATTTAAAGCAACTATGATTAATATGCTAAAGACACTAATGGATAAAGTAGACAATGTTCAAGAACAGATGGGCAATGTAAGCAGACAGATGGAAATTCTGAGAAGGAACCAAAAAGAAATGGAAGAGAGCAAAAACAATGTAATAGAAATGAAGAATGCTTTTAATGGGCTTGCAAGTAGATGGACACAACTAAGGAAAAATCTCTAGCTTGAAGCTATCTCTATAGAAACCTTTAAAACTAAAAAGTAATGAGAAAAAAAAAAGAATGAAAACAAACAACAAATCAGAACAGAATATCCAAGAACTATGGGGCAATTACAAAAGGTGTAATGTATGTGTGATGAGAATACCAAAAGGGGAGTAAAGAAAGAAAGCAACAGAAGAAATACATGGAACAATAATGATTGAGAATTTCCCCAAATTAATGTTACACACCAGACCATGCTGGAAGTTGAAAGAACATCAAGTAAAAAAATGACACCCAGATACGTTGTATGTAAACTACACAGCTTGTGTTTCTTTTATATTTTGCATATTAATTCCATATCAGATGTATAGCTTGAAAATATTTTTTACCCTTCTGTAGGTTGTCTCTTCATTCTGTTCATTCTTTTCTTGCCTTTCAGGAGCTCATTAGTTAAATGTAATCCCATTTACTTTTGCTTTTGTTATTTGTGTTTTCTGGGGTCATATAAAAAATTATTGCCTACACCAATGGTAAAAAGGATTTTTTTTATTGTAGAAGGTTCTCAGGTCTCCCATTTATTTTGTCTCTCAAATTTTAGGAATCTCCTCCTTTAATTAACCCATCAACCTCTAATGGCAAGAATTTGAAAAAGTAAATTTATACTCAGACTTTATTTTAACAGAGAAGCCAGAAGTTGCAGCTCAATGCACCATGAAGCTGAGACAGAAATGGAGATCCCCCAGCCCCACCTCTCTGGAACAGGAAAGATGAATGAGGAAGAAACACAGGGCAGTATGGGGAAGAGGGTCATGGCGGACATGGGGGTAGTGGGCTGGTCTCCCCACCTTCTCATATTATGCTAACAGGGACAAAGACACATTCAGACTCCTTTAAATAGCCTTTTCCCATTCTGTTTCAAGATGGGTGACAAGAGACATCAGACACCCACCCTCCCCGGTAAAAGAAGCAAAATTATAAATGCATAATCATATCTCTAATAGAACATCTAGGATGGAACACTAGAGACCAATGACAAAGTCATGGAAAACACCCAAGACACAGAAGGAGAAAAAAAGCAAGGGGCCAGCTTGGCTGAGATTGGCTGGGAGCCTGAAGGGGCTTGGTATTGTGTGAAAAGCCTCAGTGAAGGAGTTTCAGTGGTTCACATACCCAGTATGGACTTCTGCAATCTGAACCATGGGAAAACTCCTTTAACCTAATGAACTGTGACACTAGCATGGGTGGTGACTTGGAGACCACACAAGGCCATAGCATCAGAGAACTTATACAGGGTTACTCAACCCCTTGCCAAGACCTGAGTGCTGTGGCAAGGCACCACTTGGGGAGCACAGCCATCACAGGACTACATCCAGCCCCCTTATCTCCACATCCTAGAAGATCCTGCTGACATTTCCCAGTGTCCACCTGGAGGACTATAGTGGCATTGCACTGGCTAGACCCAAAGATGTTGCATGTCCCCAGGACTCTAGCTCACAGGGATTACTACCCACTGTTGAAAGGACAGTGCAACACACAAAAAAATGGTAGCCCATGGGACAAGGGAAACCAAAGTATGTGCTTCCCAGAGTCTGAGAGGTCTCTGTCTGGGACTATGAGAAGTTACTCTGCCCTCAACAGTTGCACAAACTCTGTGCCCAGTTTTATAAGCAGAGAGTAAATTCTCCTACCACTGGCAGAGCAGCCTCTGCACTAAGGCTCAGAAGTAGAGAAGTAGAGACTAGGACTTCTCCGCCTCAAAACACCCAACTAGTGTCTCTGCCAGATGCTTTAGCAAGTGAGCTGGAGGGCTGCCTATTTGGGGTGCCACAGAGAGCAGGAGCTCTGTGTCCTGCAGCATGTCTGGAGTTGTGGGCAGTAACCCCACACTGCAGCCACCACTTAAATCAGCCTGCATCACTTGGGTCCAAGAGGGTCATACCACCACTAGCACTGCTGTAACCCACACCATGCTGGCTGCCCAGGGACCTGAGCACCAGCCCACCCACTTGGCCCACCACCGCCATGACTAGAATTCATGCAAGCCACCTGGAATCAGCCCACTGGTAACCACCAACACAAGTTCTCCTGTGCACTGCCTTTGGGCACAAAGATAGGCATGCTCAGGCCACCTCTGCAACCACCAGGACCTGAAGACTGGACCACGTGGCTTCCTAGTCCTTAGCACAACCTTATCATAGCCTTCAATAATAACCACACTCTAACCCTCTGAGGAAATCACAGAAAGCACTAATGCTGTTTACAGCTAAGTACATCTTACAGAGACTGTACCAGTACAGACACCCAGAATTAAAGCCAAAGTGCTTAATCCAACCAACACCACCAATACATCTTCAGAAAAATGTCCTCTATGAAAGTAAATTCAGAAACAAGAATCAACTGTTACACTAGATATGCAGATATCAATGTAAAGACACAGAAAACATTTTAAAAAGCAAGGAAATATGACACTTCCAAAAGAACACAATGATTCTTTAGCAGTAAATTCTTAACAAAAAAGGAATTTTTGAAAAACAATTCAAAATATGAATTTTTAAGAAGCCCAGTGAGATATAAGAGAATTCTGAAAAAAAATACAAATAAATCATCAAAACGATTCAGTATATGAATGAGAAATTTAACAAAGTGATAGATATTTTTAAAAGAACCAAATGGAAACTCTTGAACTAAAGAATTATTTGAAGGAAATACAAAATACACTTGAAAGATTAAATAATAGACTAGATCAGGCAGAAGAAAGAATCCCAGAACTTGAAGACAGGTCTTTTGAAATAATTTTGACAGACAAAAATAAAGAAAATAGCTTACAAAGAATGAGCAAAGCCTTTCTGACATTTAGAACAACATAAAGTAATTTAATATTACAATTATTGGGATCACTGAGAATGAAGAGACAAAGGAAGGATTAGAAAACCTATTTAAGGCTGGACATGGTGGCTCATGCCTGTAATTCCAGCATTTTGGGAGGTCAAGGCAAGCCGATCACGAGGTCAAGAGATCAAGATCATTCTGTTCAGCATGGTGAAACCCCATCTCTAAAAATACAAAAATTACCTGGGTGTGAGATGCTGCATGCCTGTAGTCCCTGCTACTCAGGAGGCTGAGGCAGGAGAATAACTTGAACCCCAGGAGGTGGAGGTTACAGTGAGCTGAGAGTGTACCACTGCACTCCAGCCTGGCAACAAAGCAAGGCTCTGTCTCAGAAAAAAAAAAAGAAAAAAAAGAAAACCTATTTAATAAAATGATAGATGAAAGCTTCCCAAGTTTGCAAAAGATTTAGAAATTCAGATAGAGGAGTCTCAGCAATCTTCAGGAATATGCAGTGCAAAGGCCTTCTCCATGACACATGATAGTCACACTGCCTAAAGCCAAAGATAAATAGTGTATCCTAACAAGGGCAAGAGAAAAATGTCTAATCACCCATAATGAAAACCTATCAAACTAACAGTGAATTTTTCTGCAGAAACTTTATAGGCCAGAAAAGTATGAGAGGATATATTCAAAGTGCTGACATTAAAATCAAAACAAAAATCCCAGCTAGCAAAGAATACTAGATCCAGCAAAATTATCCTTCATAAACAAAGGAGAAATAAAGTCTTTCTGGACAAGCAAATGCAGAAGGAATTTGTTAACGCTAGACTGGCCCTACAAGAAATGCTCAAGGGAGTCCTAAACCTGGAAGTGAAAGGATGATATGTGCCATAATGAAAAAAATACAAAAGTATAAAACACACTGATAAAGTAATCACACAAAGGAGAAAAAGAAAGGACACTAATGGTACTACTACAGAAGTCTACCAAACCACAATAACAATCAATAAGATAAAAATGAAAGGACCAAAAAATACATACTACAACTCCAAAACAATGAACAATATGATAGGAAAAAAGCCTAACATATCAATAATAAGCCTGAACATAAATGAATTAAATTATCCACTTAAAAGATATAGAATGGCATATGGATTAAAAAACGTGATCCAAACATGTGCTGCCTACAGGAAACTCATCCTACCAGTAGAGGCATGTGTAGACCGAAAGTAAAGCAATGGAAAAAGTTACCCCATGTAAATACAAACAAAAAGTGAGCAAGAGTAGCTAAACTTAGATCAGACAAAACAGACTGTAAGTTAAGGACATTAGAAAAAGACAAAGGAAGTCACTATATAATAATAAAAGAATCAATCTAGTAAGAGGATCTAATTCTAAATATATATGCACCCAAAACTGCAGCATCCAGATTCATAAAGCAAATATTTTATCTAAAAAGAGAACTAAACTATGATACAGTAATAGCGGGGGATTCTAACACCCCACTGTCAACATTAGAAAGATCATCTAGACAGAAAATAAACATAGAAATATGGGATTTAAACTGGACTTTAGACCAAATGTTCCTAACAAACATTTACAGAACATACTATATACATTCTTTTCATCAGGACATAAAATATTCTCCAGGATAGGCCATATATTTGGCCACAAAACAATTCTCAAAAAATTTTTAAAAAATCAAAATGATATCAAAAATTGTCTGAGACCACAATGGAATGGAACTAGAAATCAATACCAAGAGGAACTTTGGAAACTATAAAAATACATAGAATTTAAATAACATGATCCTGAATGACCTGGGTCAACAAAAAATATGTAAATTTAAAAAACTTAAAACAAATGAAAATTAAACACATACAAAAACCCATTGCATACAGCAAGAGCAGTACTAAGAGGGAAGTTTATAGCAATAAATGCCTACATCAAAAAACAAAAAGACTACAAATTTACATCTAACAATGTGCCTTAAGGAGCTAGAAAACAAGAAAAAACCAAACCCAACATTAGCTAGGAAAAAGAAATAATACAAATCAGAGCAGCTGTAAATGAAATAGAAACTATAAAAATATAAAGGATCAACAAAATAAAAAGGTGATTTTTCAGAAAGATACAACTGATAAGTTAGTAGCTACTAACTAGTCTAATCAGGAAAAAGATAAGAGAAGACCCAAATAAAGAATATGAGAAATGAAAAGGAGACATTAAAACAGATATCACAGAAATATAAAATATCACCAGACTATTATGATGAACTAGGATACTGACAAACTGAAAAACCTATAGGAAATGGATTCTTTCTTGGAGACATACCACTTACCAAGATTGAATCAGGAAGAAATGAGAAACTTGAACAGAGTAGTGAGAGTCAATAATGAGTAGTGAGATTCAATCACTAATAAAAAGTCTCCAAACAAAAAAAAAGTCCAGATGGGTTCATAGCCAAATACTACCAAACATGCAAAAAAGATGTAATGCTAAGCATCCAGAAACTATTCCAAAAATGAAAGAGGAGGAAATTCTCCCCAACTCATTCTATGAGACCAGCATCACCCTGAAACCAAAACCAGACAGTCACAATAAAAAAAGAAAATTTCAGGCAATATCCCTGATGAATATAGATGTATAAATCCTTGAAAAATATTAGCAAACACAATCCAACAGCACATCAAAAAGATAATTGCCTGAATAGCCAAAGTAATCCTGAGCAAAAAGAACAAGCTAGATACATTACATTACCCAGCTTAAAAATTTATTGAAAGTCTATAGTAACCAAAATGGCATGGTACTGGTACAAAATAGATATATATACCAATGAAACAGAATAAAGGACCCAGAAATAAAGCCACATGCTTTACAGTAAATTGATCTTCAACAAAGCTGGCAAAAACTTTTAATAGGGAGGGGACAACCTCTTTAATAAATTGTGCTTGGAAAATTGGATAGCAACATCTAGAACAATAAAACTGGACCTGTCTCTTCCATCATATACAAAAATCAACTAAAAGTGGATTAAAGACTTAAACATAAGACATGAAACTACAAAAATTCTAGAAGAAAATTTAGGGAAAAGTCTTCTGATTGTTGGTCTTGGTAAATACTTTTTTCACAGACCTCACAAGCACAGGTTACAAAAACAAAAATAGACCAATAGGACAATTCAACTAAGCATCTGCAGAGCAAAGGAAATAATCAACAGAATTAAGAGATAACCTGTTGAATGGGAGAAAATATTTGCAAAGTGCTCATCTAATAGTGGACTGTTATCCAGAATACACAAGGAGCTCAATCCAAAAGAAAAAAATACCACATAATACCATTAAAATGTGGACAGAGAATACAAATAGATATTTCTCAAAAGAAGACATAGAGGTGGTCAAAAGTTATATAAGAAATGCTAAACATCACTAATCATAGAAGAAAGGCAAATCAAAACCACAATGAAATATTCTACCCCAGTCAGGATGGCTATTATTAAAAAGACAAAAAATAACTCATGGTTTGGATACAAAGGAAAGGTAACTCTTACTCACTGTTTGGTGGGAATGTAAACTAGTACAGCTACAATGGAAAATAGTATGAAGATTTCTCAAAAATCTAAAAATAGAATTACCATTTGATCCAGCAACCCCACTACTTTGAGTCTACTCAAAGGAAAAGAAATTAATATATCAAAGGCATACTTGCACTACTTGCATGTTTATTGTAGCACTGTTCGCAAGAGCAAAGATATGAAATCAACCTAAGTGTCCATGAATGAATGAAGAAAATGTAGTATATATATACACAATGGAATACTATTTAACCATAAAAATAATGAAATCATGTCATTTGCAGCAACATGGATGGAAATAGTGTCTGTATTAGTTTTTACACTGCTATAAAGAACCGCCCAAGACTGGGTAATTTACAAAAAAAAAAAAAAGATTTAATCGACCCACAGTTTTGCAAGGCCATATCATTATCTTAAGTTAAATAAGCCAGTTAAATAAGCCAGGCACAGAAATATATTTCACATTCTCACTCATATGTGGGAACTAAAAACTTTGATCACATGGAGGTAGTTACTGGAAAGACTATAATAGAGACTGGGAAGGGTGAGTGGGGGGGAGGGAGAGAATGTAAAGAAGTGAGTTAAAGTTTATAGACACACAGTAAGCTAGAAGTAATAAATTCAATGTTTGATAGCAGAGTAGGGTGACAATTCTTAACAAAAATGTATTGTACTCAGGTGCTAGATACCCTAAATGCCCTGACTTGATTATATACATGCAACAATTTTTAGATTGTATAAATGGGAGAAAGTTCAAAAGCACTTCATGTATTTGAAAAAGCTTTTGCCCTATATATTCTCGTAGTAGTTTTACAATTTCTGGTTTTACATTTAGGTTTTTAATCCATTTTAAGTTGATTTTTGTATATGGTGTGAGATGAGGGTCTAATTTCATTATTTTGCATGTAATTATTCAGTTTTTCCAACATACTTTTTTGAAGAGACTTTTTCCCATTGTATATTCTTGGTGACTTGTTGAAGATCAATTGAACATATATGTTTAGATTTATTTCTGGACTCTCCATTTTGTTCCACAGGTGTATGTGTGTGTGTATATATATATATATCTGTTTTGATGCTAGAACTGTACTGTTCAGATTACTACAGCTTTGTAGTATATTTTGAAATCAGGTAGTGTGATACCTCTAGTTGTGTTCTTCTTGCTCAAGATTGCTTTGGTTGTTTGGGGTCTTTTGTCATTCCATATTAATTTTAGATTTTCTTCTGTTTTTTTAAGAAATGTGATTGGAATTTTGATAGGAATTTCATGGTAAGTATCTTGTATCTTTGGGTAATATGGACATTTTAACAGTATTAATTCTGATCCATGAACACAGGATACCTTTCCATTTATTTGTGTCTTCTTCAACTTCTTTTTATCAATGTTTACTAGTTTTCAGTATATAGATATTTCATCTCCTTGATTAAATTTATTACTATGTGTTCCATTTATTTTGATTTTATTGTGAAAATGACTGCTTGCTTAATTTTTTGGTCACTTGGAATTCCAGTAATATACTAAATAGAATTGGTAAGAACAGGTATTTTTTTTTTTTTTTTAATCTTAGAGAAAAAGCTTTCAGCTTGTCAACATTGAGTAGGATAATCTTTTTAAGATACAGTGCTGGAACAACTGGACATCCACATGTGGAAAGATGAGTCTAGACACAGACCTTATGTCCTTTCCAAAAATTAACTCAAATTGAATCACAGACTTAAATGTAAAATGCGAAGTTGGCTGGGCGCAGTGGCTCACGCCTGTAATCCTGGCACTTTGGGAGGCCGAGGCGGGTGGATCACGAGGTCAGGAGTTTGAGACCAGCTTGGCCAACATGATGAAACCCCGTCTCTGCTAAAAAATACAAAAAATTAGCTGGGCGTGGTGGCGCGCGGTTGTAGTCCCAGCTACCCAGGTGGCTGAGGCGGGGGAACAGCTTGAACCCAGGAGGCAGAGGTTGCAGTGAGCCAAGATCAAGCCACTGCACTCCAGCCTGCGGACGGGGCAAGACTCCGTCTCAAAAAAAAAAAAAAAAAAAAGCAAAGTTGTAAAATGGCTGGAAGAAAACACAGGACAATATTTAGATGATCTTGGGTTTGGAGATGTCTTTTAGACTTTTAGAAGCTAATCTAAAAGAAGCTACACACGGCCGGGTGCTGTGGCTCACACCTGTAATCGCAGCACTTTGGGATGCTGAGGCAGGTGGATCACCTGAGGTCAGGAGTTCGAAACCAGCCTAACCAACATGGTGAAACCCCATCTCCACTAAAAACACAAAAAATTAGCCGGGCGTGGTGACACGCGCCTGTAGTTCCAGCTACTCCGGAGGCTGAGGCAATAGAATGGTGTGAACCTGGGAGGCGGAGCTTGCAGTGAGCTGAGATCACACGACTGCACTCCAGCCTGGTGACAGAGCAAGACTCGGTCTCAAAAAAACCCAAACAAACAAAAAGAAGCTACATATTATATGATTCCAACTATATGGCATCCCGGAAAGGCAAAATTATGGAGATGGTAAAGAGATCAGTGATTGCTGGGGGCTGGGGAGAGGAAGAAATGAATACATGGAACACAGAGGGTTTCAGGGTCAGAAAAACTACTCCTTGTGTGATACTATAACGGTGGATACATGTCATTATGTATTTATCCAAACCAATAGAATGTACAACACCAAGAGTGAACTCTATTGTAAACTATAGACATTGGGTTATATCGTTGTGTGCTATGGTCTAAATGTTTATCCCCACCACCACTAAATTTATATGTTGAAATCCTAACCTTCAAGGTGATAGTGTTAGAAGATGGGACCTTTTCGAAGTGGAGCCCTCGTGATTGGGATTAACACCCTTATGACAGAGACCACAGAGGGCTGGCTAGTCCTTCTATACTGCCATGTGTGTACAGTAAAGAGATGATTGTCAATGAACCAAGAAGCGGGCCCTCAGCAGACACTAAATCTGCTGACACCTTGATTTTGACTTCCCAGTTTCCAAAACTATAAGAAATAAATTTCTTTTTTAATAAGCTACACAGTTTATGGTATTTTGTTATAGCAGCCTGAAGAGAGTAAAAGGATGTAGAAATATAGGTTCAGTAACCATAACAAAAGTACCACTCTGTGGAAGATGTTAGTAATGTGAGAGGCTATGAATGAGGTGGCGAGGAGGTGGTATATGGGAAATGTCACTTTGTTCTGTTCAGTTTTGCTGTGAATCTAAAACTGTTCTAATAGATAAAGTTGAATACAATATTAAAACAACAACATGTTACTGTCTTTGTAACTATTCAATGACATTTAGGCAGGGCAGAGGCTATTGGACATTATATATATCCTTAAAGTCTCCCTTTATATATATACACACAGATATAAATATATAAGTATAGATAAAGATGAAGCCTAAAAACCTAGTTTAATTATGTTAAATTTCATTAGGGAATATGTAATTTTACCTCTCGCTTTTATTATAATGGTCTTGACTTGAGCTGGCCATGCACATTTTCACCATGCTGAATTTAAAATTGGGCTACTTTATAGAGTTTTGAACAAAATGCTGATTCCCCTCAGACTCTTTACAACATTGCTCTGAATCATATGAATTGCCCTTAATCAATAAAGCAGCACTCATTTGACTGGCCCTGTAATGTGTAACCTTCTATTTCCAAATATGGTAAACATAGAGAAGCCATCTATGTGAGAAGGTTTGAGTAGGCTTTACTCCCATTTACCCTAGTATTGATTTCTATATATGGCAGGAAGGAGGAAAAGGGATGTTTTCATCCCTTCTCAGTTCCTATCCCTAAATTTTTATCTTACCAAGAACTCAAATGCTGTTTCCTTCTTTTTTTTTTTTTTTTTTTTGATGGAGTTTCGCTCTTGTCATTCAGGCTGGAGCGTAATGGTGCAATCTTGGCTCACTGCAACCTCCAAATCCTGGGTTCAAGCAATTCTCCAGCCTCAGCCTCCTGAGTAGCTGGGATTACAGGCACCCACCACCACACCCAGCTAATTTTTGTTTTTTCAGTACAGACGGGGTTTTGCCATGTTGGTCAGGTTGGCCTCGAACTCCTGACCTCAGGTGATTCACCCACCTCAGCTTCCCAAAGTGCTAGGATTATAGGTTTGAGCCACTGCAGCCAGCCAACTGTTTCTTTATGATTGAATGACAGCCATAACTAGGACAATTTACTTGGATGCTAACAGCTTGTGCAAAGATCTAGGAATGCAGATCTAGAAATATGAGGATTAGAGCCCTAATGACATGGGATAGGATGGACAGAGTCCAGAGCCAAACTTCTCCCAACTTAATGTATGTTAGTACAATCACTATGGAGAACAGTTTGGAGGTTCCTCAAAAAACTGAAAATTGAGCTAGCATATGATCAGGCAATCCCACTGCTGGGTATATATCCAAAGGAAAGGAAATTAGTATATTGAAAAGATACTTGCACTTCAATGTTTTCTGCAGCACTATTTATAATAGCTAAGCTTTGGAAGCAACCTAAGTGTCCATCAATAGATGGATGGATAAAAAAATGTGGTACATATGCACTGG
Source organism: Homo sapiens (assembly GCF_000001405.40). NCBI lineage: Eukaryota > Metazoa > Chordata > Mammalia > Primates > Hominidae > Homo > Homo sapiens. Next base: position 103,983,383 of record NC_000005.10, read on the forward strand.
AGATCATTATGTTAAGTGAAATAAGCCAGACACAGAAAGGCAAACATCATATGTTCTCACTTATTTGTGGGATCTAAAAATCATGAACTCACGGACATAGAGAGTAGAACGATGGTTACCAGGGGCTGGGAAAGGGGAGAGCTGGATGGGGCGGGGAGGTGGGAATAGCTAATGGGTACAAAAAAATAGAATGAATGAGACCTACTATTTGATAGCACAATAGAGTGACTATAGTGAATAATAACTTAATTGCACATTTTAAAAAAGAGTGTAATTGGACTGTTTGTAACTCAAAGGATAAATGCTTGAAGGAATGAACACCTCATTCTACACTATGTGCTTATTTCACATTGCGTGCCCATTTCCAAATATCTAATGTACCCCATAAATAATACCTAATATGTACCAACAGAAATTAAAATTATAGTAATAATAAAAAGAAAAAAAAGACTCATAACTCCCAAAACACCCAGATATGTTTGAAATATCCAATAAAGAGATGGAAGGGGCAGATAAGCTCTTCAATAAACATCACAAAATGACTCCATTCATTCATAAAGCAACCACAATGACAATCCAACTTCTGTAATTTGTTATATTTTCAAATCACAACTCAGGACCATTTTTCTTTCTTTCATGCTGTGATACAATACAGTGATTTTGTCCTCAAACAATAAAATGTAAAGCTAGCTTTACCTACATTTAGATAAATGTACTGACATAATGACTTCTTAACTTGCTATTTATTTCACACTAACAATTTAATAACAATGAAAGAGATATTTTTAATTAATATTAAATAAATACATAACCTTATAGACTATGTAAGGTTTTTATAGTTATTCTCATTTTTCCAGGAGCTGTTAACATTAAAAAGAAAATATAACAAAAGAAAACCCAGCCATTGAAGTCACAGGAACCTGGTTTTGAATTATGATGAATTTATCACTTTCCAACTCTTTCATATATGAAAATTTGTCCTTCTTATGAACGTACATTTAAATAATCTGTATGATAAAGATAACATAATAATATTACAATATTGTGTTAAGAATTCAATACATTTCTAGAATGTTAACTTTTTTTTTCCTTTCTAGTCATCTCATAGAGGGCTCAACAATCTGATTTTTCCCTGAATAATTTACCAATTATTATTTTAAATTTGGAGAAAAATGTAAGTGTTTATATGTAGTCTTTATATTAAGGGGTAGTATTTTATCATTTACCATAAATTAATGAACTTATTTCCTTAAAAGGATATTGTAAATCCTGATAAACTTAAGCACACTTTCTTAAAATTGAGAAGTCATGAGGTAGAGAATATGCCCATGAAATTACCTAAGACTGTACGTCTGAAACCAGGATTGTCAATGAAATTACATGTCTGGCTGAGAGTAATAGATGACTGGTGAGTGGTATTTCAGTTCTTTTCTGTATTCTACTGTTATCATAATGAACATTTGTTAGGTCTTTACACTTTATTTGGAATAAAATCAGCATGCTCATTCATGTCTCAGAAATTCTCTGTGGTGTCCCTTGGGGTGAAAGAGATAGAATTATGTGATATGTGTAAACAGGGATTAATCTAATCTTAGGCAAATCCACACTTTTCAATGTGAGTGAGGTTTGCAGAGGATTATAAATATGATGAAGTTAGATACAGTTTGACATCTTGTTTTTTTCGAGCGTTAATTTTTTAAAAGCTTTTCAAAAATTACTTATTAATTTTTGGTATGCAAAATCACACAGAAAAAAATCACTTGAACAACATGTCAAGTTTACTTTGAGTTGAGTGTTAAAAATGTCTCTTACCTATTGGAATGGGAATTAGGTTTGATGTGATTCTAAAAGGCATCTCTATCTTCTTTGCAAAATGGCAATTGTCTTGCCTAGAGACATATGTTGAAACAATCCACATAACTTGGGACATCTTGTTCATTTTGATTCTCAGCACTGTTCATCACTCGACTGCACACCATTTATTTGGTGGCAGCCTATGAACTCTAAAGTAAATGAGTCTGGTTGCAGGGGTGGAGGGGGTAGAATAGAGGAGAGAAGGCTAACATACATCATGTGGCTGGAAATTATATAATAGGAAATTACAAGCCATCACACTGAGGTTTAAGCTTTAGCTATTTCTGTATAAAAAAATAGTTTGGGGAGATTGGACTTTATCCAAAATCAATTTACAGCTATCAATTTAAAAAAAATCTTCACAGAGGGATATGGATTTGACACCTCTGTTAGAGCTAAACTTCTGAGACTATCAGGGATCAACACGTCAGTTTAATGAAGAATAAAAAAATCCAATCAATGCAACATCCAAGGTCAAGGTATGGGATGAAATAGAGTAAGTTGGGGTTTCCTTTCAGAAGGCTAATAGCAAAGTAGCGTTAACTCCTGGGATGTTGATAGGTATTAGAACCTGGATTATGTAAAAGAATAGGCCGGGCGCGGTGGCTCACGCCTGTAATCCCAGCACTTTGGGAGGCCGAGGCGGGTGGATCACGAGGTCAGGAGGTCGAGACCATCCTGGCTAATACGGTGAAACCCCGTCTCTACTAAAAATACAAAAAAAAAAATTAGCCGGGCGTGGTAGCGGGCGCCTGTAGTCCCAGCTACTCGGGAGGTTGAGGCAGGAGAATGGCATGAACCCGGGAGGTGGAGCTTGCAGTGAGCCAAGATAGCGCCACTGCAGTCCAGCCTGGGCGAAAGAGCGAGACTCCGTCTCAAAAAAAAAAAAAAAAAAAAAAAAAGAATAGATGATATAATTAAAACAATAGAAATCATATCTGTTTTCAATATCTAGGGTAGAAGAGTAAAAACATTTGAAGTTATTAAAGTATTGACTGGTCAAAGAGTAGAGGGAAAGGCCATAAAAGGTTATAGTTTCCCTAGAGCCATAAAATCAGAATAGAGAAATAGAGAAGCAACACTACATGTGCAGTATAAATGGATTCAGCTGTCCATGACTATGACTGTGAGCTGTTGGTGATTAGAATCAAGACTATTCTATCACAGCTGGAGCCGTTAGAATGGTCTTGGGTGGGATTTAAAATGGGGGAAAAATTCTGCATTTGAATCTCAAGTCTGTCTTTCAAATTACAGAAAGTCCTTAGAGGCTTACTACCCAAATAAAATTGTACAAACTAGAAAAGAAAACATGAGTTTAACTACAGGTGTCCTAAAATGATTACACTCACTAAATCAATATTTAGGTGTAATTGTAAAAGAACAAATTGAACGGCTCTTGAATGGTACTGTAAGAGTCTAAAGCTCTAAACTGAAGAATGTGGTTTTGGAAAAAATTTCAGAAAATAGCATTTTTATGTGTTTGTAATTTTACAAAAGAAATGTAATAAAGCTATTTAGAGTATGAATTCAGTAAGGAGTTAAACCTTTCATAATGAACCTAAAATCACTCTGGTTTCAGTAATTTAAAGATATTCTCTATATGGTTTATTAAAACACTTTCCTTAATTAGTCATTACTTAACCTTCACTATATCCTAAGTATCTCATTCTTTAGCTCTATAAAAACTGACATCATACCTATGTGGCTATTTTGGCTGTATTCTAAATGGATTTTTCCTTTCATTTTATAGGTATCCTAAATTTGGGACCATTATTCTCTTGATTTCATTACTTTAGCAGGTGCTATGCCCAGGTTTTGGCTATCTAGCTTTGTTCAGGGCAGGTTTTCAGAAGCAGGAGGGAAAAAAGTAGTTTAATGCAGACCAGGCACCTGCTGTCAAATAAAATCAACATGGAATAAATCATCCCTGCCTGGGAGGAAAAATTTTAACTTTCCCTTGGCTGTCTGCAGAGCATAGCACAGCACCTGAGACATCATTATTGGACTGCTTTTTTCAAAGGGCGCTATTGCCCTTTGATATCTAATGCCAAAACATTTATGCCATATCTGGGATTTGTAAGACTTACTTTGGATACTGGTTGGTGTGACAATGTTTGTGCTTATTTTATTATTATTTTCCTCTTACCCATCATTTCACATTTTTCACTAAGTTTAATGACACATTTTTAGCTACACAAATTACATGTATATCAAGATTTTAAAAAATAAGTAGTAATGTGTTTTGCTAAGATTTCATGAAAGTCACATGGTTCATAAAATGAGAAAACTGTATGAGCCAGTTGGCAAAAATATACTCATTTCAAAATGTATGGAAAATAACTTGTTCACAGAATAGATTCTTATCCCTTTTATTGAACCACTTAACATGTAGTGATAATTATTCAATTTTTGAATGGGCACCTACTATGTAAAACCCTTTTCCAGGCACAATGAGATTTAAGATGAAGAGTAAGAGTCTAACCCACCCCCTAGATATTTATAATACAATGTGATCAGGAAAAATAATATACGCATATTCATATGTGAATTTTAAGACAAATAATGTAAAGGCTATGATCCAATGTTTCTCAAAGTTTGTTTCTCAAATTGCAGCATCAGCATCACCTGGGAGCTTATTAAAAATGCATATTCTCAAGTTGCATCTCAAACCTACTGATTCAGAAAGTAGAGGATGGGGCCCAGAAATCTGTGTTCTAACAAGTCCTCAGGTGACTCCGACGCATGAATTAGTTTGAGAATTACTGTGCAATGCAGTTATAAACAAGGTGTTCAGGAAGTAACACAGAGTTGTTTTCTTTTTATTGAAAGGGAGGTATTAGTCCATTTTCGCACTGCTATAAAGAACTACCTGAGATTGGGTAATTTATAAAGAAAAGAAGTTTAATTGACTCACTATCCTGTATGGTTGTGGAGGCCTCTGGAAAGTTATAATCATGGTGGAAGGCAAAGGAGAAGCCAGGCACGTCTTATGTGTTGGCAGGAGAGAGAGAGAAAGAGAGAGAGGAACCACTACGCACTTTTTTTTTTTTGAGATGAGGTTTCACTCTGTCACCCAGGCTGGAGTGCAGTGGTGTGATCTCAGCTCACTGCGACCTCTGCCTGCTGGGTTGAAGTGATTCTTATGTCTCAACCTTCCAAATAGCTGGGATTATAGGTGTGTGGCGCCATGCCTAGCTCATTTTTGTATTTTTTTACTAGTGACAGTTTCGTCATGTTGGCCAGGCTGGTCTTGAACTCCTTACCTCAAGCGATCCACCTGCCTTGGTCTCCCAAAGTTCTGGGCTTACAGATGTGAGCCACTTCGCCTGGCCCTGCCACACACTTTTAAGCCATCAGATCTCATGAGAACCCACTCATGAGACAGCACTAGGGGAATGGTGCTAAATCATTAGAAACCACCCTCATGATCCAATGACTTCCACCAGGCCCCACCTTCAATACATGGGGATTACAATTTGAGATAAGATTTGGGTAGGGACAAAGAGCCAGACAGTATCACAGACTTTCAAGGGAAATTAAGAAAGGAATGAATATCTATTGAATGCTCCTATGTGCCAGAGCAATTGTTTTATTATTATAGCAATCTATAAAGTTACTTTCAATTTACAGAAGAGAAAAGTATCACAGACTTTAATAAAATTGCCCAAGGTCACACACCTAACTCTTGATCAAGAAAGGAGCTGAAACTGTGTCTATTCAAAACTCAGTGAGAAGAGATACAAGAAGGATGGTTTTACTGAAATGTAGTTTCACCAGCCTCATAGGGACTGCGGTATTCATAATTCTAAGATGGACCCCAAGATTCTTAGCTTCTGCTAATATACATACCTTCTCCCAATGGTTCAAACAATATCTAGGCACTGCTATAAAGGGATTTTAGAGATTTAACTAGGCCTAAATCAGTTTACATTAACATAGGGATATTATCTGGGCAAGCTGACTAATCCCAACAGATCTTTACATCTGGGTTAAGAAGTCAGAAAAAGATGAAATCAGAAATTGGAAGCATGAAGACTCAATGCAGTGTTGCTGGTTTGAAGACAAAGAAGATTATTTGGCAAGAAATGGAAGTGGTCTCTAGTAGCTGAGAGTGGTCCACTGTTGGTAGCCAGCAAGAAATGGGAAATTCATTCATACAGTCACACAAAAATAAATAAATTATGTCTACAACTGGTTAACTTGGAAGAAAACCCTGATCCTCAGATGGGAATAATAGCTCCAGCTGAAATCATGATTTAAGCCTGACAAGACCCTGAGCAGAGGGCCCACCTACTTTACCTGGGCTCCTGACCCTCAAAAAGAATGAGGTAGTAAGTTTTTGATGTTTTAGGCCACATGGCTTATAGTCATTTGTTAGGTAGTAATATAAAACAAATACAGATTTTGGTATGAAAAGTGGTGTGCTGCTATAATAAATAATTAAAATATGTGGAGTACATACTTGGAACTGGATAGTGGGGAGAGAATGGAAGAATTCTGAGGCATATGGTAGAGGAAGCCTATATTCCCTTGAACAGTTAGAAGAAATGTGAACATGAAAGACACTAACGGTGAAGGCTTAGAAGGAAATGAAGAGCATGATAGAGAAATCCCAACTGGCTTTGGACAGATTGCAGGTGGAAATCTTGAACTTAAGGATTCTGATGGTGATGCTCACAAGGAAGTTATGAGTATGTTACTGGAAAGTGAAGGAAGGGAGATCCTTGTTAGGTAGTGGCAGAATGTAGAGCAAAACTATATTCTGCAGCTATCTGGAAAGCAGAACTTTTAAGTAATAAATGCAGCTGTATAGATAAGGAAATTTCAAGCAAGGTGCAAAAGGTTTTTCTCATTTCTTCTTGTCACTTATGGTAAAATTTGAGAGGAGAGACAAAAATTACGGAAAAAACACATTAAACAAAATCAATTGTTAAGCAAGTGTCCCCTGCAGGAAAAGATACAGTAGAGGGGTTAGCCGGATGCTGTGTGATACACATACATAGGCAGAACACTGGAGCACATGCTGAATCTGAAAGAGGGAAAGATATTCCCACACAAGGTCATAAGTCCAGTACAGGATGTGAGGACTCTATCTCTTGGTTGAGTTGCAAGCTCAACTCCTATTCTTATACGGCCGAAAGAGGGTCCAAAGACTGAAACACATCAGACTGCCTTCCCAAATTAAACAAGGATCTGATGATTGGGGAAGTGTGTAGCCTATCCATATGGTGGAAGATTCTAAAATTAAGATATTGCTTCCAAAATATGGCATAGAGTAAAAGACAAGGCTGTGGCCATATAATTGTTTGCTAAAACCTTAGAAAGAAAAAAAAGTCAGTCACAGGAAAGGATATTTTAAAAGATTAAGAGTATGCCTTACAGATCCTCTCAAACAGACTAGATCACCTGTAGGAAGCTTAAGAGAGTTGGCTCCTGACCATTGCAGCAGGAGCACAAAAAAAAAAAAAAAAGGGTGGGGGGTAATCTCCAAAAGATGATTTGTAGCTGTGGCTTTTGTTTAATAGCGGGAAATCAGGAAATCCAGCACAATTCCCAGAAGATTGATATATTTCTTGAGAAAATTATATCAACAAAAATACATCCAGGTTGGATTGAAAAGGACAGAGAAAGTAGGAAATGAAAAGAAGCTACCATATATCTGAAATTCCACTGTGTAGAAGCAGGCTGATGAAACTGCTTAATTGCAAATGCTTGCTGTCTTTAATGACTACAGAAGGATGACTCAGAATGTGAAATCAAGAGCCCCGATTATGACGCTGAGAGCCATAAAGGATTGGTCCCAGGCCTTGAAGCCGGATCAAGGAACTCTGGCCTAACTGGATTTCAAAATTGCTTTGGCCCAGCGACTCCTTTTACTTTGCACTTTTATCTTTTTTGAAATAGAATGTCTATAACTTTAACGTATGCCAATTCCACTGTTGTTGCAAGGAAACATAATTTAGGCGCATGATTTTATCTTCAGTTTCATAGGTCCACAGATACAAAGAAAATCTGACCCAGGATGGATTATAACCTGGGGTCTGATCAGTCCTAATTTCGAGCATTTAAATGTTAAATGGTGAAATTTAGATTTAATAAATGATGAAATGTTAGATTTGAGCTGCCACTATAATGGAATGAGATTCTTGGAAAGCTTAGGAAAGGATGAGTCTATTTTGCATTTGGGAGATACATGAATCTTTTTTGGGAACAGAGGACAGACTGTGTTAGGCAGAATTTTAAGTGACCTCAGAGATTTCTGGACTCTGGTGTACACATGCCTTCTCCCATTATTCAATCAAATATTCATCTAGCTACTGCTGTGAAGGGATTTTTCATACATAATCAAGAACCTAAATAGTTTAGTTTTCTTCTAAACTACATGGCAAAGACAAAAGAGTATTTTTAAGTAGATTATTTGTTGAATTAAAGTTGTTTTGAATAACAAAGTTAAATAATTGATATAAAGTGACCACTGTTCTCCTAAATTAAATATTATTTGCTTTCTTTTATGTAGTCCTAGAATTATCATGTAAATTACTACACTTCAAAAGAATCCCTCAATTTGTCAAATGATAAGATAATCATTACCTCTGATTATTCTTTTGTCTGAAGAGTCTGATGTGCCTCCCATTCACTTCTAGGTCACCAGTATTAATCTCAGATGCCTTGTTTTTTCTATTTTTTTCTTTTCTCTGTTCCTTTTTGTTTTACGTAGTTGTCCCTGGAATTTACTTTGAGCCCAGTTATTTTAACTTAATCTATAGTTTTTGAAAATAATGTTACATTTCCATAGATTCTATTTTAAACACTTTTACGGTATATCTTTATTTATATAAACAATGTAGACATTTTATTTTAGACTATCTTTGGTGTGTCAGAACTTTTGGGCATTCATTAGAATAGATATGTACTCAGTTTCTCTGGGTATTTGTGGTAGTCAGTGCTAATAAAAGGGCTCTTACGTAATAAAAATTTCACTTTTCTGGGTATCACAGCGATACAGTCCAGGCCCATATCATATATAAACCTAGTGCCAGCAAAAGAATAAGAGCTAATTGTTCTGAATGGAACCATAAAGTCTGTCACCACATGAATTGGTGACCGGATTTGTTCTGCTGAAAGATCCATCAGTGAATTGGACTATCAATTTAAATTTGACTGAATTCAAACCAGATGACCTTTATAAAAGCCTCATGGGCACTATTGGGGAGGAAAATGAAAGAGTAGTATAGAACTTCAACTGCCACATTATATATAATAATGATTTTAACTACTTTATTCTAAATACCAAATTCCAGATTGTTGTAGACTCCTTTGAATATATGGCTGAGAACTTCACTTTAGAAAAGATATAAAGTCCTCAATATTACAAGGTGAAACTAATTTTCCAAACAGAACTCACCTAAAAAGGGTTACTATTTCAAGCTGAACACTGCTTCTTCCTTTGCTTTGACTTTTCTCTGTGAAGTTGAAGTTATTTAAACTTCACTATATGTTGGTAATGCTAAGATTGATTCCATTTCATTTAGTGATCCTTATTTTGGAATAACGTTGATTTTTTTCTGCAACATGAATGGGGTATTTGCAATTTCTGAGATAAGGAATAGTTCAAATGAGAGCAGGAGTGAGAAAGGTCTAAGATAATTTAATTAACAAATATTTATTCCTAACCAAGTTCACCAGCTGAAATAGAACTAATAGCTATTGATATTCTAAACTTATTCATAATCTTACCAAATGGACATTATCGAAATTGTATGGGTTTTACCTCCACAATATTCTTTGCTTTGGACACATCATTACTTTATTAATTGTCCTTTTGCTGTATATAATGTATGCATGGGTACACATATATGCACATGCATTCTATTTGTCATGCAGACTCTCTAAAGCAACCCAAGAAATGTCAGCAGACCTCCTGGAGGCAGGAAGTGAGACTCATTTCAATTTCAAACTACATTAATTCTGAATGAAATCAAAGCTATTCTCACATTTATTATGGCAACCTGGTACAAGTGAAAAATTGCAGAATTTTAATAAAGCCATTTCCATTGGTTTCCTTACATTCCTGCAAACTCATAAATCAATTTCTGTCAGCCTTTACAAATTTATCAGTTCTTATGAGTAAACGTGACAGCCAAATACTATTTAAATCTATAAAGCTATATCTCTGTTAGTGAGCTAAATAAAGTGTTGGCCTCAAAGATGCCCTCTTTGTTATTTAGAGTTTATTTATTTCTAGCTCATTTAAACTATCTGAAGCAACAGGAAATATTTTACCCAGAGCAACAAAAACAACAAAGATTAAGTCAAAAGTCTATGTTTCTTTAACGGTCGAGTACAAAATAAAATTAAATTGAAAATCAAGTTAAAGTAAGAAAAGCAAAATGCTTTATTCAATTTTTTAAAAGAAGGGAAAAAAAACCTATGCATGTGAATTATACTGTAAAAAAATACCTCTTAGTATCTTTGAAATTTACTCTTTAGATCCTTAACACCTTTGCATACACATGGTAAACATTAATTTCTGGGTAATAAAAATGTGATTTAATGCCACATTCACAGCTTTATGCATATTCCAAATGTCTCAGCAGACTAATTAGAAGTATCACATTTTATGGAATGAGCATTCCTCCTTATTTTCTTGGTCTCTAACTACTGTGTAAAATTTAAATAAATGAGGTATGTCTACAGCAGAGAGAAAGGTGGAGAAAATGCTAAGTAGAACTGTAGTTAGGCTAATAAGGTGAATGTTTTGGGTCTATAATTTTTGCACCAACAAAATTTCTTTAGAAGGGTCACAGTCAGAAAGTGAAGATAATCAGACAAGTAAGATTTCTGAACATTACAGAATTTATGACATTATCCAAAGCAGTAACTCCTCAGGCCAGTTGAGTAGATGTTAAGAAACAGTCAATAGTCCTAATTTGTGTCTATTATTTCTTACTGCCAGTCAGGTGGCTTTGTAATTGAAATGCTCAGTAATAGTTTTCTACCTAAATTCTAATGATGCCCTTTATAATTCTCTTTTTAATGCAGTTCCTGAACTTTAGAAAGGTTGTTCACTGCCAAATGTCAGTTCATTGTGAAGTGCTGTATTGGAAAACCTCTTGGTTTTTAAAAAAGATGAAGTATTGTTCATTATGCCTGTTGAAAATTGCATTGTCCAATCATATGCTAAATTGTTGATCAGTTGTCTCCTATCAAATAACAGGTAGAAAAAGATTAATAACTTATTTTCTAATTTAACAAATATGCCATATGTAGAATATTTGAAAATAATATTTTAAAAGAAAATGCACAATTTATTAAATTACAAAAGCTTATCATAAAAACTTTATGGTCACTTAATTTGTGAACTCTAGTAAAGAATTATTATCATAGAATCACCATTAAAATGATCAGGTAAAATTTATCATCATCACTTTCCATCCAATTCATACCTTCTGGAAATAATTTTCTCCTTTTCTATTTTGGAATCAAAGATCTTTTTGCTCATCCTGCTTTTTTGATTGATTGTTAAAACATGTGAACCCAGAGTTTCTGAGATATACAAGTTAATAATTAAATTTAGTTTTTAATAAAAAGAACAAAAAAAACCACAGAATTTTTCAGAGTAAAAAAATTATTTTTATTCAATTTGTTATTTAAAAATTGGATGGCAATTGGACAACTTCAAAACTATGTCCCACAATGAGCAAATATAGTTTAAATATAGTTTAAATTTAGTGGGAGAGACTGAAAAATGCGTGTATTTTTGACATCTGGATATTGATTAAGATTAAGATCCCTAAAACTAGAAGATCAAAACGAAAAGCCAACTAAAATTTTATTTATCCTATTATGGAGGAAGTTTAATATAATTTATTCTGTTTATACCTATTTAACTGATATGTTAATTTACAAACATATTGAACAAAGGTACATGTGTCTCTTGGGATTTGCAGCTTCGGGAGATTAAGAATTTTAGATTTGCTTTTCTTACGGAGCTCTGTCAGAAGTCGTTTATGGGTAAATTATTCTGATTAGGACTAGACGGTTTCTCAGGAATGCCATAAAATAAATCTAAATGTCTCAGCTGTGTTTCTGGTCCAGCAACACCCTCATTAAAGAAACACCACACAATTGCTATGTTGGCAGCCTTGATTTTAAACACCACTCTAGGTTGCACGTAAAAGAGAATAAATTACCTTCTTATTCTTCTAAAAGTCCATAGTGCTTGTAATTTAGTATTGAGAGGCACTCTGAGAACAATGTCCAGAAGCATAAACTACTTCTCCCATAAGGGTATGATACCTGTGAAACAGATGTCATTAACCACAACTCTCAATTTTTCATGTTTTACAGGCAAAGCCAAATATTTTAGGAATTATGTAACCACTCTTAATAAGTGATAAGTAAAAATACTCCCAAGTTAAATTTCATTTCCAGTTTCAGAGGACTTCATTATCCTTAGAAAAATCAATAATCAGAATATGAGAGAAAAAGAAAACTGAATTTGAAAGCTCAAGACACTAAAAAATTAAGATTTCAGTGGGGCTTCAGTCATGTCATATATCAATTACAATATTTTTCTGTGGTGCTGATTCCAAAATACAGACTCTCTAGCCTATGTATTTAACTGAGACGATCCCTTAGGGTTTGAAAATATGAGAAACTGGCTCTGTCAGAATGCAGACTGCTTAGAGGTAAATGTTCAGTATCAAATCTGCTCTTATTTTTAAAATGTGGCTTTTGGAATAGTTGTTTACCGCTTATTATGATGTTGCCAAGTGTCATTTGTGCTGAACTGCTTTAAAAATATGAAGAATTATATGTCTCAGAGCTAAGAAAAAATACTGGATGTGAATAAAATACTTTGCCCTAAAATCCCATTACGAAAAATGGACAAATTTTGATTACCTATGCACATGCCATGGATTCACATGATAAAGGACAGAAAACAAACATAGTTTCTTTGCATCATCATAAGATAATCCACAAGTTACGTGGATTTGTATAAAATTTTATTTTAGTAAATTGACCTCATTGACTTTGTTCTCGTTATCATGATGACAGAATCATTGAACTGATTGAAATATTTGACAATACATGCTTTTAGCATTTTGATTCTTTGTTCAGATGAGGAAGAAAATGTTCAATTCAGTTTAATGTACATTTAATGAGCACTTACTCTGTTGCAGTCACTATATCAGACACTGAGATGCATAATGAATAAACTAGAGACTTTATGTATTCATCTAGTTATTGCATGTTCAACTCTTATGGACTTTCCAACTAAGAACAATAACAACAAAAATCAAAACAAATTAATCAAAACAAAAATCTTCAAAAGTCATCCCAAACATAAAATAATTGAGTTTCAACACAAATATTTCCTTTTCTTTCTCCCACCCACTTTTCACTGTAATTCTCACTGTATAAATAAAATTACTTAAAAGTTTCCCAGTCGAGAAACAGAAGCAATGAAAATTAGGTAATTTATTCAGTGTTTCCAGAAGCCACTTAAAATTAGCAGGTGTGGGAGAAGAAATACAGATCTCTGGCTTTGTATTGAATAGAAGAATTGGATTAAAAGACTATGCCCTAAATCTGGCTCCAAAGCCTCCCATTTTTGTAATTTGGTACAGTTGTGTGACTTTGGAAAAGTCACTTAAATTTGTAGCACCTTAACCAATTCACCTGTAAAATGACGTATAATACCTTTCCTTTCTAACTTACAAGGTCAAAATGCTGATTAAATGAAATAGTATACATACGGAAACACAATTCAATATTCTCAGTTTTGTAATTAATAGATATTTAATGCAAAATCGCTTGCAGAAATTAAAGGTTTCTCATATTAAGAAATGCCAAACATTCTGAATTGTCAAAAAATGGGCACTGCCAGGTGCAGTGGCTCATGCCTGTAATATAAGTGGCTTTGAGACTCTGAGGCAGGAGGATCATTTGAGGCCAGGGGTTTGAGAGAAGCCTGGGAAACATAGTGAGAACCCCAGCTCTACAAAGTTTTTTTAAAAAATTAGCTGGGCATGATGGTGCACATCTGTAGTTTCAGCTACTCAGGAGGCTGAGGCAGGAGGATCACTTGAGCCCAGGAGTTTGAGGCTGCAGTGAGCTATAATTATGGCACTGCACTCCAGCCTCAGTGACAGAACAAGACCCTGTCTCAACAAAAGACGTGGGACACCAGATGAAGTTATTAAATTTAATAGATACGGTAGTTAAAGTGATATTTTCACTTATCCATGTTCAAAAACCAATTTTCTGAGTTTGTTTTTGTTTGTTTCTTTTTATAACAAAGGCTTATACTCTTAGTTAAAGCCCCTTTTGGGATATGCTATATTAATGCTCTGAATAACACTCTGAAGATTTTTTATAAGTTTCAAGAGCTGATATTTTGAAAATGTCTATATTCTAGAACCTGGTGGACAAAGTAATACATCCAGCAATAGAAGTAAACCCTGCAAATGAAATGGTCTTTCAAAGATGCCAAAGCATTATTGGTGCCCTTATGGAGTTGACAGGAAGCCAAAGCTGAAGAGCATATTTTAATCACTTGATTTAATTCGATTACCACTGTAGCTATTATAAGAAAACGATTTCCAATTCTGTGAAGAAAGGCATTGGTAGCTTGATGGGGATGGCATTGAATCTGTAAATTACCTTGGGCAGTATGGCCATTTTCACGATATTGATTCTTCCTACCCATGAGCATGGAATGTTCTTCCATTTGTTTGTATCCTCTTTTATTTCATTGAGCAGTATGGAACCAAAAAAGAGCTCGCATTGCCAAGTCAATCCTAAGCCAAAAGAACAAAGCTGGAGGCATCACACTACCTGACTTCAAACTATACTACAAGGCTACAGTAACCAGAACAGCATGGTACTGGTACCAAAACAGAGATATAGATCAATGGAACAGAACAGAGCCCTCAGAAATAACGCCACATATCTACAACTATCTGATCTTTGACAAACCTGAGAAAAACAAGCAATGGGGAAAGGATTCCCTATTTAATAAATGGTGCTGGGAAAACTGGCTAGCCATATGGAGAAAGCTGAAACTGGATCCCTTCCTTACACCTTATACAAAAATCAATTCAAGATGGATTAAAGACTTAAACTTTAGACCTAAAACCATAAAAACCCTAGAAGAAAACCTAGGCATTACCATTCAGGACATAGGCATGGGCAAGGACTTCATGTCTAAAACACCAAAAGCAATGGCAACAAAAGACAAAATTGACAAATGGGATCTAATTAAACTAAAGAGCTTCTGCACAGCAAAAGAAACTACCATCAGAGTGAACAGGCAACCTACAAAATGGGAGAAAATTTTCGCAACCTACTCATCTGACAAAGGGCTAATATCCAGAATCTACAATGAACTCAAACAAATTTACAAGAAAAAAACAAACAACCCCATCAAAAAGTGGGCAAAGGACATGAACAGACACTTCTCAAAAGAAGACATTAATGCAGCCAAAAAACACGTGAAAAAATGCTCATCATCACTGGCCATCAGAGAAATGCAAATCAAAACCACAATGAGATACCATCTCATACCAGTTAGAATGGCAATCATTAAGAAGTCAGGAAACAACAGGTGCTGGAGAGGATGTGGAGAAATAGGAACACTTTTACACTGTTGGTGGGACTGTAAACTAGTTCAACCATTGTGGAAGTCAGTGTGGCGATTCCTCAGGGATCTAGAACTAGAAATACCATTTGACCCAGCCATCCCATTACTGGGTATATACCCAAAGGACTATAAATCATGCTGCTATAAAGACACATGCACACGTATGTTTATTGCGGCATTATTCACAATAGCAAAGACTTGGAACCAACCCAAATGTCCAACAATGATAGACTGGATTAAGAAAATGTGGCACATATACACCATGGAATACTATGCAGCCATAAAAAATGACGAGTTCATGTCCTTTGTAGGGACATGGATGAAATTGGAAATCATCATTCTCAGTAAACTATCGCAAGAACAAAAAACCAAACACCGCATATTCTCATTCATAGGTGGGAATTGAACAATAAGATCACATGGACACAGGAAGGGGAATATCACACTCTGGGGACTGTGGTGGGGTGGGGGGAGGGGGGAGGGATAGCATTGGGAGATATACCTAATGCTAGATGACGAGTTAGTGGGTGCAGCGCACCAGCATGGCACATGTATACATATGTAACTAATCTGCACAATGTGCACACGTACCCTAAAACTTAAAGTATAATAATAAAAATAAATTAATTAATTAATTAAAAAAAACCAATAGAAATCTAAAAAAAAAAAAAAAAAAGAAAACGATTTATACTACCTAAGTAATAAATATATATATGAGAGTTGCTTGGCAGATCAATGGAAGAACAACATTTACTAAAAACTGAATTCTTATGGTTTTAGAGGTAACAAACTTTGTAAGGTCTGAGCCAATACATACTTTCCATATTATATGAAATGATTATCCCTATAGACACTTTGATTTATTCTTAAAATTGATGTAGCTAATTTGGAATTTGATTATCTTTATCTTTAGACAGGGAACAGTGTCCATTTATTCTGAAGTCGGGATGCAGCTTTTGGACACTTTTTGATAGTTTAGAACGAAGCAAAGGGAGTTGCTGCGTCTGCCTATCTGTGTCCCCCAAAAGAATTTGCAAAGCAGCTGAAGACAAACTGTCATCAGTAAGGGAAAGAAATTTCACAGATTAAAAAAAAAAAAAAACTTATCAGGATTTGAGTCTAAGGGTCAACTGATGTTTGATTTATGAATCTTGTTTGGGAAATACTAAAGGAGTGAGTTCATGTGAAAACATCTACCCTGAACTTTTCTTTCAAGATATATCAATGGGATTTTTAGACAATGAATAAAAAGAAAAAGAAAGATCAGAAAAGGTCACATTTATTTTGGGTCTGGGAGATTGTGCTTTTATCAGAAAAGAGGAATTTTGACAAAAATTAACAGCAATAACAAAAAAAAATTCTGATTTGACAGCGAGGTTCCTGCACATGAGGTTGCAATGTCTGAGTGGGGGCGATTTGCTAACATGAAGAAATACTTTTCCAGACAATTGGTTAGAGGGTGCAGGTGGCAGGTGTGGTAAAGGTGTCAGCTGAATATTAATTGGCCACAGAATTGGATACCACTTGTTCTCTTTCAAACATAAGCTTGAAGATGTTTCTCTTTCAAACATGAGACCAGAAGGTGACACTTAAAACCCCTACATTCAAAACAGCTCAGTAGTTTTTAAAATTCTTCAAAATGGCCAATGTTGTTTCCTCTACTTAAATGCCCAGAACTTCTAGCTAGATTTATTTACCTATTTACTACTTAAAACAATTAAACTATTAGTGCTAAAGAACAACTACAGCAATAATATTGAATAAAATGCCTTCTTTTTATTTTTGGATTTTTATATATTTGGTTTATTTTATAGCCTGCAACACAATCTAGTAAGATGGAAAGAGCAATAATTTTGGAGTCATAAAACCAGACTTGGAAACTTTGCTCTAGCACTAAAAAGATACTGGATTTTTTGAAGATTACAGAATCAAAGTGCTAGCTTCTTCATCTATAAGATGGCAACAATAAAGTTAAGTGCTTTTTTAGAAGAACATGAATTAAATAAAACAATTTCTGAATTTTCTGGACCATTGCCCACCAAACAAAAATTGTCCAATGAGTGTTCAATTCTCTTCTTCCATAGGAAATGAGACACATCTGATATTAGCTACCTATTACACTTATTGGACATTTCTTTTTACTGTTACATGGGTATAAGATAAATCTATTCCATCTCTTTTTCTTTCAGTTCTATTCGGCCAATTGAAAGTGTTCTCTCAAAATTTAATATAATTCCAAGGATAACAGTTTTGTATTCTACTTCTCCTTCTTTGACTATATGCTTACTTTTAGATAGAAACAGAAGAAATTTTTTATCGTGATATGTATTGTAAATCCATACAGTATTGTTTTGACACAATTTTCTAATGCTGCTTAAAAAGTTAACAGCTGCAGACAAGAGAATTCCATCTCACAGTTGAATTTTACAGCATCACAAGACAGCATATGTGCTCATCTACAGTATGGCAAACTTGTCCACAGTTCCTCAAAGAGCAGATAAGTTTTTCATGGTAGAAGAAAAACATGTCGTCTTGGGAATAAAACAATTATAATCTCTCTGTTTGATTTTTGTTCTGTTTTCTAGAGAGCTTTAAGTGTTATTTTATTTTCTGATTAACCCAAGGAGAGCAATTGAAGATTTTGTCTCCATTTTTCAAGACCGGTGATTTGATATTGTAAAAGGACCCAACTTTGTTAAAATCCAAATATAATAGTGAGCTTTAGTAAGCAATAAATAAGAATCAAATATTGATGATGAGGATGCAGTGCCGCTAATAACAAAGCTATAGGCTACAGAGAAAAACAAAACCTTAAATTCTAGCTATAGTTTCATTCAGCAAATCATCTTGGGAAAGTGATTGAACCACTTTATGTCTTAGGTTCCTCAACCATAAAACAGAAACAGTAGAGACGTAGGCAGGCTAGCTAGCCCTAAAATTGGGGCTTAGTCTGGGAGGATTCTTGGGTAAATTAGTGGTGTTAAAATAGCAATCTTTTATTGAACTGAAGCTTCTCCTTTGTGGAGCGAGACTAACATGTAGGCAGCGTGTCAGAGCCTTATTTTTGGGCTGTTGGCAACTGTATTTAAATCCACTTATGCTCCCTTTTGATTAATGCAAAATCAGGCACATGTTACTGCAAATTGAGGGGTGAGTTGTTTAGAACTTTGTAGGAAAGGGGCAGTAACTTCCAGGTCATTGCCATGGAAAGGGCCAGTAGCTTCCCGGTCATTGCCATGTTATTTGTAAATTGTCATGGCATTGGTGGAAGCGTCTTATGGTAATATGCAAGGAGGGCAGCTGGGGATCATTTTTCCTTGCCATCTGCTGGGTTCAGCAGATTTCTTCACATTATCCTATCTGGAACAGATCCTACTTTGGTCAGCAGGGTTGTGACAAGAAAACAAGTCATGCAGGGCTGGGCGTGGTGGCTCACGCCTGTAATCCCAGCACTTTGGGAGCCTGAGGCGGGTGGATCACGAGGTCAGAAGATCGAGACCATCCTGGCTAACATGGTGAAACCCCGTCTCTACTTAAAATACAAAAAATTAGCCAGGCGTGGTGGCGGGCACCTGTAGTCCCAGCTACTAGGGAGGCTGAGGCAGGAGAATGGCGTGAACCCAGGAGGCAGAGGTTGCAGTGAGCCGAGATTGTGCCACTGCACTCCAGCCTGGGTGACAGAGTGAGACTCCGTCTCAAAAAAAAAAAAAAAAAAAAAAGAAGACAAGTCATGTAGGTATCCTAATTCAATAGTAAACATTTTATAAAGTCAGCTTGAGAATTAAATGAGATAAACTTGAAAGCATAGTATAGTCACTGGCACATTATAAGCTCCCAATATGTTTTGCTTTTATTATGACAATATAATGATAACTATACATACTCCCATATAAACATATTCGAAATGGGATGAACATTAATCTACTCAATTATTTAGTTGGTATTAAACACTAATTGTGCCATCTGCATTTTTGATAGACACTTACTTCCTCTTCAGTCTATAAGATACTGGCACACTGGAGTTTGGTTGGAGTAGAGAACTGTGAATTTTCTGTTAATCAGCTTATTTCAAAATGTAAGATAATACAAAGTAACACTGTCTCATGCCTGTAATCTCAGCAATTTGGGAGGCTGCGGTGGGTGAATCACTTGAGGTCAGGAGTTCAAGGCCAGCCTGACCAACATGGTGAAACACCATCTCTACTAAAAATACCAAAAAAAAAAAAAAAAAAAAAAAATAGCCGGGTGTGGTGGCACACGCCTGTAGTCTCAGCTACTAGGGAGGCTGAGGCAGGAGAATTGCTTGAACCTGGGAGGAGGAGGTTGCACTGAGCCAAGACTGTGTCACTGGACTCCAGCCTGGGCAACAGAGCGAGATTCCCTCTTAAAAAAAGAAAACATACAAACAAACAAAAAAACAAACTAATACCTATAAAGCATTCTTGTCAAACAAATCAATTAAAAAAAACCAAACTTGAATCTGATGAAGCCTCTAGAATTCCATAATATTGTAGAGTTTTCATGGGGATATCTAATTTAAAAATACACAGCATCATACCAAGCTTATTTATCTGTGAGTAATAAAATTTGGGCTATTTGGACTTTCTAAAGTCTATGGGACATGTAATAACAGCTTAAATGTAGCAATAGAAGGGGTACAAGGGATAGAAAGATGAGCAGACTTCAAAGAGATTTTAAGGAGGAGCATTGCTTAGAGACAGGGATTAGTTGGGATGCTGTTAGAGAAAGGCTGAGGTTTTCCCAGGTCCAAAGAGAGGGTTATTGCCAAGTTTGATAGTTCTATAGAAGGAAAAGTAGACAGAAGGCAAGGAGAGATGGTTTATTAAAAGGACAGTTTGTGACATGTTAAAGTTAAAGCATAGGCTATCTAGGGGGAATGTGAAAGGGCTGAAATTTAGGGAAGGGTGTAGGCTAAACATACAGCTGGTACAAATCAAACAACAAATTAACTGACCAATAAAACATTTTCTTAAAAAAAAAAAAAAACATGTTGGCTCCTTTTTGGATCCCACATAGAGAAAGTTTCCTCTGCAAAAAGCTGAACTGTTTGTAGGCAGTATTTTTTATTATAAATACTCTTTCCTTTTTGAAAAACTTTATTTTCTTATCCTGTTGTTTTCTTGCCTTCTGTTGGGATTGTCTGTAGACTTTACAGTAAAGGAAAATTAATGCTTATAAAATAGTTAAATTTGTGAGCATACTTTGAAAAATTATTTTAATTGTTTACCAAAAAGGAACAAAAATGTATTGTTTTACTAGACTGAAAATATTTTCTTTTTATTTATCCTTTCAAAACTTGCCTTTATTTGTCTTGCCCTCCTCATGTAGAGAAACAGCAGGAAGTAGATTTTTTTTTAATACAAGAATTCATTATCACCCTTGTATTACCTCCCTGTGGATTCTAGAAGAATGCAATCCTGACTATAATCCTTGGCTGCGGTGTTTGCCTATGCATGTTTTGAAAATGATTGCAGCTATTTCATATTATCAGACCTCTAAATTATCCTTTTCAAAAAGTTGCTCAATTTATTTTTCTCATCCTTTCTCCTTGTCTTGGCTACAGGAATTATAAGCTCATGGTTTTTCTGACCATCTTATATAATTTGAATATTCACTTTCTTCTTTTAAAAAAAATCTAATAAAAAACCAAAGCCCTATTATGGTCCTGAATATTAATGAATACGTAAATGCAATCAATTTAGAAATTGAATTTGCTGAGGTAGAGCAAACTAAAATCCACATGGAAAAGGAAAATCAGCTTTACACTGGAGAATTTTGTGGTAAAGAAAAAAACTAATAAAAGACGATTTTGAAAAGTCATTTGCTAATAAGAAAGACACTTGAAACAGCATTGTAGTAAGCATCGATAAACTCTGGGATTAATGCCTCATGCATGTAAAGTAAACATTTTTTTCTGGGTACCATTTAGTTTATTGGAAAATAATTTGCTTCACATATCTAGGATAGCTGATATACCTAAGTGGTAATACGAATTAAGCAAAGTAAAAGTCAATGTCAATGAGAGTAAGAATGAGTTACAGTGGATTTACTTGACAGTTTCTCTCATTATGAATCAAACAAACAAAAATTTTAAGTAAAAACAATGTTTTTATAGGTGTAAGATCTCCATTTGGTTAGTTTAAATGGCTGTTTTAATACCTGGACATTTTTCGATGCATGTTGAATTTCTCTTTCCAATAAAATCCTGGTGTCTGAAATATTCCCGATATAAGATCTTGACATAGGGAGATTTCATCTAAATGTGAATTAACACGTGTTGGTACTTAAACAATGCAATGTAAAGCTTAAGCGTTTAATTGTATTTGTTATACAGTACTTTATGTTCTATTTTGTCTCAGGATCTAAATGAGACTGGGACATTAAGGATACAAAATAAATAAAACAGAATAGAGCAATAGAAGTGGCACCTTTAAAGAACCTTGGGCTGTAGAACCTGAGTAAGCATTACCTCTTCTCCAAACTAATAAATAAATGAAAGTAGTGTATTATTGAAGAGTATACACAATTTTTTTCTAGCCATTCTGAAAATGAAGAAATATTTTTCATATTGGGATATGTAGAGATTGGTGTGTAAGCTGTTTGATCACCAGCTATGTGTATATATATATATATATTTATTTATTTTTTAGACAGAGTTTTGCTCTTATTGCCGAGGCTGGAGTGCAATGGCGCGACCTCGGCTCACCGCAACCTCTGATCCTGGGTTCAAGCAATTCTCCTGCCTCAGCCTCCCGAGTAGCTGGGATTACAGGCATGCACCACCATGCCTGGCTAATTTTGTATTTTTAGTAGAGACGGGGTTTCTCCCTGTTGGTCAGGCTGGTCTCGAACTCCCAATCTCAGGTGATCTGCCCTCCTCGGCCTCCCAAAGTGCTGGGATTACAGGTGTGAGCCACTGCGCCCGACCCACTTTTCTTTGAAGGTGAAAAGAAGGTAATTAAAAAGTCTGGATTTAACTTTTACCTCTATGAAAGACCAACTTATGAATAGGCCAGGAAACTTAGAAGAAAATATGAATGGACAGAATTGTGGACATAGTCAGATGTGTAGTTTGCGTTTCAGAAAACAAACTCTGATAAGTCAAAAAATATAGCTATAGCCCATAACATGCGTAATGTGGGAATGGAAAGCCAGAGTAAACGTAAAATTTTTCCATCTATTAGGAATTTCAAAATTATGGCAATTAAAGATACCAATATGGCTACACAGGACACAGGACAGAACATTTGTAAGAGTGTAACATAAAAAAATGAATATGTAATCTTAAATTCCTATCATATTCTTAACTATCAAAGTTCAGGCAGGAACAAACACATTAAGAGAAAAGATGTATTTCTCTAGCATTTCTTATCTGCATATGTTCTGATATTGTGGAGTCATATACAAATATTTATGATGACAGTCACTATTATTGAAAATACATTTTAGACCTTACAGTAGCTAACAAACATCACATTTTCAAGCTTTATCTCCCTCATAGCAAATATCATCTTATTTCTCACCACATAAGAGCTGTTTTTATGAGGATTTGATATCTTACTTGCTCAGACTAAAAATGCCACATTCAGACATCTGTCTCATTTTCAATCCAATCTGATTTCCAGAATAAATGAGAAAGTATACATAATAGGCAAAACTATCATGACAGACGCAATAACTTAGCTTAAAATTCAGATGTTATTAAGTGATAATTATTAAAAAGTGGGCTTTGGCATTATAGACACAGAGAATAATAAGTCTTTAACCAAACAACCACAAACAGAAATTCCAAACTGTCTTTGGTACCTAGTCTCCAACAATGATCTCTAGTGAACTACATCTCCCAGTATATCCTCCCGTAGTACCCTGTCTCACTGAATGTGGAAGAGGTGGTTGTTTGCCAGTTCTGGGCTGTGCCTTTGAGACAACTGTCAGCATCCTTTTCTTTGCTCTTGGGAGACCCCTTTTCATAAGCCATGATAGAGGAAGTCTGGCTCCCCTTCTGGAAATACCACGTGGAGCGCCCACATCAATGGAAGCCCTGAGACTGCGTGAATGAAAAGAAACCCACCTATACCAACATTTCAGTCTCACACACGGATGAATCCCCTCTTCACTACCATATAACTGCAAGTACATGGGGGTCCCCAAGTGAGAGCAGCACAAACACCTAAATTTGTCTAGTCAACCTCCCAAACTCTAAGATATAAAAACAGCTGTTATTTTAAAATATTAAGTTTTAGGGTAGCTTGGCACTAGAAATGGTTCCAGAGAAACAGAGCCTTAATATGGGAATCTGTAAGGAAGTGTCTGATCTAAGTAGATTTAGAGACATCCATGGGCCTGTTAGCATGAGTAGCTCATGGCATGCAGTGGCAAAACAGTTATTTGAATGATCACATGTAGTCACCTGTAACTAATGCCAACAGAAGGAAAGTTTTAGGTAAGCAAGGAGTAACTGCCATAAAAACATAAGGGTACATAAGAAATATAATGGGAGATGACTGGTTGTTTCTAAATGCATTGGAAAATAAGAAGAAAAAAAATAAAGAGCTTAGGGCTCTAAATTCTCTACCCAAGGTCCAAGTTAGCAATGAAAAAAAAATGCCCATGACTGCCCTAAACACTACCTTTATTTCCTGTAGTTTCATGGGCAAGGTTTCTGAGAACCCAATTTCTTCTTACTTAGTTGTATTTAGGTTTGTTCACACATTTGATTTTTACTTTCTCAAGAGTTAGGACCAAAATTCCAGTTATTATTACTTCAGGACCAAGCTCAATATCATGCACAATGGTTACCAAACACATGCTGAGTGAATAAATGAATACTTGAGAAGACATGGTTCAAAACAATCAATATGGTACAAAGTAGAGAGAAACAATGTTTACAATTAAATGCACTCTGATTTCATCTTAAGGAAGATGAGAAAGAGAAAATATCTGTCACCTACCATATGAGAATTAAAAATTCAACTTTTGACTCTCTTGATTCTATCTACTTGAAGAGACCTATGGGAAACATGTCTTGTATATGTTTTATATATAATATATATAATACTTATATATAATCGTTTTAGTGTTGCTTTTTGGTTTTCTACATATTTTAGTTAAAGATTAACCTTAAGAGATATATTTTTGGGGTAATTTTTTTTCTAAATTTAAATATTTAGGGCTCTAAATTCCACTTCCAGTCATGATAATTCAGTTACATTTTAAAAGAGGAAGCAAACTGTTTTCAGAATTCCCTTCTGATTTCTCACTTGAAAATGATTCCTTAAGTCAAATATTGTGATAATCATTTTTGAATATCAAGCAGCTTATATTTGTTACCTGATATGAAAAGCACATCAGCTGGAGCTTTTAGCCACAGTTATACAGAAGCACAGCTCACCATGATCCTGGTGGAAGGATTGGATTTCTGTTTCTATTAACTTTCCCCAAAGAGAAAAACACTTGGCTATTTACTTCTACTTCCTGTTCTGGGGTGTCATTGTTGCTGCTTCTGCATGACATAAACAGCCTGCTCAGCTTAAATTCACCAGACTTTTAGAATGTAATTTAGTATCTGCTAAAGCCTTAAGGTAAACAAACACACAGGCCAGACGATATTTCATATTGGAATATTCCCCATCCACCTATGTTATGAAGAGTGATCTTCACAGAGGTAGTTGCACTCTATTCTCTAAATTGTTTTTAAATTTTCTTGTGGCTGGCTTAAGTCAATAGAGCAGTGTAGTGTACCTTTTGAAAAATCTCCTGCCTCACTTCTCAATACTTTCCTTTTTTTTTTTTCATCTTAAGCAAGAGCAACTCACTGTCATACACTGTATAGTTATCCGTGATCTATTGGTCCAGCTCTGCTGGATTGAAGCCAGATTTCAACACTTAGCTCCCCCCTGGCGAACTACTTTCCCACCACTGGTTAAAAAATGATCACTTTTATGCTTAAGCATACACATTGACATCTCCTGTCTTGAATTCTTCTGAAAAAGAAGAAAAATAGCTAGAGAAGTCTACCATAGCAGCCCTTTCTGGCAGGGATTTGAAAGTAAGAGAACATTTCCAATTTCAGTAAAAACCAACTGGTTCAGAAAAGTTCAGGTACTTCAGAAGTTAACACAGGGCTCCCTTTGGTCGCATCAGGATTGACATTCCTATTGGCCCAGTTTGCTTTTACTCAGTTCAGCTCTTTTGTTATTACTTATAGACAATGTTGCCTCAGCTGGAAAGCAGAATCATATCAGACACCATTTTTAGAGGAGTTTAATGATATTTCAGTGGGACAAAAGGAAAAGAGTGCCCCCTCAGGATGTCTTTAAAATCCATAAAGCCAGATTTTGAAAAGAATATGATTGGAATGCAGCAAGAAATCTATCCTTAACAATTTCCCTTCACTGAATTGCTTCCTGGTTGTTCTTTATGGCAACTCTTAATGGTATAGGACACCTTTACAAGCTGGAAAACATGGCAGCCTTCTCATGAAAGTAATGCTGTCAGTTTCACACAAAGAATTAAAATCAATTATTTTCTCTCTTTTCTCTCTTTGGATGAAATTTTAAGCTTTGGTCAAGAGATTTTGGTTTTTCTTCTCAAGGGCAAATAAGAAATCCTGAAATTAAAAAAAAATAGACATATATGCCCATTGAACTTGAAAAATAGGCTAGTGGTTTATTTTCTTAAACTTTTTGGATTTTCTTTACTTTTTAAGGGCAGTTACTAAAACAAATGGAATTGTTGGACTACTGTAGGCTATTCATGACTTATAGTCATAAAACGGAATAAAAATACCACATCATTTTGATGAGGCATTAAGTGAAATCAACTCAAGAAGCTTTCTTAGGTATTTATGAAGAATATCTAAATAGATAAATTGTTATTCACAAAAAAAATCACAGTAAAATTAGAAAAGATGCACCAACACAACAAGCAGGCAAGAGTAAAAAATGGTGTTGAGTCATATGATGTCCTATATGAGAAAGATTTTCAATGCAGAACTATTTACAGAAGGAATGTAAAAGGTAGAGAAGGTGTGAGAATCAAGTGCTCCTGCAGTAGGATTTGGAAAAAAATAGAGAGGTACAGTTTATGGTAGAGTCCATATCTTAACTATGGTAGTCGACATATCTTAACTTTCTAACTCTTTAGGATAAAGGAATGCACATTTCTAGAAAGTCAGTGTAAACAAAAAAACCCTAGAAGTCCTTAATCTTAGTTAAGGAGTATGAACATATTTTAAAAATATATGGTAAAAGAGGAAATTGAAAGAGACTAGGAGAATGAGAAAAGCAAGAAAAACAAGAATACTGCGTTTTTGCAAAGGAGAAGACAACATTCAGAAGGAGGATGTCATAAACAGTTACAACCTTTAGAACAAAGTTCAAGGAGAGTGATAAGTGGCTGAAAGAAAAACAAGGATAGAAAAAAAGAATCAATAGACTTTGTAACAAGATTTTTGTTGACCTGACAGCAATTTCATTATAGTGGTTAATGGAAATTTAAAGAGATAAATGAAAAATCAGGGGTGGGATATTACTATGCAAGAATTTTTACTGAGAAAGAAGGGAAGAATGAATAATAGGATAACAATCCGAAGAAATAACCATAGCAGAAGATTGTGTTTGTGTATGTGTGTGTTTTGATATATCTGGTGTTTTATAATTTTTTTAAAGTTTTTTCCTATGTGAATTAGAAGAAAATGAGAATGAATTGCCACTGCAAAACTAGTGAGAAGACATTTAAAAATAATATTCCCCAATAATTAGAAGAGGATCTAATAAGACTAGTAGAGAAATTAATTTTAGAGAGTCATCTGCCTGTCACTTTGATATCACAGGAAAAGATGAGCCAAAAAAATTAGAAAAGGACTCAAGTAAAGATGAGGATAAATATGTAAACACACATGGAATTAGTTTAGTCAGTTTAATGAAGATGATTACAAGTTAAAATTGAGAAAAAGTTTGAGATTGACAAAAGATCAGAAAGGTGGCCTAGCATTTACCGGCTATGAACTAGAAAGTAGGAGTAATTACAAGCAAAGATTAGAACAAAAATTGGAGTTTCATAGGCTGAACATTCAGAAAGCTAAGTTTCCCCCATAAATGAAGAAAACAGACACATCTCTATATGGTATGAGGTTTTGTTTTGTTTTGTTTTGTTTTTTTGAGATGGAGTCTCGCTCTGTGGCCCAGGCTGGAGTGCAGTGGTGCAATCTCCGCTCACTGCAACCTCCGCCTCCCAGGTTCATGCCATTCTCCTGCCTCAACCTCCTGAGTAGCTGGGACTGCAGGTGCCCGCCAACATGCCTGGCTAATTTTTTGTATTTTTAGTAGAGATGGGGTTTTACTGTGTTAGCCAGGATGGTCTCCATCTCCTGACCTGGTGATCCACCCGCCTCGGCCTCCCAAAGTGCTGGGATTATAGGCGTGAGCCACCGCTCCCTGCCCTGTGGTATGAGTTTTGAGTGCTGAAAATCCTTCACCTCCTAGCCCTGGCATAATTCTTCAACTTTTCATATTATTTTTTACTTTAGGTTATATCAATGAAGGTTTCTGTTAGAGTGAAGATAGTAATAAAATGATTACTATATCATTAGTATTGTTAATATTAATTGGGATACCCTGCTTATTGTAAAGAAATGGCTGTTTAATAATGGATCACTGGAACCTGTGGTAATCCACTCATGGCTAATTTTGTAAAAGAGATATGCAGTGGTGTCTATAATAACTACTGTTAAAGTTAAATAAAATATGAGAGGAATCTTTGAAATGAAGACACTGTATTTGAGAAGAAAAAATTGCAATTTGGGACATACATGCAGATTGGCTGCTTTTTGGTATGTTCGATGAACAAAGGGAAGGCTAGCAGTTTTATAAAAAGGAGAAATGTTACATATTGATTTTTGAGAAATTTCATTGGTACCAGCAAGATTTTGAGGACCTGTCAAGTTCTGGTTGGTAAGTGACAGCAGCAGGTAAAACTAGTCTTAGAGTTGTACAGCAGGTTGTTTCAGTAGCCATTAAATAAAATTAGTTTCAGGTTACAGTGGGCAGTTTCAGCTGACATGCTTGCAGAGATTACACATTTGGAGTAATGTTTTGTACACTGAATGCTTTTCCGCAGCGTCTTGATTCTGATTTGGTTGGGCATGACAAGAATGAGCCAATTTATATCAACAACTTTCACACTACTTTCATTATTTATGTGATGGTTGGCTCTTCATTTTATTAACTCTTCATTTATAGGTAATTAAAAATATTGAGGTCAGGAGTTCAAGACCAGACTGACCAACATGGTGAAACTCCATCTCTACTAAAAATACAAAATTAGTGGAGCGTGTGGTGGTGCACATCCATAAGCCCAGGTACTTGGGAGGCTGAGGCAGGAGAATCTCTCGAACCCAGGAGGCAGAAGTTGCAGTGAGCAGAGATGGCTCCATTGAACTTTTCCAATCTGTGATGATGTGCTACAATGAATCTTATTATCAATGTGAATTAAATTTTTATAAACCACCCAAAGGCCAGGTGCAGTGGCTTACTCCTGTAATCCTAGCACTTTGGGAGGCTGAGGTGGGTGGATCACGAGGTCAGGAGATCGAGACCATCTTGGCTAACGTGCTGAAACCCTGTCTGTACTAAAAATACAAAAAAAAAAAAAAAAACCCAAAAAATAAAAAGCAAACAAACAAAGAAACCTCAGCTATCTTGATACTTAAATTTAAAAGAAGTTTGTCAATTGGCTGGTTCATTTGCAACATTCTAAAATCACTGACAAATATATACATATTAATTATATGTATATATGTTACATATTAATATAATACATATATTATAATATACATATAATACGATTAATATAATACATATTAATTGCTAGACACGTCCTTAAGCTTAAAATTATAAACTATTACTTAAATGCCTTAACTTTATGATAATATTTGTTGTCTAATTAATCAGTCAACTGTCTTCCTTGCTGTTATTTATAAAATAACACAAGTGCAGTTATAATTATAGAACTATGCAACATAGACCAAACTTAGTCACTGCGTCTGGAATTTATTCCTTCCGGTGGGTTCTTGGTCTCACTGACTTCAAGAATGAAGTCGCGGACCCTCATGGTGACTGTTACATCTCTTAAAGATGGTGTGTCTGGAGTTTGTTCCTTCAGATGTTCAGATGTGTCCAGAGTTTCTTCCTTCCAGTGGGTTTGTGGTCTCACTGACTTCAGGAGTGAAGCCACAGACCTTCGCAGTGAGTGTTACAGCTCATAAAGGTGGCACACCCAGAGTTGTTTGTTCCTCCCAGTGGGTTCGTGGTCTCGCTGACTTCAGGAATGAAGCTGCAGACCCTCACGGTGAGTGTTACAGCTCATAAAGGTAGTGCAGACCCAAAGAGTGAGCTGCAGCAAGATTTATTGTGAAGAGCAAAAGAACAAAGTTTCCACAGTTTCGAAGGGGACCCCAGCAGGTTGCCACTGCTGGCTCAGGTGGCCAGCTTTTAGTCCCTTATTTGGCCCCACCCATGTCCTGCCGATTGGTCCATTTTACAGAGTGCTGATTGGTGTGTTTACAAACCTTTAGCTAGACACAGAGCACTGATTGGTGCATTTACAAACCCTTAGCTAGACACAGAGTGCTGATTGGTGTGATTTTACAGAGTGCTGATTGCTGTGTTTACAATCCTTCAGCTAGACACAAAAGTTCTCCAAGTCCCCACCTGACCCAGAAGCCCAGCTGGCTTCACCTCTCAACTCAGATATGAGAAAAATAAGATCTAGATAAATGGAGAAATCTCTAAATTTCATGTTACTTTCAGGGATGGGAGTTGCATTCTAGTTTTATAGAGAAAAAGTTGAGAGCTGTACGTTACATTTATATTCTAAAATATGCCTAAACCAATGCTAAGATAATACCTTATATCTTAGCATTTGGTTTAAATGCTAAGCTATTGAAAGATGTCTCATCTTGTAAATGATGAAGGATAGATGAAGTGATACTTATTTTGATTATCATACGTGTTCATTGGGGGCCAAAGGGAATTTAGATTAAAACAGAACAAAGAAAAATGACTGCAATTGGCTAACATGAATATAATGTTAGAAAATTTTCACTTTGTAACATTATATTTTAATAGTCTTCAGAATGAGACTTGGTACTTGTTTCACTTTCTCATATCTTTGCAATTTATTTAATTCCAAATTCTAAAAAATGGTGTTTATCGAATAGTTAGAAGTATACATGCATGATTTTCACAGAAGAGGCTTTATGCCTATTCTTTTGTATCACTAGTTTCTGAATCACAGTTTTGCCTAAGTATGTCTGATTGGCAGAGCTAGGTCCCTTGCCTGAAATCTAACTTTAAGAGAGTCCAAAAAATTGTGTTTCTCATTTCTGTCTTGAAGATTTTTAAATCATTGTAAGGGCTAAGTCATTGAAGCAAAGGTATACTTAAGGGCAATCGCTTGCAGAAAACAGTAGGACATTTTTTTTCTCATATATCTGTCCCAAGCTGAATGTCCAGGCTGCGGGGTGCCTATGCTCTGCATGGGCATTCTGGGCCTAGATCTTTCCATTCTCTTGCTCTGTAACCTGCAGGGTTACTGTTTACATCTGTATAGTCAGCTAGATTGCAGACACATCACTCTTTCAATTGAGAGGGAGAGGAAAAGAGAACATTAGTATAGAAGTGGTCTACCTTTGAAATAAGAGATGATTCAAAAGTTGTAGTAATCATTCTCCTCACAACTCAAATACTTTCGCAAAGGAGGCTTGTGTCTCTTGTCCATTTGCCCTGCTATAACAAAATATCTGAGGTGTGATAATTTATAAACAACAATTTGTTTCTCACAGTTCTGGAAGCTGGGACATCCAAGGTCAAGGGACCCGCAGATGTGATGTCTAGTGAGAGCTGCTTTGTGCTTGCATCCTCCAGAGGGGGCAAACTCATTACTTCAAGGCCTTTTATAAGTGGCCTAATCTTGTCCATGAGACTTCTGTGCTCATGACATAATTACTTCCTAAAAATCTCACCTGTTAATATGATTACATTGATGATTAAGTTTCAATATGAATGAATCTGGGGGAACATACTCAGGCCGTAGTAGCTGGGAAATGTCATCTTTAGCTGGCCAGCCACGTGCTCTGCTACAACTCTATTATGGAAGAGGAAAAGATTGCTCATCTCTGACACAGGAGTCATGAATTCATATGTTAGATAATTCCCCAAACTTAGTAAAGGTGTCTGAAGCTGCGGAGTAACTGCATGTACCTTTAAACAACATTTTTAGTTCTTTAAGCAATTTACATAAAATAAAATTCTACAGTAGAAATTACTGATCTACATAACTTAAAATGTATATTGCAGAAAATGTAACATTTTAATGACATATTTTTACAAGACAACTAACTTATGCCAATCATAAGTTCTACATGACAGACTTGAAAAATATCTGAGCAAAAATATATTCATCAGAAATAAATGGAGGCTCTTTTGGGTCCTCAAGGGCTTAGGTTGTCTTTCACTGTGACTGACGAATGGGATTCCATTTGCTCATTTATTCTTTTAATAAATAATTATTCAATAATTATCTTCAGTTCTATGCACAGGGAATGTTAAAAATGACATGTTACCGACATTCAAGGAAATTAAAATTTAATAAGAAATACATAAATATAGCACTAATAAGGATAACTTCTACACAAGGTAAAATATGACACAAATGCTCCTTTTTAGTTTATTTGCATTTTGAGGATTTAATTTCCAGAGGTACATAGAAAATATCAGTCCAAGGAAAGAAGGATCAATTCTAGTTGGGTCCTAACTGTGGAAATGTCTAAAAATCTTTGATGTATTTTGGAAAATCTCTTTTCTAAAGGAATAATTGACCAGAAAAAGTTATTTCTATATTGTTCATAATTACTTAAATTTTTAACATCTGCTGCTCAGTAATTTCCCAGCTTCTACGATATGAGTTCAGAAAACCCCAGCCAGTCGTGTCTTCTCAAGAAGAGATAAGGAAACTGTCAGGGTGTCAATCTTCTCTTCCCACCAGGTTTAAGAATGACAGGCCACAAATCACTTTGGGCAGAAAGAAATGAATGTCAACTGTGTTTTTTCCTTTCTGGGTTTATGGATGAAGAAAGCCTCTTAAACTATACATTAATATGTAGTAATTGATATATCTGGATCAGCTCAGATGCTGTCAGTCCCATTGTGTGTTTATATAAACTCAGCACTTTAAAAATAACCATCTGCCTCCAAGCCTAGGAGCAGAAACAGAAATTTGCATAATTTCCTACCAGTTTATATACATGGGTAAAAACCCACTGTTATAAAGCATTTTAAAGGCCACGTTTGTTTTTTTAGTATTGAGTAGACATATCATGCACATGTGACACAATAAAATGATTTATATTCTTTTTAGGTCTAGTTTCTCAGAAACTATTTTGGTAGCTTTTATAGGAAAAACTGATCTCAATGAGACATTGAGATATACTACAACGGTTAAAAGACCATGCTTATGGCATTCATTCTTCTCATTTAAATCCACAGATGTTTTAGGGACTTTCCTGAATTAACTGGAACCAAACGCAAAGTGCTGCTTGCTATGCATCCCACAGGTTCTGTTTCTTTTTAATTTTGAACCAATTGTTGTCATTAATACCTATTTATTTTTTTGTTTTTCTCTTCTTTTTGAGATATAGTACACATACAATTCAATTAAAAAATTTATAGTATGCAATTCAGTAGTTTTTACTATATTCAGAAAGTTGTTTACCATCACCACTATTTAATTCCAGATTATTTTCCACTCCAAAAAGAAATCCTACAGCCATTATCAGTCATTCCCCATTTCCAACTCCCCCACAGACCGTGGATACCAAAAATCTACTTCTGGTATTTATGGAGTTTTCTGTTCTGGACATTTTATATGTTGAATCATAAGGCCTTTGAGTCACGTTGAATCGTAAGGCTTTGAGTCACATTGAATCATATTAAATATGTGCCCTTGTGTGTTTGGCTTTATTCACTTTGCATCATGTTTTCAAAATTTATCCATGTTATAGCATATGTCACTACTTCATCTTTTTTTGGGTGAATAACATTCTATTGTATGGATATACCACATTTTATTTATCTATTTGTTAGGTGATGGATATCTGGATTGTTTTCACTTTTGGGCTATTATAAGTAAAGCTGCTTGCCAACATTTGTGTACATATTTTTGTGTGAACACATGTTTTCAATTTTGTTGGGTATATACCTAGGAGTGGAATTTCTGGGTCATATGGTAACTCTGTGTTTAACTTTTTGATGATCTGCTGTTTTCCAAAACAGAACTACCATTTTGAATTCCCATGAGCAATGTATCAGGGTTCCAATTTCTCCACGTCATTGCCAATACTAGTTATTGTTTGCCTATTTGATTACAACCATTTTAGCAACTATTGTTTTTATTTATGTTTACCTAATTGTCTTAGTCTATTCCTGCTGCTATAATAAAACACCTAAGACTGGGTTATTTATATATAGTAGAAACTTATTTCTCACAGTTCTGGAGGTTGAGAAGTTCAAGATCTAAGTGCTAGCAGGTTTTGTCTGGTCATGCCCTGGTCTCTGCTTCCAAGATGGCACCTTGAACGTTTTCCTCACACGACAGGAGGAATGGAAGGGCAAAACAGACCTAGGTAGTCCCTTTTAGCCCTTTTGTAAAAGCACTGATCCAGTCAGGCGGGCAAAGCCCAGCTCTTAATACTTCCCCAAAGCCACAACTTAATGTTGTTACATTGGGGATTAAGCTTGAACACAAATTTTAGAGGAGACACAAACATTCAAACTACAGCTCTAATGAATAATGATGTTGAGTGTCTTTCTAGATGTATTGGGTATTTTTATATCTTCCCTGAAGAAATTTTTATTCAAATCCTTTGCCCATTTTTTTAATTGATTATTTGTACTCTTGATTTATAAGTGATTTTTAAATATTCTGGATACTAGATATATGATATGTTAGTTACAAACGATACTGATATATATTTAGATGTATCTACTGGTTATACATGAATTACAGATGTTTTCTTAATTTCTGTTGGTATTCTTTTCACTTTTGTAACAATATCCTTTGACTCAAAAATGTTTTAAATTTTGATAAGGTTCAATGTATTTCCTTTTCTTTTTTTCATTGCATGTGATTTAGGTATCATATCTAGGGAACCATTGACTAATCTAAGGTCATGAAAATTTACACCTATTTTCTTCTGAAAGTTTGATCATTTAGTTCTCATACATTTAGGTATTTGATTCATTTTGAGTAATCTTTTTATATTGTGTGACACAGGGGTAATTTCATTTGAGTTTCTTTCTAGAGTCCTTTCATTTTAGTAAAATATTACTTGCATTGTAAATCTGATAGCAAAAAATTTTCTCCATTTTTTAATGTATGTGGTAATTTTTCATTTTTTTCTCCAGATTTGTTTTCTTGGATACAGAATTTTAATTTGATACTTTTTGTTTGTTTTTACTTTCAGCACTTTTCAATATGTTTCCCATAGCCTCCTGTCCTCCATGGTTTTCAGTGAAAAATCAGCTGTTAATCTTATTGAGAATCTGTTATACATGATAAGGCACTTCACTCTTACTGCTCTAAAGATTCTCTTTTTGTCTTTGCCTTTCAATAGTTTGACTATGATGAGTCTAGGTGTGGAACTGTTTGAGTTTTTACTACTGAGAGACTGTTACATTTCTTGGATTTGTGGAGTCATATTTTTCCTCAATGTTTGGAAACTTTGGGGCTTTTATTTCTTCAAATATTTTTTATTCCATTCTTTCTCTTTTTCTCCTACTGGATTTCCATTATGCATGTATCAGCAGGCTTGATGATGTCTTATAGGTCTTTGAGACTCAGTTCATTTTTCTTTTTCTTTCTTGTCCTCAATCTGGATGATTAAATTGACATATCTTCAAGTTTGTTATTTTGTCTATGTTCTTAAATTTGCTGTTTAGCTCCCATTGTGAGGATTTCATTTTAGTTTTTTATTTTTAAATTACAGAATTTCTATTTGTTTTCTTTATATAATGTCCATCTCCCTATTGCTATTCTCTAATGTGACAATATTGTCATAAATTCTTTTTAGTCATGGCTCTTTTTACTTTTTAAACATATTAAAGTAGCTGATGTAAATTATTTGCCATGAATAGGTTTAAACTTTTCAAAGACCCTATGGATATATACTTCTCCATGTTTTTCTTGTAAGCTTTTTGATTAGTCTTTTGTTTGCTTTAATTCTTGTCTACTGCCCCAGGGAGCTGCAAAGTTAAACAATTATCTGTAATTTTTTTCAATATACACCCCAAGGAAAAGGTTTTTCCTACTGGTTGAGCTCAAAATAATGTTAAAAAAAAGACAGTTTTGCAAATGAGATCTTCCAGAGAATCACCTGGCAGGTCAAATAATGAAAAGTATGTTGGGCTTTGAAAGAGTTACAACTCTTTTTCTGCTCCTCTGTTGGCTGTCAGGTTGTTGGTTTTCACTGTGATTACAGACTGGTGGTTTTCACGGTTATCACCAAGATAGAGAACTGGGATAGTGATGAAGACAAGTTAAAATGCCACAGAGGTAACTGTTCTTACTGAGATTCAGCTGCTTTTATTGGCTATATAGCCCCAGAATTGCTGCAAGCCTTTGGTTAATTTCCAGAGTTCTGAAAAAGTTGATTCTGACAATTGTTGCAAGATTCCTAATTGCTTACATGTAGAAGAAAAATTTTGGAAGTTTCTAATGTGCTGTTTTCACTAAAGTCATGTCTCCTGAAAACCTATTTACTTGGAAGATAACTTTATTTTCCCCTTTGTGTTACAGCAACAGATTTTAAATATATTTTGAATCAAACTGTTTTTTTCAGCAGAAGGGGCCATGCACAAACAAGATCCAGATCATTGTTAACTATCATCATTCATGGCAGTATAATTGGTTTAACAATCCTTACAACAGGGTTCCATCAGCATTACGAGATAAAAAGAATCAAAGTAAATGTCTAAGCAAGATAAGAACAGTTCTATAATAACTTATATAATTATCACATACAAATAGTCTCAAAAATCAACATTAATTAGGAAAGTATGGACTCTAAGGCATTGGTAGAAACCAAATTGTACACTGATGTACATATTCTGAAATATGATAGGGAAGCACAAATCCTGTTATTTTAAATAGTGACAGACGTCTTTGCAACTTATGTGTTCTTGGAAGTCGTTCAAATGTAAAAGCACCCTTTTGAAGATAAACATTGAATACTGAGAGATGGTTGCTTTAAATTTACCAATTAAAATTTCTCACTTGGAAAATAGAAGACTGCTGTCTCAAGTATACAGTTTCAAGAAAATCAAAACCAGTGGAATACAAAAGATATTTTTGAGAAACATGGAGTACCAGGCTGGAAAATTTAGAGGTAGGGCCTATTTAATTTAAAAGTCAAAGTGGCTTTTATTAAATGTTTATTGGAGCAGATCTAATAAACATGTTTGTTGTGCTACAAAGAAAACTTAAGTTTAAACAGTTCGATTAAAGATTTCCCCCGGGTAATTCATGATAGAATAGTTAGAGAAAAGCCATATTGTATAAAATTTTCCATTGTTGTGCGTTTAAATGTGATATCCTAAGTGTTTGGATTGCAAGTAGACAGAATTATTGTTTCATTTAAAAATTGTGGCTTGAATGACAACAGTTTTTTAAATAACTCAAGGCTCACCAACTCACAACCATTTTTATCTGATTAATTTTATGTTCTATATCATTTGCCAAACTGTCCTACATGAAATCTCTAAAGTCCCCAAGCTTGTTGTCATTCAAAAACTCATCTGTCAATTGGCTTTTTCTCAATTTGTCATTTGTCAATTACACTTTTTTCCATAAAAATAATCTTATAAATCATAGTTTGATTTTAGATCAGACCACAGATTTCTAAGAATAAAATGTGTGCTGTATATAGAGTAATGGTGATAAAGACTTAGGATTATAGACTTGGGAATGGGTGAATTGATTTAATGAGGATAAGTTTTTCTTTTTCCTATTTATGGAAGACTGGCCAATCTTAAGAAACTTTAAAAGGAAAATACAAGTTTGCTTTTAATGTACACCCTATCTTCGTTTTAGGCCTCCCTTTTAACTGCTTCTTGATGTATTTTTTTCATACATACTTAACATCCTCAGTCATATAAGTTTTAAATAAGCAAAAGATAATCTGTTCTTTATACATCAAATGTTTTCACTTTCCCTGTACTGAAATTCCATGCTACCAGCTATTATCTAGAAAGCAGTCAGACAGACTTAATTCCCACAAGGTTATGATTGATATTTGTAGTTTTGCACTGGTTAAATGTGAGGAGAAGGATGGCTATCTGGTTTGATTATCTATTAACTTGAATCTGTGCTGTGTCACTTACTAGTTGCATGATGCTAGGCAAGTTTCTTTCCATACCTCAATTTCTCCATTTATAAACATCAAAGAATAATAGTCCTATGTCATACTGACTCATATCATTGGGAGTAAACAATGATATACTATATCACTGCATTTAGGACTATGCCTGAAATAGAGTAATTAGCAATAAAGATCAATTTTTACTCTCAGTAAGAGAATCTTTAATTTGTGAAATCCCATCGTAACCAAGTAAATTGAATGAAAGTAAGAGCATGCCTAGAGGACATTTTTGAAAAAGAGATGACAAACTCAAATTATCTTTGCCTAGGAGTGGCTTCTCTCAGCTTGTCCTTGCCTCTTTTCTTTCTTCAACAATTAACCAGAATTTGGCTCTCTTTAAAGTCTCATTTGATTTGCTTGCTTGGTTTTTGTCTTTTTGTTTTGTTTTGTTTTGAGACGGAGTTTCATTCTTGTCACCCAGGCTGGAGTGCAATGGCACGATCTCACTGCAACCTCCACCTCCCAAGCTCAAGGGATTCTCCTGCCTCAGCCTCCTGAGTAGCTGGGATTACAGGCATCTGCCACCACACCCGGCTAATTTTTGTATTTTTAGTAGAGACGGGGTTTCACCAGGTTGGCCAGGCTGGTCTTGAACTCCTGATCTCAGGTCATCCACCCGCTTCGGCCTCCCAAAGTGCTAGGATTATAGGCGTGAGCCACCATGCCTGGCCTGCTTGCCTGTTTTAATAGTAGTTTATTACAGCTGCTCAAATAAATTATCACAAATTTTGTGGCTTAAAACAACTCAAATTTATTATCTTAAAATGCTAGTGGTCAGAAGCCTAACAACAGGTCTGTAAGACTAAAATCAAACTGCCAAAAGAGCTATGTTCTTTCTGGAGGCCCTGGGGGTGAAACTTCTTTGCTTCTAGAGGGTATCCAAATTCCTTGGCTCATGGCCATCTTCCAACAATGGCATCACCCTGACGTAATCCTCCACCATCACATTTCCTTATTCTGACTTTTACCTTCTTATAAGGACTCTTGTGATTAAATTGGACAGACATACCAGGTAATCCAGTATAATCCGCCCATCTCAAGATCCTGAAATTAATCACACAAAGTCCCTTTTGCCATCCAAGGTAACATATTCACAGGTTCTGGGGACTGGAATGTGCTCATATTTGTGGCCCATTTCTCTTTCTCTCACAGTTTTATTACAGCAGATGAGGAGAAAACAAAGTGAATAGAAGCCTTCCATATATACATACACATATATACGTAAATTATATATAATGGAACATTATATATATTCATATATACTTATATATATATTAAAATGGAACAGAATATTTACTAGTATCCCTTAATCACTGACTATGCTAAGTTCTTTAAGTATATTATAAAGCTGATCACACTAACTTATGAAGAACATATTACTACTTCCGTTTTATATAGATGAGCAAACAGATTTGAGAGGAGTTAAATAACTTGATCAATACCTCAAAGCCCATAAGTACGAAAACACATTCAAGTGAAAGGCCCTGCTTTTCCAAGTTGGTAATAAACCTTAGCCTATTTTGTAAACATCCCCTAAGAATAACAGTTCTGAATTTCAAACTGTTCTGGTTATCTATCTATCTGTATGGATGAAGAGCTTTCACTAAAATAGGGTAACAAGAATTTTTTGAAAACAAACTGAGGTAAGTGAAACAAAATTTTAACACTAGCGATAGACTAACTTTGAATAAATTAACTCACATATCCTCTCTGATCCTCCATTTCAGTACATGTCAATGATTAAGTGTATATATATGTATATATATATATATATATATATATATATATATATTTAATTCTCTAGCCTTTAAGAGAGCAGTGACCACTCCTGTCTTACTCAGTAATATAATTCCACTGCTTAGCATAGTAAGCATGCACTGCACAGCATAGATGCTCAGTAAGTATTTGTTGAATTAATATTCTATCTACCTCACAGGACATAGCATAACATATTTCTAAATAACCTGAAATGTTTAAAGGACAAGTCTTCTGGTCTATACGTACTAGTAACTTCATTTCACTTTGAAATACCCTTTCTTAGGGCACTTATAAGAATATACTTCTTGCATATTCTTACATAAATCTGGTAGTTAGATATAATTGCCCAACTATATTTCCATAAATAATTGAGAGTTTGAATGATGGACTAAGTTTGTAAGTATTTGGAGAATCATGAGAAAATAAAAAGCAAACATTTTCTAGTGAACTTGAAAAGTGGTTAGGTAAAAAGAATTAGGGAGTAGCGAAGGATGTGAATGCAAGATGAGAGTTCTCAGGAGAAAGGCGTTTAGATATACTGCAATGTTGACCAAAGTGAACAGCAACTGATGGGGGGCTATAATGGACATACACTGGGTAATATTTGTGAGAGGGTGAAAAAGGCTTAGAAATGTAGTTTGAAACACATGATTTAAAATTTTGCTTTAATGTGTAATACTGATTGATTTTCTGAAAAAGATACCTTATGTTTTTAAAAATGAATTTCACATTTACACTGTTCCCGATGTAGTCATAGTAACATTTTTATATAAAAAGTATATGCTGCTGAATCACATTAACCACACATTATTCATACATGAGAACATGTTCTTGTTCAAGTTGACTGCCTAGCTGAGCCTTTTATACTTGTGAATTCCGTTATTAGGATGCAACATTCTATGTTTTGGGAAAATGAACAGAGAAAATATATGATAATTTTTCACAGGCTTAAAGTGAAATTGGTTTTTTATTAAGAAGATGTGCTTAGACATACTATTGCTGGATGCACTGGACTTAGCTTCAGCAGCAGAGAGCTGAGGGCAGGATGAGAAAAGTTAAAAGTCTTGCTTCTCCAGGGAACAAAGCTCTTGGCTAGGAGCTGGGGAGAATGGAAGCCCAGTGTTCTTGGCTGTAGCTATCTGGGGTGGAGTCTCTGCCTTGCTGAGTTGGGGTGATGGAGGAGTCCTGGGGCAACTGAAGGCATCTGGCCAAGGCCACTCCTTGGTGTTGCTAGAAAGCCCCCAGACTGAACCCAGTTCCCAACTGCCCACCAGTCAAGGCATCAGTTAAGACCTCCAGACTTTTCTCTGGTTATCTTTCCTTTCTTCTTTCATGGTTTGAAATAGCTCCTATCTCTACTTTTATAATTTTAATGATTTTTATATAGGCTGCACAAATGTTATTAAGTAGAATCAGCATTTGGCTCAGCAATCAGATATACAATTCAGAACTACATGATTTCCATCTGTTCTTAGAGATGTCATCCCCACCCCAACACCCACAGCCATGGGTGCAGGCTGCCCACAGTAGCTCCTCTCCTCATTCCCTCCCCTCCAGACTGGGGCACCTGGGCATATTCACCGAGTGCATGTGCAGTGCCCAACAGGGTGGGAATGAGCTGCACACATCGCCCCGGGCCAGGGCAGCCTCACGTGCCAGGGACCCCAGGCAGCTGGCTGGCCAGGGCATTCCACTTGCTATCCCCTCTGGCTAGGCACCCATAGAGTCTTTCTTCCCCTGGCCAAGGAGTTCAACTCGGTCCAAACTGGTGGAGAGATAGAGTGATTAAAGGAAAACATTTGCAAACCTCACCCTTTATCCCTTAAACTGTTTTATTTCCTTTTTCCTTTCTGTGTAAGAGAGTTCTTTTCCTACCTTGGCACTGTGCTTATGATAGGGAGGCAACGGAGGAGTGACCCCCGACTGGCTAATAACTGCAAGTTTGGTAGGGCCCAGGGAGGCAACGGAGGAGTGACCCCCGACTGGCTAATAACTGCAAGTTTGGTAGGGCCCATCGGGGGCTTAATCTGAATGGACCCAGGCACACCCTGAGACACCTTTTTTTTTTTTCTCAAACTTGATTCCAAGCTTCGGGTTGAAGCCCTAGAAAGGAAAACCAGATCTGAGGGATCCAAAATGAGACAACAGGCACAGTGTAAATGGGCAGGACTGATTCCTGCTGATTAAGCTCCAGCTTCATAGAAGGAGGCCACGCTCCATGACATAGATAAGGCCCAGGGAACCCAAGGGTTGCTGACAGTAGTGGGGATGGGGGCATAGGTGAGTGAAGACAATTCCTATCTCTAGGCCCCTGCCGTTTCACAAGTGCGGGCCTCAATGGCACCTGTGGGTGGCATCCATCTAAGGTCACCAGGTCTCAGGGATTAAAAAGATGGAAGACAAAGCAGAGATGCCTGCTTTCTGTCTCCTTCACACACCAAGTTTCTGCTGAAAGAAGGAAGGGAAATGAGGGATGCCTATTTTCCTATCTTTAAGAATGGGCAACCAGCTATCTTCACCACCCCCAGTCTATACTCCTCTGGAGTATATCCTGAATCACTGGGACTGCTTTGACCCTCAGACTCTGGAGGAAAAATGCCTTATAGTCCTCTGCACAATGGTTTGGCCAAATTATTTATCTGCGGGAAGGACTGGGTTGGCCTCAGGAAGGAACTATTCATTTCGATACCATCCTGTAGTTGGACCTTTTCTGTAAACGTGAGGGCAAATGGTCTGAGGCCTCATATGTGCAGGCTTTTTTTATCTTGCAGGGTAATCCATACTTTCCCAATGGTATAAGATTGATCCAGCCCTCCTGTTTGCCATTTCAGGAGAGGCTGCAAGGGGCAATCCCAGGGAACTAAAGAAATGAACCCCAGAGGCTCCTCCAACCGGTAAGCCAGCCCCCTCTAGCCCTCCTCTGGGTCCACCCCGTCCTCCCTATCCAGATTCTCTCTCTCTCACTTGCCTCCTCCTAGAAATCCTCACCCTAGACTAGCCCAAGTCTCACTCTTGCCCCTCCAAGATATGCCAGGTCCGGGTCTCCTTCTCTCTACAGGACTTAAGGCAAATTTGGGAGATCTTGGCAAGTTTTCAGATGACCCTGACAGATATATAGAGGCTTTCCATTATTTAACCCAAGTATTTGAACTCTCCTAGAAAGACTTTCTGTTACTTTTGAATCAAACCCTGACTAACACTGAAAAGGAGGCTGCTTTGCAAGTGGCAGAGGAATTTGGGGATGAGCTTTGTATCACATATACTGTCAGGAAAGGGGTCTAACTTTATCCAACTGGAAGAGAGGAAGTACCATTGCATGACCCTAAATGGGATCCCAATGATGAGATGGGAGAATGGAAGAGGAGACACTTTCAGGTGCGCATAAGGGAGGGCTTACACAGAGCTAGAACCAAGCCTCTCAATTATACCAATGTATCCATGATAGACCAGGGAATGGATGAGAATCCTACTGATTTTCTGGAACGGCTAAGAGGGGCCTTGGTAAAGCACATGTCTCTATCTCCTGATTTAGTCGAGGGACAATTAATCCTAAAGGATAAATTTATTACTCAGGCAGCCCCTGATATTGAGAGGAAGCTGCAGAAACAGGTCCTGGGACCCAACAGTACTTTAGACAACCTCCTGAAAGTGGCCACCTCGGTCGTTTATAATAGAGACAGGGAGGCCCAGGAGAGAGAGAGGAGACAGAGGGAAGAGACACAGGCTTTAATGGCCAACATGCAAGCCCAAAAACTCCAGAATCCCTGAGGTGCCGCTGTAAATGCTACAGATGTGGCAAGCCAGGGTATTTTAAGAAGGATTGTCCCCAAATTGTTCAGCAGCAGGACTGATGGATCATAGGGTTCCTATCTGTGGCTCTGGTGATCCAGATTACCATTACCATCCAGGAGCCCCAGATAATTCTGGAAATCAAAGGGAGGAAAGTGGACCTCCTTTGGGACACTGTGGCTGGTCTCTCAGTTTTCCTCTCCAATCTGGGCCCCCTCTCATCTCTTAGCATGACCATAAGGAGCATCTCAGGAAGACCTTTAACCAGATATTTTTCCCAACCCTTTAGTTGTAGTTGGGAAGACCCCTTGTTCACCTATGCTTTTCTAATTACACCTGAAAGTCCAACTCCTCTGTTGGGCAGGGATATTCTGGCCCGTATAGGGACCACCAGACTGATGGCCCCAGGACAAACTCTTTGTCTCTCCCTAGTGGAGACCAATATTAACCCAGAAGTTTGGGCAATTCAGGAGAAAATTGGCCAAGCCACAACCACCATATTGGTCTGATTTACCTTAAGAATCCCAGATCCTTTTCTAACCAGAAACAATATCACCTGAAACCAGGGGTTAGGAAAGGACTGGAAGCCATCATTGATAACTTAATGCTGTAGGGCCTCATTAAGCCCTGCAACAGCTCTTGTAATACCCTGATATTGTAGGTAAAAACCCAACAGGTAATGGAGACTAGTTCAGGACCTCCATCTCATTAATGAGGCTATGGTT
This sequence comes from Homo sapiens, assembly GCF_000001405.40. Lineage (NCBI taxonomy): Eukaryota > Metazoa > Chordata > Mammalia > Primates > Hominidae > Homo > Homo sapiens. The sequence goes on from NC_000005.10 coordinate 104,027,652, forward strand.
CCAGTTCACCCACTGGCTCCCAATCCGTATACCCTGCTAGCTCAAATACCTGAGGGAACTAAATGGTTCACAGTCCTGGACCTAAAGGATGCCTCCTTCTGCCTACTGCTACATCCTGACTCTCAATATTTATTTGCATTTGAGGATCCCTCCAACCAAACCACCCTGTTAACTTGGACAGTTTTACCTCAGGGATTCTGCCCCACTTGTTTGGGAAGGCATTGTCAAGAGACATCTCCACGTTCCATTATCCTCAGGTTAAAGTTTTATAATACATAGATGACATTCTCCTCTGTGCTCCAACTGAGGAAATCTCTAAGGTGGAAAGTAAAGCTTTTCTTAATTTTCTGGCTAACAGAAGATATAAGGTTTCAAAATTTAAAGCTCAGCTTTGTCAGACATCAGTGAAGTACCTAGGCCTGTTCTTGTCAGAGGAGACCAGGGCATTGGGCGAAGAAAAGATTAGGCCCATTTCCTCCTTTCCCCTTCCCAAAACCCTCAAGCAACTGAGGACATTCTTAGGCATTACAAGATGCTGCAGACTATGGATACCTGGGTATGGTGAAATAGCTTGTCCCGTATATCACCTAATAAAGGAGACTCAGACAGCTAAAACCCAGTGTCTAATTTGGGAACCAGAGGCTAGAAAGGCCTTTGACCAACTAAAACAAGCCTTGCTTAAGGCACAAGCCCTTAGTCTTCCTATAGGGAAGATGTTTAATATTCATGTGTCAGAAAGAAAGGGAATGGCCTTGGGAGTTCTAACACATGCCTGAGGTCCAGTTCAGCAGCCTGTAGGCTACTTAAGTAAGCAGCTTGATTTGGTAGCCAAAGGATGGCCAGTCTGCCTCTGAGGAGTTGCAGCGGTAGCCTTGCTGGTACCAGAGGCTACTAAGTTAATCACGGGGAAGAACTTAACCATTTATATTCTGCATAATGTGGCAGGAGTGCTGTCAGTGGAGACTCTGGATAACAGACAATTGCCTCCTCAAGTATCAAACTCTACTCTTACAGGAATCTGAAGTCCAATTAAGAACCTGTCCCTCCCTAAATCCAGCCACCTTCCTCCCAGAGTAAGGTGGGGAGCTTGAACATGGCTGTGAACAGATAGTAGTAGAAACCTATGCAGCCAAAGAGGACCTCAAAGAAATCCCCTTTGAGAATCTAGACTGGATTCTCTTTATGGACAGAAGTTCTTTTGTAGAACAAGGGATGCTTAAAGCCTGGTATACAATAATTACTCTTAATGATATTCTTGAGAATGCACCTCTCTTCTAGGGTACAGGTACTCAATTAGCCAAACTAATTACCCTCACAAAGGGACTCAAATTAAGCAAAGGAAAAACAGTTAACATTTATACTGATTCTAAGTATGTGTTACTAGTCCTCCATGCCCATGCCACTATCTGGAAAGAGAGGAACTTCCTTACAGCTAATGGGTCTGCCATTAAGTACCATCGGGAAATTAACAGACTATTATCCTAAGTTTTTCTCCCAGAGAAAGTGGCAGTATACATTGTAAAGGCCACCAACACGTGATGGATGAAGTAACTGAGGGAAATTGGTTGGCAGACCAAGCAGCTAAATCAGTAGCAAGATGATCCCCACTTGAAGGCCCCATCAGAGAAATAAAACCTCAATACTCTTCCACGGAAATAGAATGGGCCATCTCTCAGGGACATATTTTTCAGTCCCCAGAATGGCTACAATTGGAGGATGGCAAGCTTTTATCTACCAGTTGCGAACAAATGGAAAATTCTTAAAAGCCTTTACCAGATCTTACACCTAGGTAAGGATAAAACCTATCAATTGGCCCAGAGATTGTTCTCAGGTAAAAACTTGTACAAATGATTAAACAGGTGGTTAATGCTTACAAGACCTGCCTAATAAATAATCCCCTTAACAGACAGCTTCTTGCCCCAGGAACCCAAAGGACAGGAGGCTACCTGGGGAAAGACTGCAAAGGGATTTCATCCATATGCCAAAGACAAGGGGCATCCAGTACCTCCTAGTATGGATAGATACTTGCACTAACTGGGTAGAAGCATTCCCATGTCAGACAGAGAAAGCCTCTGAGATGATGAAAGTACCAATTAATGAGATAATTCTTCTCTTTGGACTCCCTAAGTACCTCCAGAGTGATAATGACCCCTTGGCAGCTTCCCTTCAAGGCAGCTGTCACCCAGGGGTCTCAAAGGTATACTGTATACTAGGTATACAGTACCATCTTCATTGTGCTTGGAGATCACAATCCTTGGCAAAGGTAGAAAGGACAAATGATATTATCAAATGGTACCTCAGGAGATTCATCTCCCCTGGACAACCCTCCCTGCCATAGGCCTACTACATGTTAGAAACACTCCTTCAAAGCAAGGCTTGAGACCCTTTGAAAGGATGCATGGATGGCCTTTTCTCACTGATGATTTCTTGCTAGACCAAGAAATATCTGATTTGATTAAACACATAACTTCTTTGGCCCATTTCCAACAGAAACTGAAATAACTGTCATGGAAATAGAATGGGCCTTCTCTTGGGGATATATTTTTCAGTCCCCAGAATGGCTACAATCAGAGGATGGCAAGCTTTTATCTACCAGTTGCCATCAAATGGAAAATTCTTAAAAGCAGCCTAGTTCAATCCTGTGAACTAGGGCCACCTCTGTTCAACCCAAATGACCTGGTGCTGGTAAAGTTACTTCCTTCCCTTTTTCCCTCTATAGGCCCAGATTGGGAGGGACCTTACACTGTATTTCTTTCTACTCCTATGGCAGTGGAGGTCACTGGAATAGACTCTTGGATTCATTACACCCAAGTGAAGGCCTGGAAAGCTGATGGAGCCACCTCTGTCAACCCAGAAGAGCACCCAAAGTACCAAGGTAAAGAGATCAGGGACTTCAAGCTAAAAATTACAAAAGATATGTGTTAATAATTAACCTCCTAAGGATATTCTCTTTATATTCTTGCCTACGCTTGCTGTTCTTACCTTTGTTCTGTTCTATACCATGGAGTACAATATTGTTTTCAGAATGATTATTTCTGTAATCTTTGGCATTAGGTTCTCTCCTTTTTAACTCCTTTTTTTATAATATACATATTTGATCCATGCATACTAAACCCTATAAAACTTGTTTATTCTCACCTAGAGACCATGAAACTCCAAATAGTCAGGCACCAGAGCCTCAGATGATGGCTCCCTTTTGCCAGGGATGCTTAGGTAGACCTCTGGGAGGAATCCAACCATCATTTTCCCAAAAACAATGCCCCCTGTTAGCAGGAAGTAACTAAGAATGGCCATTGTCCATAATCTAATAGTAGTTAGATGTGCCTCTTCAGAGGGAGAATATGATAGGGATGGGAGGCAGAGAAATTCTAGGCAGAAAAGGAAAGGGTACCTGGCAAGGACCCCACCCTCAAGCTTGGAACCATGGACCAAAGTGTGAACTTTACACGGCCGTTTTCCTGCTCAAATATTGCCTTTTCCAAAACCACCCCTGGCACACCCTGTCCCCAATCCTGTACCCACTAAAACCCCAGGCTCTTCTGGCAGAGGGCAGAGAAGGGGAGAAGAGAAGCAGCAGCTGAACATTGGAGAGAAACAGTTTGACTTCAGAGGGATAGCTTAATGGTGAGACTTCAGGGGAATAATACCTTCCTGCTCCATCCCCTTTCCAGCTTCCCTTCCCACCGAGAGCCACTTCCATCGGCAATAAAATCTTCTGCATTCACCACCCTTCAATTTGTTTGTGTGACCTGCTTTTTCCTGGATGCCAAACAAGAGCTCGAGTGTCATGGGGATGGACACTAAAGGCAGTGAGACTGACCTTCTATCCTTGCTGGTGGAGAGCAACCACCTCATGTGAAAAGGCAGAGTGCTCACTGAGCTGCTTAACACTTAAGCCGTCCATGAGTGACAAAGCTAAAGAGTACACTGTAACACATGCCCTCTGGGGCTTTGTGGGGGGTCATGGGTACTCTCCCCTAGATTCTGCCATAGGGCCCACAGAGTTTTGCTCCTGCCAGTGCCCAGAAACACTCGCCCTGGCTCATGCACCCACTCACTGTCAGGCTTCTGAGCTCAAGCTAAGCCATCATATCCCCTGTGACCTGCACGTACACATCCAGATGGTCGGTTCCTGCCTTAACTGAGGACATTCCACCACAAAATAAGTGAAAATGGCCTGTTCCTGCCTTAACTGATGACTGTCTTGTGAAATTCCTTCTCCTGGCTCATCCTGGCTCAAAAGCTCCCCTACTGAGCACCTGGTGACATCCACTCTGCCCACCAGAGAACAACCCCCCTTTGACTGTAATTTTCCTTTACCTACCCAAATGGTATAAAACGGCCCCACCCCTATCTCCCTTTGCTGACTGTCTTTTCTGACTCAGCCCGCCTGCACCCAGGTGAAATAAACAGCCATGTTGCTCACAGAAAGCCTGTTTGGTGGTCTCTTCACACGGACGTGAATGAAATTTGGTGCCGTGACTCGGATCGGGGGACCTCCCTTGGGAAATCAATCCCCGGTCCTCCTGCTCTTTGCTCCATGAGAAAGATCCACCTATGACCTCATGTCCTCAGAGCAACCAGCCCAAGAAGCATTTCACCAATTTCAAATCCGGTAAGCGGCCTCTTCTTACTCTCTTCTCCAACCTGTCTCACTGTCCCTCAACCACTTTCTCCTTTCCACTCTTCAATCTCTCCCTTCTCTTAATTTCAATTCCTTTCATTTTCTGGGAGAGACAAAGGAGACATGTTTTATCTGTGGACCCAAAACTCCGGCGCAGGTCACGGACTGGGAAGGCAGCCTTCCCTTGGTGTTTAATCATTTCAGGGATGCCTCTCTGATTATACACCCACGTTTCAAGGGTGTCAGACTACGCAGGGATGCCTGCCTTGGTCCTTCACCCTTAGCGGCAAGTCCTGCTTTTCTGGGGAAGGGGCAAGTACCCCAACCCCTTCTCTCCATGTCTCTACCCCCTCTCTGCCTTTCTTGGGGGCAAGAAACCCCCAACCCCTTCTCCTTCACCTTTAGCGGCAAGTCCTACTTTTCTGGGGGAGGGGCAAGTACCCTAACCTCATATCTCTGAGCCCCAATCCCTTATTTCCACACCCCGACCTCGTATCTCTGTGCCCTGAGCCCTTTCCTGCTTTTCTGGAGGGTAAGAACCCCCAAAGCCCTTCCCTCCATGTCTCTACTCTCTCTTTTCTCTGGGCTTGCTTCCTTCACTATGGGCAACCTTCCACCCTCCATTCCTCCTCCTCCTCCCTTAGCCTGTATTAAGAACTTAAAACCTCTTCAACTCTCACCTGACCTAAAATCTAAGCATCTTATTTTCTTCTGCAATGCCGCTTGACCCCAATACAAACTCAACAGTAGTTCCAAATAGCCAGAAAAAGGCACTTTCAATTTTTCCATCCTGCAAAATCTAAATAATTCTTGCTGTAAAATAGGCAAACGGTCTGAGGTGCCTGACGTCCAGGCATTCTTTTACACATCGGTGCCTTCCTAGTCTCTGTGCCCAATGCAACTCGTCCCAAATCTTCCTCCTTTCCCTCCCACCTGTCCCCTCAGTCCCAACCCCAAGCATCACTGAGTCTTTCTAATCTTCCTTTTCTACAGACCCATCTGATCTCTCCCCTCCTCGCCAGGCTGAGCTAGATCCCAATTCTTCCTCAGCCTCCGCTCCTCCACCCTATAATCCTTTTATCACCCTCCTCCTCACACCGGTTCCAGCTTACAGTTTCCTTCCACTGCTAGCCCTCCCCCACCTGCCCAGCAATTTCCTCTTAAAAAGGTGGCTGAAGCTAAAGGCATAGTCAAGGTTAATTCTCCTTTTTCTTTATCCATCCTCTCCCAAATCAGTTAGCATTTAGATTCTTTTTCATCAAATTTTAAAAACCCAGCCCAGTTCATGGCTCGTTCAGCAGCAACCCTGAGATGCTTTACAGCCCTAGACCCTAAAAAGTCAAAAGGCCGTCTTATTCTCAATATACATTTTATTACCCAATCTGCTCCCGACATTAAATAAAACTCCAAAAATTAAATTCTGGCCCTCAAACTCCACAACAGGACTTAATTAACCTCGCCTTCAAGGTGTACAATAATAGAAAAAAGTTGCAATTCCTTGCCTCCACTGTGAGACAAACCCCAGCCACATCTCCAGCACACAAGAACTTCCAAACGCCTGAACCGCAGTGGCCAGGCGTTCCTCCAGAATCTCCTCCCCCAGGAGCTTGCTACAAGTGCCAGAAATCTGACCACCAGGCCAAGGAATGCCTGCAGCCCAGGATTCCTCCTAAGCCATGTCCCATCTGTGTGGGACCCCACTGGAAATCAGACTGTTCAACTCACCTGGCAGCTACTCCCAGAGCCCCTGGAACTCCGACCCAAGGCTCTCTGACTGACTCCTTCTCGGCTTAGCAGCTGAAGACCGACGCTGCCCGATCACCTCGGAAGCCCCGTAGACCATTATGGATGCCGAGCTTTAGGTAACTCTCACAGTGGAGGGTAAGTCCATCCCCTTCTTAATCAATACGGAGGCTACCCACTCCACATTACCTTCTTTTCAAGGGCCTGTTTCCCTTGCCTCCATAACTGTTATAGGTATTGACAGCCAGGCTTCTAAACCTCTTAAAACTCCCCAACTCTGGTGCCAACTTAGACAATACTCTTTTAAGCACTCCTTTTTAGCTATCCCCACCTGCCCAGTTCACTTATTAGGCCGAGACACTTTAACTAAATTACCTGCTTCCCTGACTATTCCTGGATTAACAGCTGCATCTCATTGCTGCCCCTCTTCCCAATCCAAAGCCTCCTTTGTGTCCTCCTCTTGTATTCCTCTACCTTAACCCACAAGTATAAGATACCTCTACTCCCTCCTTGGCGACCGATCCTGCACCCCTTACCATCTCATTAAAACCTAATCACCCTTACCCCGCTCAATGCCAATATCCCGTCCCACAGCATGCTTTGAAAGGATTAAAGCCTGTTATCACTCGCCTGCTACAGCATGGCCTTTTAAAGCCTACAAACTCTCCTTACAATTCCCCCATTTTACCTGTCCTAAAACCAGACAAGTCTTACAAGTTAGTTCAGGATCTATGCCTTATCAACAAAATTGTTTTGCCTATCCACCCCATGGTGCCAAACCCATATACTCTCCTATCCTCAATACTTCCCTCCACAATCCATTATTCTGTTCTGGATCTCAAACACGCTTTCTTTACTATTCCTTTGCACCTGTCATCCCAGTCTCTCTTCGCTTTCACTTGGACTGACCCTGACACCCATCAGGCTTGGCAAATTACCTGGGCTGTACTGCCGCAAAGCTTCACAGACAGTCCCCATTACTTCAGTCAAGCCCAAATTTCTTCCTTATCTGTTACCTATCTCAGCATAAGTCTCATAAAAACACAGGTGCTCTCCCTGCTGATCGTGTCTGATTAATCTTCCAAACCTCAATCCCTTACAAAACAACAACTCCTTTCCTTCCTAGGCATGGTTAGTGCGGTCAGAATTCTTACACAAGAGCCAGGACCACATCCTGTAGCCTTTCTGTCCAAACAACTTGACCTTACTGTTTTAGCCTAGCCCTCATGTCTCCGTGCAGCAGCTGCCGCTGCCCTAATACTTTTAAAGGCCCTCAAAATCACAAACTATGCTCAACTTACTCTCTACATTTCTCATAACTTCCAAAATCTATTTTCTTCCTCACACCTGACGCATATACTTTCTGCTCCCCGGCTCCTTCAGCTGTACTCACTCTTTGTTAAGTCCCACAATTACCATTGTTCCTGGCCCGGACTTCAGTCTGGCCTCCCACATTATTCCTGATACCACACCTGACCCCCATGACCGTATCTCTCTGATCCACCTGACATTCACCTCATTTCCCCATATTTCCTTCTTTCCTATTCCTCACCCTGATCACGCTTGATTTATTGATGGCAGTTCCACCAGGCCTAATCGCCACACACCAGCAAAGGCAGGCTATCCTATAGTACAAGCCACTAGCCTGCCTCTTAGAACCTCTCATTTTCTTTCCATCGTGTAAATCTATCCTCAAGGAAATAACTTCTCAGTGTTCCATCTGCTATTCTACTACTCCTCAGGGATTATTCAGGCCCCATCCCTTCCCTACACATCAAGCTCGAGGATTTGCCCCCACCCAGGACTGGCAAATTAGCTTTACTCAACATGCCCCGAGTCAGATAACTAAAATACCTCTTAGTCTAGGTAGACACTTTCACTGGATAGGTACAGGCCTTTCCTACAGGGTCTGAGAAGGCCACCACAGTCATTTCTTCCCTTCTGTCAGACATAATTCTTCAGTTTAGCCTTCCCACCTCCATACAGTCTGATAACAGACCAGCCTTTATGAGTCAAATCAGCCAAGAAGTTTTTCAGGCTCTTAGTATTCAGTGAAACCTTTATATCCCTTATGGTCCTCCATCTTCAGGAAAAGTAGAACGGACTAAAGGTCTTTTAAAAACACACCTCACCAAGCTCAGCCACCAACTTAAAAAACACTGGACAATACTTTTACCACTTGCCCTTCTCAGAAGTCAGACCTGTCCTCAGAATGCTACAGGGTACAGCCCATTTAAGCTCCTGTATAGATGCTCCTTTTTATTAGGCCCCAGTCTCATTCCAGACACCAGACTAACTTAGACTGTGACCCCAAAAAACTTGTCATCCCTACTATCTTCTGTCTAGTCATACTCCTATTCACCATTCTCAACTATTCATACATGCCCTGCTCTTGTTTACACTGCCAGTTTATACTGTTTCTCCAAGCCATCACAGCTGATATCTCCTGGTGCTATCCCCAAACTGCCACTCTTAACTCTTGAAGTAAATAAATAATCTTTGCTGACAGGACTATGCTGAATTTCCTTAGGCACTCTAATTAGATGTCCTAGGTCCTCCCAATTCTTAGACCTTTAATACCTGTTTTTCTCCTTCTCTTATTCCGTTTAGTTCTTCAATTCATACAAAACCATATCCAGGCCATCACCAATAATTCTAAATGACAAATGTTTCTTCTAACAGTCCCACAATATCACCCCTTACCACAAAATCATCCTTCAGCTTAGCCTCTCCCACTCTAGGTTCCCACCCGCCCCTAATTCCGCTTGAAGCAGCCCTGAGAAACAGCGCCCATTATCTCTCCATACCACCCCCCAAAATTTTCACTGTCCCAACACTTTACCAGTATTTCATTTTATTTTTCTTATTAATATAAGAAGACAGGAATGTCAGGCCTCTGAGCCCAAGCTAAGCCGTCATATCCCCTGTGACCTGCACGTACACATCCAGATGGCCGGTTCCTGCCTTAACTGATGACATTCCACCACAAAATAAGTGAAAATGGCCTGTTCCTGCCTTAACTGATGACATTGTCTTGTGAAATTCCTTCTCCTGGCTCATCTGGCTCAAAAGCTCCCCTACTGAGCACCTTGTGACCCCCACTCTGCCCTCCAGAGAACAACCCCCCTTTGACTGTAATTTTCCTTTACCTACCCAAATCCTATAAAACAGCCCCACCCCATCTCCCTTCGCTGACTCTCTTTTCTGACTCAGCCCGCCTGCATCCAGGTGAAATAAACAGCCATGTTGCTCACACAAAGCCTGTTTGGTGGTCTCTTCACAGGGAAGTGCATGAAACTCACCTGTGTGCTTCCCCTTCTGCAAGGAGCTGAGAGCTGCGGGCTGAGTAGCAAGATATTCCTGTTGGGAGACCTATGATGGGGTCAGGGAAAATTTCCTGTTTCGGAAGGAGAGAGAGGTCTTGGTCAACTACCAGATGCTTGCCATCCTTACCACATTTCCACAGATTTTATTAGGTAGATATAAATGATATCTATAATTAGATATTATCTAATTATCTATAACTATCTAATTATCTATAATTAGATATTAGATAATATCTAATTATAGATATTTATAATATCTGTATATTATATATAATATCTATAATAATTATATAATATTTAATTATATAATTATAGATATATATTATATATAATTAGATATATCTATAATTAGATAATTAGATAATATCTAATTATAGATATTATTTCTAGCTACATATACATATGTACATAGCTATCAATATATCTGTGTACATATGTGTATATATAGATAGATATAGATATTTTTATCTATATATCTGTGTTTCTATCAATCTATCTAATCTATCTATCCTATTGGTTCTTTTTCTCTGAAGAACCTAATATAATACACTCATCTTCAAAATTATATCCAGAAATGACCACATCTCATCACTACTATTGCCAGCATTCTGGATCATGCTACCATTGTTTCTCATTTTCTATTTGCCTTAAGAATTATTCCCATAGGATTTAATCAGAAGTAAGATTAGATAGTTGTTTTAAAAATAATTTTCCCCAGTTTCACCAGGGAGTGGGTTGGCAGACTTCCTTATACTGTCAGGCTGGAAGTTGATTCCCTCTTCCCCCATGTAAACTTCTGAATGTGCTATTTTTACTTTTAATTACAAAAATATTTTTATTTTTAATTACACAATTTTCTTATAACACTTCTCAACGATATAGACCTTTGTAAAAATAGTATAGTTAAACTCCTTTTACCCTCCAGCCAATTCCACTCCCTAGGATAAACTACTGCTAAGTAAAGTAAATAAATAACTTTTAAATAACATAAATTGAACTTGACAGTAACAGGTATCTCTTGTAAACTGCACGTGACACAGTTATTTCAACCCTTCTCACATCACTTCCGTAGTTTTCAAGTAGCATAACTTATAGGCCAAGCTGTGCACAAGACTTAATCTGTGTTACCTGTTTCTAGCTCTGGCTTATTTCTGTGAAAGGAAAATAAATCTTGGGGCCCCAGATCACTAAGCTAAAGAGAAAAGTCAAGATGGGAACTGCTTAGGGCAAACCTGCCTCCCATTCTATTCAAAGTCATCCCTCTGCTCACTGAGATAAATGCATATCTGATTGCCTCCTTTGAAAAGGGTAATCAGAAACTCAAAATAATGCAACAGTTTGTCTCTCACTTACCTGTGACCTGGAAGCCCCCTTCCTGCTTCAAGTTGTCCTGCCTTTGATTTGAGTTGTCCCAACTCTTTGCACAGAACCAACATACATTTTACATATATTGATTGATGTCGTCTCATGTCTCCCTCAAATGTGTAAAACCAAACTGTTCGCCTACAACCTTGGGCACATGTCATCAGGATCTCCTGAGTCTGTGTCACAGGCACATGTTCTCAACCTTGGCAAAATAAATTTTCTAAATTAACTGAGACCTGTCTCCAATAGTCAGGGTTCACATTTCCATAAACTTTAATTAAATCCAGTGTTCAATTCCCAGAACTCATTGTATCTGAACCACTGCAGACATTTGATAGAGTTGAACACCGTCTTTCCTGAAACACCTTTCCACTTCCTTTCTGACTCCTAAACCTCCTAGTTCTCCGTATACTTCTATGGCTGCTCCTTCTCAGTCAGTTGTATTGGTTGCTACTCTTTTCCCTGACCTAAGAACTTTGCAGTCTTAGATCTCTGAATCTCTTTTCTGTCTATGCTTAAATCTTTTCCAATTTTCAACCAGACTGATAACTTTAAATGTTATCTATACACTGATCATTCCCAAATGTTCAACAACAGTTAGAACTCTCCTTAAACTTCAAACACATGTATCCAAGACGTATGCTCTTAGTTATTAACGAGAATCTCTAAATTCACATTGTCAAAGATGAGAGCTGATATTATACTTCTCCCCAGTCGGCTTCTCTCACAGCCTTCTCCAGCTCAGTAATCAACAGCATCATTCTTCCAGGTACTCAGTTCAACAATCATGGACTTAGCTTCTGCTGTCAAACCCTATATTCAATTATTGAGAAAATTTTGTTACCTCACTGTGATGGTCCAATTTATGTGTCAACTTGACTGGACTAAGGCATGCACAGTTATCTGGCAAAAAATTATTTCTGGGTGTGTTTGTGTGGGTGTTTTCAGAAGAGATTGGCATTTGAATGGGTAGACTGAGTAAGGAAGTTCCACCACCTCGCCAGTGTGGGTGGACATCACCCAATCTGTGAATGGCCAGTTTCACTCACGTCCGTGTGAAGAGACCACCAAACAGGCTTTGTGTGAGCAGTAAAGCTGTTTATTTCACCTGGGTGCAGTCAGGCTGAGTCCGAAAAGAGAGTCAGTGAAGGGAGATAGGGGTGGGGCCGTTTTATAAGATTTGGGTGGGTAGTGGAAAATTACAGTCAAAGAGCGTTGTTTTCTGGTGGGCAGGGGCAGGGGCCACAAGGTGCTCAGTGGGGGAGCTTTTGAGGCAGGATGAGCCAGGAGAAGGAATTTCACAAGGTAATATCATCAGTTAAGTCAGGAACCGGCCATTTTTCACTTCTTTTGTGGTGGAATGTCATCAGTTAAGGCAGAAACAGACCATTTTCACTTCTTTTGTGATTCTTCAGTTACTTCAGGCCATCTGGATGTATACGTGCAGGTCATGTGGGATATGATGGCTTAGCTTGGGCTCAGAGGCCTGACAGCCAGAATAGGACAAAAAGGCAGATGAAGGATGAATTCTTTCTCTTTACTTGAGCTAGAGCTTCCATCATCTCCTGAGTTTGGACATCAAAGCTCTAGATTCTCTGGCCTTTAGTCTTCAAGACTTATCCCAGGAACTCTGCAACTCTGTGTTCATACTTTCAGACTCAGATTGGGAGTTACACCCTCTGGTCTCAAGGTTCACAGGCCCTCAGACTTAACTGAATTTCCATCGTCTTTATTGGTTTGCCAGCTTGCAGAAGGAAGATTGTGGAACTCCCTGGCCTCCATAATCATGTGAGCCAATTCTCATAATAAATCTCTCTCTCTGTTTCTTTTTGTTTCTTTCTCTATCTATATATATACAAATATTTGTGTCCATATATTAGCTATACATATAGATACCTATATCTATATTTGTATCTATACACCTGACCTAAGAACTTTGCAGTCCTGAGTTAGATTTCTGAATCTCTTTTCTCTCTATGCTTAAATCTTTTCTGATTTTCAACCAGACTGATAACTTTAAATGTTATCTATACACTGATGATTCCCAAATGTTCAACAGCAGTTAGAACTCTCCTTAAACTTCAAACACATGTATCCAAGACGTATGCTCTTAGTTACTAACGAGAATCTCTAAATTCACATAGTCAAAGATGAGAGCTGATATCATACTTCTCCCCAGTCTGCTTCTCTCACAGCCTTCTCCAGCTCAGTAATCAACAGCATCATTCTTCCAGGTACTCAGTTCAACAATCATGGACTTAGCTTCTGCTGTCAAACCCTATATTCTTCTTTAAATATATCTGGATTTGTATATATAGATGTCCTCTTTATATATGTATGTATACATATTCTATATATCAGGCTATCAATATATCTGTGAACATATGTATATATAGATAAAAATGTCTATATCTATGTTATAGATAAAATATCTATATTTATGTTTCTATCAATCTATTTATATCTACCTATTCTATTGGTTCTATATCTCTGGAAAACCCTAATACAATACACTCATCTTTAAAATTATATCCAGAATGGTGACCACATCTCATCACTGTTATTGCCAGCATTCTGGAGCATGCTGCCATTGTTTGTCTTTTAGATTATTGTAATAGACTTTTAATTAATTAGTCTCCCAAAAGTAAACAGATAACATACTAAAATATGTTAATTAGAAAGTTTATTTATGAAGACATTTTATAAAGGTATGTGTAGTAGTCTATTCTCATGCTGCTAATATAGACATACTCAAGACTGGGTAATTTATAAAGGGAAGAGGTTTAATTGATTCACAGCTCAGCATGGCTGGGGTTGCCTCAGGAAACTTACAATCATGGTAGAAGGCAAAAGGGAAGCAAGGCATCTTCTTCACAAGGCAGCAGGAAGGAGAAATGCCTAGGAAAGGGGGAAAAGCCACTTATAAAACCATCGGATCTTGGGACAACTCACTCACTATCATGAGAATGCCATGGGGGCAACTGCCTCCATGATTCAATTACCTCCCACCAGGTCCCTTCCACAACATTTGGGGATTGTGGGATCTACAACTAAAGATGAGATTTGGGTGGGGACACAGCCAAACCATATCAGTATGAGTATAAAGAGACTGGAACTGGAAGTAGTGACAGCGAGACTCTTTTCATTTCTGGGCCTGGATACTTGTGAATGTGACCTTATTTGAAAGTAGGGTCTTGGAAGATGATTAAGTTAAGGTTTCTTTTAGGGTGGGCTCCACTTTAATATGACTGGTGCCTTTATGAAAAGCAGAAATTTGAACAAGATAGATATGTACAGAAGGAAGAAAATTCAACACACAAAGAACCAAGGAAGCTACAAGCCAAGAAACAGCTGAGGCTATAAGGAACCTAGGAAAGAAGCATGGAACACATTTCCTCCAGAGCCTTCAGAAGGAACTATCCCTGTTGATACTTTGATTTCAGACTTCTGGCCTCCAGAATTGTGGGACAATAACTTTCTGTTATTTAAGTCACTCAGTTTGTGGCATTGTGTTATGACAGCCCAGGAAATTAATACCAATGAGAAGAATGTGACAAACCCAGGTTACAGAGTTGAATAAATTTAGCAGATTTGAAAGTGTCACTGACCTTTTATTAAGTAGTATAACCTGCCATAGGCAAACTCATGGGGTAAAGCAAAGGAAATAAACTCTGACCTCACTCTGCTGCCTCCCTCTGTTCTCCCAGGTTCTCCTGAAAGCTGCTAATGTAGTGCATACAGGTTTGCTTCCTAGGGCAGAGAAAGGGTGAAAAGGGTGGAAGGTGCTTCTGGAAAGCTAAAAGGCAGTTTTCTGAGACACTTTCTAACTAGTTCCCTTCACCTTCTCTTTTCCTCCTATTGCTTACTCTCAACACAGGATCCAGAGTGATGTAGCTGAAATAGAAAAAACAAAAACAAAAAACAAAAGACATGTCATTCCTCTGCTTAAAATCCTCCCAACACAAACCTATCCAAAAGCCCTTAGAAGGATCTGTAAAGTCATACATGTGTGGCTGGTCATTGCCTGTTACCTTACCTCCTAGTATCCTCTCCCTTACTCACTCTGTCACAGTTGACCTGGCCTCCTCGCTTTACACTTGCTCAGTTTGAAGTCCTTCCTCAGATGTCTACATGACTTCCGTTCTCCTTTTATGCAGGTCTTTACTCAGTAAGGTGTCCTCAGACCACTCTGTCTAACATATTAAGCTTGTATTCTCCAAACACGTTGCCTATTCTCCTCCTTCTTAACATTTATCATTATCTAAAAAGTTGTATATTAACTGAAGTACTGCCAATTTTGGTATGGCATATAAAAAGTTTAGAGGTTGCCGTTCCATCCTAACAACAAAATGCTGGACAACTTACAAAATCAACAACTCTTCTTAGGTCTGTAAGAGAAGTGAGGTTATAGGGCAAACCATTGTCCCCAAAATTGGAAAGACAGAAAAGCAAATACAGAGAATCACAATTTTTGTGACTATTGACAAACTAATTTTATATTTTACATGGAGAGGTTAAAAAAATCCAGAAGATTGGCTAGGCGTGGTGGCTCATGCCTGTAATCCCAGCACTTTGGGAGGCTGAGGCTGGTGGATCATGAGGTCAGGAGATTGAGACCATCCTGGCTAACATGGTGAAACCCCGTCTCTACTAAAAATACAAAAAATTAGCCGAGTGTGGTGGCACATGCCTGTAGTCCTACCTACTCGGGAGGCTGAGGCAGGAGAATCACTTGAACCCAGGAGGCAGATGTTGCGGTGAGCAGAGATTGTGCTGCTGCACTCCAGCCTGGGTGACAGAGCAAGACTCTGTCTCAAAAACAAAAACAAAACCAGAAGATCTAGCACAACATTCAAAAAGAACAAAGTTGGAAGACGGACACTACTCAACTTCAAGGCTTACTATAAAGCTATGGCAATCAAGACAGTGTGGTATTGGCAAAAGAATAGACAAATAAATAAATAGAATGGAATAGAGTCCAGAAATAAACCCACATAAATACAGTCAACAAGCCTTTGACAAAGAGTGCTAAAATGATGTCTATTTTTTTAAAAACTATATATTTTACGTATTTATCCTGTTTCTTGTCTCCCTCCTCCACTGTACGCCCCTTCAAGGTAGGGCTATTTGTCTATTTTGTTTACTGTTGAATTTCCAGTGCTTAGAATAGTGCTGCATTCTGGGCTCTGATGCATATATGTTGAATGCATGAATAAATGCCTTCCCTTTTTGTTTTTCAATCTTATGAGCTTAATCTTCTTTAGTTACTGCAGTTGTTTTGAAGTCTATTATTGCTACCATCAAATTTTCTGGTATAAAGAGATACAACGAGACAGATGGCTTTGTTGTAGTTGATACTTAATGACTTGCTGTAATGAACAGTGAATCCCTAAAACCCAAATGCTGGCACAGATTCTGTACATTCTATCTTTCTGATAAGCCTGCAACATTTCTTGGTAACAAGCAATGCAATTTCAAGGAAATTTTGTATATACTTTTCAATTGGAGAGCCATTTTGTTTTTAGTTTCCCTTTCTTTTCCAAGACACCCTATTCAAGGTAATACAATATGTTCCTTAAATGTAAGCAATGATGGCAGACGGTATTTATTGTTTTGTCTAGAACTATTTTGAAATATTTAGTCAAGGACACACATTGCATTTTAGCAAACATTTCTTTTGGAAGAAAACTATGAACATCAAGTACTACCAAATTGCACTGTCAACTCTATGTATAACTATAAGGAAAAAATAATGCTATTTTTATTGCTATTCTTTTTATAGATTTGATATTATGGATCCTGGGTAAATATGTTATTACTAAAAGCCTACAGGAGTTGACTGAAATATCCCTATTCTTTGCCACGTTTTGGACTTCAGTATAGACTATTACACTGATTTTTGTGGCCAGTAATCCTTGCTATACTTTTCTTCTTCTCAGTGCTCTCATTAGCCTTTTGTCTTTTTTATTCTAATACAAATCACTGTCAAGTTTTAGACTCACTGTCACTAAAATGTAGATCCTTATAAGTCTCTCATGGTGTATCTGTACAAACATTCAGCCTTTTCAAAGGTTACATTATGTGTTCTTCATAACAGCAAGAGAATATGAATTAGAAAACACAAAGAAAACAGCTCTCAAGAAAATTTTATAACTTTTAAATACATTTTTGATGGCTTACATTTTACCAAGATTTGAAATTTTCAATGAAATCCAGAAAATCTTATAGTCATACGGAAAATAAAAATTAGCACTTTTTATGGGATAAAAGTTGTTTATTTTAACAACAAATTAAGGTGAGTAGGTCATGAAAGGTCCATGTTCTTATACTAAGCCAACTTTTTTTGATAGCATAACAGCGTTCCTAACAGTGTTTTAAACAAGACAGCTTTCTCTGAGGATGGGAAAGAAATTTTGATTTTTTTTTCTAAGCTTCCCTTCTTTCCCTGATTCTAGCCTTCCACCAGTTTCCTTCAATTCCAAGTTGTTTGTCTCTATATACTCTATAAAATCTTTTTTCTTTCTGTAGTTCTGGGTAACCATAAATGCCAAGGATGTGTTTCGCATACTCCTTCCTTGCATTGCTCATTTGTGTGTGTGGTGTGTGTGTGTGTGTGTGTGTTTATGTGTGTAAAATTTGAAATAAAATTTTCATCAGTTCATCTTTAAACTTAAAAGCAATCTACGTAAAATGAAAACAGATATGCTTATCTCTTAACATCTTTGACTGGGTTCATTTGGTTTAGAGAAGTTAGGGTGAGGTGCTCAGAATGCTGTTTGAATTGAAATCTGAGATCAGATCCTTTTCTGTGGTCTCCAAGGCACAGATGGAAGCACAATCACATACGGAAAAGCTTTCTTAGGGCTATGACCTTGAATGTCTCTTCAAAAGATGAAGCAACTAATTTAAAAATAAAATGCAAATATTACCTGTTAATTTTGTGCCATATATTCATGTATCTTTCTGAAAAATATGTCATTTAACTGAACTCAAATTTTGATAGTAAAAATTACTTAAACCAATGTAAATATTGGCATACTTTGGAATACATCAAATTCTTTTAAAGTGAATTGCTGCATTGTGTAGGTCTTAAGAATAAAATAGGAAAGAAAAGAGAAGTCTTTACTTTTTAAAATACAATGTTTTTTAAAAAATTAATAAAAAACTAGACAAACAAAAAGGAGCTCTACTTAGCCAGCAATAGATCCAACCAAACTATTTTAAAGCAGTTTTCAGAGCAAATATTATGGAAGACATTTATTCCTCTACATATTTGCCAGTTATCCTTTAACTTCAAGGATACTGCTTGCTGCTTCAGAATAGCTCTGCTGAAGTTGTGTGTATAGAGAAATGGGCATGATTGCTCATTGCAGGGCTAAGTGGCAGCTTAAGACTTAAAGGCACACATTTATAAAGTTCAGAGCTTTCTCAAGTGTCAGTTAGCATGTACTTGATGAAGTAGCTCAGTGAGGAAGCCAGCTGGCCTGCAGTCATACTAACTGCAAGATCAATGATTAATACCAAAGTGTTCACATATTCAAAAGAGAAGTTTAATCCTGTGAAATCCCTTACTGTGCTGCTCTCAAGTTTGATTGGGGATGACAGGTGCCATAAGAGAGCCTCTTGACTAACAGCAAAGAATTGTAACAAGATAATGAACAGAACAAGCTTGAAAAGAACAAGAGAAGAAAAGAAGTGTAGGTGGTGGCAAGAAGAAATCTGAGGAGAAGTCTCCCTTGAAATGTGAAGGTTTCAAGCTGTTTTCAAAATAGAGAAAACATAGAGAATATTTGTATATATGCTTTGAAAATCTTCTGCCAGAAAATTAAAAGTGAGATAAAACATTTAGTTTTGCAATAGATATTTCTCAATATGGATATATCATGTCCTCCATTTCAGAGCAGTACAAGAAAAAATAGAAGTAAAATATGCTGATAGATCTTCACCCCTATAGTGAAACCATGTTTAAACTTTTGTAAAATAGGGTTAAGCATAAGCACTTTGGATAATTTTAAGTTTACTATTTTCTTTTAAAATCATATCCAAAGTATATAGAAACCCATACAGAAATGTGGCAAATTGTTTCCCTATATTTCTTTCCATCAACTAATATACATGCCACTTAATAGTAGTTAATGTAGTATATAGCTCAACAACAACAATGACAACAAAATCACTTAGCAATTGAATACAAAACTTCTTCAAGCCTCAGGGCTATCATCTAAAATTTGAAATAATAATCCAGCTTCTTAAAGATCCTATGAGGCTTAAAAGAGATAACAGATATAAAGTAAAATGTTTGGTGTAGTGTTTAGCACATTCTAAGTGATCAATAAAGGATAGATACTACTATTATTATTTGAGGAAATAGTAAATTAAAATTTCAACTTAGATGTCAATTATAATAGATACATAGATAGATAGATAGATAGATAGATAGAATAGATAAAGAATTCCCAAAGAAAGGTATGAATGGTTTCAAAGTATGCCAAAAAATACTCCTTGGGCAGCTCTAAAATTCAAAGGAGACAATAAAAGGGCTAAAGGAAGAGATTCTTTTGAAGAGATTTATTGTGATATAGTTGCTGAAGTGATTTGACTCTCACTCATTCCTCTTTAAGGGACAGGTTGAGGTGTTCACTTCTAATGTCAATTCTTGTGTGCACTCCCTTCAAGAAGACAATTCTGAAAGCTTGGCTGGTGCCCCAGGAATTGTGGAAAAATGTTGGTAGGGTTATCTGTGCATGTATGAAGTATCCAAAGGATGGAACAGCCCGAGGCCACAGTGTAGAGGGAGCTACTGATGCATTAGGGAGCAAGAGATTAACCTGGCAATGGTGGAGGAAAGTGCAATACCTCCAGAGATGAGTTGTGCAAAACCCAGTGAGAATGCAGGTATTTATTAAATGGGATCTTTCCAAAATGCCTTCTGTTAGAATGTTGGGTGCCCAACAAGGAAAGTCTGTGTAGGTAGGCCCTAGAGGAAACCTGAAGCTGACGTGGATGCAAAAGCAGCCACCCAAGGCAAAAGTACGAGGGTAACAGGAGTACATCAGGGCATTTCTAAAGAATCTCCCAAAATGCCCCCAAAGGAAAAAATCAGAATTAAACAGTAGCCATGCTCAGAGGCTGTAAAATTCTGTAATTACAATGGTCAAATAATAAGTTTACATACTTCTTTCCCTCTTCCTTTTCTCTGTTTCAATTCCAAGGAGCCAAAAACCCCATGTATCAGTCAGATTAGGTGAGTTGCAACAACAAACAAATCTTAAATCTTCTTGGATTAAAACAAAAAGTTTAATTTTTCATTTATGTCATATGCCCTTTGCAAGTCAACAGGAAGTCTCTGCTTATTACAGTACTTGGAAACATAGATCAGTGAAGCTGTACCTACATAAACATTTCAGATTACACAGAAAAGAGACTCAGGAGGATCTCACATTAACAATTAAATGCCAACACTTTATCACTCACAACCTGTCCAGAACTAGCCCTGTGGTCCAGCCAATCACTGTATTCCAGGAAGAGCAATGCCACCTTATATACAGAAGATTGAGAGTGAGAAACAGTTGATAAACATCACTAACAACTGCCATAACCTGCCCTTTGGCCAAAATTAAAAATTTATATACTCTCTCTTTCACAGTCAAAACATGCTACCCTCTTCCTCACAGATACAACCTCAAAGCCTTATCTAATTCTAAAACTGCTGGGGGATGACTAATAGTCTCAGTATCAGGTCTGATATGTTTCCTCTTGACTTTGAGGCCAATGAAAAAAAGGACAAGTTCTCTGCTACCCACACAGACAAAATACAACAATGAAACAGGGACAAAATAACCACAGGAAACAATCCTGTTTGTAAAATGTCTGGCCGATAGCAGACTTACAAACATACTTTAAACGCTCCCTTTTCCTGATGATGGGGAATAGTTTAGGCCCTAATTTTGTACCCCCATTCCCACTAAGAAACCCTTAGTGTTCTCTGTGATAGATACCTGTGTGGTATCTGACCTGTGTCTTTTACAGTATTCTTTGATAACAAAGAATACTTCTCGGAGTTAAGCAGATTTTGAAGCATGTAACTTGCCAACATGTGGTGGGAGACCCAAAGGTCATTTTCAGTCTTAAGCGTTCACAATTTGTTTTAAACAAGGCTGATGGTTTTTTTTGTAGTAGTAATTTCCAAATGACTTAGGAAATTTCTGGACATGAGAACGTAATCAATTTGGTATCAGTCATTTCCATGTTGCAATGGCCATATCCTCAGTTCTCCTCTAGATATATCTCTAAGATTTGCTATATTTCTTTTCTTTCTTTCTTTTTTTTTTTTTTTTACATGGAGTTTCACTCTGTTGCCCAGGCTGGAGGGCAGTGGTGCGATCTCAGCTCACTGTAACCTCCACCTCCTGGGTTCAAGCAATTCCCCTGCCTCAGCCTCCTGAGTAGCTGGGATTACAGGCACGCTCACCAAGCCTGGCTAAGTTTTCTATTTTTAGTAGAGACGGGATTTCACCATGTTGGTCAGGCTGGTCTCCAACTGTTGACCTCGTGATCCACCCGCCTTGGCCTCCCAAAGTGCTGGGATTACAGGCGTGAGCCACCATGCCCAGCAGATTTGCTGTATTTCTATGCTTTTTTCTACTCTTGATTATTTCTTTCTCTAGAATTAACTGTCGGCATTTTGAGCTTTTCATACATCTATGTGATAGCAGCAGGAGGCAGACAAACGCCTAAGCAGATAGGGGCGGGTCCCTGGTGAAACTCCTTCAAGCTCAAAAAACAGCCTGAAGGCTGAAAGACTGGACTGCTGGTCCCAGATGAAGCCCGCGACCCAGAGTGAGAACTTCTGTTCCTGTTTACTTCCCCTTTCCCTATTGATTCTTTCTGAATAAGGCCTCTTAACCAATTGAATGTTGCCTTTTCCAGTACCACCTATGGCCTGCCCTTCCTCTATTCTGAGCCCATAGGTGTCCAGGACTGCCCGGGACTCAGCCACACTGGGGGATCTTTTCAGTCTTTGGGTAGGGAGACCACCCCCGCATCCCTTCTCCGCAGAAAGCTGTTTCATCACTCAATAAAACTCTGCCTTGCTCACTCTTCAATTGTCAGCATATCTTCATTCTTCTTGGGCGCCAGACGAGAGCTCAGGACCCACTGAGTGTGGGTACCCCAAAAGGCTGTCCCATTGCCCTTTTGCCCTTGCCAGCAGAGGGCAGCTGCCCCACGCAATGGGGCCAGGGGCCGATTGAGCTGTGAACACACCATGTCCATTGGGCGGTGGACAGCACAATTAAAAGAGCTAATGAACACACTAACACCCTGCTGGGGCTTCAGGGTTGTGGGTACCCTTGCCTGGGTGCTGCCACATTCCCCTTGAGGTGACATGCCTGGTCTGGCTGTGAGCCCCGCAGGTAGCTTGAACCTTTGTCGGTGCTTGGAGTGGCTGGCCGGATCCTGCACTCACTCACTCGGGCGCTCCCTCCCACAAGGGGCTGAGCATGGCAGGCAGAGTAGACGGGGTACCCCTGCTGCAAGTCTTTTATAGAGGCTGGGAGAAAATTCCTGTGTCATTTGGGAAAGTCACACATTGATCTTATATCTCTGAGCCATGTTGTCCAATTCAAAGCCATTTGGCACCACATTTTCAACTGGGTCTTTGTCCTAAATCTAGTTAAATTTATTTTGTGGTTTTAGCAATGCATGTGAGGACTATACTATTGATTTGATTCTTGCTACAAAATTAAATTTTAATTGTCATTGTTTCCTCAAAGACTTTCTCAGTTTAATTTTTTTCTAGTAGCTGATGAAAAGTGGTTGCATTTTCATTTTTCAGCTCTGAAAGTTCCCAAATTTCAGGACTCTCCTGATTTCTTGTTCCTGTTCTAAAAGCAGCAAATTATTTCCTGACAGACCCTCCTCCTTGCAGTAAGTTGCCAAACTCAGCCAACAACTCAGCCAACAACAACAAAAACACACTGGTAATATTTTGTTTTTTAACCTTTTCCCTTCAAGCTACAAATTCATTAAGTAAATATCTTTTAAGTTATTAACTCAACTGACATTTTACAGGGTCTAATAGCAGTTTCTCTATTGCTTGCTATGTGGTCCCTAAACCAGTGCCACATATTTCTAGTCAGGAGAGGTTACATTGTCCTTGTGTAATGACACAGCCCAAAATATCAGTAATTTAGTAGAACAGTTTATTTTTTGTTGCTATTACATTTCCTTGTGGTTAATGGAATGCGAAGTGAGGATAGGAAGGGAGTGCCTTCTCAGAAGAGACCCAGGTGAATAACTCTCTTGAATGTAGCTGTTCCCCCAGTCCAAAGGAGAGATTTTTGGAGGGTTCTTTATCAACCATTATATATTCTGTTACAAAAGTGACTTATGCCACTTCCTACTTGCAGGTCATTGGCTACAATTATTGACACAGTTGCACCCAGTGACAAAGGGGCCAAGAAATGCAGTTCTCCCATGTGCACTCAGGTGGAAAACATCATGAATGGCTGAGGCAACATGGTTGCTACCAGAGTTAGGAAAGGAAAAGATCATGAAACTAACCTCCCAAGCAATGGGTAGCCTGCTCGATGTTGACCCCTGCCAGGGGAGGAAATAATATTTAATTGTAAATAATGTTCAGAGTTTTGATTATTGCATTATATTGATCACCCTAAGTTGATTATGTTTTATGACTCTAGGTGTCATTGGACTGTTTATTATCAAATAGCAAGAAAAAAATTATGGATCTATCTACAGTTTTCATTCTATGGCCCTACTGGATAAATTTCAAGGTGACAGATGTGAGACACAAACAAATTTTCCTTTTGATGACAAGAGTTGTACCTGTTTGGCCATTAAATGACCATTTAAATCACCATTAAACGCCCACCTCCATCATCATCATCAGTTGCACTTATGTTTATGAAAGCCATGGATTGGTGAGCACATCAGCTCAAGCTCGCCTAGCTGTCATCGGTCAATAATCCATAAAGGAGAAGGAAAAATTTCCTCCAGAATCAAAACCCATGCCTGGCTCTTTGATTGAAAGTACCATACAACAATTCATTTTTAAGTTTTTTTTTTTAATTCTCCGAAGCACTCTGTCTCAGATTGCAAGTACTTTGGTTGCAAGCACTACCAGGTGACTTTGGCAAAATTAAGCTAAAATATATTTAATGGGTGCACATGAGGTAGCTCAGAGGGTTTAAATGAGGGCTAAAGAACTAAACTTGAAACAGATATGAAAAGGAAGCTGTAGAGACTCAGTGGCACTGATTGTTAGGTTGTTTCTACATTGCTAAGATGAATAAACAAATTCCAAATTTTCTCTTGTCTTAGTCACTCCTCTAATGATTCAATTTCTGAAGAGAGAGGGTTGATTGGTTAAACTTAGTTTGATTACTTGCCCACTCATTCTTTACTGTATCTTTGCAGTGAGAAGAATTATGTAGTTTTGATGGAAGAAGTCTCCAGGGTTACAAATTTTCTCTTCTTCTGTTGGTGGCAGAGCACAGTACCTTATGTTACCATTCTTAGGAACAGTGATAGTGGTTGTGTGGTAGCCATAAAACAAAACAAAAATGCCTGTAATCAGTTCACCTTGTTGTATGAATGTAAAATGTTTGAAGAATATAACTTTAATATTTTTCTCCTTAATGTAAAGAGCAACATTTTCAGAAAAATATTCTGGGAAGAAGTTTTGGGTCAATAACATGCTTCCTAGGTAAATTATCAACAACAAGGTACAAAAAGACATGCTTGAAAAAAATGATAAAATCATCTTATCTAAGCCACTTGATTCTTGATCCCCTCTTTCCTGGTATTGCATTCTGCTTTGAAAACCAAGCAGAGTAGCAACTAAAAGTTTCAGGCTTTATAAAGACATGTCTTTGGGAAAATTTCCTGCTCTGTCCCCAGATTTAGCCATTCCCTAGATGCTGGTAACCTAATGTAATTTCCTCAATGCAAATCAACTGATTTATTTGAGCCTTTCCCTGACCCTGACTATTAATTCTTGATGGAGGCGAGGCCCCGAGGTTGGTAATGCGATGGTAGCGGACGGAGTGAATTATGATTGTGTTGATTTCTTGGAGCCTTCTATAACACGTTGAAGGATTATTCAATGCCTTGTCATTACAAATAAGCTAGTACAAAACAAAGATGCAGTATTCATTCGATCTATAATACAAGTATTAGAGCTAACATGGTAGAATGGGGGAAGCTCTAGAAAAAAAGGAAAACTATGTTTTCTTTCTGCATGAAAGACAGCAAGAAAAAGCTACTTTAACATGCATTGTGTGTTGATGTTTTCTGTGCATTTCTCTGTCTATGCATAAAAAATTAAACCTTTTGACTGGTTAGCAGTTGGCCATGATTCATTTTTATTCACCACTGTCCATAACTGGATTAAATAATTATAATTCATCTTAACCATCTGAGACTCTCCCTGACATTTGGATGCCTCTGCCCTGCTGCTCACTTATGCTTAAGTTTGTACCTGCTCATTAACTGATTTGTCCTAAAAATAACTTTGAAAGTCTCAGTTCCTGAGCTGTTAGCAGTTAGCCTACAAAGCTAAGGTTATAAAATCAGCATCTGGCTAGAGCTCAAAAAGCTGACTCTGTTCTCATTTTTAAGGCTAAGATAAAGAAATGTATATTTAAACCTGCTTCTAATTAGCTCTTAAACTGTAAATCACTGAAGGCTATCATGAAGGAGGTGTCTCATCGTACTGAAGGGTTTGTTACTTCATTCCTGGCTTCAGAATTCATTATGAATTAGACATGTGAAAGCTACCATCTCTTGCCTATCCCACAAAATCTCAAGGTAAAACACGTAGTAATGGCACTCTGTTTTGTGGTTAAATATTTCCATGCAGAAGTTTTGCATTTTTAAGAAATAAACTTATCAACCTACTTTAAATTGATTTAATTCTAGATATTTCAGAATCACTGCATTTGGGAGTGCCAGAATTTATTTGATAATATTTGCATTTCATCTTTAAGTATTTACAAGTTTGGCTAAAACAATTCTTAACTTTTATAGCAAAAGACAATTCAGAGATAATTCCATGTATATAAATATTCTAGAGAAAAGAAACATTTTCTCTTTCTCCTATGTTCACATGGGGGCATAATGGGTAATTTCCTTTCTGAAAAAGAAGCAAAACTACTTTATATTTTAATACTAATTAATTAGACATTTAATTCAATTAAATAGACTGGTTAGCAAAATCAAGCTGTGGTGAAGAGTAGAGGACAAAGTTGAACAATTTGAAATATTAGAGTTTACAGTTAAATTGTATAATATTTTGTATAAGTCTTCATCCACTGATTTGTCACTTGTAGTTTGTACAATTGTTGGTTCACAAAACATTATTTTGTATTCTAAACTACGTGACGACAGACATCTTTAAGTGCTTCTCTTTTTATATCTAGTGAATAACTTAGCATATATAATGAGCTAGATAAAAATGCTTATTAAGGGTATTAATATTCTATAATTTTTAATAAATTATCATCCTAAATATTTATACAATTCTCATAGTGTGTTGTCTCTTTTTGTCTCTAAGAAGAGACTATTTATCTGAATAAAGTTTAATACACAGGTACAATATGAATTTTCTTCCTAAGTCTCAGTTACCTCAGGTTAAATGACATTTCAAACAGAGACTATAACTGTTTTTATTATTTTGTTGTTCCTTATTATTGTTATAAAATAAAGCATAAATAATATAAATTAAAACATTTCAGAGAGATGCAGAGAAAAGTGAAATTTATGCTTAATAAACATGATATCCCACTATACTGATTAGTACAACAGCCATAAGCAATATTTTATGTTTATTCAGAAACTTCGCAAGTATGCACATGTAGCTGTAATTATTGTAGAGATATAAAGGAAAAATACATACACATATAATATGCATAAAGTACTGTTATGGACTGAATTGTATTCCCCCACAAATTCATATGTTGAAGCCTTATCCCCCAATGTGCTTATAGTAGGAGACTGGACCTTTGAGGCCATCAGGGTGGGGCCCTGGGATTAATGACTTTATAATAAAGAGACACGAGAGAGCTTGCTTGCTTTCCTTCTGCCATTTGAGAACATAGCAAGAGGGAAGTCTTCTGTCTGCAAGTCAGGAAGGGGGCCCTCACTAGGAACTGATTATGCTGGCAATTTGATCTCAGACTTTCAGCTTCCAGAACTGTAA
The DNA here is from genome assembly GCF_000001405.40 of Homo sapiens. Lineage (NCBI taxonomy): Eukaryota > Metazoa > Chordata > Mammalia > Primates > Hominidae > Homo > Homo sapiens. The sequence goes on from NC_000005.10 coordinate 104,054,929, forward strand.
AAAATAAATTTATGTTGTTTAAGCCTCACAATCTATGTCGTTATGGCAACCCAAGTTGACTCAAACAGGTGTGATATAAAGGGGATGTATATGTCCCTTGAAAACTACTTTTGCATTTGAAGTTTTCTATCCAATGACAAAACTGAGAGATCCGTTCATATCAACATATATGAAGATAGTTAATCACTGATCAGGATTCTGTCATACAAAATTATAATTTAACTTACCAAGTCCCTATAGATAAACATGTACGTTGATTCTGGATCTCAGCTATTACGGACAACATTTTAGTGTACATTCTTGTAGGCACATCTTTGAGTAAAGCAGAATATATTTCTATGGTAGAATCCTAGAAATGCTTCTATAATTCTATCTAAATGATTCTATGATATAATCATAGAAATGATCCTCTGGGTAGATACCCAGTAGTGAGATTGCTGGATCAAATGGTGAATCTACTCTTAGTTCTTTAAGGAATCTCCATACTGTTTTCCACAGTTGTTGTACTAAGATTTTGGTGCACCTATCACTCGAGCAGTGTCCACTGCACCCAATATATATAGTCTTTTATCCCTCACCTCCCTCCCACCCTTCTCCCTGAGTCCCTAAAGTCCATTGTTTCCTTCTTATGCCTTTGCGTCCTCATAGCTTAGCTCTGACTTATAAGTGAGAATATATGACATTTGGTTTTCTATTCCTGAGTTACTTCACTTAGAATAATGGTCTCCAGTTCCAACCAGGTTGCCGTAAATGTCATTATTTCATTCCTTTTATGGATGAGTAGTATTCCATGGTGTATATGTATGTGTGTGTGTGTGTATCATTTTCTTTATCCACTTGTTCTTTGATGGGCATTTGGACTGGTTCCATATTTTCACAATTGTGAATTGTGCTGGTATAAACATGCATGTGCAAATGTCTTTTTCATATAAAGACTTCCTCTGGGTCAATACCTAGTAGGGGGATTGCTGGATCAAATGGTGGATCTACTTTTAGTTCTTTAAAGTATCTTCATACTGTTTTCCATAGTTATTGTACTAATTTACATTCCTACCAGAAGTGTAAAAGTGTTCCCTTTTCATCACCTCACAACATCTATTTTTTTTTTATTTTAAAATTATGGCCATTCTTGCATGAGTAAGGTGATATTGCATTGTGGTTTTGATTTGAATTTCCCTGATAATTAGTGGTGTTGAGCATTTTTTTCATATGTTTGTTGGCCATTTGTCTATTTCTTTTTGAGAATTGTCTATTCATGTCCTTAGCCCACTTTTTGATGTGATTATTATTTTTTTTTCTTGCTGATTTGTTTAAGTTACTTGTGGCTTCTGGATACTAGTCCTTTGTCAAACGCATAGTTTGCAATGATTTTCTCCCATTCTGTGGGATGTCTGTTTACTCTGCTGATTATTTCTTTTGCTGTTCAGAAGCTTTTTAGCTTTATTAAGTATAATCTATTTATCTTTGTTTTTGTTTTTGTTGAATTTGCTTTTGGTTTATTGGTCGTGAAATCTTTGCCTAAGCAAATGTCTAGAATTTTTATGGTTTCAGGCCTTAGATTTAAGTCTTTAATTCATCTTGAGTTGACTTTTGTGTAAGGTAAGAGATGAGGATCCAGTCTCATTCTTCTACATGTGACTTGCCAATTATCCCAACACCATTTGTTGAATAGAGTATCCTTTCCCCACTTCATGTTTTTGTTTGCTTTGTTGAAGATCAAAGTATTTGGCTTTATTTCTGAGATCTCTATTCTATTCCATTGGTCTACGTGCCTAGTTTTATACCAGTACTATGCTGTTTTGGTGAATATAGCCTTGTGGTATATTTTGACACTGGGTAAAGTGCTGCCTCCCAATTTGCTTTTTTTGCTTAGTCTTGCTTTGGCTCTGCAGGCTCATTTTTGGCTCCATATGAATTTTATGATTGTTTTATCTAGTTCTGTGAAGAATGAAGGTGGTATTTTGATGGTAATTGTATTGAATTTGTAGATTGATTTTGGCAGCATGGTCATTTTCACAATATTGATTTTACCCATCCATGAGCATGGGATGTGTTTCCATTTGTTTGTGACATCTATGATTTCTTTCAGTAGTGTTTCATAGTTTTCTTTGTAGAGGTTTTTTTACCTCCCAGTTTAGGTATATTCCTAAGTATTTTATTTGTTTTTCAGCTATTGTAAAAAGGGTTGAGTTCTTGATTTGATTCTCAGCTTGGTGTATAGCAGTGCTACTGATATGTATACATCGATTTTTGTATCCTGAAACTTTACTGAATTCATTTATTAGATCTAGGAGCTGTTTGGATGAGTCTTTAGGGTTTTCTAGGTATGCAGTCATATCATCAGCAGTGACCATTTGACTTCCACTTTACCAAACTGAATGCCTTTTTTATTTCTTTCTGGTATCTGATTGCTCTGGATAACACTTTCAGTACTATGTTGAATAGAAGTGGTGAAAGTGGGCATCTTTGTCTTGTTTCAGTTCTCAGGAGGAATGCTTTCCACTTTTCCCCATTTAGTATAATGTTGGCTGTGGGTTTATCGTAGATGACTTTTATTACCTTTAGGTATGTCCCTTCTATGCCAATTTTGCTAAGGGTTTTACTCATAAAGGGATGCAGATTTTGTCACATGCTTTTTCTTCATCTATTGAGATGATAAAGTAATTTTTGTTTTCAATTATGTTTATGTGGTGTATTACATTTATTGACTTGTGTATGTTAAACCATTCCTGCATCCCTGATATGAAACCCACTTAATCATGGTGTGTTATCTATTTGATTCTGCTGGAGTCAGTTAGCTATTACTTTGTTGAGGATTTTTGCATCTATGTTTATTAGGAATGTTGGTCTGTAGTTTTCTTTTTTTGTTATGTCCGTTCCTGATTTTGGTATTAAGGTGATACTGGTTTCATAGAATGATTTAGGGAGGATTCCCTCTTTCTCTATTTTGGAATAGTTTCAATAGGATTATCACCAATTCTTCTTTGAATGTCTGATAGAATTCAGCTGTGAATTAATCTCATCCTGAACTCTTTTTTGTTGGCCAATTTTTTATTACCATTTCAATCTCACTGCTTGTTATTAATCTGTTCAGAGTTTCTATTTCTTCCTGGTTTAATCTAGAAGGATTGTATATTTCCAGGAATTTATCTATCTCCTCTAGGTTTTCTAGTTAGTGTGCATAAAGATATTCATAGTAGCCTTGAATGATCTTTTGTATTTCTGTGGTATTGGTTGTAATATCTCCTCTTTCATTTCTAATTGAGATTATTTGGATTTTCTCTCTTTTTCTTCGTTAATCTTGCTAATGGTGTATCTATTTTGTCTATCTTTTGAAAGAACAGACTTTTTATTTATCTTTCGTATTGCTTTTTTTTAAATTTCATTTAGTTCTGCTCTGATCTTTGTTATTTCTTTTCTTCTGCTGTGTTTGGGTTTGGTTTGTTCTTGTTTCTCTAGTTCCTTGACGTGTGACCTTAGATTGCCTATTTGTGCTCTTTCAGGCTTTTTGATGTAGGTATTTAATGCTATAAACCTTCCTCTTAGCACTGCTTTTGCTGTATCCCAGAGGTTCTGATAGGTTTTGTCACTAGTATAATTCAGTTCAAATAATTTTTTAATTTCAATCATGATTTCATTGTTGACCTAACAATCATTTGGAGCAGATTACTTAATTTTCATGTATTTGCATGGTTTTGAGTGTTCCTTTCTGAGTTGATTTTTAATTTTCTTCCACTGTAGTTTGAGAGAGTACTTGATATGATTTCAGTTTTCTTAAGTTTATTGAGACTTCTTTTGTAACTTGTCATATGGTCTATCTTAGAGAATGCTCTGTGTGCTGATGAATAGAATGTATATTTGGCAGTTGTTAGGTAGAATGCTCTGTAAATATTCATTACATTTATATGTTCTAGGGTATAGTTTTGTTATAGGAAAGCAAGTTTATTAAGAAAGTAAAGGAATAAAAGGATGACTACTCCATAGAGCAGCACCAAGGGCTGCTGGTTGCCCATTTTTATGCTTATTTTTTGATGATATGGTAAACAAGGGGTGGATTATTCATGCCTCCCCTTTCTCGACCACATAGGGTAACTTCTTGCCATTGCCATGGCATTTGTAAACTGTCATGGCACTGGTGGGAGTGTAGCAGTGAGGACGTCTAGAGGTCACTCTCGTCGCCATTTTGGTTTTGGTCAGTTTTGGCCGGCTCCTTTACTGTAAACTGTTTTATCAGCAAGGTCTTTATGATCTGTATTTTGGGCTGACCTCCTATCTGATCCTTTGACTTAGAATGCCTTAACCATCTGAGAATGCAGCCCAGTAGGTTTCAGCCCCATTTTACCCAGCTCCTATTTAAGATGGCATTGCTCTGGTTCACACGCCTCTGACAGTTTAAGTCCATTGTTTCTTTGCTGACTTTCTGTCTTGATGGCCTGTCTAATGCTGTCAGTGGAGTATTTAAGTCCTCCATTATTATCGTGTTGCTGTCTATCTCATTTCTTAGGTATAGTAGTAATTGTTTTATAAATTTGGGAGCTCCAGTGTAAGGTGTATATATATTTATGATTATGATATTTTTCCTGTCAGACTAGTCCTTTTATCATATAATGTCCTTCTTTGTTTTTTTTAACTATTGTTTCTTTAAAGTCTGTTTTCTCTGATATAAGAATAACTATTCCTGCTCACTTTGGGTGACATGGAATGTCTTTTTCCACCCCTTTACCTTAAGTGTATGTGAGTCCTTATGTTTTAGGTGAGTCTCTTGAAGACTGCAGATACTTGGTTGGTGATACTTATCCATTCTGCCATTCTGTAGCTTTTAAGTGGAGTATTCAGGCTATTTACATTCAATGTTCAAATTGAGATGTTAGGTACCGTTGTACTCATTATACTAGTTGTTGCCTGAATACCTTGTTGTTGTTGTTCTATTGTGTTATTGTTTTATAGGCCCTATGAAGTGTATGCTTTAAGGAGGTTCTTTTTTGGTGTGTTTTGATGCTTTGTTTCAATAATTAGAGCCGTTTTTAGCAGTTCTTGTGGTACTGGCTTGATTGTGGTAAATTCATTCAGCATATGTTTGTCCAAAAAAGACTTTATTCTTCCTTCATTTATGAAGCTTAGTTTGGCCAGATTCAACATTCTTGACTGATAATTGTTTTGTTCAAAAAGGCTTTAAAGATCAGTCTCCAATCCCTTTTAGCTTGTGGGGTTTCTACTGAGAAATCTGCGTTAATCTGATAGGTTTTCCTTTACAGGTTACCTGATGTTTTTGCCTCACAGCTCTTAAGATTATTTCCTTTGTCTTGAATTTAGATAACCTGATGACTGTGTACCTAGGTGATGATCATTTTGTGGATAAATTTTCTGGGTGTTATTTGAGCTTCTTGTGTTTGGTTGTCTAGAACTCTAGCAATGCCAGGGAAGTTTTTCTCAATTATTCCCTCAAGGAAGTTTTCCAAACTTTGATATTTCTCTTCTTCCTTGGGAACACAAATTATTCTCAGGTTTGGTCATTTAGTATAATCCCAATCTTCTTGGAGGCTTTGTTTTTGTTTGTTGGTTTTTGTTTGTTTGTTTATTCTTTGATGCTTTTTTCCTTATCTTATTGGGTTAATTCAAAAGCCTTGTCTTCAAGCTCTGAAGTTCTTTTTTCTACTTGTTCTATTCTGTCATTGAAACTTCCCAGTGCATTTTTTATTTCTCTAAGTGTGTCTTTCATTTCCCAGAAGTTGTGATTGTTTTTTTGTTCATGCTATCTATTTTTATGGAGGCTTTTTGGTCCACATCCTGTATTATTCTTCAACTTTCTTTTAGTTCATTTTCACCATTCTCTGGTGCCTCCTTGAGTAGCTTAATAATTGACCCTCTGAATTCTTTTTCTGGTAATTCAGAGATTGCTTCTTGGTTTAGATCCATTGCTGGTGACCTAGTGTGATCTTTTGGTGGTACTAAAGAATTTTGCTTTTTTATATTACCAGAATTGTTTTTCTGGTTCTTTCTCATTTGGGTAGACTGTGTCAGAGGAAAGACCTGGGTCTCAACACACTGCTGTTCAGATATTTTTTTCCACAGGGTGATCCCTTGATGTGGTATTCTCTCTCTTCCCTTAGGGATGGGGCTTCCTGAGAGCTGGAATACAGTTATTGTTATTGCTCTTCTGGGTCTAGCCTCTCCACAGAGCTACTGGGCTCTGGGCTGGTACTGGGAAGTGTCTGCACAGAGTCTTGTGACGCAATTCATCTTCAGGTCTCTCAGCAATGGATACCAGCACCTGCTTCAGTGAAGGTAACAAGGGAGTAAAGTGGACTCTGTGAGGGTCCTTGGTTACAGTTTTTTTTAGCGTGCTGATTCTTGAATGCTTGTTGTGCTAGCAGTGAAGCTGTCTTGTGGACAGACGCAAGACCTCTGGTTAGCCAGGATGTTACAGGCGGTGGAATTAACTGTTGTTTTCTCTCTTCTTGGAGCAGGTTTATTCTTGTATTAATTGCTGTAATGACTTGAGTTGGTTGGCCTCCAGTCAGGAGGTGGCACTTTCAAGAGCGCATTAGTGGTAGTATAGGGGTATGGGAGCTAGCTCTAAGATCACCCGAATAAATATTTGAATTTCTCAGATGATGGGCAGGGCCATAGAACTCCCAAGAGATTATGTCTTGTGTCTTCAGCTACCAGAGCGGGTAGAGAAAGACCATTAGGTGGGGGCAGGGTTAGGTGTGTTTGAGCTCAGACTCTCCTTGGGTGAGGCTTGCTGCAGCCACTGTGGGGGATGAGGGTGTGGTTCTCAGCCTAATGGAGTTATGTTCCTGGGGGGATTATGGCTGCCTCTCCTGCATCATAGAGATCACCAGGGAAGTAGGTGAAAGCTGGCAGTGACAGGACTCACTCAGTTCCCATGTAGCCAGCAAGGCCAGTCTCACTCCCACCATACCCACCAACAGCACTGAGTTTATATCCAGGCAGCTGGTAAGGAGGACTGTGATCTTTCCCCAGGCTACGAGCATCCCTGCTGGGATTTCAGACCCTCCCTCTCCCCACCTGTCTTGACTTCTGTGCTCCTATCTGCACTTGTAATTCGTGCCTAGCCCGCCTCCCCCCACCCCTCACCCTGCCTGGATTCTGCCCAGGAAAATCTGTGCTCAATTGAAATTATTACAAAGTTCAGCTGGAAGTTTCCTTCTCCCTGTGGTCCTTCCCCAGTTTCACTGGCAGCCCTCCCCAAGGACCCGTGTGAGATAAAGTCAGAAATGGTTTCCCTGCCAACCAGGAGTGTCTATAGGGCTCTTCCCACTGCTTCTTCTACTTGTATATTTCCCTCAGCTCTCTAAATTTGTTTTGGCTCTAGGTAATGAAACTGCCTTTGCAAAATCATGACTGAGACAGTGAAAAAGGTCTAACTTAACTGACTCCATCTTGTTTCTAACCTCCAAGCTGTCCTTGTTCATTCCAAAGTTAGGCTGAACTAACTTTGGGAGAAATTTAATTTATAGTTTATAGTTTAAACAAAGACAGTAACAGCCCTTTCCCAAAGCAGACCTCCTTCTTGCCTGGGGACTAGATTGCCTTTGTAGGACTAACATTAGCCACAAGATTTGAAATTATGGTTTAGGAGTCATGCAGCTGGAGGCTACAAGATTCTGACCCTTTCTAAACTGCTCCTAAATTCAGTGCTTGAGATATTTTGCAGACTTGCACTTGATGGATTAGCTGGCATCACCCAGATCAATAAACTGGCTCACCTGATCTTGTGGCCCCACCCAACAACTGACTCAGTGCAAGAAGACAGCTTTAACTCCCCATGATTTCATATCTGACACCTGGCTCAGGAGTCAATCAATCAGCACTCCTGGCTCACTGGCTCCCCACAACCCACCAAGTTATCCTTAGAAACTCTGCTCCCTGAATGCTGGGGAGACTGATTTGAGTAATAATAAAACTCTGGTCTCCCACACAGCCGCCTCTGCGTGAATTACTCTTTCTCTATTACAATTCCCCTGTCTTGATGAATCAGCTCTGTCTAGGCAGCAGGCAAGGTGAACCCCGTGGGCGGTTACAGTAAGGTTAAATCTTTCTCCTGTGATCTGGATTTTCAGGTTCCCCAGTGAGGATGTGTGCTCGAGGTGGACTTTCCCCCCTCACACTTTGGCTACTCAGTTTTTTGGCCGTCTTATGGAGTTTGCAGTGACAAGCTGCCTCTTTCAAAGGGTCTGTGAATTCTTTCAGTTTTCCTGGTATGTTCCTGTGGTAGTTCTTCAGCAAATGTTTACAAAGGGAGTCTCTACACGCTGTTCTGTCTATCCGAGTGGGAACTGCAAGTTAGTACTGCCTCCTATCTGCCTTTTTTTCCTGTAAGTTATTTTTTGAGTAAATTTAGGTAATTTATATTTTTCTAAAAAATCTGTTTTATCCAGATTTTAAGGCTAATATGAATATGTTTTAGCGAAGGATTTTATTTCCCAATGTAACAGTTTTTCCATTTTTACTTTTAAACTAGCATTTTTTTTTTTTTATCTTTCCAGTCTCCTTTGTTTAACTAGTGGATTATCTAGTTTCTTTTCCAAAAAAAATCTTTTTTTTTCAAATATTCCTTAAGGTTTCAAATTTATTAATCTCTACTTTTTAAAATTAAATGATCTCTGCTTTCCTTACACTTCTTTGCATTTTCTAACTTCTTTAGATGAATGTTTAATTAATTTTTCAAGACTATATGTTTCATGCGTGTCCGTGTGAAGAGACCACCAAACAGGCTTTGTGTGAGCAACATGGCTGTTTATTTCACCTGGGTGCAGGCGGGCTGAGTCTGAAAAGAGAGTCAGCGAAGGCAGATAAGGGTGGGGCCGTTTTATAGGATTTGGGTAGGTAAAGGAAAATTACAGTCAAAGGGGGTTTGTTCTCTGGCGGGCAGGAGTGGGGGTCGCAAGGTGCTCAGTGGGGGTGCTTTTTGAGCCAGATGAGCCAGGAAAAGGACTTTCACAAGGTAATGTCATCACTTAAGGCAAGGACCGGCCATTTACACTTCTTTTGTGGTGGAACGTCATCAGTTAAGGTGGGGCAGGGCATTTTCACTTCTTTTGTGATTCTTCAGTTGCTTCAGGCCATCTGGGCATATACATGCAAGTCACAGGGGATGCGATGGCTTGGCTTGGGCTCAGAGGCCTGACATTCCTGCCTTCTTATATTAATAAGAAAAATAAAACAAAATAGTGTTGAAGTGTGGGGGCGGTGAAAATTTTTGGGGGGTGGTATGTATGGAGAGAGAGAATGGGTGATGTTTCTCAGGGCTGCTTCGAGCTGGATTGGGGCGGCGTGGGAACGTAGAGTGGGAGAGATTAAGCTGAAGGAAGATTTTGTGGTAAGGGGTGATACTATGGGGTTTTTAGGAGAAACATTTGTCGTGTAGAGTTATTGGTGATGGCCTGGATACGGTTTTGTATAAATTGAAAAACTAAATGGAATAAGAGAAGGAGAAAAACAGCTATAAAAGGCCTAAGAATTGGGAGGAGCCAGGACATCTGATTAGAGAGTGCCTAAGGAGATTCAGCATAGTCCTGCCAGCAAAGATTATTTATTTACTTCAAGAATTTAGAGTGGCGGTTTGGGGATAGCACCAGGAGATATTAGCTGTGATGGCTTGGAGAAACAGTGTAAACAAGAGCAGAGCAAGTATGAGTAGTTGAGAACGGTGAATAGGAGTATGACTAGACAGAAGATAGTAGGGATGACAAGTTTTTTGGGGCACAGTCTAAGTTGGTCTGGTGTCTGGAATGAGACTGGGGCCTAATAAAAGGGAACGTCTATACAGGAGCTTAAATGGGCTGTACCTTGTAGCATTCCAAGGATAGGCCTGAATTCTGAGAAGCGAAAGTGGTAAAAGTATCGTCCAGTCCTTTTTAAGTTGGTGGCTGAGCTTGGTGAGGTGTGTTTTTAAAAGACCATTAGTCTGTTCTACTTTTCCTGAAGACTGAGGACTATAAGGAATATAAAGGTTTCACTGAATACTAAGAACCTGAAAAACTGCTTGGCTGATTTGACTCATAAAGGCTGGTCTGTTATCAGACTGTATAGAGGTGGGAAGGCTAAACTGAAGAATTATGTCTGACAGAAGGGTAGAAATGACTGTGGTGGCCTTCTCAGACCTTGTAGGAAAGGCCTCTACCCATCTAGTGAAAGTGTCTACTTAGACTAAGAGATATTTTAGTTTTCTGACTCAAGGCATGTGAGTAAAGTCAATTTGCCAGTCCTGGGCAGGGACAAATCCCTGAGCTTGATGTGTAGAAAAGGGAGGGGGCCTGAACAATCCATGAGGGGTAGTAGAATAGCAGATGAAACACTGAGAAGTGATCTCCTTCAGGATAGATTTCCGTGATGGAAAGGAAATGAGAGGTTCTAAGAGATGGGCTAGTGGCTTGTAACCTACATGGAAGAGGTTATGAAATGACGACAGAATAGAATGGGCCTTGAGGCTGGAAGGAGATATTTTCCTTGGTCTAAGAACTATTTGCCTTGTGTGGGAAGAGATTGATAGGTGGAAGTTTCAGCAGGGGAGTAGGTGGGAGTGACCAATGTGAAGGAGAAAAACTGGCCGTGAGGGACAGAAGTTGGAGGGCTAGCTGCTTGTCTAGCCACCTTATCAGTATAAGGGTTGCCTAGAGCAATGGGATCTTACGCCTTTTGATGCCCCTTGCAGTGAATGACCCCAGCTTCCTTTGGAAGTAAAGCGGCCTTGAGTAGAGTTTTTATTAAAGAGACATTAATGATGGAGGACCCTTGTGTAGTGAGAAAACCTCTTTCAGCCCATATGACCGCATGGTGGTGCAGAATATGAAAGACATATTTAGAATCAGTATAGATATCAATGCATAGTCCTTTTGCAAGAGTGAGGGCTTGAGTTAAGGCAACTAGTTCGGCTTGCTGAGAGGTAGTGGAGGGGGGCAGAGCGGTAGCCTCAATGAATGATGTGGAAGATACTATAGCATAGCCTGCCTTTGCTGGTGAGTGGCGATTAGGCCTGGTGGAACTGCCATCAATAAACCAAGTGTGATCAGGGTGAGAAACAGGGAAGAAGGAAATGTGGGGAAATGGGATGAACATCAGGTGGATCAGAGAGATGCAGTCATGAGGGTCAGGTGTGGTATCCAGAATAATGTGGGAGGCCGGATTGAAGTCTGGGCCAGGAACAACGGTGATTGTGGGAGACTCAACAAAGAGTGAGTACAGCTGAAGGAGCCGGGAAGCAGAAAGCATATGCGTCAGGTGTGAGGAAGAAAATAGATTTTGGAAGTTATGAGAACTGTAGAGAGTGAGTTGAGTATAGTTTGTGATTTTGAGGGCCTCTAAAAGTATTAAAGCAGCGGCAGCCGCTGCACGCAGACATGAGGGCTAGGCTAAAACAGTAAGGTCAAGTTGTTTGGACAGAAAGGCTACAGTGTGTGGTCCTGGCTCTTGTGTAAGAATTCTGACCATGCTAACCATGCCTAGGAAGGAAAGGAGTTGTTGTTTTGTAGAAGGTGCTGGGGTTTGAGAGATCAGTCGGACATGATTGGCAGGGAGAGCGCATGTGTTTTTATGAGAATTATGCCGAGATAGGTAACAGATGAGGAAGAAATTTGGGCTTGACTAAAGTAATGGGGGCTGTCTGTGAAGCTTTGTGGCAGTATAGCCTAGGTAATTTGCTGAGCTTGATGGGTGTCAGGGTCAGTCCAAGTGAAAGCGAAGAGAGGCTGGGATTAAGGGTGCAAAGGAATAGTAAAGAAAGCATGTTTGAGATCTAGAACAGAATAATGGGTTGTAGAGGGAGGTATTAAGGATAGGAGAGTATATGGGTTTGGCACCACAGGGTGGATAGGCAAAACAATTTGGTTGATAAGGTGCAGATCCTGAGCTAACCTGTAGGGCTTGTCTGGTTTTAGGACAGGTAAAATGGGGGAATTGTAAGGAGAGTTTATAGGTTTTAGAAGCCTATGCTGTAGCAGGCGAGTGATAACAGGCTTTAATCCTTTTAAAGCATGCTATGGGATGGGATATTGGCATTGAGTGGGGTAAGAGTGAATCAGTTTTAATGGGATGGTAAGGGGTGCATGGTCGGTCGCTAAGGAGGGAGTAGAGGTGTCTTATACTTGTGAGTTAAGGTGGGGAGATATAAGGGGAGGATGTGAAGGAGGCTTTGAACTGGGGGAAAAGGTGGCAGTGAGGTGCAGCTGTAGCCTAGGAATAGTCAGGGAAGCAGATAATTTAGTTAAAGTGTCTCAGCCTAAGAAGGGAACTGGGCAGGTGGGGATAATTAAAAAGGAGTGCTTAAAAGAGTATTGTCTAAGTTGACACCAGAGTTGGGGAGTTTTAAGAGGTTTAGAAGCCTGGCCGTCAATACCTACAACAGTTATGGAGTCAAGGGAAACAGGCCCTTGAAAAGAAGGTAATGTGGAGTGGGTAGCCTCCGTATTGATTAAGAAGGGGATGGACTTACCCTCCACTGTGAGAGTTACCCAGAGCATCTGTGATGGTCCTGTAGGCTTCCGAGGCGATTGGGTGGTGTCAGACTTTAGCCGCTAAGCCAAGAAGGAGTCAGTCAGAGAGCCTTAGGCCAGAGTTCCAGGGGCTCTGGGAGTGGCTGCCAGGTGAGTTGAACAGTTTGAATTTCAGTGGGGTCCCACACAGATGGGACGCAGCCTAGGAGGAATCCCAGGCTGTGGGCATTCCTTGGCCCAGTGGCCAGATTTCCGGCATGTGTAGCAAGCTCCTGGGAGAGGAGGTTCTGGAGGAACGCCTGGCCACTGCGGTTCAGGTGTTTGGAAGTTCTTGTGTGCTGGAGATGTGGCTGGGGTTTGTCTCACAGTGGAGGCAAGGAATTGCAACTTTTTTCTATTATTGTACACCTTGAAGGTGAGGTTAATTAAGTTCTGTTGTGGGGTTTGAGGGCCAGATTCTAATTTTTGAAGTTTTTTCCTAATGTCAGGAGTGGATTGGGTGGTAAAATGCATATTAAGAATAAGGCGGCCTTCTGGCCCCTCTGTGTCTAGGGTGGTAAAGCGTCTAAGGGTTGCTGCTAAGCGGGCCATGACCTGGGCTGGGTTTTCGTCTTCACCTTGGGTAGTTTCTTTAAGCTTGTCATAATTAACAGCCTTGTAAGCTGCTTTTTTAAGCCCTTCAACTAGGCAGGAAATCATTTAATCTCGCCTGGCTATACCTGGGGAATTTGCCTGGTAGTTCCATTGGGGATCCTCTCAGGGAAATGCTCTAATGCGTTCCTGGAGGTCTGGCTTGTGAAGCCAGTGGTTATCAGCTTCAGATTGGGCTAGAGAAAAAACTCTTTCCCATTCATCTGGGGAGAGGGTAGAAGTCAGGATGACATTTAAGTCACTCCAGGTTAAGTTGTAGGACAGAGTTAGATATTGGAATTCCTGTATATATTTAGTGGGGTCTGATGAGAAAGCCTAAATGTTGAGTGATCTGAGAGAGGTCTGATAGAGAAAAAGGTACATGTACTCTGATTATGCCTTCAGCTCCAGCCACCTCTCTAAGAGGAAATTGTTGGGCAGGTGGGGAAGAGCTAGTTGCGGAACTAAACTGTAAGCCCGACCGGATGTGAGGAGGGGAGGTGATAGAAAGATTATAGGGTGGAGGAGCGGAGGCTGAGGAAGAATTGGGACTTAGCTCAGCCTGGTGATGAGCAGCCTGGGGAGGAGGGGAAAGGTCAGATGGGTCTGTAGAAAAGGAAGACTGGAAAGACTCAGCAACGCTTGGGGTTGGGACTGAGGGGACAGGCGGGAGGGAAAGGAGGAGGATCTGGGAGGAATCGCATTGGGAACAGAGGCTAGGGAGGGAACGAAATGTGAAAAATGCCTGGATGTAAGGTACCTCAGACCATTTGCCCATTTTTCGACAAAAATTATTTAGGTCTTATAGGATGGAGAAATCGAAAGTGCCGTTTTCTGGCCATTTAGAGCCATTGTCAAGTTTGTATTGGGGCCAAGCGGTGTTGCAGAAGAAAATAAGGCATTTAGGTTTTAGGTCAGGTGTGAGTTGAAGAGGTTTTAAGTTTTTGAGAACACAGGCCAAGGGAGTAGAAGGAGGAATGGAGGGTGGAAGGTTGCCCATAGTGAAGGAAGCAAGCCTAGAGAAAGGAGAGAGTAGAGAAATGGAGGGAAGGGGTTGGGGGGGTTCTTACCTTCCAGAAAAGTGGAAAAAGGGGTTGGGGTGCAGAGATAAGAGGTTGGGGCATGGAAATAAGGGATTGGGGCACAGAGATATAAGAGGTTGGGGCACAGAAATAAGGGATTAGGGTGCAGAGATATGAGGTTGGGGCACGGAAATAAGGGATTGGGGCACACAGATAAGAGGTCGGGGTACGGAAATAAGGGATTGGGGCACAGAGATAAGAGGTTGGGGCATGGAAATAAGGGATTGGGGCACAGAGATAAGAGGTTGGGGCACAGAAATAAGGGATTGGGAGTTCTTGCCCTCGAAAAGAGGGACTTGCCACTAAGGGTGAAGGAGAAGGGGTTGAGGGGTACTTGCCCCTCTCCCAGAAAAGTGGGACTTGCCACTAACGGTGAAGGAGAAGGGGTTGAGGGGTACTTGCCCCTCTCCCAGAAAAGCAGAGAAGGGGTAGAGATAAGGAGAGAAGGGGTTGAGGTACTTGCCCCTTCCCCAGAAAAGCGGGACTTGCCGCTAAGGGTGAAGGACCAAGGCAGGCATCCCTGCATGGTCTGACACCCTTAAAACGTGGGTGTATAATCAGAGAGGCATCCCTGAAATGATTAAACACCAAGGGAAGGCTGCCTTCCCAGTCCGTGACCTGCGCCGGAGTTTTGGGTCCACAGATAAAACGTGTCTCCTTTGTCTCTCCCAGAAAATGAAAGGAATTGAAATTAAGAGAAGGGAGAGATTGAAGAGTGGAAAGGAGAAAGTGGTTGAGGGACAGTGAGACAGGTTGGAGAAGAGAGTGAGAAGAGGCCGCTTACCTGATTTAAAATTGGTGAGATGTTCCTTGGGCTGGTTGGTCTGAGGACCTGAGGTCATAGGTGGATCTTTCTCACGGAGCAAAGAACAGGAGTACAGGGGATTGATCTCCCAAGGGAGGTCCCCCGATCTGAGTCACGGCACCAAATTTCATGCGCGTCCCTGTGAAGAGACCACCAAACAGGCTTTGTGTGAGCAACATGGCTGTTTATTTCACCTGGGTGCAGGCGGGCTGAGTCTGAAAAGAGAGTCAGCGAAGGCAGATAAGGGTGGGGCCGTTTTATAGGATTTGGGTAGGTAAAGGAAAATTACAGTCAAAGGGGGTTTGTTCTCTGGCGGGCAGGAGTGGGGGTCGCAAGGTGCTCAGTGGGGGTGCTTTTTGAGCCAGGATGAGCCAGGAAAAGGACTTTCACAAGGTAATGTCATCACTTAAGGCAATGACTGGCCATTTACACTTCTTTTGTGGTGGAACGTCATCAGTTAAGGTGGGGCAGGGCATTTTCACTTCTTTTGTGATTCTTCAGTTACTTTAGGCCATCTGGGCATATACATGCAAGTCACAGGGGATGCGATGGCTTGGCTTGGGCTCAGAGGCCTGACAATATGTTTCCTCTAAAATGAATCTTATTTCCCATTTTTAAGCTATAACCACCCTGCTGTCAAAAATGCTAAAATCAATTTGTTTATATTTCTTCATTTTTTCTAATTTTCCCCTTCACCCTTCTCCCCTAAATTTTATTTTCCAATTTTGCTATAGTCTCATTTCTATATCACCAGAATCTATAACATAAATATTCTCTCAATAATTATATTTCCCATAATTTCTTAACATAATTGAATATAGTTTTCTGTTTTTAGGTTTTTGACACTCATTACCAGGTATTTCGACATAGCTTTTTCATTACTTTCCTGATTAAATCAACTTCATCATCTTAAGTTTTTCTAAGAAGGACTCTTGAGGTACATTGTTATTTTTTGCTTGCCTAGTGTATCATATTTTAAAATTTTAGTAATATACTTGCCTACATGAAATCAACCTCTCCTAGTCTTAGTACTTATGGCTTCGATGAGGCTGGCTTTAACATCTAGCAGCAAGAACGACCCAAATATAACCAAATAGGTGATCCCATCTAATTGGCCACAGCAATTGACTCAATCTTTATCAAGATAGAATAGTGAGATTTAGTGTTTGAATATTTACTGAAATCAAGGGAACAAAGTGCTGTCTTTGAAGACATTTTCAGTAATAAATCTGTACTCATCATTGCCAATAGAAGAGGTATTCTAAGAATAAAGACAATATAGAGGAAAGCAAAGTTTGCACATAAAAACAAGGCTGGGCACGGTGGCTCACACCTGTAATCCCAGCACTTTGGGAGGCCGAGGCGGGTGGATCACGAGGTCAGGAGATCAAGACCATCCTGGCTAACATGGTGAAACCCCATCTCTACTTAAAAAAATACAAAAAATTAGCCTAGCCGGGCGTGGTGTCGGGCGCCTGTAGTCCCAGCTACTAGGGAGGCTGAGGAAGGAGAATGGCATGAACCCGGGGGGCGGAGCTTGCAGTGAGCCAAGATCGTGCCACTGCACTCCAGCCTGGGCCACAGAGCGAGACTCCGTCTCAAAAGAAAAAAGAAAAAAAGAAAAACAAAGAGTATCTTGATGTGATTTTTTGAGCCTCTGCACTCAGTTTTGGTTCAATCCACCTGCAGTCGACACTGATATTAATACAGAGCCAACTCTCACCAGCATCACCAGTCAAGTGTCCTTTCCATCCTGGTCATTTATCATCGATCACAGTATTGAGTGATCCACTTTTCCCTTTTTATCAAGAATAAGACTTATTTATGGCTCACAGTTAATCCAGTATTTTAAAGATTTTTTGCTTTTTGTATGTAATGATTTAAAACCAAGATAACTCATTATAACAGTATTTTTACCAAGACACAAATATAATCACCACCTGCAAAAACTCCTTCAATCTTTCATGCTAACAATGTGCATCAAGTGAATTGAGGGTGTCTTCAAGTGTTTTTATTCAGCCCAATTTACTTGCTATAATATAATGTGACACAGTGTCATGTCCTCCAGCCTTCATGCTACCAGAATTTCCTATTCCAAAAATCTACAGACCACTGGTTAGGAGCTCTGAGAACTCATTGTGAAGTCTTTGTGTCTTCTGCTCAATTTTATCTAACACTCATTGTGGTTGACAGCTATTATATATAGTTTGTGGTTTTCAGTTTTCTCTACTTTCTGGTTTTACCAAATATAAAATTTCTTCCTCAATTCGTATGTTAGTTTGGCCAGAATCGAAGAAGAGGGTGGAATAAAAATGTCCAGGGGAATTTTTGGGTGACTCCAGCATTAATATATGTGATATGATGCAAATGTTTTCTGAAATAATGCAGATGTTACATAGTTTTTTTTTGCCATTCTCATCATTATTGTTATGGAAGGTTATGATAAATTGTTATATATTTATTATAATTGTCTATTCAATAGATACTAACAAGACACTCATCAATTTGCTTCATACTCTGCATATTGTAACATAAGCTTTTGCTTATCATTTTGCATCCCCAAATACAATGTGATTTCTAGGAAGAGAGAAACTGTTTCATTTATATTTTATTCTCCAGTGTTTAACATAATTCTTGGTAAATATCAGGCATACAAATAATTATTGTTGAATAAATGAGTAAAGAGACAAAAGCTTAGAAAAGAGGAGAGAATCTTGTAATAATTTTCCATCCAAGAAACTATATTAATCAATTTCATCAAGGATACATTAAATAAATTTATAAGTTGGCAGTGAGATTCAGTATGTATTTCTGTGCATTTAAGCATTCTTTTAAAAATGATAAACACTATCCTTAGGATATTTAAGATAGTTAATGATAATTGCTTAATAATATATCTAGTGTTCAAGTTTATTTATTTAATTATTTGTTACTGTTGGTTGTTTAAAACAAGAGGGTCATTCAATTTTATTTTTAAAGCTTTTTTTTCAGAGACATAGAGTTGTACTTTGGTAGATACATTCTTTCTTTACTACAAAAATGTATGCAGAAATATAACTTAATTAATTTCTTGGCTTATAAAGTTTCAGCTCTTAGTCTCATTATTTTACCCCCATTTTCTCTCTTTTTACCATCTGGTTGTTTTTAAGATTTTTTTTGTCTTTAGTTTTCAACAGTTTTACTAAAACTTGTATAAGTGTGCATTCTGGTTTGTGATTTGTAGTGCTTTTTGAATCTGTGCTTCAATGCCACTCATGATTTAGAAAAAGAAAAGACTATTTTGTCTTCCAATATGGGTTCTGTATCTTTTCTGTTTCTGAAATTGAAATTACATGCATGTTAGAATTTTTCATTTTATCATCTATAGAGCTATACTCTTTTGTGAATTTTCATTTTTTTTCTTTCTGTACTTCATTCTGGATTTTTTAAAACATATTTTCCAAGTCACTAATTCTTTCTTCAGACGATAAATCTGCTATTAAAACCAACTGTTGAATTTTTTATTTGAGTTTTTATAGTTTCCATTTCAGAATTTTTATTTGGATATTTACTATGATTTGTGGTACTCCGTTGACATTTTCAGTCTCTCCTTTTATTTTCTGAAACCCATTGCCATATTAATAGTTAAATCTGTATCTGATATCTTCATTATCTAAATGCCAAATGGGCTGTTTCTATTCTTTATTTTTAAAAACGGTTGTGAGTCGTGTTGTTACCACCTGTGCCTGATTATTTTTATTGAATTACATATATGAATTCATGAATTGCATACATTTTACAGCATGAAACATTACAGAAGTAACTTGAGACATCAGATCATGTTATCTTTTCCACAGAGAATTACAGATATTTCCTAGAGGACTAAGAGCACTCAGGTATCCCAGATCACCTTATTCAGCCAGGAATTGAAAAGATTCAAAGCTGAGCCACAGTCCCTTCAAGGGCTGTTTGCACTTTTCCCTTAATCCTTGGATGTAAGCCTGCACAAATCATGGCAGGTTTGCCAAGGTCTAAATGCCTGGAGCTCAAACTACATTTGTTTTTTTCCTAGTCCTGTGAGTCTTTTGAAAGCTCTGTTCAGCTTATCAGCCCCCTAGTCATCTTACCATAATATAAATGCCATATACATTTTTCAGTTAAAAATTATCTACAATATCAGAGCCTATATCATTATCTTTTCTTGTTCCAGAAACGGACTCTCTAATTCCCCATTGCTTGGCTATTCAATATATTTAAACATTAAAGTTTTCCATCTTTTTCAGTGGCTCTCAGTTGACAGGTTAACCTGAATTAATTAGTCTTTACCAGAGGAGAAATGCTGATTTTTCTTTGTGCTTTCTTAATTTTGAGTTGGTATGTGTTCTGACACTTCGCAGAAAGTTTTGATAAAACTGAATTTATAGTTAAAAAGGTACTGAAGATATTTTTATTTATTTATTTATTTTTTATTTTTATTGTATTTTTTTTTTATACTTTAAGTTTTAGGGTACATGTGCACATTGTGCAGGTTAGTTACATATGTATACATGTGCCATGCTGGTGCGCTGCACCCACTAACTCGTCATCTAGCATTAGGTATATCTCCTGATGCTATCCCTCCCCCCTCCCCCCACCCCACAACAGTCCCCAGAGTGTGATATTCCCCTTCCTGTGTCCATGTGATCTCATTGTTCAGTTCCCACCTATGAGTGAGAATATGCGGTGTTTGGTTTTTTGTTCTTGCGATAGTTTACTGAGAATGATGATTTCCAATTTCATCCATGTCCCTACAAAGAACATGAACTCATCATTTTTTATGGCTGCATAGTATTCCATGGTGTATATGTGCCACATTTTCTTAATCCAGTCTATCATTGATGGACATTTGGGTTGGTTCCAAGTCTTTGCTATTGTGAATAATGCCGCAATAAACATACGTGTGCATGTGTCTTTATAGCAGCATGATTTATAGTCCTTTGGGTATATACCCAGTAATGGGATGGCTGGGTCAAATGGTATTTCCAGTTCTAGATCCCTGAGGAATCGCCACACCGACTTCCACAATGGTTGAACTAGTTTACAGTCCCACCAACAGTGTAAAAGTGTTCCTATTTCTCCACATCCTCTCCAGCACATGTTGTTTCCTGACTTTTTAATGATTGCCATTCTAACTGGTGTGAGATGGTATCTCAGTGTGGTTTTGATTTGCATTTCTCTGATGGCCAGTGATGATGAGCATTTTTTCATGTGTTTTTTGGCTGCATAAATGTCTTCTTTTGAGAAGTGTCTGTTCATGTCCTTTGCCCACTTTTTGATGGGGTTGTTTGTTTTTTTCTTGTAAATTTGTTTGAGTTCATTGTAGATTCTGGATATTAGCCCTTTGTCAGATGAGTAGGTTGCGAAAATTTTCTCCCATTTTGTAGGTTGCCTGTTCACTCTGATGGTAGTTTCTTTTGCTGTGCAGAAGCTCTTTAGTTTAATTAGATCCCATTTGTCAATTTTGGCTTGTGTTGCCATTGCTTTTGGTGTTTTAGACATGAAGTCCTTGCCCATGCCTATGTCCTGAATGGTAATGCCTAGGTTTTCTTCTAGGGTTTTTATGGTTTTAGGTCTAACGTTTAAGTCTTTAATCCATCTTGAATTGATTTTTGTATAAGGTGTAAGGAAGGGATCCGGTTTCAGCTTTCTCCATATGGCTAGCCAGTTTTCCCAGCACCATTTGTTAAATAGGGAATCCTTTCCCCATTGCTTGTTTTTCTCAGGTTTGTCAAAGATCAGATAGTTGTAGATATGTGGCGTTATTTCTGAGGGCTCTGTTCTGTTCCATTGATCTATATCTCTGTTTTGGTACCAGTACCATGCTGTTTTGGTTACTGTAGCCTTGTAGTATAGTTTGAAGTCAGGTAGTGTGATGCATCCAGCTTTGTTCTTTTGGCTTAGGATTGACTTGGTGATGCGGGCTCTTTTTTGGTTCCATATAAACTTTAAAGTAGTTTTTTTCCAATTCTGTGAAGAAAGGCATTGATAGCTTGATGGGGATGGCATTGAATCTTTAAATTACCTTGGGCAGTATGGTCATTTTCACGATATTGATTCTTCCTACCCATGAGCATGGAATGTTCTTCCATTTGTTTGTATCCTCTTTTATTTCCTTGAGCAGTGGTTTGTAGTTCTCCTTGAAGAGGTCCTTCACATCCCTTGTAAGTTGGATTCCTAGGTATTTTATTCTCTTTGAAGCAATTGTGAATGGGAGTTCGCTCGTGATTTGGCTCTCTGTTTGTTTGTTGTTGATGTATAAGAATGCTTGTGATTTTTGTACATTGATTTTGTATCCTGAGACTTTGCTGAAGTTGCTTATCAGCTTAAGGAGATTTTGGGCTGAGACAGTGGGGTTTTCTAGATATACAATCATGTCATCTGCAAACAGGGACAATTTGACTTCCTCTTTTCCTAATTGAATACCCTTTATTTCCTTCTCCTGCCTGATTGCCCTGGCCAGAACTTCCAACACTATGTTGAATAGGAGTGGTGAGAGAGGGCATCCCTGTCTTGTGCCAGTGTTCAAAGGGAATGCTTTCAGTTTTTGCCCATTCAGTATGATATTGGCTGTGGGTTTGTCATAGATAGCTCTTATTATTTTGAAATACGTCCCATCAATACCTAATTTATTGAGAGTTTTTAGCATGAAGGGTTGTTGAATTTTGTCAAAGGCTTTTTCTGCATCTATTGAGATAATCATGTGGTTTTTGTCTTTGGCTCTGTTTATATGCTGGATTACATTTATTGATTTGCATATACTGAACCAGCCTTGCATCCCAGGGATGAAGCCCACTTGATCATGGTGGATAAGCTTTTTGATGTGCTGCTGGATTCGGTTTGCCAGTATTTTATTGAGGATTTTTGCATCAATGTTCATCAAAGATATTGATCTAAAATTCTCTTTTTTTGTTGTGTCTCTGCCTGGCTTTGGTATCAGAATGATGCTGGCCTCATAAAATGAGTTAAGGAGGATTCCCTCTTTTT
The DNA here is from genome assembly GCF_000001405.40 of Homo sapiens. Classification (NCBI taxonomy): domain Eukaryota; kingdom Metazoa; phylum Chordata; class Mammalia; order Primates; family Hominidae; genus Homo; species Homo sapiens. Next base: position 104,076,906 of record NC_000005.10, read on the forward strand.
CTATTGATTGGAATAGTTTCAGAAGGAATGGTACCAATTCCTCCTTGTACCTCTGGTAGAATTCGGCTGTGAATCCATCTGGTCGTGGACTCTTTTTGGTTGGTAAGCTATTGATTATTGCCACAATTTCAGCTCCTGTTATTGGTCTATTCAGAGATTCAACTTCTTCCTGGTTTAGTCTTGGGAGAGTGTATGTGTCCAGCAATTTATCCATTTTTTCTAGATTTTCTAGTTTATTTGCGTAGAGGTGTTTGTAGTATTCCCTGATGGTAGTTTGTATTTCTGTGGGATCGGTGGTGATATCCCCTTTATCATTTTTTATTGCGTCTATTTGATTCTTCTCTCTTTTTTTCTTTATTAGTCTTGCTAGCAGTCTATCAATTTTGTTGATCCTTTCAAAAAACCAGCTCCTGGATTCATTAATTTTTTGAAGGGTTTTTTGTATCTCTATTTCCTTCAGTTCTGCTCTGATTTTAGTTATTTCTTGCCTTCTGCTAGCTTTTGAATGTGTTTGCTCTTGCTTTTCTAGTTCTTTTAATTGTGATGTTAGGGTGTCAATTTTGGATCTTTCCTGCTTTCTCTTGTGGGCATTTAGTGCTATAAATTTCCCTCTACACACTTCTTTGAATGTGTCCCAGAGATTTGGTATGTTGTGTCTTTGTTCTCGGTTTCAAAGAACATCTTTATTTCTGCCTTCATTTCGTTATGTACCCAGTAGTCATTCAGGAGCAGGTTGTTCAGTTTCCATGTAGTTGAGCGGTTTTGAGTGAGATTCTTAATCCTGAGTTCTAGTTTGATTGCACTGTGGTCTGAGAGATAGTTTGTTATAATTTCTGTTCTTTTACATTTGCTGAGGAGAGCTTTACTTCCAAGTATGTAGTCAATTTTGGAATAGGTGTGGTGTGGTGCTGAAAAAAATGTATATTCTGTTGATTTGGGGTGGAGAGTTCTGTAGATGTCTATTAGGTCTGCTTGGTGCAGAGCTGAGTTCAATTCCTGGGTATCCTTGTTGACTTTCTGTCTCGTTGATCTGTCTAATGTTGACAGTGGGGTGTTAAAGTCTCCCATTATTAATGCGTGGGAGTCTAAGTCTCTTTGTAGGTCACTCAGGACTTGCTTTATGAATCTTGGTGCTCCTGTATTGGGTGCATATATATTTAGGATAGTTAGCTCTTCTTGTTGAATTGATCCCTCTACCATTATGTAATGACCTTCTTTGTCTCTTTTGATCTTTGTTGGTTTAAAGTCTGTTTTATCAGAGACTAGGATTGCAACCCCTGCCTTTTTTTGTTTTCCATTGGCTTGGTAGATCTTCCTCCATCCTTTTATTTTGAGCCTATGTGTGTCTCTGCACGTGAGATGGGTTTCCTGAATACAGCACACTGATGGGTCTTGACTCTTTATCCAATTTGCCAGTCTGTGTCTTTTAATTGGAGCATTTAGTCCATTTACATTAAAAGTTAATATTGTTATGTGTGAATTTGATCCTGTCATTATGATGTTAGCTGGTTATTTTGCTCGTTCGTTGATGCAGTTTCTTCCTAGTCTCGATGGTCTTTACATTTTGGCATGATTTTGCAGTGGCTGGTACTGGTTGTTCCTTTCCATGTTTAGTGCTTCCTTCAGGAGCTCTTGTAAGGCAGGCCTGGTGGTGACAAAATCTCTCAGCATTTGCTTGTCTGTAAAGTATTTTAATTCTCCTTCAGTTATGAAGATTAGTTTGGCTGGATATGAAATTCTGGGTTGAAAATTCTTTTCTTTAAGAATGTTGAATATTGGCCCCCACTCTCTTCTGGCTTGTAGGGTTTCTGCCGAGAGATCCACTGTTAATCTGATGGGCTTCCCTTTGAGGGTAACCCGACCTTTCTCTCTGGCTGCCCTTAACATTTTTTCCTTCATTTCAACTTTGGTGAATCTGACAATTATGTGTCTTGGAGTTGCTCTTCTCGAGGAGTATCTTTGTGGCGTTCTCTGTATTTCCTGAATCTGAACGTTGGCCTGCCTTGCTAGATTGGGGAAGTTCTCCTGGATAATATCCTGCAGAATGTTTTCCAACTTGGTTCCATTCTCCCCATCACTTTCAGATACACTAATCAGAGGTAGATTTGGTCTTTTCACATAGTCCCATATTTCTTGGAGGCTTTGCTCATTTCTTTTTATTCTTTTTTCTCTAGACTTCCCTTCTCACTTCATTTCATTCATTTCATCTTCCATTGCTGATACCCTTTCTTCCAGTTGATCGCATCGGCTCCTGAGGCTTCTGCATTCTTCACGTAGTTCTCGAGCCTTGGTTTTCAGCTCCATCATCTCCTTTAAGCACTTCTCTGTATTGGTTATTCTAGTTATACATTCTTCTACATTTTTTTCAAAGTTTTCAACTTCTTTGCCTTTGGTTTGAATGTCCTCCCATAGCTCAGAGTAATTTGATTGTCTGAAGCCTTCTTCTCTCAGCTCGTCAAAGTCATTCTCCATCCAGCTTTGTTCCGTTGCTGGTGAGGAACTGCGTTCCTTTGGAGGAGGAGAGGCGCTCTGCTTTTTAGAGTTTCCAGTTTTTCTGTTCTGTTTTTTCCCCATCTTTGTGGTTTTATCTACTTTTGGTCTTTGATGATGGTGATGTACAGATGGGTTTTTGGTGTGGATGTCCTTTCTGTTTGTTAGTTTTCCTTCTAACAGAGAGGACCCTCAGCTGCAGGTCTGTTGGAGTACCCTGCCGTGTGAGGTGTCAGTGTGCCCCTGCTGGGGGGTGCCTCCCAGTTAGGCTGCTCGGGGGTCGGGGTCAGGGACCCACTTGAGGAGGCAGTCTGCCCGTTCTCAGATCTCCAGCTGCGTGCTGGGAGAACCACTGCTCTCTTCAAAGCTGTCAGACAGGGACATTTAAGTCTGCAGAGGTTACTGCTGTCTTTTTGTTTGTCTGTGCCCTGCCCCCAGAGGTGGAGCCTACAGAAGCAGGCAGGCCTCCTTGAGCTGTGGTGGGCTCCACCCACTTCGAGCTTCCTGGCTGCTTTGTTTACCTAATCAAGCCTGGGCAATGGCGGGTGCCCCTCCTCCAGCCTCGCTGCCGCCTTGCAGTTTGATCTCAGACTGCTGTGCTAGCAATCAGCGAGACTCCGTGGGCGTAGGACCCTCTGAGCCAGGTGTGGGATATAATCTCGTGGTGCGCCGTTTTTTAAGCCCGTCGGAAAAGCACAGTATTCGGGTGGGAGTGACCCGATTTTCCAGGTGCGTACATCACCCCTTTCTTTGACTCAGAAAGGGAACTCTCTGACCCCTTGCGCTTCCCAAGTGAGGCAATGCCTCGCCCTGCTTCGGCTCGCGCACGGTGTGCGCACCCACTGACCTGCACCCACTGTCTGGCACTCCCTAGTGAGATGAACCCGGTACCTCAGATGGAAATGCAGAAATCACCCGTCTTCTGCGTAGCTCACGCTGGGAGCTGTAGACCGGAGCTGTTCTTATTCGGCCATCTTGGCTCCTCCTGAAGATATTTTTAAAAAATAGATTCTTTCAATTTTGGGGGAGCAATAACTTTAAAAATCATATTATATTGACAAAAGCATACATATGGATGATAGCTATTCAATTCTGGAGTGGCTTTTTTACCATCCCGTATTTCATAATCAGAATAACTTTCTAAAAAACAATTTTTATCTTGCCACTCTCAATTTAAAACCATTTAATCTTAGCTCCATTTATTATATGTATTCTCCCTTACAATTAAAACCAACTTATGATTTAATTCCTGAAAAGGGCTTTGTACATTTCTATTTTCTGCCTTTGCTCAGATATTTCCTTCTTCCCATACCTTCTATTTCTATCTGCCAGAACCTTATACATTTTTAATGACTAACTTAAATGCTACCTCTTCGTGACTATTTTCCCAAGTATACTCATTAGAAAGTTTGATCTTATCTCCCCTTTAAAGGGCATAGTATTCATTGTACAATATACTTATGGTATGTAGATTTCTATCATTTATATTTGTGTCTTACATCTTTTCCTCAGTTTCAAACATCTTCAAGGCAGAAACGTGTTGTATTTGCATGCTGTTTAGAAGGCAGTGTACTGAATAGTACCAGTTTTTTCAGAGACAAATATGGTGTACTTATTTGAAAAGAAAGGATGATACACATACATAGGTAGGTAAGATGGGGTTGAAATTGTTTCCTTGAAACTTAGTTGAAGAAACTTTTCCTGTAAAGGATATGAGCATGTGTTATTTTTTTATCAGGCTTAAGTGTGGCATATTTTATTGAATTTCATATTTTTCATAAAGATAAATCATTTAGAGCAGTGTTTTACATTAAAATTAATATATTATGGTATATGTATAAATTCTGCATGAAGTCTAAAGATAAAACATGAGAACTCAAAAACTATATAAACTGCTATTAGCTTTATTTGTCAGTATCTAAGTCTTCCTGCTATCCTCTCAGTAGGATACTTTAGAAAGAAAATGTATGAAAATAATTGGATTAAGGGAAGTGCCACAGAAAGGGAAAAATTTGACATTAAGCAATCTAATTAACAGTAGAAAGCATTTTTAAAAAATACTTGGTATATGAGACAATGGAAAACCTCTTCATTTACAAATTCCACTGTAAATATAAAAGTACATGCAAAAGTTCAAGCATATTAAACTAATGGCAAATTATATCTTGAAAAATTGGAAAGTTTTATAAAATTTTGTAGCTATAAAACTAAACTCTTATATTTTGATAGCAGCTTAAGAAATCTATATACTACCACAATATTTATTTTGAGGTAATAATATTTGTAACATAATCTTCATTGTCTTAAATAATAATATAATTATATGTGAACTAATTCTGTGTATTATTACAATAACAGATTTATTAACAATTTTATAATAAATGATTTTTTCTTCTATAATGATAGGAATAGCCTTTTCTAAGCATATAAACATTGCCAATCATCCTCATCCAAAGTTTTTACTGTTGTTTTACTCTTAAACAGCCATCCAAAAAATCCTGCAACCAGTAGCAAATTATATTACACATTGGACACATCCTAAATGATGCAAGGTAATAACAAAAATTTACCTGTTTTCAATCATGTTCTTCCCCTGGTTAAATGCTATTTGAAATATTTTTAATTCTTTGTATCTTTTTTGCAACATGTAACTAATGAAAAAATGTTGTTTATTAGACAATTTCAGCCTCAGAACATGCAAAACCACGACACACTGGTATGGTCAAACCAGGCTCTTCACTCTCCATTCAACTTGACATTTGCATTTCTTCTCCTTCAGCCTCTATAATTATATTGTTGTTTATTTAACATACCTTTTTTCTAATCTCTACTCACAGTGACATCCTAAAATGTCACTTGAAAGTCTATGTTGACAGAAGAATTCCTCTCTTTAAATTCTGGGAAGCTATTTTTTGGGAACCTATTATGTCTCAAATGCTATGTACAATTAGAGTTGCTTCAGTTCCAGAATATTCAGTTTTGCCATGCAATTCATTGATTAATTGCAGAATTAGCTATATCCTTTTGTGTGTTATTTGGTTTACAGATTCAAACTCTGTATATAGTAAACTTCTTATGGGAAGAAATCATTTCTCAAACTAATATGAGTGTAATAGTTAAAAAAGAAACAATTTATACATTTTTAATTTAATAAACATTTATTTATCATTAATCTTGAACAGGATTTTCTGATAGATTATTTTAAGGTCTAGAGCGAGAAATGTGGGCGAAAGATAAAGCAAGCTTCATATACAATTATAACATAATTTGTTCTGCACGTGACATATAAAAAATACAAAATACAGGAGTCCAAAGAGGAGACTCTTATTTGGTTTGATGTATTAGGAAATTTAAAGGTAGTTTTTAAGATGAATAGACTTTTCAAGCTATAAAGATGTGGTTAACTATAAGGGGCTAAAGACAGAGCAGAAAAATAGTCATACACAAGAAAGTAAAATATATTGAATGATTTTGCTAATTATTTGAGTTAGAAATTATTGGAAACAAACATTGTAGACTATTACAGACAGGGGGCAATAAAGATCTTAAATATGACGACTATTACAAAAAATGGAAGATGAGAGCCAGCGTATATTTCAAATATTGACTAACACATGACAACTGATATGCAAATAATTCAGAGGGAGAAATCAACATTTTTAAGACTTGTGAAATGGAAGATTTTTGGTGTGATTAAGTCAAGGAGAAAAGTCAGAGGAAAATGGGCAGGTAATAGTGGATGAGGAGAACATCTAAATCAGTGGGGTTCTTAACATTGTCTGCACATCATCTGTGACATTTTTAAAACCACTAGTGACTCGATTGCACCCACTGAAATTCTCATGTAATGTGTCTAGAGTGTGTCATGGGCATAGGTATTAAAAAAAAAACTCTCTAGGAAACTCTTTTATTAAGCTAGGAAAGTTCTGATCTAGATTCTGTCCACTTACCAAAGAAATTCACAAGCCAGTAACATCCACTTTATCTGGAAACTTGATAGAAATCCAGATTTTTAGTCTCTATCGCAGAATACCTGAATTAGAATCTGCAGTTTAAATGCTTCCTCAAGTGATTTAACTTTTTAGTACTGCTTACCTTGAACATGCTAGGATTATCTGTGGTGCTTTTAGAAAACAACTACCTAGTTCCTGTAACACAAGAACAGAAAACCAAACACCGCATGTTCTCACGCATAAGTGGGATTGAACAATGAGAACATATGGACACAGGGAGGGGAACAAGACACACCAGGGACTGTCGGGGGTGGGGGCCAAGGGGAGGGAGAACATTTAAGCAAATACCTAAGGCATGTGGGGCTTAAAACCTAGATGATGAGTTGATAGGTGCAGCAAACCACCATGGCACAGGTATACTTATGTAACAAACCTACACATTCTGCACATGTATCCCAGAACTTAAAGTAAAATAAATTTTAAAAAAAATGTAAAAAAAGGGGGACAAAGGGCACTAGGCAGTTAATTAGCACAAATAAAATACACATTGCCAATAAACAGAAGAAATATTTAACAACAACATAAAGAGCAAATCCAAGACATATTTTTACTCTGAAAAGAATTAAGTATGGTAATAAAATATAAAGAAGACTTCATTGTTGCTAATAAAACTATATAATATGTCCAGAGTAATTATCTGATGATGATAAACAAAGCTATTTATTTTAACAGAAATTTTCTAACTTGATTTTTTTTTTTTTATTTTAAGAGAATGACCCTATATAGGGTTAGGGTTAGGGTTATGAAGAAAGAGTTCACTTATGCTTGGACATGATATACATGATATGGTAAAATAAGTATTTTGGAAAAAAATACTCATATTGACACATAACTAAGTTTGGCAGGAATGTTTCATCAGCCTTCATTTTCTTTTTAAGCTGTCATAGTTTTCTTTCTGTTAAACCTAAAAAACGACATCAAATAAAGATAATGAATTATTCATTGAAAAAATTAAAAAAAGAAAACAACCACTTGTAGGCCCCACCCACAGAAATGCTGATTTAATTAGCATAGGGTAGGGCCAAAGCACTGGGTATTCTTTTAAACCACCACCAGAAAATACAAATATGAGCCAAGTTTGAGAGCTACAGGTAGAGAAAGAATGGTGTTAACTATACATCCAAAAGTCCGACTCCCTAGGCAGTTTTCTTTTTCTTTCATTGTTTATAACAGCATTCATATGTAACTAGAAGAAGAAAGAGAAATGTTTTCTTTCTCTAAATGTATTGCAAGATAGAAGAGTATTTAATGAGAAGCCACAGAAATATTTTATGTGACTGTAATTTTAGCTGTATTTGAATCAGTTTGAAATAAAATGGAAGCGTAAAGTTGTACAAAAAAGATCTCCCAGAAAGCACAATAAATATCCATACCATCAATATACAATAATCTACTGAGAGTTCAGGTAAACTTTTTAGGCATCTCTGGTTTTTTTCTTTTGAACTGATATGGATAGCAACCCTGTTTCAAGGGACTTTATAATGACAGCCAATGTGAATTGTTGCCACACTCAATTTGCAAGGGCAGAGTTTCAAGCTAGAATAATTGCCTATTCCACTCCAGAGATGGGATGCTGACTGCTTCATTACCAGCTGGATGAACCAGGGCATGAGCAATTTCAGACAGTGTGAACCATGCTCCTTTACACTACCCATGGGCACTAGTTCCCAAATCTACTTACTCTCTGTCCCCAGGAGACAACAGACACATTTTGCTTGCTGAAAGGTGCTCTTGATGGGGCTAAAAGAGATGTGCAAATGCACCTGTGTTTGCTCTGACATCATTCTACAAAGTGAATCATTAACCATGTTGGAATAGCAGATAGACTCGCATTGGGGAATCAGTCATTGGGGTTCTTCCATTTTTAATTGTTTTCCACCCGAGTTTATCTTACTTCTGAGGCAAAAGGATGGGCAATTATATAATCTATTATTAAACAGATTGCATAGTAATATTGGGATATAGCAGGCCAATAAATATGACTAAGAAGGTTTAACTCACTATTTAGTATCTTGTGATTCCAGGTAGTTCTATAAGAACTACTAAGAAGAGCTGATAAGCCTGGGGAAATAATTGCTTTAAAAAAGTATCTGCATTTACAATTTTGCATAGTTGATATAAACTGTTATGAGAATGATTTTAGGGGACAACTTTTTTTTGCTCAATTTAAATTACTTATAATAGGCCAAGTGTGGTACTTAAATAACCAAACCTCTTTAAAAATCAATATTTTTTTCGTTTTGAGTTAGAGCAAACATTGCTTGCACCACAAGCCAATGTCAGATTTTTTTTAAGTGCATTATTAAGTACAGCTTTAAACCAGAATTGGGCATGTACATCAGTTTTCAGTACGGCAGAAACTATGATGGAAATATTGGTAAGAATGAAATTGAAGTAATCATACTCAATCTATTTGTTGTCTTATTAATTTGGAATTACTTGATATTTTATCTATCTATAAACATATGTGCATATAAAATATGGATGTAAAGTATAAACAAATAAAAATTTAAAAATATTTATGTCTATCACCAAAATTAGAAATACAACATTCTCAACTTTCCTAAGTCTCTGAATGTCTTCTTCATCCCTCATCCTTATACTGCCTAGACATAAATGGGTTTTTGAATTTTCCATACTATTTTAACAGCTATATTAAGATATTTACACAGCAGGCAATTCACCCATTTAAAGTCTACAGCTCAATGGTTTGTAGCATATTCACTGATATGTTCTACTATCACTACAGTCAAATTTAGAACATTTTTTATCACCCTGAAAAGGAACCTCATAGCAACTAGCAATATTCCTTATTCTAGCTCCCTAGTTGCCACTCCAGATAACCACCAATCTACATTTTTTTTGAGATGGAGTCTCTTTCTGTCGCCTGGGCTAGAGTATAGTGGTGCGATCTCGGCTCACTGCAATCTCTGCCTCCCAGGCTCAAGCGATTTTCCGTGTCTCAGTCTCCCAAGTAGCTGGGATTACAGGCATGTGTCACCACGCCTGGCTAATTTTTACAGTATTTTTTTTAGAAACAGGATTTCACTACGTTGGCCAGGCTGGTCTCAAACTCCTGACCTCAGGTGATCTGCCCACTAGGGCTTCCCAAAATGCTGGGATTACAGGTGTGAGCCACCACACCTGGCCCACCAATCTAATTTGGTGTCTATATATTTGCCTATTCTGTATATATCAGATAAATGAAACTATAGACTATGTGATACTTTTGTGACTGACTTTTCACTTAGCATAAATGTTTTCAAGGTTCATGTATTTTGAAGAATTTGTCAGTACTTCATTTATTTTTGTGGCCAAATAATATTAGATTGTATGAATTTACCACAGTTTATCAATTTATCTGCTGATAAATATTTAGGTTCTTTCTACTTTTCTCTATCACTACTATGCTAAAAATGTTTGTATAGAAGTTTCTTCATGGGCATATGTTTTTATTTTGGGGGGGGTACATACCTAGGAGTTAAATTGCTAGGACAAATGGTAGCTCTATATTTAATCATTTGAGCTTATTTTTCATAGTGGCTGCACCATTTTATATTCTTAAAAGTATCGTAAGAGGATTTTAATTTCCCCACATCCTCACCAATACTTGCCATACTCTGATTTTTTGATTCTAGCCATTCTAGTGTGTGTGAAGTGGTACCTCATTGAGGTTTTGGTTTGCATTTCCCTGTTGACCAATGACATTGAACAACTTTCTTGTCTTCATCAGCCATTTATGTATCTTCTTGGGAAAATTTTCTCTTTACCTTTTCTGCACATTTTTAAATTGAGTTAGTTGACTTTTAATATATTCAGTTGCAAAAATTTTTATACATTCTGAATATAAATTATTTATTAGAATCATGATTTTCTAATATATTCTCCCATTCTGTAGGTTATCTTTACATTTTCTTCATGGTGTCCATTGAGGGACAAAAGTGCTTATTGCTATGTACTTGTTCATTTGTCTAGTGACGGGCTGGATTATTTTAGTAAGGTCTCTATTCAGGCTACTGTGTTAAGCATCTGATGTTGCTCCTTAGGGAAGCAAAGTCTTGGATATGCCCACAGTCACTATAGCAGAATAGTGGTTTTGGTAGAACTCTCTTCTTTAACCATAGGCAGATGGCTAGCCCCACCAACTGCTGCCTATTGTTCAGTTGATTTCAACAATGCTCTGGGACATAAACTGCTCTTCAACCCTACTCTAATCATATTGTGGGTCCTTTGAATGAATAACGACTGAGGTCATTGTTTTATATATATAATATTATGTAACATATTTTATATCTATCTATACATCTATATCTATATCTATATATATTTCAGGAGGGTTACTCTCAGTTGACTTATTTCCATTTTCCCCTCCAAACCAACCAGCCTACCACTGAGCTTGTAATCTGAATCTTCTCTTTAATTGCTTTTCATTGAAGCCTCCAGTGTTTCTTAGGGTACCTGTAGGCTTGACTTTCTCCATGCTGTATTGCAAATGACAACACAAATTCACTCTCTGATAGTTTTTGAGGCCAGAAATTCAAAATCACTTTCACTGGGCCAAAGCCAGGACTGTACTGTTTCTGGAGGCCCTAGAGGATAATATGCTTTCCTGTCCCTTTCAGCTTCTAGAGCAGCTCTTTTTAGCTCATAGTCCCTTCTTCCATCTTTAAATTCAGTGCTGTAGGATCCTCTCTTTTTCACTCTGCTTCTTTCACATAATATTTTCTCTGTGTCAAATTGGCTTTACTCTTATCAGAAACTTGTGAGTGTATATTTAAGGCCCATCTAGACAATTCAGATAATCTTCTCATCTAAAGACCTCAACCTATTCACATCTTCAAAGTCAACCTATATAACATTCCTAGGTTTCAGAGATTAGGTGGTTGATAGCTTTCAGAGGGGCCTACTACAGTAAGTATACTTCTATCCCACCTCCAAGAAGACTTTCAAAATGGGAGTAGTAAAATGGTCTCTTTTCCATACAGAAATAGAAGAAACATATATTTCTCCATTCTTCATCTGCAGATTCAACCCATAACACATGTAGGACACTTTTTCTTCCTAGCTCTCATCCCATTGCACTGTGGGGCTGCTGGGCACCTTAACACTGCAAAGTTAAGGTGGATGTTGATTTTATTGTGAGCATAATAGTACATTTGTCTCTGATACAAAAGCCTTATATGGGTAAGTTTAAAAATCACATTATTTATCTTGATATAAAGGCTCAACTAATCTATTTGCAAGAAATAAAAAGATAAACATATGTGGTTAGAGATTTATTTTTTTGAGACAGAGTCTTACTCTGTTGCCCAGCAATGGCACAATCACAGTTCTCACAGTTCCCTACAGCCTCAGACTCCCTGGGCTCAGGTGATCCTCCCACCTCAGCCTTCCTAGCAGCTAGGACTACAGGTGTGTGCCACCAGGCCCTGCTAATTTTTCTATCTTTTGTAGAGATGAGGTTTTGCCATGTTGCTCAGGCTGGTCTCGAACTCCTGGGCTCAAGCAATCTACTCACCTGGGCCTCCCAAAGTGCTGAGATTACAGGCATCAGCCACTGCACCCAGCCAGAGATGTTTTAAGATAGAGCATTTTAAATGCACTGGACGTCGTGGCTCACATCTATAATTCCAGCTCTTAGGGAGGCAGAGGTGGGAGTATAGCTTGAGCCCAGGAGTTTGAGACGTGCCTGGGCAATATAGCGAGACCCCATTCTCCACAAAAAGGAAAAAAAAAAGACACACAAAAAATAGAGCATTTTGAAAGATTTCTATGAAACACTCATATACAATAATGTTTTGTGATCCTAAATGTCTCAAAATAGAGCGATTTATGACCAAGACTCAGCCTAGAGTGAAATTGCTGACCCCTTAGAGTGATAAGCATATGTATGGTGGACTGACGTTATAAGATAATACCTGCTGTGGCCAGGCACCCCCAAGGGCTGACAAGAAAGTAAAACCAAAAGACAGATAATGGCTATGGACACTCCAACAACTGACAACTCTTCATTCACCTTGGTTGGAGTTCCGAGGGAAAATCATAGCTACTTCCTATGATTCTTTTCCTCCACTCTCTTATTACTGTCTGTGTGTGTTGAATATATTTGCATGACGGTTGGTGTGTGAAAGCCTCTCAACAAACCATGAATTCAGAAGAATTTAATTAGCCACTGAGTCATTGTGAAACCTTCCGGCCTCCCTGTTGGAGTTAGTACAATTAGGCTGAGTCAACCCTGACACTAGAAACACTTATGCCCCTTTGGGTTGGACTTTGTATCATAGGCCCTGATGCTGTGTCAGTCCCAAATATCTTGCAAGAATGTTTTGTTGTGCACTGGAAGAAAACACAATTTTTAGATTGAATATGCCCAGGTTTAAATCTTGACCCTCATACGCACTATTTAGGATAATTGGTTCCACCGGGGTCCCGTTGCTAGAAGAGTAGGAAGTCAGTCACTGAGATAACATGTATTAGCTGGGAAGAAAGACTTTTTTGTGGGTACTTCAGCCTAACCATTAAGTTCCTCTCCCCAGCCCTCTAAAGTTAGGGGTTTATACAACAGGGAGGGGTAAGGAAGAGTAGCTGGTCAAGAGGCATCATGAATGGCTACTTTTGCTCATCTTTTAGTAACAAATACTTAGTACACCTTTCCATAGGCAAAATATACTCATCCTTACTCAAATGAGGCAAAGCCAAAATATCTCATCTGTTCACAGCTTCAATCTCAAAATTCAAGATTTCAGTTCTATGGGAAAATTGGGCCAGTTTCATATATACATATAATTTCATTTTTTCAATCATAGAGTGGTCAAGACCCTACTTTGTGAGGGTTATAGAATCAAAGAAAATGCCTGCATTTGGTACATAGTAGACAGCTAATAAAGATGGATGGTGTCATAATGTTATGTTATGGGCCGGTAAATAAAAGATGGAAAAATAGGAGATTTCATAAAGAGATCTTTGTATTAAGTATTTTTGATAATTTTAGAACCTATTAATAGTTTATACATGTATATACATGCCTATATATGTATATGTAATTGCATATTTATCTTGTATATGACATATTTCATATATAACATCTCATTATATATCACATTTAAGATATGTAACAATCATATATGTAACATATGTTTTTAAGAAAAAAGTAGAGACACAACCCTAATTTTTATGTGAGTTTTTACATCTTACATGTAAAATTTAAAATTTAGCAGGTTAAAATTTACATTATCTTAGTTTATTTTTCTATCAATGTTTAGAATCATCTTTATTCCTAGAGGAAATCTTTAAATGTGTTTCTGAAGACTCTCATAATAAGACTCAAGCCATATATCTTTTCACTAGGGAGTTATAGAATATTCATTCATACAATCCCTTAACTGTTCAGGAATATATATTAAGAGATAATGAATCAGTAATACACCTATTTTCATTCCTTTAAATAAATGGGTTTATATATGAAGTAAGAAAGTTATCTGTGTGAAGTACTGAGTAATTCAAAAATTTTGACAAGTAAACTACTGTAGCATTAAAAACACAAATACAGCTAGGTCTATTCTCTTCCTGTTGTAGGTACATATATTTTTGTTTCCAAATTTAGCTAAAATTATTTTTATTTTAAGTACCTGCTTTGGCAAGTGGCTTTTTTTTTTTTTATAAGTAACACATTATAATGCCTCATCTTGGCAGGAAGCTTGAGGGGGAAATATTATAAAATTGGGAAAACAAAATGAAACTAATAAAATAATTTCAAAATTAAAGTACTGTTTTAGCCCTCAGAATTGACTGTATCTTGTGCAGAGCACAGGATGTAATTAGTGTGAGGTCCGGAACAAGTTATACACACATAATCACAATGGAGACTTTAGAATTGTTTTGAATTGGCTGTATTCCTTTTTCCTTGTGATTTTTATAAAACCAGTTATGTGCTAAATCAAGTAAATCAGTTACTGTCTATACTATAAAGTAATCATTTGGAATATATCTAACAATGAATATTTTTCATTGCCTAGTTGGCAGGAATTGTGCAATATTACCAAAGAATGGTTGTTAAATGAAAAAGTTTGATAATGAACTTTTATGTAACTACTAGAAATGTACTGTAAAGTTTTGGGTTAATCTACTTTATAATATTTTATATATTACATATTACTAAGTGGTCTCACCCTCTCTCCATATATACACATTATATATATATACACATTATATACATATACATCTGTATATACACATGTATATGTATACATAGATACTTTACATATACATGTATACATATATGTGTATAGGTAATACATACATGTGTATGTGTGTGTGTGTGTGTGTGTGTATGTGTATATATATATATTATAACGTTGAACTTACCAGTTTATTCTTTGGGCATTGTATCTGATAGATATATTAGACCTGGATTTAAAAAAATGTATACATATTAGTAAAATCCTATGACCTCTCCAAAAGCAAACAAACAAACAAAAACCCAACAGATAGCATAATAGACAAAAAATATACAAAACAAAATTAAAATTTATATTTTATGAGTTCAAGTTAGTATCTACATCTTATTGTTCTAAGGATCCAAATTAAAGGTGCAGATATTTTTAGAAATTTAAAAATTTCAGCAGAAATAAAAATTTTATGAACTGGATGTATATATAAGTTGGTATTTATAATCTCAAAGTTATTTATAAATGAATCAGTAGAAGCCTGTTGGGTTTTTGTTTGTTTGTTTGCTTTTGGAGAGGTCATAGGATTTTACTAATATGTATACATTTTTTAAAATCCAGGTCTAATATATCTATCAGATACAATGCCCAAAGAACAAACTGGTAAGTTCAATGTCATTGTTATATATATATATATATATATACACACACACACACACACACACACACATACACACACACAAACTCTCACACACACATACATACACATGTATGTATATATTACCTATACACATATATGTATACAGGTATATGTAAAGTGTATATGTATTATCAATCAAGTTCTGCCGCAGTCAGTCAAAATTGGTTCAATCATGGTTAATAAAATTCATTGAATTAAACTAATTTTAGTTCCTACTTCTTTTGTATAGCTCATGCATTAAATTTTGAAGTTAACTTCCCAACATATTATACACCCATGAAATGTTATTTCTTAATTTAGTCTTAAACTTAATAGCATATAATGTCTTTAATAGGAATAAGAGATAAATAGAAGTTACAGGGCATATACTATGTTCACATATTATTCATGGCCATAACTTCACCAGCTCTCTTATTTATTCCTTAAAATATCATTGTGAGGTGTTTAATTATTATACCATTTTGGAGAAGAACAAAAAGGTTCAGAGAGCTTTAGCAGTTTTCTGAAAATTAGACAGTATGACTGAACTGGAATTAAGACTTAGATATGTTCAATTATAAAGTTCACACCCTTTCTTCTAAACTATTTCCATTACACTTTAGAAATTGGAATCACATTCTTCAAATTATTATGCAGAAATATAAGATGGCTGATTTCTGGATAGGCTAGGTTACCCTGTAGTAACAAATATTCTGATACTCTTACTGATTTAATTCAGTAGCTCATGATACGCCAACAGAGGTTGCCTTAAGGCTTGGTTCTCTAGTTACAAAGAGACCCAGGCTAATAGAAGTTTTAATTTTCCCAGTCTTCCTTGATCACCTCAGAGGTGGGAAGAGACACGGCAAACAGTGCATCAAATTCTTAGAACTTCAGCTAGGAAATAACACATATCATGTATTCTTACATTTTCTCAGCTAAAGAAAGCCACACAGAGTCATGTATAATTTCACAGGTGGGAGAGAAGTCCAGTTCTACCAGGTGCCTGGAAAGGGGAGAGGGAGAAAAAAGCAACTATTTTATATAAGCATGAATGGCTACTTTTGCTCATCTTTTAGTAACAAATATTTACCACACCTTTCCATAGGCAAAATATACTCATCCTTACTCAAGTGAGGCAAAGCCAAAATATCTCATCTATTCACAGCTTCAATCTCAAAATTCAAGATTTCTATGTGATATTCAGTAGCATCAACATCTGTTTCAACATAGAGGCTCTTGACACCAAGTTTTGTGAACTCAAAAGTGAAGTTCTGTGCCCCTTGCCTATCTAATTCTCAGTGGCCAAATGGGGATAAACCATAGTAAACGGTTTCATTCTGATAGAAGAGGATGGGAACTATCTAATTTTCAGTGGCCAGATGGGGATAAACCATAGTAAACTGTTTCATTCTGATGGAAGAGGATGGGAAACACCAGCAGTTACTGCTCCTGAAATTCTGAAATCCTGCCTAGCAGAGGTCAGGAGGACTCCTACATTGAATAAGGCAAAGTTTCTTAATTAGGTCTGAATTCTGCTCCCTTGTAGCAACCTTCAGTCTCTTGGCTGTGACCTCTGGAAGCTTTTTGTTTTTTGTTTTTCCTTCTTTGTTACCTTTCTGGGCCACATCACATCCAAAGTTGGCATCAGAAAATATATCCTCCTTGGGGGCTGAGCATCTTTCTCAGCTTGATTCCTGCCTGCACAAGATTTGAGATCTATAGGTCATTTTAAGGCTTAAATAATCCCAGACTTTTTGAGTGTAAGCTCATGCTTTAGGAATATAACTTTTAAAGCCTTTTTTTTTCCATTTAATTCTACTTGGTTCAATAAAGAATACTAATATAAGAGTTCCTAGGTTTACATTTTGTTTTCCTCTTTTCTTGGCCTTCATGTTTCACTTTTATCACTTAGTTTCAGTTACTTTGAGTTAATCCACCTGTATTAGTCTGTTCTCACACTGCTATGAAGAAATACCTGAGACTGGGTAATGTACAAAAAAAAGAGGTTTAATTGACTCACAGTTCTGCATGGCTGGGGAGGCCTCAGGAAACTTACAATTATGGTGGAAGGCACCTCTTCACACGGTGGCAGGAGACAGAATAGCAGGGGAAATGCTAGACACTTATAAAACCACCAGATCTCGTGAGAACTCACTATCACGAGAATAGCATAGGAGAAACCGTCCCCATGATTCAATTAGCTCCACCTGGTCCTGTCCTTGACACGTGGGGATTATTACAATTCAAGGCGAGATTTGGGTGGGGACACAGAGCCAAATCATATCATTCCACCCCGGACTCCTCCCAAATCTCACGTCCTCATATTTTATTTTTTTATTTTTTGAGATGGAGTCTCACTCTGTCACCCAGTCTGGAGGGCAGTGGTGCAATCTCAGGTCACTGCAACCTCCACCTCCTGGGTTCAAATGATTCTCCTGCCTCAGCCTCCTGAGTAGCTGGGACTACAGGTGCCTGCCACAATGCCTGGCTACTTTTTTTGTATTTTTAGTAGAGATGGGGTTTCACCATGTTAGCCAGGATGGTCTTGTTCTCCTGACCTCGTGATCCACCCACCTCAGCCTCCCAAAGTGCTGGGATTACAGGCGTGAGCCACCATGCCCAGCCATGTCCTCACATTTCAAAACACAATCATGCCCTTCAAATGGTCCCCCAAAGTCTTAACTCGTTTCAGCATTAATCCAAAAGTCTGAGTCCAAAGTCTCATCTGAGACAAGGTAAGTCCCTTTTGCCTGTGAGCCTGTAAAATTGAAAGCAAGTTAGCTATATCCTAGACAAAATGGGGGTACATGCATTGGGTAAATACACCCATTCCAAATGGGAGAAACTGGCAAAAATAAAGGGGCCACACGACCCATCCAAGTCTGAAATCCCATAGGGCAGTAATTAAACATTTAAATTCCAAAATATTCTCCTTTAGCTCCATGTCTCACATCCAGGTCACACTGATGCAAGAGGTGGGTTTCCAAGGTCTTAGGCAGCTCTGCCTCTGTGGCTTTGCAGGGTACAGACCCTCTCCCAGCCTCTTTCTCGGGCTGGCATTGAGTGCCTGTGGCTTTTTCAGGTGCAGGGTGCAAGCTGTTGGTGGATCTAAAATTCTGGGGTCTGGAGGACAGTGGCCCTCTTCTCACAGCTCCACGAGGCAGTGCCCCAGTGGGGACTCTGTGTGGGGGCTCCAACTCCACATTTCCCTTCTGCACTGCCCTAGCAGAGGTTCTCCATGAGGGCTCTGTCCCTGCAACAAACTTCTGCCTGAGTATCCAGGATTTTTTCATACATCCTTTGAAATCTAACTGGAGGTTCCCAAACCTGAATTATTGATTTCTCTGCACCATAGGCCCAACACCACGTGTAAGCTGCCAAGGTTTGGGGCTTGTACCCTCTGAAGCCTGAGTTGTACCTTGCCCCCTTTTAGCCTCGGCTGGACCTGAAGCAGCTGGCACAGGGTACCATGTCCCAAGGCTGCATTAGAGCAGGGAGACCCTGGGCTCTGCCCATTAAACCACTTTCCCCCTCTAGTCCTCTGGGCCAGTGGTGGGAGGGGCTGCTGTGAAGTGTCTGACATGCCCTGGAGACATTTTCCCCACTGTCTTGGTGATTAACATTCAACTCCATGTTACTTCTGCAAATTTCTGCAGGCAGCTTGAATTTCTCTCCAGCAAATGGGTTTCTCTTTTGTATTACATAATCAGCCTGCAAATTTTTCAAACTTTTATGGTTTGCTTCCTCTTGCACATTTTGCATCTTAGAAATTTCTTCCAGCAGATACCCTAAATCATCTCTCTCAAGTTCAGAGTTCCACCGATCTCTAGGGAAGGGGAAAAATGCTACCAGTCTCTTTGAGAAAGCATAGCAAGAGTCACCTTTATTCCAGTTTCCAAAAAGTTCCTCATCGCCATCTGAGACCACCTCAGCCTGGATTTCATTGTCCATATCAGTATCAGCATATTGGTCAAAGGCATTCCACAAGTCTCCGGGAAATTCCATACTTTCCCACATCTATCTTCTTCTGAGCCCTGCAAACTTTTCTAACTTCTGCCTATTACCTAGTTCCAAAGTTGCTTCCACATTTTTGGGTATCTTTACAGCAACACCCCACTCCCAATATCAATTTCCTGAATTAGTTTGTTCTCACGCTGCTGTGAAGAAATACCCAAGACTAGGTAATTTATGAAGAGGTTTAAATGACTCAGTTTCTCACGGCTAGGGAGGCCTCAGGAAACTTAAAATCATGGTGAAAGTCACCGCTTCACAGGGCGCAAGAGTGAGAATGAGTGCCAGCAGAGGAAATGCCAGACACTTATAAAACCATTAGACCTCATGAGAACTCACTATCACAAGAACAGCATGGGAGATAACACCCCCATGATTCAATTACCTCCATGCGGTCCCGCCTTTGATATGTGGGGATTATTACAATTCAAGGTGAGATTTGAGTGGGGACACAGAGCCAAACCATATCACTAACCTTTCTTGGAAAGTCTTTAGCCTCTTTTTCCTACACTATTTTGTCCAACTGAAATGATTTGCTAGGTAGCACAAACATGGCAGTGTTCCAAGACACCTTAATTCATTCAGAGGTTTTAACAGTGGGTGATGGATTTGTTATCTTTTACTGCATAACACATTACTTCAAAACTTAGTGGCTTAAAATAACACATATTTATCATCTCACAGTTTCTGTGGGTCAGGAATTTGGACATAATTTACATGGGTCCTCTGTGTGAAGATTTCTTATGAGGCTTCACTGACGTTATCAGCTAGTGCTGAGATCTCATTTGACCTGGAAAGGATCCACTTCTAAGCTTACTTACATGGTTGATGGAAAGATTCAATTTCTCCAGGATCGTTAGAGGGAGGGTCTCATTAACTCCATGACTCACTCCTTAGAGGGGGCCACCCTAAGCTTCTTGCCAAATACAGCAATTTACTCCATAAAGGCCAGTGAGAAAGAAAGAGTTTGCAAACACAGTGGAAGCCATCATCTTATGTAATGTAATCAGGGTAGTAACAGTCTATTATTTTCGCCATCACTAAGATGTAACACACAGGTCCTCTCCAAAGTCAAGGGAAGAGAATTCCTACAGGGTGTGGATACAAAGAGGCAGCAACAATTGTGTCCGTCTTCCAAGCTGCCTGTCATAAATGCGATAGATACCCGTCGGCTTGATTTGATCTTTGTAAGCACGTGAGATTTAATTTGTACTTTGTCTTCTGTCTCTCTTAGGACTTCTCAGTTTAATCTTTTACCAGTTAGTATTGAAAAGAAATTACCTCTTTAAAATGGTAAATTCTTGGTTTTTAGATCTCAATCATTCTCTTTCACTACCACTTTCTAACTGGCTAATTACTGTGCAGTATCTTGCCACTTCAGCCAACTGCATCCAGCACACACTCCTAACGATCTGTTTCCAGTCTCTTCCCTAAGGCTGCTGTCCCATAAAAGTTCAGAGCCAAGAGAGAGTAGGTGGAACAGCATCAGCTCTCTTTGCTCCTGGATCCAAATGTAGCCATCTCCTCTACTATCCCCACACAAGGTGATACACGACATTTCTCCAGTACTCCAGACGCGCAGCAAGAGGTAAATTCCGTAAAATTCCAGATTGTGACACTTCTCTGCGGAGTATATTCTACCATCATCTTTTGAAGCCAACCATGAAGTGTCAGAGGAACCCCCTCTCAGCCCCACACAAGGAGGATATTCCTTTTTGATGCTATAATTCATTCAGAGGCAGGGAACCTTGCCCTAGAAAGCTGGTTATTACATCTCTTTTTATTATTCCAAATATGTAGCTTTTGGCATTAACCTTTGCACTTGAGAATTAAAAATCCCTTCTCTTCTCCTACCGTTTCATTCATAAAAATGTTTTGATTTTGAAAAACTGAGGACTCCAGTTTTATTGTGTGCTGGGATGTTTTCCTGGGTAAGTTCAACCTGCCTAAGCTGCTAGGATAGTTTGAAGAATGAAACAAGAAGATGAAAGAATTACTAGTACTGAAAAATAAAACATAAATTTGAAACATTGTCTCATTATGTGTGCTTTCTTTTATTTATGTTTCCCTTATCTCTTTGCTTTCTGTATTTTGCCTCATAGATTTTTTATGTGTCTTTAAATTATCTAGTGTTTTTGGAACTATATATTCCATTTTCAATTCTACTGCTTTGTTATCTTTTAGTTTTTCAAAAACATTTTAAGCTTTCTTTTCCTATAATTTTCACCCTCTCTACTAAAAGCCATTTTTAGGATTCTGTCTTGTTTTATCTTATATTCTTTTTATTTCACGTAGTTGCTCTTGATCTCCGTCCTCATCCTTTTTTTGCTCTACTAACTTGTAACTCTTGATACATAAAGGCCATAACTTACTGCAATTATTAGAGAATACCATCTCCCAGATACTTTCTTCTGCATGTCACAATAGATCATCTCTTGAAGTATGCTGTTCCTCTAATTAATCTTCATATTGTTTTTTGTTTTTTTGTTCTTCAATACTTGCTTGGCTCCGTGGTTTTATTTTTTCTTAATACTCATATTTGAATAATGTGAGATAATGACACTGGGGTAAATATTTTTCATAGGTAAGAGTCAAAAGATTGCCTTTCTGCTTATCTGGCCGGGGAGATACCAGGATCACAAAAGTGGTTTTCACAGGGTGAGGCTTATCCATTATATTCCAGATATGCTGACCCCTGTGATTTCCCCAATTGTGGGAAACTTGACTGCATAATTTGTGGTAGTGGTGGACTGCATTCATAATCTCCCACAGAGACTGTGATATCAATCTCTGATATTATGATATCACAGTTATCATAATTTATATGTCTGATATAAATTTTTAAAAGATTAAAAAAACCATTGCTTTCGGCCCTACTGTTTATGCTTCAATAAATACTTGAAAAGAAACTTGATATGTTCAACTCCAAGGGCAATTTTAGGTTTTAAACAGACTTTATATGATTGCTTACCTCTTCTATATGCTAAACCTTGCTCAGCATTATAGAATTTTATAGAATTACATGAAAAATTAGGATTTCTACCCTTTTCCTATACTATTGTAAACTTTTATGAAAAAGTTGTCTTCAGTGAGTAAAGTGTGATGACTAAACACCCTATCATTCTTAGTTTTTACCAAATTGTTATTTAGAATTTATATCTTATCAAGGAAAATCGTGTGTGTGTGTGTGTGTGTGTGTGTGTGGTGTGTGCATGTTGGAGGGAGGTATACACATGTGTGTGTTGGGGTTGTAGCCTGAATTTAAATACAGAACATACCCCAAGGGAGAAGAGGAATTTATGCCACAGTTCAGATTTGTATATTCTCTGAATCAGGCAACAAATGAGGGTTGAATGCATGTCTATCAATATTGTTTTCTGGATTACCTAGTGTAGTTGTATGAAGCTGAATATATTATTGCCTAATGGACTTAGGTCTCAATAGTATTTTTTTTTCCTTCAATTAAATTTCATCAGTCCTATATTTTTTTAAGTTCCTACAAGATTTTTGGCTTGTCTTTCAGCACTAATTTCAAGTTATTGATGTTTTAAATCTTTTTTGTGTCTTCCCAGTTATTTTGTGAGGAAGTGGAAGAGGATAACAAAGGCTCTTAATGAAGCCATTAAGCCTGCTTTCCCATGTATAATTATATGATTATATTTAAAATTATATTTATCTTCCTACTTACAACCCTACATTTTAAAAATAAAAAGTTTAGAATAATAAAAGTACATATTAGATACCTGAAAAATACCTTTGTAGAATGAATTGAAAATTCACAAAAGTCACATAGCAATGGGGCTACTGCCCACTTAAAATACTTAAATCAATCAAGAACAGTAGAATTAACTTGTCTCCGATCAGGCTTTGGCTCAAATATCAATGATAGTGTGCTTCAGGAAAACAGAAAGATGTAGTGTTAATACTAAAACAAATAATGTCAATACAATTGAAATGTGAATGACTGTGCAACATTAATTGGATTTATCTTCTATAAAATACATGAAAAATATTGGTAAAATTACATGATATTTCATAAACATAAAAGGTAACTCAAAAAGAGATGCATGTCTAACATATTCTTGGTTTCAATGATATTTTTGAATCATTTCCAATGCATGATTAATTATGGCAAAAATAAGTAAGCTTGGAGAGTAATTGAATCAGAACCTGTCTTCTAGATGTTTTGCTATCATACTTTGAATACTGAATATATATTTATATGGTTTTTGCTGCAATAATGAGATAATGGGTCACCTATTTTATTTTTTGTCTAAAATCAGCAAATAATAGACAGCCAAAATAAAGAATCCCCAAACAACGTATTAAGGGTGTCAAGGGATCTATACTTCAGAAGTTAAACTGTAGTAAAGATTTTCCTTTACTTATTTCATATCCACCACTTAAAGATATATATGACAATACACATCTTTCCAAGTAAGGTAATTTGGAATCATATGAGTAGAATATACCTCTTCCTAAATATCTTCTTGCAAAAATTTCCAAAAAAAATCATTGAAAATTTCTTTTGGAAAAGTATTGCTTGAGAAATACAGCTCCCCTGAATCCTATTTCTTCAAACAGCCTTGCCATTGTACCAGATGGAGAGAGATAACACATGTAATTTAGCAGTGTCAGGCTAACACCTCAATGTGTTTTTACAAAAATGGAAATCTTGCCCTCCCAGAAGACAGTAATAAATAACAGAAAAATTCAAAATAAGAATGATTAGGAAGCTCTTTTTATTGTAATTCTTTCTAAATTTGTATTTAAATTAAATTGCACATGTTATAATATATATGAAATAATTTTATATTTAAATTATATCTACAATTTAGAGATACAGTATTTAAGGATGCACTACAGTATTCCTATGTGCAGCAGCCAATTATGCTTGTTGCAATATAAAAGAATATTAACTTCTCATATATTATTGTAGCTAACAGAGTGCATTATTTTTTGACAAATGTGATATATTGTAATGGTTTCTGAGTGCCTCAAAATGAATATTCCATCAAAAAATTTTAAATTTTTATTCATTCAAGTATGAATTAATATGTACTATATTTTATTGGCCTTTTTGGGAACAGGTATGTATTTCTGCACTTACCTGAAATTTAATGTTGGCAATAAGACATGATATTGTGGTAGAAGTTGACAATAAATATCCTCTGTAGCCAACTGGATTTTGACACACAATTAAGGAGAACCTCACAGTGTAATTTCCACATAGATCAATAACATTAGATTTTCCACACAGTTCAGCCTCTGCTGATATAAATGAAGGCCTCATTTTAAATTAGTTCAGGTAAAATGGGATTGCTCAAGCAACATTTAGAAAAAATATCTTTCCTTAGCCAAATTGAAGTCTTCACATAAGAAAGATAAATATTTATGTATTAATTTGATCATAGATTAAAAAGAATTATTTTCACACAGATGGCTTATTTTACAAGAAAGGATAACTTTATAACATAAACTGATAGATTGGTGGAAGTTGTTCACTGACAGCAATGTACTTGGCTAATAGATAAAGTCTAGCTTTTTTGTCACCATGAATTCATTTATACATTGAAAAATCATCTAGGGACAAGGCATGAAGAAAGGATACAATGGGCCTATTCTAACAATAGATTCGATTTCTTTATTTTTGTGTCTCCATATTGTCACCAAATTCTCCTCTGAATCATATTTTATCTGTCTAAATTATACTTTTTTACTCAGATCCCACTTTATCTCCTCTATTCATTTCAGAGGCTCAGAGGGGAAAGGGGACAATTTGGTCATAAAATGGAGCCTTTTCAATTGGGCTATGTGACAATAACCTGGTATTATTGGAGAAAAAAAATGTTCTTGTAACCATTAGTTTGCAGTCCTAGAAGACTGAGTAAAAATCAACCATCACTTTTTTTTTAATGGATATTTTGACTGGATGAAAATGTCCTTTGTTATATGGTGCAAATTCCTGAGAACAATTTGATGAACCACTTCTCATTGCACAAGTCTTGTTCTTACCAAGAAGTTAATAATATTTATTCTTATGTAAAGCAAGAATTAAGTTCCAAAAATGTCTCCAGATTTTACTAGGACTGTAAACTTCTGGAGAGCAGGAATTCTGTATGACTGGTTTTTACACTCAACAGTATCAAGCACAATACTTTGCAGGTAAATATTAGATCACTTGATATATTTCTACCTTAAAATATTAAGTAACTTTTCTACCTTAAAATATTAAGTCTATTAATTTGGACATTCATACTTTCCTTCTTGGTGGAGATAATTATTCTACTGAAAAAAATTTTAAGGCAGAGAATATTATCAGTCACTTTCAAAAACAGGAAGGTTTAGGTTAAAAACAAATCTTAACAGACTGCATCACATCATACATACATGAGACAAATGCCTTAGACTACGTGTAATGAAAGATCCTTCTAAAAAAATTTCCAATTCAATTACGTAAAATTAAATTAAAAAGTTATAGTATAAATGCAAATTAAAATATCAAATACATACAGAATACAATATCCAATTTTTTATTATTAGATTCTACAGACTTTTTTTAAGTTTCTGTAAAATTTTCTAAATGCATACTCTGTACATATTTATTTCATCATGGACAAGTAACAAGGAGATCACAGGTGACACCAATCCCCTGACCACGCTTTGAGAAGCACTGTACTAGATTGACTTTCTAATGTCAGTCTTCATTTTCTAGCTCTGTTACAGCCATGGTCTCCATATTATCTAGTACAACACACATACAAATATGTGTGATACAGTATGAATATAATATAAAAATATGTGTTATAATATAAATATAATATTAAAATATGTCTTTATACTAGATAATAATACTTAATAACGTTGAGTGTTTAACTGCTCTAAGCACTTTACCTGCAGGAAACAGTTTTTTTTTTATTTTGGTGAAATACAACTAACATAAATTTATTTACAATTTTAAGCATTTTTAAGTGTATAGTTTAGTGGAGTTAATATATTCAAAATGTTGTGCAGCCGTCACCATCATCAGTCTTCATAACTCTTTTCATATTGTAAAATTAAAAGTTTATGCTCATTTAAAAATGACTCCCAATTTCCCCCCTCCTCAACCTCTGGAAACTACCATTCTATTTTCTGCCTCCGTAGTTTTGCCCACTCTAAGTACCTCACATAAGTGGAATTTGTCTTATTTGCCTGTTTGTGACCGGCTGATTTCATTTAGTATAATGTCCTCAAGTTTTATTCACGTTATATAGCATATGTCATAATTTTCTTCACTTTTAAGCTTGAGTAATATTTCATCGTATGTATCTCACATTTTGCTTATCCATTCATCTCTCAGTGGACACTTGAGTTGCTTCTACATTTTAGCTGTTGTGAATACTGCTGCTATGAACATGGGTGTATAAATATCTCAAGACCTTTTTATCAGTTTTTTAAAATATATACTCAGTAGTAGTTTAGCTGGATTATATGGTAATTTTATTTTTAATTTTTGAGGAACTGTCCTACCCTTTTATTCAATAGTAGCTATACCAATTGACAATTGGCATTCCTACCAACAGGGCATAAGGGTTCTCAATTCTCCACATATTCCCTGATACTTGTTATTTTCAGGTGTTTTTTTTTTTTTTTTTTTTTTATGGGAGCCATGTTAATGGGTGTAAGGTGATATTTCATTATAGTTTTGATTTGCATTTCCCTAATGATTAGTGATGTTAAGCATCTCTTCATGTGCCTATTGGCCATTTGTATATCTTCTTTAAAAATATATATATACTCATTCCTTTGCCCATTTTTGAATTATGTTTATTTTTTGTTATTGAGTTTCAATACTTTTCTATATAACCTAGGTATTAATCCTTTATCAGACTTAAGATTTGCAAATATTCTCTTTCATTCCACAGGTTGCTAATTCTCTCTGTTGGTAATATCTTTTGATGCTGTTGTGTCCAGAATTGATTCATTCCTGTGGGTTCTTGGTCTCACTGACTTCAAGAATAAAGCTGCGGACCCTAGTGGTGAGTGTTACACTTCTTATAGATGGTGTTTCCGGAGTTTGTTCCTTCAGATGTGTCCAGAGTTTCTTCCTTCCAATGGGTTCATGGTCTTGCTGACTTCAGGAATGAAGCCGCAGACCTTCGCAGTGAGGTTTACAGCTCTTAAAGGTGGCGTGTCCAGAGTTGTTTGTTCCCCCTGGTGGGTTCGTGGTCTTGCTGACTTCAGGAATGAAGCCGCAGACCCTCGCAGTGAGTGTTACAGCTCATAAAGGTAGTGCGGACACAGAGTGAGCTGCAGCAAGATTTACTGTGAAGAGCAAAAGAACAAAGCTTCCACAGCATAGAAGGACACCCCAGCGGGTTCCTGCTGCTGGCTCAGGTGGCCAGTTATTATTCCCTTATTTGGCCCTGCCCACATCCTGCTGATTGGTCCATTTTACAGAGTACTGATTGGTCCATTTTACAGAGTGCTGATTGGTGCATTTACAATCCTTTAGCTAGACACAGAGTGCTGATTGCTGCATTCTTACAGAGTGCTGATTGGTGCATTTACAGTCCTTTAGCTAGATACAGAACGCTGATTGCTGCGTTTTTTACAGAGTGCTGATTGGTGCATTTACAATCCTTTAGCTAGACACAGTGCTGATTGGTGGGTTTTTACAGAGTGCTGATTGGTGCGTCTTTACAGAGTGCTGATTGGTGCATTTACAATCCTTTAGCTAGACACAGAGTGCTGATTGGTGCGTTTATAATCCTCTAGCTAGACAGAAAAGTTTTCCAAGTCCCCACCTGACCGAGAAGCCCCACTGGCTTCACCTCTCACTGTTATACTTTGGACATTTGTCCCCCCAAAATCTCATGTTGAAATGTAACCCCTAATGTTGGAACTGAGGCCAGACTGGATGTGGCTGGGCCATGGGGATCTATCCGTCATGAAAGACTTAGTGCCCTCTCCACAGTAATGAGTGAGTTTCCACTCTATAAGTTCATGTAAGAGCTGGTTGTTTAAAAGAACCTGGCATCTCCCTTTTGCTCCCTCTCTCTTGCCATGTGATGTGCCTGCTCCCCATTTGCCTTCTGCCATGATTGAAAGTTTCCTGAGGCCTCACTAGAAGCAAATGCTGGTGCCGTACTTCTTGTACAGCCTGCAAAACTGTGAGTGAAATAAACCTCTCATCTTTATAAATTTCCCAGCCTCAGCTATTTCTTTATAACAACATAAAACAGATTAACACAGATGCACAATTTTTAAAAATTTTATAAGAAAAAATTTGTCTCTTTTTTCTTGTGTTATCTGTGCCTTTGGTATCATATCTAAGAAAACACTGACAAATCTAATGTAGTAAATCTTTTGCCCTATATTTTCTAGTAAGTTTTTTTTTAGTTTTAGGTCTTACGTATATACTTTTGATCTATTTTGAGTTAATTCTTGTACATGGCTTTAGATAAAGATCTATCTCCATTCTTTTGTATGAGCATATCTGATTTTCCCAGCACTATTTTTTGAAAAGACCGCCTTTTCCCTATTGCGTGGTTGGCAACCTTGCAAAAGATTATTTGACCATATATATGAGGCTTTATTTCTGAGCTTTCTATTCTATTCCGTCTGTCTATATGTCTGTCTCTATGCAGTACCACACTGTATTGATTACTGTGGATTTGTAGTGAGTTATAAAATCTGGAAGTATGAGTTTTCCACACTTCTTTTTCAAAATTGATTTGGATATTTGGCATCACTTGAGATTCCACTTGAATTTTAGGATTTTTTTTCTATTTCTACAAAAAACATCATTGAGATTTGTATAGAGATTACATTGAATCTATAGATTGCTTTGAGTAGCACTGCTATCTTACTAATATTACGTCTTCTAATTCATGAACATAAAATGTGTTTTCATTTATGTTTTCATTTATTTCTTTCAGCAATGTTTTGTAGTTTTCATTGTGCAAGTCTTTTACCTCTTTAAGTTGTCAAATATTTTACAGTTTTTGATGTTATTGTAAATAAAATTGCTTAATAATTTCTCTTTCAGATTGTTCATTGTCAGCATATAGAAATGCAATTGATTTTCACTTGTTTGTTTTGCATCCTACTATTTTGCCGAATTTATTTATTAGTTTTCAAGTTTTTTTGTGTGTGTGGACATGTAAGTTTATATACTCTGTGAATGGTGATAATTTTACTTCTTCCTTTGTAATTTGTTTGCCTTTTATATGTTTTTCTCGTCTGATTGCTCTGGCTAGAATGTCCAGTGATAACTATGTTGACTAAAAATGGTAAAAGTGGTTATCCTTGCCTGGTTCTTCATCTTGGGGGAAAAACTTTTAGTCTTTTACTGTTGTGATGTTTACTGCAGGTTTTTAACATATGCCTTTAATTATGTTGAGATATTTCAGTCTATTCTTATTTTGTTGAGAATTTTTATCATGAAAGGATGTTGAATTTTCTTGAAAGCTTTTTCTGTGTCAATTGAAATAATTATGTGTTTTTTTCTTTATTCCATTAATATTGTATATTACATTGATCAATTTTTGTATGTTGAATTATCCTTGCATTCCAGGAATAAATTCTACTTGCTCATTGTGTATAAAACTTTCAATATACTGCTGAATTTGATTTTCTGTTTTTTTGGTTGAGAAATTTTAGGTAAATGCTCATAAGGAAAATTGATCTGTAGTTTTCTTGTAGTAATTTCATCTGACTGGTATTAAGATAATGTTGGCCTTATAGAATGAGTTTGGAAGTATTACCTCCTATTCAATTTTTAGAAAAGTTTGAGATGGACTGGTTTAATTCTTTAAATGTTTGGTAGAATCATCAGTGAAACTATCACATCTAGGACTTTGCCTGAAAATCTTTGATTGTTGATTCAATCTCCTTACCAATTGCAGGTATATTCAGATTTCCCATTTCCTTGTAATTTAGTCTTGGTAGATATTGCACTTCTAGAAATTTTTTGTTTCATCTAGGCTATCTAATTTGTTGGTGCACAATTGTTCATAGTACTTTTTAAATAATACTTTTTATTCCTGTAGAATCGGTAGAAATATCTCCACTTTCTTTTCTGATGTTATTAATAGGATTTTGTTTTTTTCTTTGTACGTCTAGCTAAAATTTTATCAATTTTCTTGGTCTTTTTAAAAAATTACCTTTTTGTTTCATTAATCTTTAAATTGATTTTCTATTCTCCATTTTTAAAATATTTGCTCTAATCTCTGATTTTTTCTTTCTCCAGCTTGCTTTGGATTTAGTTTGCTCTCCTTTTTCTAATTCCTTAAATTGTTAAGTTAGGTTATTGACTTGGGATCTGTCTTGTTTTTTAATGTTACCATTTATAGCCACAGAATTCCCCCTTAGCACTGGTTTTAGTGCATCCATAAATTTTGATATATTCTGTTTTTGTTTTCGTTTGTCTCCAAGAATTTTCTAATTACCCTTGTAATTTCTTCTTTATTTCATTAATTGTTTTAAAATATGTTGTTTCATTTTTAATAATTTGTGAATTTTCCATTTTTTCTGTTATTGACTTCTAACTTCATCTCACTGTGGTCATAAAATATCATATCTACATTTTCATCTATTAAGACATAATTTCAGGCCTCACATATGGCCTATTCTGGAAAATGTTCCATGTTTACTTGAGAAAAATGTGTATGCCATTGTTCATGGGTAGAATGTTCTGTATATGTCTGTTAGATTTAGTTGGTCTGTTGCATTATTTAAGTCTTCTATTTCCTTATTTTTGTCTGATTGTTTTATACTTCAGTGAGAGGAGGGTATTGAAGTCTCCAAATACTATTGTTTACCTGTCTATTTCTCTCTTCAGTTTTGTCAGTTTTTGCTTCATGTATTTTGATAATCTGTGATTAGGCATGTAAATATTTGTGATTAGTATAATTGTATTTATTATGATTATACATAATTATAATTATAATTATAATTATTTATTGTTGCTGTATTGGATCTTTTATTAATATGCAATATTTATCACTTGTACATTTTTTGATTTAAAGTTTATTTTGTTTATTAGTATAGCTGATATACTTTGATATAGTAAATATCAAAGTTTATTTTCGATATTAGTATAGCTGCTCCTGATCTATTTTGTTTGCTATTTGACTGAAATATCTTTTTCCATCCTTTTTACTGTCAATCTATTTGTGTTTTTGGCTCTCAAATTAGTCTCTGGTAAACAGCATGTAGTTGGATTATGTGTTTTCTTTAATCCATTATGCATATCCCTGTCTTTTGATTAGATAATTTAATACATTTACATTTAAAGTAATTACTGATAAAAAGAGACTTCTGTCATAGCTTTCTGTTTCTAAATATCTTGTAGGTTTTTGGCTTTCATTTCTTACATTACAAATTTTGTATTTATCTGAAATTTTTGTAGTGAACTGTTTGCATTTCTTTCTTATTTTCCTTTTTGTATATTCTGTAGCTATTTTCCTTGTTGTTACCATAAAGATTATATTTACCTGCATAAATTTATGTCAGATTAATTCAAATAACATATAAATACTGTTTCTCTGTCCCAACCCTTTCAGTTGTTGATATCATAAAATTATGCTTTTAGAGATTGTGTGCCCAAAAACAAAGTAATAAGTATTTTAAAAGTCTTTTGAATTATGTAGAAAAACATGTGGAGTTCTAATTAAAGTTGTATTAATACCACCTGTTAGACAAGAAAATATTTTTTAAAATGTATATGTTTCTTAAGTCATGTGCATTAAAAAAGTAGAGTTATAAGCCTTTGTTAGAATAACGCTAGCTTTTATAATTGCCATATATTTCCCTTTATTGAAACATTTATTTCTTTAAATGGCTTTGAGTTATTGCATAGTCTTCTTTCATTTCATCCTCCAAGATTCCCTTGAGAATTCCGGGCATTTTAAGTCTCAGAGAAATAGACTCCCTCAGATTTTCTTTATCTGAGGATGTCTAAGTGCTCCCTCAGTTTTGAAGGACAGTTTTGCCAGATACCAAATTCTTGTTTGACAGTTTTTGTTTTGTTTTGTTTTATTTTGGCCCTTTTAATATATAAGTCCACTGACTTCTTGGACCTGAAGTGTCTGATGAGGAATCTTCTGATAAACTTCTGATAAACTTATTGCTGCATTTGATCACAGAGGTGCCAACAAAGATGTAGGTGCTTATTGCTTTTGCACATCCCTCCATTGTTAAAGCCCCTCCCTTCTGCTAACATTACTTTCAGGAGATTTAGAGAGCCAGTACTTTTCCCTACTTCCATTATTCTCTTTTATTCTTTTTTGTGTATGAGACATTAAAGATTGGGCCATTCAGAAAGCAACTGCATATATAGGAAAAAAAAAATTAAAAGGGAAAAGTTCAGGCTCAGAAAAAAACCTGATAATACCTTAAGTTTAGATGTTAGTCTGATCCTGAGCACAGGGAAAACTTCAACAGTTAAGAAAAATAGAAAGCAATAAACAAATAAACAAAAATAACAAAAAACGGCAAACCTTAGGAAGGGGGAAAATATGATTTCTAGAAATACCAGATTATTTGATTGAAATGTCCAGTTTTCAACAAAAAATTACAAAGCATACCAAGAAAGAGGAAAATACGGCCCTTTTATGTTACAAGTCATTTCTCTCATGAAGCTTTCAAATTCTCTTTTTGTGTTTGGCTTTAAAGAGTTTGTAATGTGCCTTGTGGATCTCTGAGTTCATCTTACTTGAAGTTCATTGAGCTTCTTGGGTGTTTATATTCATATATTTTATCAAATTTGAGAAGTTTTCAGCCATTATTTTTCCAAATATTCTCTTTTCTTTTATCTCTCTTTCCTTCTGGAACTACCATAATGCACATGTTGATTTGCTTAATGGTACCCTACGAGTTTCTTAGGCTCTGTTCACTTTTCTTTAATCTTTTTTCTTTCTGTTTCTCAGACTTGATCATTTCAATTATCCTATCTTCAGGTTCACTGATTCTTTATTCTGCCTGCTGAAATCTGTCTTTGAATCTCCTTAGTCAATTTTTTATTTCAATTATTGTGTTTTCAGCTCTTTTTGGTCCTTTTTTTATTTCTTTATTGACATTTCTATTTTGTTAATACATTTTTCTCTGATCTTTGTGGACATATTCCTTTGATTCTTGAAGCAACTTTAAGACATTTTAAAGTCATTGTCTAGAAGATCTACAATCAGGTCTTTTTCATGGCTGGTATCGGTTGACTTATTTTTTTCCTTTGAATGGGCCATATTTCCCTCTTTCTTGATATGCTTTTTAATTTTTTGTTGAAAATGGGGCATTTGAATCAAATCATCTGATAATTCTGGAAATCATATTTTCCCCTTCTCAAGATTGCTATATTTTGTTATTCTTTTTTGTTTATTGTTTTCTTTTGTTCTTAATTGTTGCAGTCTTCTCTGTGCTCAGAATTAGACTGACTTCTAAACTTAAGGTATTCTCAAGGTCTTTTCTGAGCCTGAATCTTTCCCTGGACATGCATGAGCACTTTTAATTTTTTCCCCTTATATTCAATTGCTTTCTGATGGCCCAATCTTTAATGTATGGTGCTCTAAAAGGAAAAAAAGAGAATAATGAAAGTAGAGAAGAGTGCTGGCCCTTTAAATCTCCTGGAAGTAATGTTAGCAGAAGGGAGGGGCTTTAACAATGGAGGGATGTGCAAAAGCAATGGCCACTCACACCTTTGTTGCCACCTCTGTGATCAAATGCAACAATAAGCAACCACAGCACAGATCCTTGATATTTGGAGAACACATTATTTTTTTTGCTTACCCTGGCTCCTACAACCTTTTAGTGAACTGCTCTCAGCACTCATGCACAGCTGCCTGTCATAAAATTAACCACAATTTGCTGTCCAAGTCTTTCCCTGGAAGTTACAAGCCTTCAATAGAACCCAGAGTTACAAAAAATTATATGAGACTGATTTTTCCAGTGTAATTATTGTTCAGATATGGAGACAGATTTTTGGTGCTTCCTACTGTGCCATCTTCCCAGCTCCACAATATACATTTACTTCTCAAAACAATTAGATGAGAGACAGATATGGAAATTGAGGAAAAGAAGTGCTCAATAGATTGACCAAGATTTCATATTTGGCTGTAGAGCTGGGATTTAAATCTAGCAGGTCTGATTCCTGAACCCACACTCTTAACCACCATGCTATACAACCTCTCTCTGTGACTCTTCATGTCCTCTGTGGCCCTCTATGATGATATACTTTACACTGTATTAATAAGTACTAGAAAACTGAAGTTACATTCATACTTTTAATTGTATACATTTTAATTGCACACTTGTATTTTAAAAGACTGTACAAAAATGCTTAGTGACTATTTCAAAGTCTGGCTGTCAAGGCTATAGGAAATTTTCATTCAATTGAGCAATGAGTCTTTCTCGTTAAGAATATGGAAGTTGTGAAATCTGTTTATTTTCTCTTTTCTTTGAATCTTTTCATGTGTCAGCTGTAATGCTGTTTGAATCAAAGACATTTGATTACCATCTATGTTCTTCCCCTAAACTGAATGGAGAGCTTTGAGGAAGATTGGCAGGCTTGCATAATGGACTATTTTGACATTTGCAAAGTATTGCAACAGGAAAGAACTTACAACTCCTCTGCTCTATGGTTGTCAAAGCACAATTCAGTGCCAGACTTGGCAGGGGTTTCAGAGCTTTTTGCTTCACCAAGTATTGGTTCCCTAAAAAGTCCAAGCCATCATCTCGTTCTATTCTACAAAGGCAGCACCATTGGATAGATAGTATAAAAGTCTATAATAGTTGTTCCTCCATGTGAAAAAGATCCCCCTTTTTCTAAGTGCTTTTAGCAGAAAATAATATATATATATATATATTCATTGGATAGGAGAAAAAAAGGCAATTCAGCCTTTTTGTAATTTACCCATCCCTCCTTAGTGGAACTATCACTTGATTTAGTATGAAAGTGTTAGGGGTGAGAAGACAGGAAAATCATATGATGTAACATTCATTCTTCCCCATTTTCTCAGCAGTTACACTAGTGGTGCTTCTTAATTTTAAGACTTTTCTGCTGCTTCATACCTGATAACAAATTGTATTATCAAAGCCTGTCACAAAAAAATTCTGTGAAATTTTAAATGCCAACTCCATAAGCTATATAAAGTTTTTCCAGTTTAGATATCAATGTGATAAATTATACTGTCAAACACTTTTTAATACTTGATGACATAAATAGCTTTGAAAAACTGATGATTTAGGATTAATTACCTCCAAGTTCTCTTGACTAGCACAATATTCCTAACTAGTTCATTTTCAGAAAAAGTATTTCTCCAATGCATTAGAAAAAATTGCTCCCCACATTCTACTCCAGGCCATAATAGGAAGTAGAAAAATCCTGTAGATCCAAAATAAGAAAGGTTATAAGGCAAAATTTCTACAAACATATTGCCAACATGTATATCTGAATGTTGAACAAAGCCTCTTTCCTTATAGATGGAAGCACACTGTTCTCGCTATTTTTGTAGATCCACCTCAATGAATAACAGCAAAATATCTTATCCAGATAAAAGATATGTTTTCTAAATATTGAATGATGAATGGCCTATAGTCCATCATGTGTTCCCTCCTAGAGAAGGTAACCAGCCAAGGGAAATATTTCATTCCTCAGAGTCTAAACAAAACGTGGAAAAAAATCACCATGAATGGTGGGAATCCAGCAGAAGACAGAGAACTGGGAGAACAACAGTGCTAGGAAACAGAAGATTTTAAGAAATGAAAAAATAAGTTGGTCATCCGACAATGTAGTCTGAGTTAGTTGCTAGGGATTGAATCCAATACAATAGTTTAGATCTTAAATATATTTGAAATATTTCTCCAGATCAAAATATGCTGGGTTTTTTTTTTTGTCGTTGTTTTTTTTTTTTTTTTTTTTTTTTTCAGAGTCCTGCTCTGTTGTCCAGGCTGGAGTGCAGTGGTGTGACGTTGGCTCACTACAAACTCTATCTCCCCAATTCAAGTGATTCTCCTGCTTCCTCAGCCTTTCTAGTAGCTGGGACTACAGGCACCTGCCACCATGCCCAGCTAATTTTGGTATTTTTAGTCAAGACGAGGTTTTGCTGTGTTGGCCAGGCTGCTCTCGAGCTCCTGACCTCAGGTGATCCACCTGCCTCAGCCTCCCAAAGTGCTGGGATTACAGGCATGAGCCATCACGCCTGGCAAAAATATGTTTTAAATGTTCACACCATAAATAGGCAAATGCATTAAATGCACACATTATTTTGATGGATTCTTAAAGTATTATTATATATTATAAGAATCACATGACTGGAGTAAGAAGAATTGAGATCCTAGAACTTTGTCCTGAGCTGGTTATTAATATATGAGGATTTCAATAATAAATGAGTATACTGCTGTCTATCTCAAAGGGGAGTTGTGAATATTAAGTGGGAGAGACTAGGCAAAAGGTGCCCAACAGAGAAATAGCTAATAGGAAACTCTTGATACACTTTTGTGCCCCTTCCCTGCCCTATTATTAATAATGCCACATTATAAACGTTAAGTATTTTAATGGCACATATTTTAAGTACATTGCTTCTGATACTATTCTATGCAGAGGGAAAGAGCTTAGTAAAAATGGAAAGAAAAAATATTCATACATTTGTGGCTGTTTCTCTGAGCCAAATGGCTTAAGCAGGTGACTCATAACTGTGAGACTACTTAATATTAATGGTGTCAGTGTCCTGATAATAATAAACCTACAGTTGATTAAGAAAGTTATATGTGCACAAAAGGTCTACGTGGTATTTGTTGTACAAGTTTAGAAATTCAATTTCTATCTTTCCCTCATGACAAATCTTTTTTTATATATAGAGATGTGACTTAAACTCACTCAAAAGTAGGTTCTATATTTTCTTCTAATAGTGGCTTCATAACAGCTTGTGAAGGTAGCAAGTTGAGATGCCAAATTGCATTGTTTAATATAAAAGAGATGATTTGATCTAAAAAGGTACACATTGTCAATCAGTGTAGTTTTTAGAGAAATTCAGGCCCCACTAAAATGAATGAATTTTAAAATGTTCACTTGACTACTGTGAAGAAATTTACCTGTAGAACATAATTTTTAGCTTTTTAAATTTTAAATGTTGGAGAGCATCACCAAACTCTTCTTATAGCCAGCAAGTTGATCTGATGCATAAGTCTGCCTCTAGGTCAAGATATTAAAACCACATCAGTATAAAGAATGTTTATGTTATTATTTTCTATACAATGCCAATTAAGCTAATTGTCTATGAGGTTGTTGATGTACAACTTGAAAAGGAAGATACTAGAACATAGTCCAGTTTTACACAGTTTAGAATTTGTAGTAATGTTAGACATCTCTTGAAGATGTTTAAGCAGCTGGGATTATCTAACAATTATACATTAATGAACTCCTATTTAAAGGATTCAGGATAGATAAGGGTGATCAATAATATGGTAGTATTTTTTCATTTATTTTATAGGTTAAATACTATGGAATAAAAATATTAATGATAGCTATAACTTATAAATTTACCATAGGTCAGGCATTGTGTTGAGTTCTTTATGGGTATTATTCATTTAATATTTAACATATCCCTTTAAGAGATGGAGGACATTATTAATATTTTTAAACAGTGAAACTTAAGCTTGGATTACAAAAGGAATTTGCCAAAATTTTACATTTCTAATTTAACTGGAATGCGGTATGTATACATTAAAATGGAAGGACTGTATACAAACCTAATTCCAGTACTAATGGATTCTTAGGATAAGGAGCTTGTGTGTTTTAATGAATATCACCTTTTCCTCATCCCTCCCACTTTTACTGGCATGAAAACTGAGAACTAAATAACTCCTAAAATCCCATCATGAATCAGACAACTTACATCTAAATGCCTTTATGATTGGAGCCAAATCCTTCTCATTTTTGAAAGCGTATATCATTCTTTTGAGGCTGAGATATGTCAATTGCCATGAAAACATTTTTGACAGTAAAATCAATTATGCTCTGAAAATGTTTAAAATGGTAGTAACAGAAGTTCTATCAAGACAACATTTACAACATCAGAAAAAGAATACTCCTTATATATAATATTCTGGGAAGTTACCTCTGCTGTGAAATATTACAATACTCTCGTAAAAATTAAGAATTAAGTGAGCCTAAGAAAAGATTTAGGGAAACATAAATTAGATTTCTTTTTTGGTTTGTACCTGTTAAGATGCCATATACAATGCAAGTAACATCTTAAGTATTAACAACGGAACTTTGTAGGCTAAAGGTATTTTCTGTAAATAATGTGTTCAGATCAATTAGCATCCCTAATGAAATATATACAGCAACCCTAAATGACATAAACTGAAGTGTGCAAAAGCAGAGGAATGTAGATTTTCTGGGAGAAATTTAATAAATTTACTTTGGAACCATATCAAAACTTTTACCTTCTATGAGCAACATCTAAAATCATGTCAAATAGAATGACATTAGATATATTGTCTTTAATTGGGTTATTCTGTATTGAAAGGCTCTGGAAGAATAAACTTCTATAAATATACTTTTAAAGTATCTAATAGAGTGGCTTGTGCCAACATTTACATTAGGGACAATTAAAAAATAAGAAAGTTTGTTGGAACAGAAAAAAGGCAAGAAGATTTGTGTGAAAATGACCAAGGCTTTAATGGGAGTAATGAATTAAGAGAAAAATTGTCAAGGGTCTAGATATACCTGCGTAAGAAAACAGGATTTTAAAATTCTCTTCTTCATGTAATCCAGAAGTTAGAGAAAGAGATCAGATATGTGATACTTCTATAACAGACCACAAACCAACATATCCATTAAATCCTAATATAGAGCATCTGTTTTTAGAGTTGTGGCAACAGAGGATACAAAGGTCTTTAGGGCGAAGATGAAGGAAGGATGAATAAAGGGGAAACAAAAGGAAAATGGGGAGGAATTAGAAGGGGATTAGCCAGGAGGAGGAGAAGAGGTAGAAGAAGAGAAGGAGGAAGAAAGTAGGGGAGAGGTATTTTGAGAGCACCAAGCTAAATAAGGGTTCCAGGACCAGAGTGGCTAGCAACCCTGTCCTAATGGAAAATGAAGGGGAGCTGGACATGGGTATTTTTATAGGGTACTTCTTTGACCTGGTGACTAGTTGTCCAACCAGTAACCAGGGGATCCCTCACATGAGATAACCGCTTATACTGGGAGATGCCCTTGTGGCTCCTTTGGCCCATGTCTAGTTTATGCCAGGCTGACCATTGCTCGGGCACTGTGAGTCCAACCTTTTATTCTCCCTTGGGGCAGATGGAAGGTACAAATTCAATACACTGTCACAATAGAAAATAACTCCAAAGACTTTTTTACTTACAGATCCTGGGCAAGGCGGGCATGAGTCAGGAGGGCAGACTTCCTTCCTGAGTCGCACAAGGCAGAAATGAAGGGTCAAGCAGAAACAGAGAGAAGTGGCAACTAGAGGTATATATGAGGGAACAGAGCTTGGGTCACTTTAAGTTTGTGGGCAAATGCCTCAGAGTTTCCTCTAAAGAAAGGGGCCAGAAAGGGAGAGCCCAGTCTACTAGGGTAGGCAGAAGAGATGGATCTGAGTTATCTCTGGCCACTGGCTTGAGCTACTTGGGTAAGATATAGAATTGGAAACTGTGTCAAGCATGACTGAGCCTTGCTTCTAGTATAAGAAAGTTAAACTGGTATTCAAAATGGATACTGAGGCAACATCAAATTATAAGGTTTCACTATGACACGGAAAAGTGACACAAAAGGAAAATACTTCCTCTTGCAAAAGTAATCCAATTATATTCTTTACGTACTGCTGCAAATTAAAAAAAAAAGTTGTATTTACTTCAGAATAGTCATGACTCTCATGTACTGCCTCAGTTTCTTTCCGCTTTAATCATCTTGTCATCTCTCCATTCCCTGATACCCCAAGATATCTTGATGTTACTTCAGGTCATTTTCCTCTTTCTCTTCTTTAAACATCATAGAATTTACTTTTCTTTGTCTTTTTATTTTTTGGTTGGTCTTTTTGCTCATGCACTGTAACATAACAAGTTAAAATAAAATTATATATAAAAATAATTGTAAATAAAATTAAATGCCAAAGGAAACCTTGCAGGAAATATTTACTTTACATATAATAGACCAAAAGTCAATATCTTTAATACATTAAGGGATTATTCACACAAAGAGAAAAAATCTAGACAAAAAGGAAAAATGCCATCTAGAAGAAAAAACATGGTCCGACGATGAAAGAAAGAAATATCCAGTAAATATACCAAAATATTTAACTTGTATAGTAATTTTGTTGTTGTTGTTGTTGAGATAGAGTCTTGCTCTGTCGTTCAGGCTGGAGTGCAGTGGTGTGATCTGGACTCACTGCAACCTCTGCCTACCGGGTTCAAGTGATTCTCCCGCCTCAGCCTCCCGAGTAGCTGGGACTACAGTCAC
Organism: Homo sapiens; assembly: GCF_000001405.40. Lineage (NCBI taxonomy): Eukaryota > Metazoa > Chordata > Mammalia > Primates > Hominidae > Homo > Homo sapiens. The sequence continues at coordinate 104,117,715 of NC_000005.10, forward strand.
TCGCCACCACGCCTGGCTAACTTTTGTATTTTTAGTAGAGACAGGGTTTCACCATGTTGGCCAGGCTGGTCTTGAGCTCCTGACCTCAAAGTGATCTCCGCCCGCCTCAGCCTCCCAAAGTGCTGGCATTACAGACATGAGCAATGTAGGTACTTAATCAATATGCAGAGACCTATACAAAATATGAAGAAATGAGAAAATTTCTTCAATTAACACTATAATAATGCTCTATCATTGTCATCTATTAAACTGTAAATTGAAGGAATATTTACACTTGATTAGCAATTTCTCTTTTAGGAATCAACTTTAAGGAAATTAAGAGAAAAGAATATAAAGTACGTTGATTACAATTATACTTTTAATGGTGTAAAACCGAAGGCTTTTTAAAATCTCTCCAAAGAGAAATGTGGTTAATTATATGAATGGGTATGTATATAGAGATATACATTAATGTATGTCAACAATGTTTTTAGATAATAACATTATTGATGGGTCTTACATTATTTTTATGTTTTCATATCTTAAAAATTTGTATAATAATATGCTGTACTTACACTCAATATATTTGCCAACTTCTACATAATTTTCTCTAAATTGCATTATTTATTCTTCAAGATTTCCCACTGTGCATTTTAACCCATTAATGTGTATAAGCAATTATACCAACTTTAGCTACTTTTGCCATTCCTCTTCAAACATGCACAGATACATGTGTTTTGGCTGTATAATGGGAAACTCCCTCAAAGCAAGTTAATCAGTAAAGAAATATATGGGCTCATATGACTGGTAAGTTCAAGGGTGCGCCTAGTACTGTTTACCTAAGGTTAGACTCATGTCATTGAAAATTAAGCTTCCTGGCCGGGCGCAGTGGCTCACGCCTGTCATCCCAGCACTTTGGGAGGCCGAGGTGGGCAGATCACGAGGTCAGGAGATCGAGACCATCCTGGCTAACACAGTGAAACCCCGTCTCTACTAAAAATACAAAAAAGAAATTAGCCGGGCGTGGTGGCGGGAGCCTGTAGTCCCAGCTACTCGGGAGGCTGAGGCAGGAGAAGGGTGTGAACCCAGGAGGCGGGGCTTGCAGTGAGCTGAGATTGCGCCACTGCACTCCAGCCTGGGCGACAGAGCGAGACTCCGTCTCAAAAAAAAAAAAAAAGAAAAGAAAATTAAGCTTCCCTGATTTCTGGGCAGGCTTCTTCTATTTGCTAGCAAAGAAGGCAGTAAAGAGTTCAGGGTTCCATGGATCTTAATGCCTAAAAATAAAATAAAATGTTTTCTTAAAAGATGAGCAGTTTAAATTCTAGATTAAGAATTTTGATTGGTTCCATTAAGTCATATACATTTAGAACTCTGATTCACTAGTGTGGCTCTATTGACCTCTCTTTGGCAGAAGAAGAAGAGCTCCTTAATTGACAACCCTGCTAGAGGGAGGAGGAGGTCCCAGTAATAACATGAATTTATTGTTAGCAGTTCAGCAAAAATACAGTTTTCAAGTACAGTATACAAATATTCTTCTAATTCTTTCCCCAAATGTATTTTTTACCTTAATCTCTTTTTTTGCCTTCTTCTATCTAATTTATGCCATAATTTTTACAGACGTTTTAAATCATATTTAATTGCATATTTGGATGGGCTCTTTCTTGCTGCATTTTTATGTATTTTGAGAAATGGCTCAATTCTTCATATTTTGTATAGGTCTCTGCATATTGATTAAGTACCTACATTGCAGTAAAATCATAAACCATGTCTGATATTAACACTGGTCAGAAATGTTGCCTTTTTGTGGGGAACTACTTTTATTTTAAAAAGTGGGATCACATTGATCCCAGAAATAGAGGGAACAAATGTCCATCATTCCATTCTTCCTTTAATGCCACTGACCTATCCTTGGTCCCAAGGACAGGACTTCTTTGAGGTTGTTTCCTTGTATACTAGGCCTCATATCCTTTAGCTTACTTATTTGTCTTAATTGAAATAAATTGTTTTATTAATTTTAAAAATTAATTTTTAATTGATAAATAAAACATTTTAAATATATAAATTTAAATTAATATGTTTATTTGCTTTATGAGTGGTATTATAGAAAACAGTGTAAGTTGAACACTAAAAGACTTACTGAGGCAACCCTTTGGATTGTCCCTTTCTCTTCCCCTCTCATGCTCATTTTGAATTGTCAACATTCTAATTCTTTCTAGTGTTCACTACATACTCTTTGGAATAGAGAGTGTATAACTCATACCACATTCTTAATGAAACTTGTATTCACAATGAGATTTTGTCATAGTAATATTTATTTTACTATGAGATGTGCCTAGGAAGACAGCCGCTTTAGCTGTTAAGGTAAAACTCTGTAACTGAGGAGGGATACTGTGGTTGGCTACAGCTTTCATATTTCTGGTTTTTACTTAGTTAAGAACATCACAATAATTTATACAGCTTTTGACACATGAATGTTGATTAATCTTACTATCCAAATAAACAATATTCCTGATGGAGAGGCAATAAAGAAGGTTGATTTATTCTTAAATATCAAATGTAGAGTCACCTGTCAATTAACTGTATTAATTACAGAGATTGAACATTAAAAATTCCCAGGTAATTTATAAGCATTGTTTTTGACAGATAATTGAAATCTATCCTCTGTTATTTATTCCATAACAGAAAGCAAAATTGAATGAGTTGAATTACATGTTTTTAAATTTCTCTGTGCTAATGAAGGGAAAAAATGGGCAAAAGTCATTTAGCAGAAGGAAGGAGAAGTCAATGGCCTGGATAATTTACAAACTTATAATCAACTATCAAATAATCATGGGTTCACTGACTCTCTTCTGGAAAGTGATATAAGAGAAAAGAGTATCAATATTAAGTCATAGAACTGGGAAGTACATTTTAGAGGATATTTATTTCATAACTCATGTTAACTTTATTAGTTGTCTTTGAAGTCAATTACTTTAAACTTATATAAAAATTCAATAACAACTTTTTTCAAGGGAGGGCCATATAAGAAAAGAAATTTGATATTGGATGTCTTGCCTTTAAGTGCCAATGAACACTAATGTGATATTTTACTTTAGGCACTTCAAGTAAACTTAACCTACTGAAACTTCATTTGGTGTAAGTTCCTCTGATAATTACCAAGCAAAGGCACAAATAAATTATATTTTGAGAGAAATGTGTAATTTGTTGTAGGGGGAAAAAGACTTGTTTATAAATAATTCTAATACAAGTTACTATAAAGCAATGTACTAAGGAACAATAAGAATTACTAATTACTTCTCAGAAGGAAAACAGTCACTCCTTCCTGGAGGAAGTAGTATTTAAAATGCTCCTAATGGGAAGGATTCCGAAATTTAGGGATCATGAAGAGGGACAGCAAAAGGTAAATCAAGTAATGATAATAGAGTAATGGAGGAAGAAATTCTGAAGCCTTGATTAAGGGTTGTCATAAGTTTCAATAAACTACAGAAAATATGAAGTCAATGAATGAAATTAAAGTTGGAAGAAAAAACAAGAGTTGAAGCCAATTCATGCAGGACTTGCAACATTGTGGACTTTAATGCGGATAACTGGATAACCTGGGAAAAAGAGCTGCCTTTGAAGTGAGAACATGATTTCACCTTAGGTTTGCACCTGATGAGCTGTGTAAGCAACCCAACTACTCTGTGTTTACGTTTGCTCATCTACAGGATTATAATAATACTTCTTGTATTAGCAGCAAGCCTGGAAACTCTACAAGTAAGGGATCTACAGCACTGTCTGCACTGGATAGGTATTGCCTGCTCTGCAAAATACAGGGAGTCATGATCTAGGATTACTATAGAAAAGTACAAGGGTATCATTGTGGAAAAGTAGTTTGGATAAACTGACATTAGAAGTGGAGAGACCAGATGGAATATTAAAGCAATACTCCTGAATTAGGTAAATGTGATCATGTGAATAGTGCAACTGATAGGGATGAAAAGAGCTTTGTAAATCGGAGGAAAATCTTGAATCTGGAAGCATCAGTTGGGCAGCTTTTCACTAATCATTCAGAAGAAGGTTTGTAGAAGGGTACAAAAGTACCCTTTACCCCACTAAAAATTACATAGGTGAGTCTAGGAGTGATGTTTTCCTGGTACTGAAGAGCATTTCTGGAAAGAGCATCAAAGTTCTTGAAGTTAAAATGTGGCATCCAGACAATCTAAGTGGAAGAACAACAAAGTACATAAAGGATGTACATTGTTTTTACATTTATGAAAGAACACATTGATATTTGTTTAAATAACCAGTGTGCCACAAAAAATAAAAATTTTAAAGATGCAAAACTTTATGTTAACTGGCTTCTCTTTCAAAAACTATGACTTGCTTAGGCACCAGTATAACCAGCCATAGTAGTTCATAGCACAATCTGGGATCGGTAACTATCTATTAATCAAGTCTTCATATATAGTTACATAACAGTAGATGTAAATTTTACAATAGTTATGCTGATGCTGATAACAATAACACTGTCAATAATAACATAAAAGTAATAATAAAAAGCCAATATGTATTTATTACTCATGACAAGATAGAAATTAAGAGGATAATGTTAATTTCCTCTGATTATAGGAGAGGAAATTCACTCCCAGAAAAGTTAAGTAACACTGAATGGTCATGCTACTAGAAAATGGCATTATATTTTACCCTAAGTCCATTCTTAAAATCCCCCATTTCCTACCACTCAGATTGGAACACAAGTTTCACACACAATTTGCATTTCTTGAGTGATGAAAAACCAGCCATGATAGGAAGAATAGTTAAAAGATAACTTATTTGATTACTGTATGCCTGTCTCTATGTCAGAGTCCTGGACAATTCCTACTATTTGAAATAGCTTAGGATATTTTATCACACTTTTTTAAGTTGTTCTCAGTCTAAACTTAGTAACTCTTATATCTTTGAATAACTGTATTAACCATTAATGAAACTGTATTGGAGATAAAATAATAGGAAGAAAATGCTATAGGAAAGAGAAAAACCTGGGCAGCATTAGTTTTGTCATTTTCCATGCACAAATCAACTATAAGAAAAAAATATGATTCAAATCCCCACACAATACAGATAAAGAAGAAAATAAAATGAAACAAAATATAACACTTTTTAAATAAAAGTTCTTCTAAATTTAGAAACACAAATATGAATGACATCAGATGTTTTTCTCTCAATTATTATACATTAGAGATAACTGAGCAACTTTTACAGATGTTTTAGAGTTAAAACCTGTCACTAAAGATGTCTGTATTGTCAGGATATCATTTGGGAAGCATGAGAGGTATATCCCCATGCGTATAAGAAATCAGAAAGTAGAATGCTCATGTATTTATCCAAAAACAAAATACTGAAAATGTATTAATGATCCCTCAGAGATTGATGAAAATAATTAATTAAAAATAGAAATGCCACAATATGTTTTAAAAGAACACATTGAGAGAATCATGGCCAACAGCAAAAAACAAAGTCCAAATAATTGATAAAAACATGAATTAAAACTTAAAACAAATGTAAAAATATTATTTAAATATTCAGTATCCAATGTTAAAGAATTTATTGCAGTTTGGAACAGAAATTTATTTTCAAAACTACAAAAATAGGTTGAATATTAAAGGAAGTGTCAATTTTATCTTGTTATGGGGATAGCATGTTCAATATTAAGATTTATTTGAAATAGATAAGTTTCTTTAAAAATATAATTTAGCAAAAATGAAACAAGAAGAGAAACATAATGTGAACAATTTATAACTATCAAAGAATTATTTACAGAGAGTAAAGGTGAGATGAACATGCCTTCAGAAATATATCTACAAAGCCATTTAGAAACAAATGAAGGCAAGACTACATAAAAAGGTGGGAAAATTTATAAGACAAGTATAACTTTGGAATCAACTTTACGATGACATTACAGTTCAGGAAAATTACAAGCCAATTTCATTAATAACCACAGGTGCAAATCTGTACACAAAATATTAACATATCAAATGCAAAAATTTATAAAATAAAAACTGATGTCACAAATTTGTATTTTCTCAGGAATAAAATATTAATTTAACATTTGAAAATTAATCAAGGTGTTTTATCACATTAGCAGGACAAGGGTAAACTGATTAAATCAACCCAATAGTGTCATAAAAATCATTTGATGAAATCAATATCTATTTTTATAGACAATTACTAAACTGGAAATAGAAGTCAATGTGATAGAAAGTAACTACAAAAAACATAACATTCATAAACAACATGCTTCTAAACATTACATTTGTTAATAGAATTTTGGACACTTCCTGTCATATGCTACATGAGATGAGAGAATTCCCATTTTTACTGTTCTCATGAAATATTTTAGGCAGTATAATAAGGCAGGAAAAAGTGGTATAACAATTAAAAATGAATAAATAGAACTGTAAGTATGTACCATAAATATGATTATATACATTGCAAATATAAAAGAATATGTATACATTATTAGAATATGTAAATTAAGCTATGTTATTTGTCATATCATTATATAAAACCATTTGTATATCTATAATCAGACACAATGGTGAGATAATACAATTATCAAAATTTTATGATTTACAAAAGCATTGGAAACGTAAAGCACTTAGAAATATGTCTAATAAAAGGCAATATTAATAAATGCAAAGATGTGATATATCCACAGGTCGGATTGTCAGTTTTCCTTGAATTGATCTATAGATTAAATTTATTTCATTTAAAATCCCCAAATTGTACATCTGTGTGTGAATTGGCAAGCTGACTCTAAATTAGAGGAAAAGCAAGGGCCAAGAATACAAGTACTCTTTAAGCAGAATAATAAAATTGAAGGACATATATTATCATATATCATAATTTATTATAAAGCTACAATAATTAAAACAGTATAGTGGAGACTGAATATAGACAAATATAAAAATATAAAAATGTAACATAACTGAGAGTCCAGACTCTATCTTCTTGATTTTTAAAAAGGTGGCATTGCAGAGCATTGATGCATTCTATTCAATCAAATACATTATCACAATTGGTTGGCCATATGAACAAAACATAAAAAGAAACCATGCCTTCCTTACGCCATTTCCCAGATAAATGCCAGGCAGATTGCAGTGTTAGAGTGTAGTTCTAAAATGTAAAACTAGACTGTTTCCAGAAAATAATATAGGAGAATGTCTTTATGATCTTTTGGTGGGCAGTTTTCTTAAACATAACAGAAAAATACTGACTGTAAAGGAAAACCTTGGTAAATTGTTTCACATTAGATATAAGAACTCTGTTTATCTAAAGAGTTTGAATAGCTACTAAGATTGTGAATAGCTAACCAGTGAGGTTATTTGCAATACACGTCACCAAGAAAGAGTTTATATCAAGAATATATAAGGAATTTCTACAAGAAGATATAAATAACCCAAAAGAAATATTGTCTTTCAACTTAAACTGGACCTTCACAAACAGAGATGGCTAATAAATAAAGGAGAAATTTTTCAAATTCTTTCATGAGAATAAAAATTAAAAACATAAAAAGATAACAAGTGTCATGATGTTTTTAGCTTATAGCTGGATATTTAAATGTTGCTGGAAGCGATCTACCATCTTAAACTTTTTAAGATTTTATATCCAATTGCAGTCTTTTAACTTAACTTTCTAGTTGTGCTAAGTTTGGGAAGAAGAAGAAGAAACAGATTAAAAATAAACTGTTCAAAGCAATGGAGATACTCTTGAGATGCGTAACTAGCCATTCCATGATTAAGACTGCTACCAGGCTTGATTCTATAAAGAAATTTAAGTGATACTCACCTGCTTCAAACTGAAATATTCTTCTTACTTAGAAACACTTCTACGTTGTTGAGTAACATAGCCAAACTCCTAATAACAATAAATATATCTCATTAAGTTAATTTTTTTCTCTAGGGATTATTTTGATACATTTCTTTCATGGGTAAGATATTAAGTTATTTTGGTCACTAGCAGTTTAGCAGGGATTTCTTAGAATATTGTATTAGTTTCCAGTGGCTGCTGTAACAAATGGCCACACCTAATCGATTAAAACAACAGAAATTTATTATCTTACAGTGCTGGAAGCCAGAAGTATGAAATTAGATGTCAGCAGAGCCCATGCTTTCTTGGAAGGCTTTACAAGAGAATCCATTTTGTGTCTCTTCCAGCTTCTGATGGGTGCTGTCATTCTTTGGTTTGTGGCTAAATTACTTTTGATCTCTGCCTCCATTTGTGGATAGTGTTGAATCTCATTCTTCCTCTCTCTTATAAGACACTTGCCATGGCAAATGTCCACCCAAGTAATCCAGGATAATTTATCCAGGTCAAGATCTTTAATTTAATCTCATCTACAAAGATCATTTTCCTTATCAAATAAGATTTACAGGTTCCAGGGATTAGGACCTGATACCGTTGAAAAATCATTCAGTCTTGGACAACTATTAAAAAGAGTTTCAGCCTGATGTAAGGAAGTAGAATATAAGCAGCTGCATTTGATAGGAGAAATGAGGAAATGGTTCAAAGAGCAGAGTATCTCTTGGTAGGGATCATAGTTGGAGCAGAATTAAGGCAATGAACATGAGGATTATGGCAAAGGAAAAAAAGATCTCAAAATGATGTATGTGACAATAATGTTGTAATAATTTAACTGTTAATGGAAGCTAGACACTATCTTTGAAACCAGAAGATCAGAGTTGTTCTAAGTTTTTTTGTGTGTGGAAGAAATTGGAAAAAAAAAAGAAAAACCACGCTGTTCTGATCACAATTCTTCCGCACTTTCCCTGCTTCCAGTGAACAGGTAAAAATATAGAGTAGGTGTAGGTAGTTGACATACCTCTTAGAACTAACTACTATATAATATGGAATAATTAAAAAATTGATAATTGAGGGATTCTAAATCTGGCTCTGGGCCTATAATACCTTGCATGCATGGTAGGAGTTATTTCCATGCAAAGATATGATTCTAGTTTACTGCTTTATTTGTGAATTCACTCAGCTTTTATTTGCATCAGTATTTTTTATAACATTATAAATCGGATATCTCTAGTCCAATAGAGCTAGCTTCCTTCAGTAATAGGAGTGTTTAATGCACAGAGAGTCCTTATGAAAAAGGTGAATATATAATGTATACAACCTAGAATCACTACTCTCATGAAACACACAAAATAATTTCCTGACAATCCAGGGGCCATCTGCTTGGGTTTTCTACTTACTGTACAATAAAATTTCAAGAGAAGACTACTAAAAAATAGTAGTCTTCGAGGAGACTACTGTGTGACTTGGGCTATCAGCAATGGGCATTTTGAAACCTAACAATTTTCTTTTCATTGTTGCTATTCTTTGGATGAATAGTTTGTCTTATTTCATCTTAATGGTTGTGATACAACTGTCATCAACCCAGTCTTCCAGTTTTCTGACCTGCTGTGCAATGAAAAAAAGATGAGTCAGACTTCACAGAGTTATAGAGTTTGAGACAGGGGTGCTGATTACTACAGTTCTCATTTGGTTGCTAAGATATATAACAGGAGAAAATATGGTATTTCCTTAGAACTTAGATGTACTTTAGAATGACAACCAGGACCTATGTAATTTATTAGAGTCAACTTTCCAAGCATAATGATATCAGTCCTTTAAATTTATGAGACAATTTATGATAATAGTATTTCTTTTAAAGCAGCTGAACAGTAAAATATGGATGATAAAATGAGATTCATATTTTTTAAATATATTTATTCAGTATCTTTTGCCAGAGTGTCTCAGAAACCTCCCAACTAGTCTTTGTGTCCATAATTTTCTACTTATCATGTATATCAATCATTTTGCTCTCAGAGAAATGTTTCTAAGCCTACATACTTATATCCCAAATGCAAAATTAAACACTGATTTATTCATTCAACAAATTATTAAGTACATAAAAAGAATAAAGGTACAGTCCTTAAAGGTGCTCAATATTATGACTAATGTACATAGAAAATATGTTTAAATAATTACAAAACAAATTGTAAGTAAAGGCATAATGAGAAAGGTAAAAATAAATTCTAAGAAGTTTAGAAGAGTGAGAGATTATTTTCTAATATGAGGGAGAAGGTGTGAATGTGGAGGAGGTACTTCTTGAGCTTGGACATGATTTCTGGGCTTATTTGCAGACAAAGGAGGTACATCGAATAGCTAAGAAATTTGAACTGAATTCTTTAGATAAGTTTTAATAATTGGTATGTTTTCAGTGGAAGACTTCCATGATGTTTATTTTTTTAATAGAATAGCATTTTTGAAAGTATGACAAGTAGCCATGTCAGCATGGTATGAAGAAAGAGTAATGAAATAAATAAGCTATTACAATGATGGGTATATATGTTAAGGAATTATTCATTAAATGGGTAGGAATTGGGATTTTTAAAAAGTGGAATGAACAAAACTTGTGAGCAGTCATAATTTTATTTGGAATGGTGAAAATAAGAGCTGAAGACTAAGCAATTTTCTCTCTTAGATTTGATGGATGGTGATGACATTATCTAACAAAGATAATTAAAAAAGAGAAGGTTGTGGCAGGACAAGAGCTGAGAGTTCTAAAACTTTTAACTAATTTGGTATCCTTTGAAATATACATTATTTAAATGCTTTTCTTCACCTTTTAATTAGAGAAGACTTCGAATGCTGGTTTGGGAAGAAGTGAAAAAGGAGGCTTTCTTGCGGTACTGCCTTAACTTGTGCATCCTAGTCAGTAAAATGAGCTTTGTAGATAAATGGGTCCATTCATTATGGGAAACAGCTTAACAAATATCAGTAGCTATTGAAACATGTATCTTTGAGGACAATCTTGTCCCAACCCTCTTACGCAATACCACTTTCAATCATATAGAGTTCTGGAAATTCAATATTATCTATCTTATTATATTTACAGTGGTATTTTGACTTCCCCTATAGACTGGAAATTGGCTTCCTGGCAGCTCGCGAGCACCCTTGACATTTAAAAGAGATTTAGTTAAGAAATAATATATTTTGCTTGGCTTATTTGCATTTAAGGGCTTGGTGGTGGGGACAATGCAAGTCTGGAATTTAAAAGAGCCTACAGCAGGAAATATCACTTTAAAAGCTATCGTAATATTGATAGTTAAAACCATGTTAATTGATGTCTTCTTGGTAAGGAAAGAAAAATATAGAGAATCATGAGCTTAAAAGCACTTGAGCACTTGGGAACACCAAGATTTAAAGATGGAATAAGGAAGAGCAATTGGGGAATAAAACAGAAAAAAAAAAAACAAAAAACAAAAAAGTAGTCAGAATTGTAGAAGAGATTAGAAACATTGTGAATGGAATGACAGGAAAAGATGAAAGTTTCAATAAGGTGATGGTGAATAGTGTGGGAAAGCGAAAAGAAATATTTGGATGAAGACAAGGAAGATGCCAAAAATCTAATACTTGGAAAGTCTTTGGTGAGAAATTGTAACAGAAATGTTTAAGACATGTTGGAAGAATTGAAGAGACACCATGAACAGAGATCAGTTGGTGAAGGCTTCTCTTTCAAATTTTGGGAATGAATTTAAAAATTTAGATTTTTTTCTGAGAGAGAGAATTTACAGTGTCTAATTAAATAATGTAATTTGATGGTGGGCGTAGTTATAAAATCAGGAGAAGGAATGATAAGAGGAGTGATCGATTAAAGGTATAAGAAAGTGATAGGAACATTAATGGTCTACAGTTCCCAAAGAGGCAATCTAATTGTTTATGGGAGTAGGGAGTAGGGACCCAGAATACAGGAAAAAAAGAAAAGTCTGCATCAAGAAAATAGGAAGACTAACATAGCAGGTGAGGTGGACATTAATAATTTGAGCCGATTGTGGTGAAATTTGTAGTTATAACTGTGTGTTAAAAAAAAGAAAAAAAAAAGATTACCTAAGTAGGAATGAGTTAATTAAATTCTCCTTAGTATTGATGATGATAAGATAATATCACATATGGTAGCTTAGATGAGAGATTAAGTGATATCCTAAGTGCTCGGATCTGAATGTGTTCCCCAAAATTCGTATATTGAAACTTAATAAGCAATGTAATAGTAACAAGAGATGGGGCCTGTAGGCGGTGATTAGGTCATGAAGGTGCAGCCCTCATGGAAGGGACTAGGGTGTTTACAAAGGGGCTTTAGGAAAAGTGTTAGCCTTTCTGTATTCCTTACCCTATGTGAGGACACAGCATTTGTCCCCTCTGGAAGATGTGGCAGCAAGGCACCCTCTTGGAAGCAGAAGACTGTGTCTTCACTGGACACTAAACTTGCTGGCAGCTTGATCTTGGGCTTTCCACCCTCCAGAACTGTAAGAATTACATTTATATTTTTCATGAATTACACCATCTCAGGTATTTTGTTATAGCAGCACAAACGGACTAGACACTAGGTTTTAACAGTATTGGTTTCAGGAATTTTTATTGTTGTTGTATCAAAAATTATCACAGCTTAATATGTTTCTCTGATGAAATTGACTTAGGTGGCCAGGGTGGTTTTAAAGAATAGAAAATTATATTATGCTAGGTTAAGTACATTGGTATAGATTGTGTTTGTTTGCTCTGCTTTGTGTAGAAATCAGTTGAATAAAAATCAAGAAGTATTTTTTTTATCTCAGTATTAAGACAAAAGTTCTAAGTTACTCTGATTGGGACGTAATGTTTATTGGTTAACACAGAAGTCATATAAAGCCTGGGATTTTGATAAGTTATTACTTAAAGACATTTTTAGCAATGGATTCTTTCCCTAAGACTCTCGAAGTGCTCAACTTACACTTTCATGTTAGCATGACTCATTGCATACTCGTATTTGATTAGATGATCCAATATTTATGTAAAAGTGGGTTTTACAGTAACAAATGAAAATTTCATAAGCAGCCTTTGGACTAAAACAACTGACTCCAAGTTGTAAATGCAGATATGCCTAAGTTACTGGATCCTCTAGTTATGAACTATCCATATGCATACTTACAAAACACACAAATGGCCACAATCAATATAAAATCAGCAACTCATTGAGCCAAAGGTCTTTTGGGTGTATCACAAAGCATAAACAAGTGAAAATGGGATGTTGAATATCATTTGTGGGTTATTCCAATTTATTAGTTAATTGTTCTTTGCTTCTCTACTTCTACATTTAATCTATCTTGTTATCCATATTCTCAAGATCTCTTGAGAACTCTTTCCAAAGAGCTTATTAAGATATTTTCCATTAAATATAAAATTCTTATGGGCACAGGAAGCCTATTACCTCCTTTTAAAATAATTTTCTTTCTTACTACATTGCTTACATTTCCAGGGCTGTGTATTGTCTTTTTTCTTAAGACATGAAATATCCTGGAGTCTGGGATAACTTTTATATTTTTGATATTGGAACAAGTGAACAATCACAAGATGGGGCATTGTACACATTGTAAATAATATTGATGCTATTTTATTTTACTTTAATTCCAAAACAGTTCATTTGGGAAGTGTGGAAATGGACTGCAAAGTTTCCTAAAATAACATTTTCATGACTTCAATTAATTAGAAGTTTTTAACTTGAAGCCATTGATTTTTGCCATTGACTATTTTTTCATTTATCCATTTGCTATAGACATATTATCATTTCATGATATTTTATGTAATGCTTTGCAATCAGACCTAGACCAATTTGACATGAGTATCTACTAGGTTTTCCCAGTCAGATAACAGTTATTGGCAATAATTAGATGAGCGTTGGCTATTTTGCTACAACCTTACTTTCAGATTGTAATTAAGACTGAGACCAAATTCTTCCACATATATAAATCTTCATTACTGAGCAGGCAGAAAATAGTCATACAGACTATTTTGTTGAGTAACTTTAGTGAAGTTTTCAGCTCTCTGTTGTTTGAGATGGTCATGAGACCATCCCCATTGAAAACTACTATTAGTAGATAGTGTCTACTGATGCTATCAGACACTCTCAGTACCAAATCTACAAAAAGAAAATACCTAGGAAGACATTTAGGTTTATCTGTAATTTCTTATATTCATGTGAGGCTATACTGTCTATGAAAATCTTACTTAAAAGCCAAAGATTATTAAGATATCTATAATTCACTTTGAATATTTCAGCATAAGTAGTATGATGTTATGTATCTATTATGTATATATTTACATTGAATTCTAGGTGAGTGAGTCAGTGAGTAAGTGGTGGGTAAATGTGAAGGCCTAGGACATTATAGTACACTACTACAGACTTCATAAACATTGTAAACTTAGGATACACTAAATGTATTAAAAAACATTTTTTCTTCAATAACAATTTAACCTTGGCATACTGTAACATTTTCACTTTATTAACCACAAATTTTTAAACTTTTGATTCTTGTAATAATACTTAGCTTAAAACACAAACACATTGCACAATTGTACAAAAATATTTTACTTTTAATATCTTATTCTGTGAGCTTATTTCTATTTAAATTTATGCTGTTTTACCTTTCCAGCTTTCGGTCAAATACTAAGACACAAATGCACATATTAGCCAAAGCCTACACTACACAGGGTCAAGGTCAGCAATATTGTTGTTTTCCACCTTCATATTTTGTCCCACTTAAAGGTTGTGAGGGGCAATAAACCATGGAGTTGTCATCTCCTATGATATCAATGCCTTCTTCTGGAATACCTTCTGAAGTACCTGTCTGAGGTTGTTTTACAGGTAACTTAAAAAAAAAAGTATAAGCTGAAGGTGTACACTTTAAAATAAAAATAAAAATTATAGTATAGTATATTTATACATAAACCAGTAGCACAGTCATTTATTATCATGACGAAGTATTTTGTAATGTACATAACTGAAAGTCCTATACTTTTATATGACTGGCGGCACAGCAGATTTGTTTACATCAATATCACAACAAACACATGTTGCGCTACAATGTCATGATGGCTATGACATCACTAGGAAATAGAAATTTTTCAGCTCCATTATAATCTTACGGGACCATCATTATATATGTAGTCTGTTCACTGAAATGTCATTATGCAGTATGTGGCTATATTTTCTTGAGGATTTTTGCATCTATATTTATCAGGGATTTGACCAGTAGTTTTCTTCTGTTATGATATTTTTGGCTTTCAGGGTTCCCAGCTTCCTCCTCTTCAGCATGTATGTTGTCCCTCCATCTGCTCTCAATGCCTTCCCTCTGAAGATTGGCTAGGAATGCACCAGTCTTGCAATCCTCTTGGTCCCTCAGTGGGAGATATTCCTCCTGGCTCCATCTAGTCATCCATCTTGGAATAAAACTCAGCCATCTCTCCATGTATTTATAGACTAGCTTCATACATGGAAATAGCTTTACCAATCAACCTGGCTAGAGATTCTATGGGCCTCTCAAACCTTTTCTGTGAATGTGTCTTCTCTGGAATTGTGTGTGTAGATTTATAATTAGAGCTACTTACTGGTTTTATTTCTTTTCTTTAACATAATCTTTTGCATTTGCTCTTTTTCATCTTCTTTGCATTAATTACTCCATCAGCATGTCTGAACATTATGGCAAACAACTTAATTCTACATATGTATTTGTGGTGAGAAAAAAGAATCATTTTAAGTGAACAATTCAACATTTTGAAGACTGACACCATTTTACATGATTTCTTTTCTCAGTTAATGATATTTATATCTACCTATTTCCCAAATTGAAAACCTCCCCAAAACATCTTTAGTTCATATCACTTATTCCTTTAGTTAATCAATCACTGAAACATGTTGATTAGAGCTCCCGATTCCTTTGGAAATTTCACCACGTCATTCCCACTATGATTCCCTTTTTGCATAATCCAATATCTATTATTAATACAAACTCCTGTTCCTAAAACTCAAATGTTATTGGTGTAATCATCTGCCAATCTTTTTCTCTGTCTCTCTCCCCTGCCTCTCTCACACACACATACACACACACACAAACACACACAATCCTTAACCTTTTCCACCCCTTTACTTATGCTAATACCACACTAGTATGTCCAAAATCTTTAGAATGATACATAAGACCGCTTTTCAGTATTTTAACTTAATCTTACAGCTTCGTATTTTCTGTTAATTAGGACACATGATTTGCTCTTAAAACATGCTATAGTCTCTATTACCCCATGGCTCCTGATTTCTTTCATACCTCTTTGCCATTGAACCTACTATTGAAACAACCTTTGCAAAAAATATAGCAGTGAGAAAATTATGACAGTGAAAGAGATCTGACCTAACCAACTCCATCTTGCCTATAACCTTCAAATTGCCCTTGGTCATTCCTGGGGTCATTCCAAGCTAATTTTGAGAGAAATTTAGTTTATAGTTTAAATGACAATAGCCATTCCCAAGCTAAACTGTCTTTTTAAAGTTAGTAAAAAGCCCCAAGTTTAGGATTATGAAAGGGGCCTGAATTCTGGTAAGTTGTAGGCATAGTTAAATGATTACCAGATGACTATCAGACATCGTTCCAGATGTCACAATATTTGTAACTTCCCCAGTTACTCCTGTAAATAACATCACTATTGTAGAAGCTAAGATTGGCCTTCTGAGATGTCTTTTCAGACTTTTGAATTTCTGTTGACTGGCTGACTCCACCTGGACCTGCGACTCATGACTCATCTGGCCCCATGGCCCCCACCCAGAAGCAGACTCAGTGCATGAGAATTATTTTCCACACCCCTGTGATTGCATCCCCAACCAATCAGCAGTACCCATTCCCTAGCCCCCTGCCCGCCAAACTATCCTTGAAAAAATCCTAGCCTCCGAATTCCGGGGGAGGCTGATTTGAATAGAAGGAAACACTGGTCTCCCATTGAGGTGGCTCTCTGTGTATTAAACTCTGCAATTCCCTTGTCTTGATAAGTTGGCTTCATCTGGGCAGTGGGCAAGAAAAAGAACCCATTTGGCAGTTACACTATTCTGTCTTATTAAAATTTCCTACTTGAGTTAAGTCTGCCACACCTCAGTCTGATTTCTATTTTTAAATAAAAACCTAGACTCATTTGTCTCTCTCTCTCTCTCTTTCTTATCTCTATCTCTGTCTAACTCTAAAAACATATTGTTTTAAAATTTTGTATATTTCTTATATTTTCTATATATGGGAAAATATATTTTCTACTTTTTGGTTATGTATTCAAATTACAGGGCAAAGTGTTAGGGATTCTTTTGTAATGTCAAGATGTATTTCTATATAGCCAATAAGAGTATTAAAATATGTAACAAAATACAGAAAATAGAAAATGCCTTTAATTCCATCATAAAAGCTCAAAAGATAGTTGAAATGTTCACATATCCTTTTGAGTAGTGAACTTCACACATACACACACACAAATTAAGAATATATAATATAATTTTAAAAAGCTATTGAATATTGCTGTGTTTGGAGCACTCTTTGTTTAAGAGTGGCATTTGAGAGTTTTATCCTTGAATAATTATTTTATCAATAGCCTGATATTATATAACAATTATTCATGGCATAATGCAGTTGAAATTAATTCACTAGATAACTAATAGCCTGCACTTTTGCTTCTCCATTAAAATCCATGACTTTTATATTTTCCTTTCAGTTAAAAAATTTATTTAGAGATGTAGGAAAGGCACAAAAAGTTTTCTCAGGTAGCATATAGTACAGTGCAGCATCTGAGAAAAGGAGCAGCTACACTCTCACGAAAATTGCACTCTATTATTTACAAATATATAGTTATAGAGATTGTCATATCAACCAAGTAGATATTGTAGACAGGGGAATGCTCTTTTTTCATGTCCTTCTATTTGCCTTTCTTTATTTCCATAAGCATTTGTTAGACATCCTCTATGTATCATCTTTATGGAAATTATCACCTCTTTTGTATTTCTCAACTCCCAAATTAGCATATTTTTCATTATAATTGGTTGAGTTATTTTTGCTATGTCAAGCATTTATCTATTAAGTCTAATGTTTACCAGAGCACAAATTGTCCATATGTATATGTCCCAAGTCAATTTTATATATTCAGATATTAGAGAAATAAAAATCTGACAAAATAAAACAAATAAATACAAATAAGCAGAATTAGAAAAGGGTATTAATGTATTAATGATAACAGATTCATTAATTGTTAGGGACTTAAAATGCACTAGAAAAATGTAATATTCTGTATCTAGATTATAACAATTTTTTTTTGTCATTGACTTTCCAAATCTTACTAGAAGTTTTCTATCTCTTATCTTAATTTTTGGTAGATGGAAAATCACTCTAGATTGAAATTTATATGATACAGATCACATGTAATTTATATAGGTTCAACATGCCATAGACTATCTTGTTCTCATTTTCATTTTCAGTTTAAAAATATTATAAATTAGAACATTTTTATTGTGCATTGAATGGAAAAATAAAATTGAAACTATATTTATGCCTTTGAAGTTAGTCTCTTCAAAGTAAAGTGGTAAATTTTCATCTGGTTTTGGTTTACTGTTTTTGCAAAAAGTTCCATTTTTCAATTCTAATCATCTATTACCCAACACCAGTCCTATTAGCTTGCAAATAAGTATGCTATCTTCAGTCATAAATGTGAAGGATTGCTGGATGGAGGTTGTAAAAAACAGAAAAGAATGAAGTTGCAAAGTAAATGTGATGGCAATGGTTGGTAAGCATGGAAAAATATAATGTTTGATTTATTGCAAGGTTTTATTCTGACCGAGATTTTACTTTGTTTGATATTGTTACAATAAGCACGATAAGATTTCCATAATAATACGAACTTGTGTGAGTATATTGTATCTCTTTTGTCCCTAAGATTGACTTTTCCTTCAGCACATTAACTATATGAACTACATCAACGGGCTGCTTTAACAGTCTGTTTTTGGTTTGGGTTGACTGATAAGAGGAACCAGCAGAAGGTGGGGGACAGGGAAGGGAAGGTGAAAACTGGATTCGGGGTAATTATTTTTCTGGCTATATTCCTCGTAGGTCATATTTTTTCTTGCTGTTTTCTCTATTAGCCATAGTTTGTGTCAGGTACATTTTTCCATACAACTACTCTATTTGCCTGGATATTGTGAAGGCTTCCTGTTCTTACCATCCTCTGTTATACTACTATCTTTTTTAGGTCTCCTTAATCCCTCTGCACAAATAGTTTTACACTGAACTCCTCAAAGCATGCAGTTTCCATGCACCATCTGTTTCTTGCCAGGAACCTAATTTATACAGTGAAAGAGAACAATGTTTATGTTGCTTCTGAAAACAATGTGTTTATAAATGTGAAGAATTGGTAGATTACTTACAATAATTCTATGAGTTATTTTAATACTTAAAATAAGAAACAATTTACAAAATGGATTTCTTTTGTCCTTTTGAATCTATTAAAACAAATAAACTCTAAGGGGAAATACTAGAGAGCTGAGTTAAAATATATTTCACACATGTGTGGACACACACCTACCCATACACATATATATCTCTGAATCTTTAATTCTGTAACTTAATAGCAATTAAGGTATTTCTATTTTACCCTTGCATTTTTAAAAACTAGAGAACCCATATGTGAAACCCAAAGTATAGTTATTCCTCTGTCAACTTGAGAATAATCCATTGTTTTACTCCAAAAACTTGAGTTAAAAAGCAACATATTATTTGAGAAAAAATGAAACATAGCAGAGAAATTAAATTTATCTCTGCCTTTCATGCCTTTCAAGTCTAGCTCCCTAGTTTACTTCCCACACAGCTGCATCTAGTAAACTGGCAAGACATTTTGGTAGCTGAGGCAATAGCAGCCTTTAAATCCAATAATTTAATATCTCATTCAAACACAATAAATAAATAAGAAGGGAACAAATGCAATTACATAAAAATCACACTGTCATTATAACTAAAAAAAATCTAAATTTTAAATTATCTATGGGTAAAAAAAAAATCAAGCAAACAGAAATATTCAAGAACACCAACAAACTCCAGCAAGCTACCTCCATGGAACAGGGGAGAGGGCAACTAGCAATGCCTAAAATTAATGCTGAACCATCAGCCAAGAATGGAAGATTATTCAACTTGTGAAAATAAAGATTGCAGGGGTCAAATTGATAAAGTATAAGGGCGTGTTGGATGAAAAGGTAGTCTCCTAGGAGTGGAGGAACACAGTGAAAGGAGTTGATGGAAATGGAAAAGCATTCTTTCGAAGCAAAAGGATGAATTGCAAAAGAGCAAGTGGAAAAAAACAAGATTTTCAAGGCAAAAGAAAATTTAAAAAATTAAAAGCGTACAACCTGGTCCCCACTTCCTCACTCCTCCTAAGAAAAATCTAATACAGAATTATATGCTTTGTTACAGAGACAGAAGTGAGTGATTTTTAAACCAAGATCCTTATAAAACAACAGATTGTCAGTCTTGTCAATAAAAATTCAGAATATCAAACACTCTTTTCTGAAAATGTTGACAAAGTTAAATGAAAAATATAAAGTTATACAATTTAGCTGGCAAAAAAGCCCTTCCCTCACCCCCCCAAAAACCATAACACTTGGTCAAGCAGAAGAAAACTGAAATATAGCAGTATAAATTGAATTGCAAATCTTAAACCAGTGTTTATGGATCTGAAAAATCATCTTGAATCAGAAATAAAAAATCTAAAATATAATGTTAATAACAGGAAGAAATAAAATTTATTGAGTCAAGAAAATAAATAGAAGGGATGTTAAAATCATATTAGAAATAATTATGAAGTTACAAAGTGACCTAGAGAGAATAAATTTGAATGAGAAACCTTAAACTAAGGCTAGATATAGATAGACAGGCAAAGAAACAGAGAGAGAGAGAGAGAGAGAGAGAGAGGAAGAAAGGAAAGAAGGAAAAAACAGAAGGAAAGAGGAAAAGAGGAAAATCTAATAAAACAAATGGGGTAAAATGTAAACAACAGGTGAATCTAGGTAAAGAGTGCATAGATGGGATATTCTTGATACTATTTTTGTCTTATCAACTTAAACAAAATTTTAAATTATTACAAAATTCAAAGTTTAGTATACACATGCAGACATCTACAGTGTACACATCATACTGCAGAGTTAAATAAAGACATTTTTTCTTTAGCATTTATGATCAAGGGAAGGTAAGAACTACAAATGATTTTAATCATAACACTTTTAATTCTTGCATATCATTCTTTAGCCATCTTTACTCACTCACAAGTTCTCTTCTGTTAGCAATGAATATTCTTTCATGTAGTTGTAAGATGGTAGTCTTTCAAAGGGCATACCTTTTCAAGAATACATAGCCATTGATATTCTCATTTAAAATATTCATCATTATTTTTTGTAAATTATATATTTATATATTTTGCCATTGGTTGTTTGGTTAAATTTCATTTTTCTCGCTGATTTTTAAATATTTTTTGTATATTAAAATTTGGTTTAAAAATAAAAAAACATAATAAGGGTCACAAAATAAAAGCAGTATAAAAAAACAAAAAGAATCATAAATAAAAGTCAGAGACGAATTTATTAGAATGGAAGAAAGGAAAATAATAAATAATATATGCTTAATAGAAGATAATAAACGAAAAATCAAAAAAAGAACCAAATTACTTTATGACTATAATCCAATTATACTTTCCAGAAACAAAAAGAGACCCAAATCTATACCGAAAGAAATTATACGCCAGGGAAAACTAATCCACACAATCCAAGACATATTCTAGTAAAACTTTTAGACTTTGCAGGTATAAACAATAACAAAATACTCATCTCCAGGTGAAAAAAGATCAAATAATCAGGGCAAGAGACTTATAATGGCTTCAGAGTTTTAAAAACAACAAATAAGACAATGCAAAAATAATGAAGAATTTTCAAGAAACTCAAGGAAAGAATACAGACGTAATGGTTTATATATATCCAGCTATGATTTCCTTCAAGTATCAAGGACATAGGAAAATAGTTTTGAGAGGTCAAGGATTTCAATACCCATGGATCTTTCTTATATAGTCTATGAGAACATGAAATTCATTCAATAAGAGGGAGCTGGGGAAATTTTAGCAGCAGGAATAATGGTGAACATTTAATATACTTACTTTTAGATCTAAGACTAAAAGCAGAATCAGGGCATAAATGAAAGAATAATTTATTATAGGCCATATGCCATGTGTTGGATATTTTGACAAAGCAGAAATAACACACATAAAATGAGAGGCAAAGGGCGAGGAGAAAAAATTAAGGTAAATATAACAGTGGGTAATTAAAGATTGTCACCAGAAATTAAAAATACAGTAAAGGATTAAACTAAAAATTATAAATAAGGATATTAAAAGAGTATCAGTATACAGGTAACCACCACTAGGGGAAAAAATCCAAGCTTTCCTAAAAACTTAGCACATAAAAAAAGAAAGATCGTGAAGATCTGTAAGCGGCATAATCTATAAGGTAGACCATACACATGCAAACATACACACAAAAAACCCTCATTCCCAAATGATATAAAACAACTTTTTCTCAAGTGCACATGGGACATATGTTAAAAAATGATCATATAGTAAGGTATAATAAAAATATTGTTAAGCAACAATATTTTCTTAAAAATAAAGTAGAAATATTACAAACAAAACTCTTGGATTAAAACACAATAAAACATCATGGCAATTAAAGACATGGGAAATATGATATAATGCATATACTAAGTATAAGACATAATATCAAGCTGAGCCCAAACATATCAGTCACATAAAAAGTGTGAATGGGCGTCCCTCACCTTCTAAAAGAAATAAAGCTTAATTTTCAATTTATCTTACAAAGCAGGACCCCTTTATATGATGAATAAAAGAGAGACATCTAAAACAAATGATTTTAAAAGGCTAAAATGAAAGCAATAGGCAGGTATCAATCCTGATGTAAGGTAGAATTCAAAGTGAAAAAACATTGTGAGAAAGTCCTACACATTCATAATGTTAAAAGCCACAAAACACAATGAAGATGTCATAATTATAAATATCTATGCACAAAATAATTCAGTTGCTTTCATAAAGCAAAATCTGCAAGAGATGAAAGGATGCATTGATAGGTGAAAAATAAGTGACTTTAACATACTACACTCAGTACATGATAGATCAAGTATACAGAAAATAAGAAAATATATAAAAGTTGTAAGCAGCATAATCTATAAGGTAGACCATACACCTCTAAACACACACACAAAAACACCTCATACCCAAATGATAGAAAACAGAACTTTTTTTCAGGTGCACCTGAGACATACATTAAAATTGATCATACAGTAATGTATAGTAAAAATATTGTTAAGCAACAATATTTTCTTAAAATAGAGTGGAAATATTACAAACAAGACTCTTGGATCAAAACACAATACAAATAATAATTCTTAACAATATAAAATATGATAAAAAAAACTTTGTACCTAGATGTTAAATACCTCCTTTTAAACAGCTGTTGGGTAAAAGAAGTACAAGGCCAAACTAATGAATTTCTAAAAAAAAAAAAAAAAAAAAACAGTAATGAAAACACCAAATATGAAAATCTGTGGAATACATTAAAATCAGTGATCACAAGAAAATTCATAATAATAAAAGCTTTAATCAAAAAAGTTACAAATAAGTAAATGTTTCCAATTGAAAAGCTAAAAAGGAATTAAATGAAAAAAGAATATTAAGAAATAATAAATATATAAACAAAATTGAGATAGAAAATAGAAATAAAATAGTTTAATGAATTCATATATCAAAATATTATTTATTTGAAAAAAATTTAGAAAGACAAACTGAGAGATAACAATAAAATATAGGAGAAAGGAGGAAACTCAAATACAGAAAATAATGACAAGGAGAAAATACCTTTAAAACAGAAATAATAATTTTCTTTTTTTGAGCCAGAGTCTTGCTATGTTGCCTAGGCCGGAGTGTAGTGGCACGATCCTGGCTCATTGCAACCTCTGCCTCCCAGGTTCAAGGGGTTCTCTTGACTCAGCCTCCTGAGTAGCTGGGATTACAGGCACCCACCACCAGACCCAGCTAATCTTTGTATTTTTAGTAGAGATGGGATTTCACCATGTTGGCCAGGCTGGTCATGAATTGCTGACCTCAAGTGATTCCGCCTCATCCTTCCAAAGTGTTGGGATTACAGGCGTGAGCCACCGTGCCAGGCCCAGAAATAACAATATTAAAAGAGTCTGACAGTGTCTGTAACCACACTGAAAATATTAATTGTATATATACTTTCAGAACACTTAAAATTATTCTCTTAATGAACATATAACTAAAATTGCTATTTATTATCTGGAAATGATGTCTTACAATGGTTTATCTCATCCAAGTAGATTTTATTATTTAATATGAAATATAATTAAATATGTTGTCACTTTCATAAATGATTAACAAATTATTCTGTAATGAGAATATTTGATATTTATTGTTTAAGGTTAAAGACCAACAGATGGTCATATTTGATTGGTTAATTTTGCAATGGATAGCATAACAAATGGACTATGAGAGTTTAAAGTCCTTTGCATTAATTTTTAAATCACCTTGAGTGAATTTCTCCACAGTTACTAAAAAACTGAAATTCCTAAATGAAATTTGAAATGTTACTGTAAATTATAAGACCAAGATTCCTGGGCTTTCTTTGGTTTTTGTTTCGTTTTGTTTGTTTGTTTGTTTGTTTGTTTTGAGATGGAATCCTGCTCTGTTGCCCAGGCTGGTCTCGCTGCAACTTCCACCTCTGGGTTCTAGCCATTCTCTTGCTTCAGCCTCCCAAGCAGCTGGGATTACAGGCACCTGCCATCATCCTTGGCTAATTTTTTTTTGTATATTTTTTAGTAGAGATGGGATTTTACCGTGTTGGCCAGGCTAGTCTCAAACTCCTGATCTCAGGTGATCTGCCTCCCTCGGCCTCCCAAAGTGCTGGGATTACAGGTGTGAGCCACCACGCCTGG
This sequence comes from Homo sapiens, assembly GCF_000001405.40. Lineage (NCBI taxonomy): Eukaryota > Metazoa > Chordata > Mammalia > Primates > Hominidae > Homo > Homo sapiens. The sequence goes on from NC_000005.10 coordinate 104,142,614, forward strand.
GCAATTCTTGGGTTTTTAAATTGTTCTTTTTAATTTTTGTTCTTTTTAATAGAATTCATAAAAGCTGCTAATAACAAATTCCATAGATTGAATAAAACACAGTTCATGTATCTGGACACTGGCTATGTAGCCACCAGGTGATAAGGTGGCTATGCCAGGTTTAGCAAGTGATTTCCATTTCTGGTCTCACAGTGACTGCTCTCATTACCACCATTTTTAGACAGCAGGAAAGGGCTTGTGGACATAAAGGAAAAGGCAGTAATTTTTTAGGCAAGTTGAACCCAGTACTTCAACATACATCTCCAAGTCTAGTCTTATGTTCATAACTAGTTGCAAGGGCAGTTGATTACTGACAGGAAACGTGGAGAATATATTTTAGGGGTTCCATTAGATGGCTTTTTCACAAGATAGAATATCTACTTTTGTGTGATTAGAATATTTGGTGATTGATTGCTTGTTGTGAAATGACACTGAACCAGTACAGCAATTACAGATATGGATGGCTCTCATTTATGATTAGAGGATCTCAACATATTTTTCTATGTTGATAATATTGTTTATGTCAAAGTAATGGTGATTGCCCTTTTTATCTTGATTTTAATCAACTAATTGTACACACAGAAAAATTCTTTACAGTGTTATATTGGGTCATTATTTAAGTATTATATTCTAAATGTGAATAAAATGATTTTTTAGCCTGTAACTGAAGTAACTTGCTTGTTTTTCATTAGTCTCATGACCACACCTAGCTCCAAAAAGTAATAGAAAATATCATTTTCATTACAAGCATTTGTTTACCAAGCTGAGCTTTGAGGGTTCAATGACCAAGAAAAAATGGCAAATAGATAAAAATAAGTGAAAAAGAAGTAGCATCTACTAGCCTGTAGCTAAAATATACTAAAAGTCTATCCCCATAATCCCAGCAAAACATGTTAATTTACCTAATTTGCTATTTGATTTCCAATCCTGTGAAAGTGCTTACCTCTTTCAGCTCCATTGTAAAACTATTTGAAATGTTTTTAATTGCATTCTACAGTTCACTATTGGAATACCTTGTAGAGCTAGCATCAAATTCAGCTTGATTGGACATATAACCTTTGAAAACCCCCTTCCATTTGTCTACATAACTTTATGATTTCTGGTTCAACCCTTTAAACTTAAAGGTTTAAGGCGACAAAATTACTTTCGCTTGAACCTGTGAGTGACAACTTCTAGCAGATAGGGTACCCATCAGTGTCATTGATGTCTTTTAAAATAGTGAAAATGTCGACCTGTGTTCCCATGAATGTTCCTCCAGCCATCCAGCGTCATGTGAAGAAAATATATTTCCAAACTGTCTGTTACTTCTGATAAAAAAGCAAACCTCAAGGGCACTTGGAGGTTTAGTTTATCAAAACAATTCTTTAAAAACGTTTCTGAGGAGGAACTGTTCAGGTCATCTGTCTTGATATCATGTCTTAACCATTTCTAATTTGACTGTTTATATTCCTTCACATTTTGCTAGGTCTCCAGAGAAAAATTCACATTTCAAGGAAATTTATAATTTTTTCTGTGTCCTAAGAATAGAGACAAACCCTTTTAAAACTACATTTACATGAATTATGAAAATAAAACAACTTTTAGCTATTTTTGCCAGATACATAATTTAATATTTTACTACGTATCTTTAACACACGGTAGAAACTTTACCATTATGAAAACATCTAAAAATTAAAAATGGAAATGCAAGCAATAAGAAATGTTCTAAATCTCTGTTATAAAATCTGTATACCAGTGAGTAATAGTAACATTATATGAAACAGACTTAGGAATTCTGAAGTAATTTTTCAATTCTTGAGAAACACTTTTTCTGTTATTGTAACTGTTTTATTTTGCTCTGTTGAATTTGAGAGCAGAATCACATTTGCTACTTAGTAATTAACAGATAAAATCTGTTATAATATGTCATTATAGATCATTGCCAAATAAAAAGCAAGCACCAGGTGGTTGTGCTTTATGTTAAGCTACAGTGCACATGCATTAGGACTTTTTTTTTTCTCTCAGGAAAATTGCAATTTATTTTAGAGATTCTTTACACTATGGAAGCTGTAGAGGAAGAAGCTGTTTTATACTAAACTGGAATCCATAAAGAAGTATGGTATCATCTCATGCTTTAATGCTCTTTGCTGGGTTACTGTAATAAATAAGGCTTCCTTTATTTTCTTCCTTCTCCTCCTCCCCTTTCTCCTCCTCCTCTTCCTTCTCTTCATTTTTCTTCTTATTATTATAATTGGACAATTGCATAGGCAACTGAAGCTAAATTATAAATCTTATTGTCTATCAATTGTTAATAAAATCTTAGATGATTGTTAACTTATAGATACTCATTTTAGCCTCTACTTCATTGCCATTCTATTATATTCTGAGAGAAAAGATTTTCCATCCCCCAACAATGATGTGCCTCTTAATATTTGTCTGAAATGTCTGAAATGTCTGTGTTCAAACACATGGGAGCTTGGATTGTTCACCTCTCATTGCACTCCTGTTAACATTCAAGCTCTTTTTGTGGACTTTGAAGTCCTACATGCTGAGACCTTTCTTAATCATTCTAGCTTTATCTTAAGCAGTCTTCCTCCTGTCCAGTATTGCTGGCTCTACTGGTCACCTCTCAACTCTTAAAACAGAGCCAGCTGTTCCTCACTTTAGGGCTTTTAAATATGCCATTTCCCTCAGCTTTCTAGATTTCTCTTTTCCTCAGTATGGTTATTTATTTTAATTAATTAATTAATTAATAATTTTTTTGAGGGAGGGTCTCACTTTGTCACCCACACTGGAGTGCAGTGGCATGATCTGGGCTCACTGAAGCCTTGCCCTCCAGGGCCCAAGCCCTTCTTGCTTTTTGAAAGTATCAGGGAGGCCACATCCTCACCCCACTTCCATCCTGACACTGAAACTTGTTTCTTTGATTTGTGCTGGTTTCCAGTCATATATTTACATTCTGTTAAATTATTGTTTGTCTTCCTCACAATATTTAAAATCAAGAATGGCAGGGACTATGTAAACTTTATTTACATATATATATGCACTTGAAATACAATAAAATATATTAATTATAAATCACTAAAATCAAGAAGAAAAATAACTATTTGACATACTATCCAATAAATGTCATATGCAGTCAATACTTAAGTATTAATGTTAAAAACTACTATATCTACTGTGGAAATAATTCGAATTGAATTGGAATCTCTTCTCTACCTTCCAAGTTCTTGTAAATTAACAGACACAACAGACATATACAGAAAGAATTACCAGAATTAACACTTGTAGAACTGTTTCACCTGGTGAGAGCTAATACATTTAGTGTAATGCAGTGATCCATTATTCTCCATATTTACTAGGAATTTCAGGAAATAATTATTTAAAGTTTATTAAAATGGAGTTAGTTGAAAGATCTTACTGAAATGGAAAATCTATTATTTAGAGAATATTTTCTTTTCAACATATTTTAAAAAACACAAATGTGTATGTAACTGCTGTTTTATAAGCAGAAGAAAAATGATTTCTCTAGCTCTGAGATTTTGGGAATGGGCATTATTGCAACCTAAAGAAAAGAATTCCATAGTGTCTCTGTCTCCCTCACTTGAAAGGCCATCTTAAATATCTGCACTGTTTGGATACACCTTTTTTATCACTTACTTTTATTATATTAGCTTTACATTTCATAAAGGGAAAAAGATATTGAGTAATATTATGGGAAATTAAATGTACTCAGAGAATCAAAATGTTTATATACACTCTACTTCCAGTTTGGGTGTTCACACACTATATTTTTCCAATCATCCATTCAGAAATATGAGATGCTACTTAAAAAGCAGAAATTAAAAATATATGCAGGCTATTCAGAGATCATTTCCCCATAAAGTTCCCATGGTGCTAGTCAAGTTATTGAAACTTAGAGAAGTGGCAATAAAATCCAGAAGTGAGACATAAAAAAAAACTTGTGCGAAAACTTTTTATACCATTCCTTAGTCCACTGTTTCACAGAGTGTGTTCAGATGAATAAATCTCCACTGATTCTGCTTGAAAAAAGTATTCCATCTTCAAATAAGTTTGGTGAATGCTGCATATGAAATGCTCTTTGTGAACACTCACAATGCTCTGCACTCTAAGCAATGCACAGTTGGTAGAAAGCTTCATATTAACCTAGGTTACTGTTTTCACTTCTTGTTAAAATGTTGGGAATTCCAGAGATATTTCTGCATGAAATGCACTGAAAGAACCTCCTTACTTGCAGCACCCTTGCGTTAAAGCACAGTGAACAGATATGAATCTGTCACATTAAATGCTAATCTTCTACTTGCTGACTTACCCACACTAAAAGGAAGTATGTTTAAACTTTCTGACCGTTTATTGTATTGTGGTTATTTTAGAGATATTGTCTGTTGAGAATTTTAAAATGTGCAAGCCTTTCTATAACTCTACTTTAAAAAGTAAAATGAGAAAGGAAAGTTTAATACTGTAGAATGAATAGATGTGTCAGAGTGGAGATTCACTATTTATTATGAATTATCTTGCTTTTATTGGCTGCAGTCAAGCTTCTGAGGTTAAATAAACAGTTTTCTGAGACTGACTGACTATACTTCATTTGTACATAAACATGTTCAAGAACCATAACGATATTAGAGGTTTCAGAGTGTTGTATACATTGAACAAATGCACACACTGTATCTGTAGATATTATTTATTCAACATTTGTCATGCATTTCAATGACTAAAAATCACATGTACATAGAAAACACTTCTGTAGGAATCAGCCGTCAGAGGTTCTTGTTTTCCTTCCAGAAGATAGCCGGCAAGAGAAAAAAGTATCTGAAGCATTCAATGCCATTCAAGTTCACATACTGAATAAACTTGCTGTCAGTCAAAAGTCAGATATGTTAGGCAAAGAAAAACAGCTTGTAAGTAAACATCAATTCAGTTAGGTTGGAAAAAATAGGAAAAACCACAAGCACAATGGGCTAACTCACAGGTAGCTGCAGAGTGCTTCTGGTTTTACTCAGCTTAAGAGAGGAGAGAATGGAGTTTTGATATAGAGGTAGAAGAGCACTTTTCATTTCCTGATCCCTAGATATCTAGAATGCCCTTACATAACCCTCGGAGGAAAAAAAAATAAACTTTAGTGTTTCAGTGTTGTTTGTTTGAAGATAACTTAAAACTCTAACAGATTTTGGTATGGTATAAATATTACAAGTTTTCTAGTCTTCATTATTAATAAGCCTGAACTTATTGCAAACATTTTAATATATAAAGCAATAAGAATTAGTTGATAAATTATAAAACAAAAAAAAGCTAATGGGTCTTTAATAATGAGAAGCTAATTTTTAAAAATCAGAGAAAGTAAAATTAACTAATAATCATTATTTGTTTTTGTAGTTTGCCATTTTTGCTTTCTTTATTTAAAAAATGTTTTTTAAGTTAGTGAATTCTACATTGAGTGAAATAATATATGGAGAAGAAAAGTGAAGAAAATATTTTAATTCAAATCTATACATTTTGAATAGCACAGCTAAAAGTTATTCAGCACTGCCTCACTTAAAAAAGATAAATTTTTTGTCTTAGCTTTCAAAAGAAAAAGATCCAAAGGATAAATACTAAATAATTATTGCTTATTTCATGACAATTACATTAATACTCCACTTGTGACTGGGAAATAGATATGTGAAGACAGGACATCCCAGCTTTAGTAATTAATTCGTAAATGTTAGTTATTTTATTTTATTTTCAGAAATGTCCACACCTTATTGGACTTTCCTTAGTGTAACTTACAAACAAAACATTAAAATTTGTCATATAATTGATTTTCTTAAAGTATACTGCCTAGTGTTTTTTTGAATTTCTTAATATAAAAGCAATTTAACTTAAACTCTATTAGCTCTATTTTTAAGTCTTTTATTACTTTCCATCAACTTTACATCTATCCTAAAAAGTAATAACGATAAACCAAAAACTTATTTGTAGGTTCTCAAAATAGAAGACTTTTATAGGAATTTTTGGTTCATCAAAATAACTGCTCCTTCTATCATTAATTCATTCCCTAAATAAGTATTTCTTATGTACTTGAGAAACAACTTTTCATTTTAGACCCAAAATATTATTTCAGGCCAATATCCTTGATGAACATTGCAAAAATCCACAACAAAATACTGGCAAAGCAAATCCAGCAGCACATCAAAAAGCTTATCCACCACGATCATGTGGACTTCATCCTGGGGTTGCAAGTTTGGTTCAAAACACATAAATCAATAAATGTGATTAATCAGGTAAACAGAACTAAAGACAAAAAAAAATGATTATTTCAACAGATGCCAAAAAGGCTTTTGATAAAATTTAACATACCTTCATGTTAAAAATTCTCAATAAACTAGGTATTGAAGGACCATACTTCAAAATAATAATAATATGACAAACCCACAGTCAACATCATACTGAATGGGCATAAGCTGGAAGCATTCCCCTTGAAAACTGGAACAAGATAAAAATGTCCTCTCTAACCACTCCTATTCAATATAGTATTTGAAGTTCTGGCCAGGGCAATCAGGCAAGAGAAAGAAATAAAGGGCATTCAAATAGGAAGAGAGGAAGTCAAACTATCCCAGCTAGCAAATGACATAATCCTATATCTAGAAAACCCTCTTATCTAAGCCCAAATGATTCTTAAGCTGATAAGCAACTTCAGCAAAGTCTAAGGATACAAAATAAATGTGAAAAGTCACTAACATTCCCATACACCAACAACAGTCAAACTGAGAGCTAAATCACAAATGAACTCCCATTCACAATTGCCACAAAAAGAATAAAATAACTAGGAAAACAGCTAATAAGGGAAGTGAAAGATCTCCACAAGGAGAACTAAAAACCATTGCTCAAAGAAATCAGAGATGACACAAACGAAAGTAAAAACATTCCATGCTCATGGATAGGAAGAATCAATATCATGAAAATGGCCATACTGCCCAAAGAAATTTGTAGATTCAGTGCTATTCCCATTAAACTACCATTGATATACTTCACAGAATGAGAGAAAACTATTTCTAAATTCACATGGAACCAAAAAAAGAGTCTAGATATCCAAGGCAATCCTACGCAAAAAGAACAAAGCAGGAGGCTTCATACTATCCAATTTCAAACTATACTACAGGCCTACAGTAACCAAAACCGCACAGTACTGATACAAGAACAGACATAAACCAATGCAAAAGAATAGAGAACCCAGAAATAAGACTGCACACCTACCACTATTTGATCTTTGACAATCCTGAGAAAAACAAGCAATGGGGAAAGGACTTCCTATTCTATGAATGGTGCTGGGATAACTGGCTAGCCATATGCAGAAAATTGAAATTGGACCCCTTCCTTACACTGTATACAAAAACTAACTCAACATGGATTAAAGACTTAAATGTAAAACCCAAACTATAAAACCCTGGAAGACAACCTAGGCAATACCACTCAGGAAATAGGCATGGGAAAAGATTTCATGACAAAGACACCAAAAACAATTGCAAAAAAAAAAACAAAAAACAAAAAACAGCAAAAATTGACAAATGGAGTCTAATTCAACTAAAAAGCTTCTGCAGAGCAAAATAAACTGTCAACAGAGGGAACAACAACCTACAGAATGGGAGAAAAATTTTGCAAACTATGCATCTGACAAAGGTCTAATGTCCACTATCTGTAAGGAACTTAAATTTACATTAATAAAACAACCCTATTAATAAATGGGCAAAGAACATGAATGGACACTTCTCTAAAGAAGACATATATGCGGCCAACAGTCATGAAAAAAACAAGCTCAACATCGCTGATCATTAGAGAAATGCAAATCCAAACCACAATGAGATGCCATCTCATCTCACAGCAGTCAAAATGGCTACTATTAGAAGTCAAAAATAACAGGTGCTGGCAAGGTTGTGAAGAAAAAGAAATACTTATACACTGTTGGCTGGAGTGCAAATTAGTTCAACCATTGTGGAAGACAGTGTGGCAATTCCTCAAAGGCCTAAAGACAGAAATACCATTTGACCAAGACACATTTTGCTGTAAAGTATTTTTCTCATGAAAATAGTTTAAAATTTTTTTTCTATAATATTTTGAAAGGAAAGAAAATGCAAATCTACTACATTTTACTTGCTGGAGATACAAATCAAATTCTTACCTTTCCTTACTATTTACCATAAATATTAATACTCTATTAATAATTTTTAATGTTACTTTTGAAAATAAATGTTATTTTTGAAAAATATACTTTGGCCCTAAAGTAAATTATCATACTAATTTTTGCAGGAAACTCTTTTATTTCTAAAACATTATGGGACATACATTGCATCTATAATGCTACAATTTTTTTTTACCACCATACTCATAGGTCTAGTGATTACATGCATAAGAAATACCATGCAATCTGTGCATATTATATTCTAAGTGTATACTAAAAGAAAATGTATAGTCTTCATAAAGTAAAATGCAAAATAAAGTTGACAAATACAGATGATTTTGCTTGAATCCTCTCAGTTGGAAAAGATAAAAATACTTTCAATATTTGAACATTTTAAAAAGAGCTCTCAATGAACTTTAAAAAGAACACCTTGGAATATTTAATTGAATACCTTATGAAAATGTGACCTCGGGATTGATAACACTGACTTTGAACACATCATCAATTCTTTCAAAAATGGCCTTAGGGTCTTGATGCATTTTAAGTGGGGTGCCAATATCCAGGATCAAGTCCTTACATTTTCATTTTTCTAAACTCAATTTTTTTCCATTTACCCAGGACTGCCAGACTCTAGGGAACTCCTTGCCATAAAGAAATTTAAATTAACAAACTAAGTTATAAATTTTAAGCTAGTGGTGGGGATAGGTGTAAGGAGCGAGATGAAAGTAATACTTATCCTGAATAAGGCAACTGCATATCTCCATAGAATGGTTCTTTGTCCAAAGGACACATCAGAATATTGTTTTGAAATTGTTAACAGAATTAATCCAAAGGAGTTGAATTTTGTTTTGGAATGCATTAAGTTTTAGTAGCTGAATTTAAATTCTTTACTATATAAAAGACTGCACAGTGGAATAACAGAGGGTGTTATTTTAAATATACAATTTAGGATCAAGGTTAGCCAAAATCTGTCACTAATTCTGTGGACTTATCCTCAATACCTCCTCAATATCTTTATCTGTGAAATTACAGTAATAAGAGTAAGATTGATTATCTCTACCTCAAAGCATACTGTGAGGAAGGTATACGTTAAACTCTCTTACAAAGTGTCAAGGATATAACATTTGTTAGTTATTTTAAATGAGTGATGTACAATAGACTGAATGTCAAGAATGATAAGTGTAGAAAAATAATTTAAAACTGCTTTTCTCTAACTCATCGCTATCCAATAAAATGTGTTTTATATCTGTTCCTATGTGACAATCTTTTCTATGTGGCTATCAAGTTCTTGAAACAGGGCTAGTGTGACTGATGAATGGATGTTTTAGTTTTACGTATTTAAAAGTTCAACCTAAATAGTTACATGTGGCTAGACTACTTGATTGGACAGTGCAGATCTATTCAAAAAGTATACATTCTTCATTGTGGGGAGATTCTGGGTAGAATGATCCAGTAGCAAGGATATTGAATATTTTTGACCACCTATCCAGATGGAATGAAAGCAAGCAGAATAGGAAAAACACAGTCTCATAGACATTTACAAGACAAAAAGCAATTAGGTGAAAGAATATATCCAGGAATACCAATATATGATCAAGTAGCGATGAACCACTGACAGGACTACAAGACCTGTGTAGTATCAAAAATACAACATGAAAATACACAGAAAATAAATGAGCTGCTAGATAGACCCAAGAACTCTAAAATAATCAACTGTTACTTAAAGGAAAACCTGGAGGGAAGTTTTTAAGAACTGCTAAAACCACAAAGAATGTTGCCCATTCCAATAGTAGGAGAATGTAGGATGTCCAAAATGATGTCTAAATTGAATGGAGAAGTAAGGCCTCACAAATCCTCAAAACTAGCAAACAAAAGCCATCTTTTAGAGCAATCAGCATGCTGCAGAGAAACTGCTGGGAACAGAATCTAAATTGAGCATACCATGCATGGTTTATTTACACAAAACTTTATGTGTATATATATATATGTGTGTGCACACTGTGTGTGCATATAGTTCTGCTGTTAAGATGTAGTATAGAGCTAATTTTATAGATTCCTCTTTATACTCAGGAATCTTATGAATTCACTTATTAATTTTAATAAGTGATATATACACTCTTGTGAATCATAATTTGTAAAATGAGAGTAACTGATTTCTATAATCGACCTCAAAATGATATATCTTTTAATAAGTTGGGTTTGGTTTTCTGATATGGGAAAGATTTTAATTACAAACTCTAATTCTTTAAAGCATTTTTCAGATTTTCTATTTCTTCATGTGTCAGTTTTGCAAATTGAACCTTTCTGCTATTTTTTCATTTTCTTTAATATTTTTGAATTTATTGACATAAAGTAGTTAATAATATCTTCTTAGATTCTTTTAGTATCTATAAATTTTGTCATGATTGTCTCTTTTACTATTTTGTTTTAAAACTGGTTTTGTTGTTTTTAAAAATAAGCTTCACCAAGGCTTTAGATATTATTTTCCATCAGCACATTGAATATATCATTCCCTTGTCCTCTGCCTTTTATGTTTTCCTTTGATAATTCAGCTGTCAGTCTTATTGCTGAAAAAGAGCTCTGCAAAAGAGCTTGGTTGCTCTTTTACTAGACTTTTTTTCCCCTTGACAGTTTGTATCGTATCTTCTTCGTCTTAGGTTTTTAATTATTTTACTATGAAGTGCATTGGTAAGGTTTTCATTTGATCATTTTTGGAGCTTCTTGAATGTACATGTTGATGTCTTCTTTTAATTTTGATAATTAGCAATTTTGGTGTTTTTTCCAAAGACAAAAACGTAATTTTTGTTGAGTCTCTTTTTTGATAGATTTTTAAAAGATATGTTTTATTAGTTTTTACTTCCCCCCTCTATATACATGTATGATATAACATTATATTATATATTAGCTGTTCTTCTAATCTCTTTAAGTTATATATGCTGTAATTTTTCTGTCTTCTTAGGATAAATGATTATATATTAGAGACTTTTTGTCTAGGTAAAAATATTTTATAATCAAATTTTGTTTTAATACAGCTCTAGATGCATTTCATAAGTTTTCAATTATTGTTATTATTACTTGGCCAAATATTTTCCATTTCCATTTGAGTTACACATTGAGCCATGTGTAATTTAGTAATAATTTCTCAATTTCCAAGCATAAAATTATTTACTCATAATCTTTTTGTTTCTTGTTTTTTTTTTCTGATTTATAGCTTAATTCTTTTGTGACACTTGATGTGATGCAAGCTTTTGGAATTTGGTGAGGTATTCTTTACGTTTCATAATGTGGGCAATTTTAGTAATTTTTTGTGCACTTGAAAGACGTGCATTTTTTTCTGTCTCATCTTCTTACTTATTTCTTTAAAAATGTGCTAACAGCTCCCACATTGATTTGGATTTATCTATTATCATTCAAATTCTGACTCTTTTGGTTCAAATATTTCTCATTAATGTATTCATTAATATATTTTAATGTATTCATTTTTTCTCTCATAATGCATTCAGCCACCGAGTTTACTTTTTTCAGTGTTCATTTAGTGGCACCATATTTTCTTTTGCTAATATAAACATAGCATATAGTTTGTCATTCTCTTTCAATAGAATTCAATGTTATTGTTTTTATTTCAGGCAGTTAATATTTATTTTTAATTATCCTTATATATGCTCTTCTTATATTCTCTTCATTACTTACTGTATCTACAGATTTCCATCTGTGATTGTTCACATTTTGATTGAGAGTAAACTCTTTAATATTGTATTTTGTGCTGGCATGTTGATGATCAATTTTCTCAGCTTTCACTTTTCTAAACATGTCTTTCAGCTCCTTTTTAGAAAGATTTTTTTTTCTGGATATAGAATTCTAAGTTGGCTATTATTTTCTATCAGCACGTTAAATATGTCATTCCCTTGTCCTTTGCCTTTTATTTTTCTCTGTTGAGTATTCAATGTTCAGTCTTATTGTTGCTCTTTTAACAAGAGTTTTTTCCCCTTTGACTATTTTTTATATTTTCTTAGTCTTATGTTTCTAATTACTTTACCTGAAGTGCATAGGTAAGTTTGAATGATTTTTAGAGCTTCTTGAATGTATGGGTTGATGTCCTCCTTCAATTTTGATATTTTTCTTTCATTATCTCGTCAAGTATTGCTTCTACTTCGTTCTATTTTTTTCATCTCCTGGATGTTGATTATACTCTTGTCACACTTCTATCCCATGATTCTGTCATGTTATTTTCTGTATTTTCCACCTTATTGTCTCTGTATTTTATTCTGGATATTATTGTTATTTATTATTATTTTGAGACAGGGTCTTGCTCTGTCACCCAGGCTGGAGGGCAGTGGTGTGAACATGGTTCGCTGCAGCCTCAACCTCAGGGGTTCAAGTGATCCTCCCACCTCAGCCTCCTCAGTAGCTGGGACCACAGGCATGTGATACCACTCCCATCTAATTTTTGTATTTTTTTGTAGAGATGGGAGCTCACTATGTTGTTCAGGCTGGTCTTGAACTCCTAGGCTCAAGTAATCCTCCCACCTCAGTCTCCTAAAGCCTGGGATTACAGGTGTCAGCCACTAAACCCAGCCTCTGATCTGTCTTTGAATCTTAATTGTCTTTTCAGCTATGCCTAATTTTCTGTAAACAATTCTTCATGATACATAGTTTCTGATATTTTCAGTTCTCTATCTTTGTTTCTTTTTTCTGATGTTAAAGTATTTTGATAAAATTATTAATGTAATCTTTTGAATTCTACAGTGCCTGTATTATACTTATTGTAAAGTGCATGACTGAAATCATCATTATTCATAGCTGTGTAGTTTCTTCTCCCACGCTGATTTTTCTCATTGTGTACAGCTACATATTTTAATTTCCTTATGCACTGGAAATTATAAATAAAAACTTTAGAGGCTACTTGAGATTCTCAATGATATTATCTTCCTCTGAACATGATTGAAACTGGCCACAGGAAATCCCAGATTATCTCAATTCAATAAAATATTGAGGCAAATTGAAGCTAGGCTTTTTATCCTTGGGAAGAATGCTCTGTTTTTGTTTAACCTTACTCTTAGGATTTAGCACATCAGTGTCTCAGCCAAATCCTATGGGACTAACAGGGCTTTGTCCAATTCTTCCCCTCTACCTACTTTCATGTGCTCTGTTTAAAATTATTTTCAGCTCATTAACATATCATCTGCTATGCATAGTCAGTACCTGTTGAAGAAAAGCAGTACCAAATCCTGGGTACACGTGTGCATTCCTATTCACATGGATCTATGCCTCACAGTTCCTTACTTCCTTGGAAGATGTCCATAGCCTTGACATATACACACACATATGTAAACACATTCACTTAATATATATGTGAAATAAAAAATATTTGTTTTTAAGGAATGATTATTCCAAACCATTATGCCACTACTTCTACTTTAAAGGACTTGGAACTTCGTCATTATATTTAAGCACATATTGAATATTGCATTTTTCTATCAATGGCTAGCATCCATTAAGTTCTCCAGTCTTCTCCAAAAAGTATATAATATGGTTAGGCTTTGTGTCCCCACCCAAATCTCATCTTGAATTGTAATCCTCATAATCCCCACATGTCAAGGGCAAGACCAGGTGGAGGTAATTGAATCATGGGGACAGTTCTCCCTTGCTGTTGTCTTCATAGTGAGTGAGTTCTTACGATATCTGATCGTTTTATAGGGAGCTCTTCCCCCTTTGCTCGACACTTCTCCTTCCTGCTTCCTTGTGAAGAATGTGCCTTGCTTCCCCTTCACCTTTTGCAAAGATTGTAAGTTTCCTGAGGCCTCCCCAGCAATGCTGAACCGTGAGTCAATTAAAACTCTTTCCTTTATAAATGCCAGTCTTGGGCACTTCTTTATAGCAGTATCCAAATGGACTAATGCAGTATGGTTTAACTTATTTCCACTTTCTCCTCCCTCTCCCATTGCTACTACCTATCTAGGATGTTGGGTCTAGATTATTTAACTGATATATATTAAAATAAACACTTTTTTAGATTGACCATAATTTGATGAATTTTGGCTATTTGCATAAAAATAAATGAGAGCCCACTTTATAATTTCGGCCACACTTTTCAGAAATGCTCTTTTGCAGGTGTTTGGACTAATGATATCTTCTATAATGAGATTCGGTATGCTCTTGATCTTTCTGGGGTTTGTTGTATTATCTGGCCCACTGAGGATACCTCTTGTTGCTTTGCAGAAAAACCATGGAATTTTAAACCATAGTAATTTTTTTTCCTGAATCTGAAGGGTGACTAAAACTTACACTTATCATGAACCAGAACATTCTCAGTGTTTAAGCTTTTTTTCCCAACATTTGCTCAGAAATGAAAGAAGCTGGAACATTCAAACTGATTCAATCACTGCTTTGCATATAAAATGTATTTTTGACCAACCATAGGATGGCATTTAAACATAGAGTAATTTTCACACAGTGAATAGAAGAATAAGTTATTCTGTACTTGTGAAATATAAATTTGAATTGTCTACATTAATTAAATATGTCCATCTGGAACATTTTGCTTCCCGTTTACCATAATAACTTACCTCAACTTTCCCACTCACTCAAGCTATGTAGACAAGAGTGCTATTTCTACACAAATATTATTTAGTATGTGAGGTTTGATAAATGCTTTAAGTACTCTTTGTAACTGTCTAACTTCTAATGAGGCAATACTGAGATTTACAAATGCTACTGGCAAAAAGCATAGAATTATTGATGTTACAAAGTATGACTTATTTTTTGCACATTTAGTACAAAAAGAAAATCTTACAAGTTTTCTATAAAATTTTGATCATTTTAGTTTTGACATTATCTACTATACACAACTTGAGTTATCTCATAATTTAATCATAATAGAATAAGAGTCCCAAAGAAAAATTAAAAGTAAGACTCTCAAATAGAGTCCCAAATTTACTGTGACAGTACAGTGTATTCTTGATGTATATACATATATAAAAGCAATTTGGTCACTCAATTTGAGTGTTGCTACAGAAAAAAAATGATAAATATATATATATTATATAATGCTTTGGCTGTGATTTGTTATTACAAGCTTACCGTTTCATATAAGATATTTAGTAAGAAGGTTTTAGTTATTTTACAGGGAAATAAGGCACTTAACTGCTCACCTTAAAACTATTGACTGCATTTCAGAAGCTAATTACACATTTTGGTCTTTGATATTGTTTTTTAATAAGTGATCACAACCACAAATTTTTGAAAACAATTTTATCATATAGATATTATATGTGTAATGCATATTTTGTGTTTGATTTCCTTTCTTCCTTCCTTCCTATCTCTCTCTCTCTCTTTCTTTCTCTCTTTCTTTCTCTCTTTCTCTCTTTCTGTCTGTCTTTTTATTTTCTCTTTTTTGTCTGCTCTGTTGCCGAGGCTGGAGTGCAGTGGCCAGATCTCAGCTCACTGCAGCCATCACCTGATGGGTTCAAGTGATTCTCCTGTATCAGCCTCTGGAGTAGCTTGGATTACATGCAGGCTCCCGCCACCAAGCCCAGCTAATTTTTTATATTTTTAGTAGAGATGGGGTTTAACCATGTTGGCCAGGCTGGTCTCGAACTCCTGACCTCAAGTGATCCATCTGCCTCAGCCTCCCAAAGCGCTGGGATTACAGGCGTGAGCCACTGCATCTAGCCATTTTTCATGTTTGATTTATAAATATGCTTTTGTAATTATTTTCCAAAAATAAAGAATTATTTTGGCACTGTATTTGTAGAGATTAGCATTTAAGAAGGTTGTATCAAGTTACTTAACTTGAATAGACAAACATGTATATATGAGGTATCAGTGTCATTATTTTGTCTCTCATGATTGCATATTTTTACAGAAAGACATTTTAATACACCTTATTAATTAAAATATATTAAACAATCTGTAAAAGTTGTCTAATACAGTAGTCATTTTTGTTGTACTTCATTTTAAAAAATTAAAACTATACTATATAAAATCAATATGACTAAATTGCTATTAAATATTCTAGGCTATAAGAATGGAACTGGATTGTAAGGTATATTGATATATATTTATATTAGTGCAGCATATGATATATTATTATTATAAAATAGTTTTAAATATATTTTCTCAGAGAATGAAGGCAGGTATAGCCATGATCTCTGTAACCCACCACCAAGCTAGAGAGTGGCTCAGAATACAGATTTGTTAGACTTTTATTCACGAGTTAGTGGACTTGACAATACCACCGCTGACTGCAATGTGACAGGCTGACCTTAAAAAATTAATTGGAAGTTACACCACATTAAAGATGTGTCGATTGCTTTAATAGGTATTGTGAGACAGAGAAGCATCTATTAGCCCTCCAGCCCTAATGATTCTGTGTGGATCGGTTAATGAGATGTAAACCTAGCAGCCAATTCAGAGAAGCAAAAATGATAGTGTGGATGGCAAGAGGAAACATTATTTTTCTTTATCTTATTCAGCTTTCCAACTAGGTATTCTAAATACAGACTATTTCTCCAAAGGTGTTTTACAATTGAGCTAGAAATAGGTCTTCTAATTTCCAGTAGTTACTAATTTTACTAATGTTATACGTTTTCACCTTTATTGTCTCGCTTCATAATTCCATGCTGAATGGTGTTTTAAAAACAAATGGTTGGTTCAGTGGCTACTCTATTTAAATGTAAGCTACTAGAGGCTAAGAAATGTCAGAAATGTCGGACTGCTTTGTCTCCTTTTTATTGTCATTATTGTAAAAGAGCTGAACTGGAGAATTTAGGGGAAAATAATCTACATGTGCTTTTCAGAAAATGAAAGCACGAGTATTATCTGGACTTTAAATTGAGGACAATTTTTATCACAAACCTCTTATACTTCTTACTATACCTCCTATAATTATCTATTTAAATTGATGCTATTTGGTGGCTGGCATTTTATATAACTTTCAAAACAATCCTTGAATTATCATTGCAACAACCAGTGCCAGATGTTCTATGTGCTTTTTTGGGCATGTAAGAATCTCATTGAGCTCATTAAACTCCTAGCCAAAATGCTCATTTTCTACCATGAATGCTATTCATCTTGCCAGGCCATTTAATCTCAACAATAATTTCAACAGGTACAGAGTTCTAGTTATAGCTCACTTTATCCAACTGTAATTGCTACTCTGTGATTGGAACTTATTCCTGAAATTTCTTAATCGATATTTGAATAGACATGGGCACCTAAATGTAGGATATTTGGATTTGCTTCATCAAAACCAAAGTATTCAATTGAAATGTTACTGTACTTTTGTTATTTTTCTCCTTCACATGTGTGAGCAGGAGAATTTAGACTAACTTTTGTTAGCAAGTACATTATGGGATTTAAAAACCACAGACCTTTTCAAAAATCCTTCCTGGTGCAGCAAATGCTTAAATTTAAAATATGTAACTTGTTTTTGATTCAGAGTAGTTCATGTATGCGTAAGACAGAAATATATTCAAATGCACCAGCTTTACCTGTATGTTTTAGGTAATTATAAGAAACGGAAAACCATCCATATGATATGATAGACTGAGAGAAGGAGGGACACACAAAAGCTTTTCTGTTTTAAATCACGGATCTCACTAGCTTTATGGCATTTTGAGACTAGTGAGAACAAAGACATTTTGAATTCAGTGGTGTCTAAAGTATATTATATGTGGATGCATAACGCTGGGAATTCTGGTTGATTAGCAGAGCATGCCAGTTCCAAACAACAGAAGCATGGGTGCACCTTTTATTGTGCATGACAGGTTCATGTGTATTTATTTGGATTTTTTTTTAACTTTCAGATCTTTGGACTCAAGTAAAAACATGGTCAGTAACTACATTTTATGAGGTGGCTAGTTTGACTCTAGGCAGCAGAATACGCAGGCTCAATTCTCTTGATTGGAAAGGATATGTCAACTCTATAAAAACATAATCAGGCAAACAAGATATTAATCTAGAATGGATAGAGATTTTGAAATAACATTAAAAAATTATTTTGAGCCAGAAATAAATTGGTGTGTGGTATGCGGAATCTGTGTATCTGCAATACAGTGCTCCAGATCTTAAACTGGCAATTCCACACCCTTAACTGGTTTGGATAGAAGAGAAAAAAAGAAAGACAATACTGAGCCAAACAACAGTTGTCTTTAGGACAATCACAATCAAAGTCACTATCATCTCTTTCTGAAAATCACACTTCAGTCCTTTTGTATATATAGGAGACCATTCTATTTAATACAACCTGTTAAGATCTCGGCATTTCCTTTACCTTTTTAATTGAGGAGGATTCACCTTTACGAGAAATACAGAAAGAGTACTTTGGTGAAGGCAATCACCGCTCTGAGGCACTAACTTTCTCCTGAAATAAGCAAACATTTGATTTCTTTCCATGTCATGTGTCTGCTTTCTCTTTTTATGGCAGTTACTTTTTAAAAGGGTTTCTTTCTAACTGCTGTTTTTCTTCTTTTATGTCCTGAAGGAAAATAGAAAACAAGCTTGTACTTTTCTTTCAGCTTGGAAAGAGAAAAAGTATTCCCCCCAAACAAAAATATTGACAGTCAAGAGGTCCAGAGAAGATCAGTAAGCCAGAGCTGTGGAAGACGTAAATAAACCTTTTTTTTTTTTTTTTTTTTTTTGGCCCAAGAGATGTAGGCAGGTAGATGTGGTACACACTACATGCTCAATTTTATTTTCCTGAGGGTGACATTTCTTAAGGTGACAGATAGGATTGTTTTGTTGTTGTTGTTGCTTTCATCAGTTCTGTTATTATCAGTTAGTTATATTCATGTGACTTCCCCAGTATGTTTAGGACTCATTATGGAAACAGCAATAATGATATTATTATCTGAGGAACAAAAAGGAGAGGACATTTGAAGGATTACTTGATAAATTGTTCCTGTCCTGCATAAAGATTGATTCAGAGTGAAATGTTTTGCAAAATAAGCTCAAATAGAGATATTGGTACATAGTTGACCAGTATTTATTTGGAATTTATTTGAAACAAACACACAAACAAAAACCTATAAATGACAAAGGAATTTGAGGATAACTTCAATGATGTGATGATTCTTCCAAAGTTACTTGAGATACAATTAACTTATAAGTCAAAGTTAAACAAATAGTAACTGTGCTCCTCCCATTTATGTTTATTTACATTTTTAAAGTTATACACAGTGACTAAAAGAAGATAAGTCCTGATGCTCCTGTCAAAAATAAGAAATTAAGCATTATTATCCAAGGTATGTGGTTTCTATTACGATAATAGAGAGCAATTCTCTTAGAAGAAAAACTTCCGGGCCAGGTGCAGTGGCTCACGCCTTTAATCCCAGCACTTTGGAAGGCCGAGGTGGGTGGATCATGAAGTCAGGAGTTCGAGACTAGCCTGGCCAACATGGTGAAACCCCATGTCTACTAAAAAAATACAAAAATTAGTTGGGCGTGGTGGCGCGCATCTGTAATCCCAGTTACTCCGGAGGCTGAGGCAGGAGAAACGCTTGAACTGTAGTGATCAGAGATCGCGCCATTGCACTCCAGGCTGGGCGACAAAGCGAGACTCCATCTCAAAAAAAAAAAAAAGAAGACAAACTTCTTTAGTACAACAATCATTCATTCATTTAGTCATTCAAAAAAGCAGAATGTTTGTCAAGCACTGGAAATACAATGATAAAAAATCAACATAGCGTTTGTCCTCTAGTAGTTTACAGTCTAATCAGGAGAAATATATTTATCTATAATAAAATGTAAAAATACTTTTTAAAATTCAATGTACCATAGGGTACATTGCGCTTGGCTTTGTTTCCTCATTATGACTCCTGGAATGAAGAAAGCAGTGAATAAACATTAGTTCTGTTATATTAAAGATGAAAGAAAAAGAGGCCCTTGCTATTGCTAACTGCTTTCTTTTTCTTATCATCACTCATTTTACCAATATTATTTTTACAGTATTTTCTGAAATATCTGGGTGGGAGGCATTATCAGTAGAAAATGATGGTACAGATACTTCTATGACTGAAAATAGTGGATGGAGAAAAGAAAATGTTAATGAGGTTATATACTGAACAATCAAAATTAAAAAGTGAATGTTTGCTTTTGGAGAGAAATATTCATGTAAACAAGAAATGAACAATTTATTTTTTTAAATTACTGCAAATCAATGTATACTTTAAAAATAGTTTAACATCATTTATAAAATTTCTATACATGATATTTGAATCCACATCCATGTAACTGTTGACTTATTTGGTAATATGTCACTGAATTGCAAAATCCTGAATAAATTCTAATACAGATTTTTTCCAAAGGAAAAATGAAGAAAATGTCAACTTGATTTTTACTGAGCTACAGTAATATTCTGATATAAGAGAATAAAGCCAAATTTATAGTCCTTTCACCACTAACATCTTGACATAGCATCTGCAGGTGATACTTGCATATGTATGCATAAATGTCTTTGTAAAAGTTTTTATTATTAAGTCTTTATGCTTACAAATCATCTCTAAATGACATGTAAAAAATAAAATGCTAGGGCCAGTTTCTCCCTTAAACAACAACTAGAAGAACTAATAGCTGATAGCTTTTTGAAAATATTATAAAACGAGTAGGAATAAAAAGTCATATTTTATAAAGCAAAACAACTAATTTTTTCTAATAATAAAACCTGCAACATATGAAAAATAAACTGGAGGAGAAAATTCAAATCATTGCTATAACAACAGGTAAATACTGAAATATTCTGGGGTATTTTATCTTCCAAAATCTAATATTTTGGATTTATGTGTTTTTACTTTATTTTTATTTACACACAGATTTCTTTACCCCATTTTATCTGCTTACCTTACAGCAGTTTCCTATGTCACTAAATATTTTTGCAAAATATTTTAATAGATGCATACAATTTCATCCAAAATAAATCATAGTTTACTGATATTTGGCTCATTTTCCAGTGTTTCAATAATTGGGTTAGTAGTGCACATCATCTGCCCTTCATACGTCTGCTGTATCCATATCATCTGTATCTACAATATTGTGGTACTTATATTGTGTATAGAAATTGTGTGTCTAAAATGTAGTACTTAACAGTTTCTGTTAATAGAAATCAGGGCTTTTCTACTCAGAGGAGAAGTGGAGAGAAAGACAAAATACAAGCGAGGCAGCAAGGGATAAATAGGTGAGGCACACAGGATTTTTAGGGCAATGAAAATATTCTAAGTGATGTAATAGCAGATAGGTGCCATAATACTTTGTTCAAACACGTAGAATGTATAACATCAGTAGTGACCCCTGGTGCAAACTATGTACTTTGACTGGTTATGCTGTATGAATGTAGGTTCATCAGTTGTAACAAATGTGCCATTTTGGTGGGGGATGTTGATAATGGGAGAAGTAATACCTTGTGGGGGCTAGAGGTCTATCGAATATTGCTGTACCTTCCTCTCAACTTTTCTGCAAACCTAACAATAATCCAAAAAATAGTCTTAAAAATCAGAAAATAGAGACATAAGGAAGATAAAGCTGTCATTGGAGTAGCATCATGTTATATCACAATGGTTGATGTAGTGGCAGAAAAGAGTTTAATGAGAATGCTATTATAGTTATATACCTACTTAAATGCTAGGTATTTTACATAGATCAACTCCTTTAATCTTCTCAACAATCCAATGATCCAAATACCAGTTACCCACCTTTTGTGGCTGAAGAAGCTGAAACTCACAGAGTCTTGGAACCCAGGCTATCTGACTCCAAAGTTCGCATGGTTGACTACTAGTGCTTCTAACAAGATACCTGACTATGCCTAGGTTCAAGGAAGATCAGAAACAAATACAAGAGTCAGTGGTTCCTGCCCAGGTTTCCATTTTGGCTGCTGGTTTATATTGACATCAAAAATCCCTGGATGGAAGTAATTTTGAAAGGTCACTTAATCTGTTCACCCTCCGTTAAACTTTTCTGACAGATGAGTAGCTACCTTAATTCTCTACCCCTTCAAAGGAAAGCACAGCTTCCTTCTGTCCCTTATTCGTGGATTTAGCAAACCCTATTGCAGGAAATCTCATCTTTTTTATAGCATAAATCCCACTCAATGCTATTTAAGCTTGTTGCCTTTTGCTTAGTTTCTTGAGAAAATGTAGTGATGTCTAAATAACAGAATTTCCTAGACTTCAAGACAGATACTAAAAATGTCTTTTCTTCAAACTATATAATTCATTTGCCTTTAACTTTTATTTTAAACAACATAGTTGTCTTTCAGTTTTCTTTTTGGCATTAGGGTTCTTTTCTTTCTTGTTTTTATTTTTTTAATGGACTCAAATTAGGGTGTTCTAGAGGCAGTTTGACCTTGAGTTTGCTGGCTTTTCTAGTAGATTTTTGTTTAAATCCCTTTAAACAAATTTTTATAACTGCCCTGTGTTCTTCATCAATGATGTCAAAACACTGTAACTCCTTGTATTTTTAAAATGTATTTTCTTCCAATCACTTGCTTTATTTTAATGACTTAATCAGATATGTATGGAGATAGCAACACTTGGTGGGTAAAAAATCCACCAATGCAAATGTCCTTCTGACAGAATATTGATTTGCTGATGATGTATTTCAAAAGCCTGCTTACTTTCCCTTTTTTATTTCCAGCCTATCTGTAGTCCCATTTAATTTATATTGTGCAGCTAATAGAGTTTCATCTTTATTCAGTGTTTCCATCTTAAATTTAAATGGGATTAATGCAGTGAAAAGTTATTTTTAAATGATTAGGTTAATAATCTGGAAATTATGGCTTCCCAAATAAGGCATTCCCAAAGCTCCTATCTGAATATTTACTTCATTTTTTAGGACTGCTCTTTGCCTGTCCTCAAATTTCCAAATCATTAATATAATGTTCATATGATTAATAATTCCAAATATAATTTATCTTCTTTGTGCATTACTTTGAAAACAGTAGAAATCATCTTCTCAATTGATTCAACAGCTGTAGATCTTTCTAGAGGTCACATTGCAACATGGCATTTGTCATCAATCATGGCTTTAATTAAAATTTAGATTATAGCTGAGTAAACCTTCTCCTCTGCTGTTAATTTCTTAAACATTTTTACCCTTGTCTTTTTTATTTTAAAAGATAACAAATAATAATATTTATTGTATATTTTAATTTTGTATTTTCTGTACTGCTTAGTATTCACTTTTACAAAAAACAAGTATAAGCATTAAAATCTAAATAATGCTTTCCATATAGTCAGAAGTTACCTTATTTCTATACGTACAATCTCCATTACTGTAACACACCATTTATATTATCTTGCTTCTTAATTTTGTATCCAAAACAAGCTACCACTGCTTTTCTTATTATTTGTGTTTCTTATAAAGCAAATAAACAGAACCCCAAACTTCCACTTACTTATTCAAACATACAAATAATATGTGCTATGTAGATGTGTGAAAAGCAACATGATCTTAAAAATACTCAGGATACTAGAAAGGATCCAATGGAAAATGAAGGGTAGTATTTTTAGGATAGTAGGCCCATTTTTTCATACAGTCATATACGCAAAGCCCTGTGATCTGAAAATGTGTACTATAAATTCATGCCTTCCCAGAAATCTAGATAATCTGTGTCATAAGCTGACCTGTTTAAGAGATCATCATATATCTCCAGAAATCTGGAATAATCAATAATTGGTCTTAAAATATATGTTTAGACTAGAGTAACTCTGTAAGTGTATGAATATTAATATCATATATGTTGTTAAATGTTTAATAAGTAGTAAACTAATTTGAGTCTATTAGAAAAAAACTATATTTATTACTAATTGAGATATGTATAATAAAAATAATTTAAATATTTAATGAAGTTGAAATCGATTTTGCCTAAGTCAGTGTCAATCTTAAATTACATAAAACTATATTTTTGAAATGATATATGTCTAGAACATGTTATCTATTTATTTATTTATTTTAAGAGTCTCGCTCTGTCATCCAGGCTGGAGTGTAGTGGTGTGATCTTGGCTCACTGCAACCTGCGCCTCCCAGGCTCAAGCTATTCTCATGCATCAGCCTCCCGAGTAGCTGGGATTACAGGCACCCACCACCACCCCTGGCTAATTTTTATATTTTTAATTGAGAGGGTGTTTCACCATGTTGGCTAGGCTGGTCTCCAACTCCTGACCTCAAGTGATCCGCCTGCCTAGGCTTTCCAAAGTGCTGGGATTACAGATGTGAGCCACTGCGCCCAGCCTAGAACATGTTTTTAAAAAATTATAGTTACATGTTCTAAAGCAACTCTGTACTCAAATAAATCAAATACTTATGTATAGCTGTGTAGGAATTCTAAAGAAAATTAAGAACAACAGCTCTATCAAGCAGCACATCAAAGTATATGTGAAATATATGAAATTCCACCTTATATCACAATTTCAAACTTTTGCTGTACCTCTAGATCAGCAATAGGTAGTTTTGTTTTATTCTTCCGTTCAATGAGAGTTTAGCCAGGTTATAAATCCTACTAATAGAAAGGAAGTAAATATAAACAATGATAAATGCTAAAATGTTATAAAAGTTTGTTTATATCCCTATAATAAATCATTTGGGGACATCGTTGGATTTAAATCAGTAGATATTATACATATATGTGTGTGTGTATATATATATATATATATATATATATATGTATAATTAGTGCATAACATTTATTCTGTTAAAATAGTTGGATTAAGATTATTGGAATCCATTAATTGTTAATTCCTTTTGCCTGCCAATGATTACCTTAAAAGCATTCAAAATGCTTTTTTGAATGGCCAGGAAAAATTCAACAGAATTTGTATCTGGTTTTATAAGACTGAACTTCTATAGTTTTGTCTAAGAAAATCCTGTAAGAATTTCCATTACCTATACTACACTATATATACAAGAAGAACTTTATATTTCCAAGTTTTTTTATTATTCTTACCAATTTTAGTGTCCCATATTTTATATACACAGTTTTCATATCTAACTCATTATCTTTAAATTATTAAATTTGTTTGTGTTTTTAAGATTTATTGAATGAAAATTCAATATGTTTAAACTATCTTTAAGTGAGGTTTTTTAGTATTGCCTAATGATATGAGAAGATTCATTGGAAATTAGATGACTTTTGGAGTCACAGCAGTATGCAAAGTGTAGAAGATAAAACGTTTAAATAACAGGCCTACTGACTCCTACATTAAAAATCATAAAATGGGAAATAGTTTTACCACAAGGAGTCAGTATTGATGGATGAGTTCACTGGAAAAGTCCACCAAAGGGAAGATCAACAAGGTCCATTTACAAATTAGGGTTTTCAATTCAATCTTATGAGTCCAAGCTGCTGCCATATCAGGAAGTGGTTCACACAAGGGGAAAAATGTGATTATGATACTTCTCATTGAATCAAAATAACACAAATATTATACTCACATCATTTCACCTTTCCACAATCCAGTGACTTGCACAGGGAGAAGTAATTCTCACATGTACTTATTACATGAAAAATAGATTTTAAAATGCAGGATTTATATCAAAAGGAAAACAAAATTGTGTATTGTTTTCAACCATTGCAAAAGTGCTGCTATTCTTAATTTTAAAAATAAATCATTAAAAACAGAAAAGATGCTTCCGGGGCAACATGGCAAAACCTCATCTCTACAAAAAATACACAAAAAATTAACCAGATGTGATGGTGCATGCCTATAGTCCCAACTACTCAGGAGGTGGGAGAATCACCTAAGCCCAGGAGTTCAAGGCTGCAGTGAGCCATGATCATGCCACCACACTCCAGCCCAGGTGACAGAGTGAGACCCTGTCCCCCCACCGCCCCCGCCCCCCCCAAAAAACCTAACCTAATTTCTAATAAAAGTGTAAAGAGGAGGACAGAATAAGAAGTTTTCTAAGGATTGTGCCATATTTGAATTTTTTAAAGGAAAGTAACTCATGTTATTCTGGAGTTTTGCCTTACTTTGCAACTGATAACAGATTTGGAAACTACATCAAGCCAAATCAACTTTTAAGCTAGTTATTGAAAATTTGAATTATGCCTATAATGAACCTACAGAACATATTTTAGAAGTATCTTGGTTTTACAACTGAACTAAATTCAAATTTTCTTGCAAGTTCAGCTTCTCAATACCATATATTCATCATTTGTCCTATAACTTGATATTTATACTGAACACATATTTCTGTTTCCATGAATATAAAATAAATATAAAACAACAAGAGGCTTTCAGTGGAATGTAAATCAATACTTTGGCAAAAATGTAACCTGTTAACTTTTCTCTATTCCTATCCAAACCCCAGGCTAATAGCACTTCAGTATTTCAAACATTAAGTAAATCTATAACAAAACCTTACTTTTGAAAGCAAACATATGTCTGGTTTTGATTTGTTATTCCCATATAAGTGCAGAACATAAACTACTTTCCACTGCCATGGCTTTACCACAAGCATACTTTCTCTAGTCTGTGGGCATAAAATATGAAACAGGCTCTTTTCATGAAGGAGGAAATCTACCTTTGAAACAAAAAAAGACACCGTGACTTGGAACTTTCACCCTTTTTGTCCCAAAATTTCCCTGTGATGAAAGCACATTTAAACATTACTCCTATTAGTTGTATTTTCTTTGATTATATTATAAACTGAATTCATTTTGCAAATGCACAGAGCTTCAAAATTATTAATCTTTATTTAATATGTCCCATCCCACATAATTTCTTTGAATACGTAAGATTTCCTAATAAATATTGAGAGAATTATTTTGCCTATTTTAAAACTCAGTTAACATTCTAAACCCAATTAAATCTTATTCCATCAATCCCCATGGCATGTATTTATAATAGTATTCTCTTTTTTTAACTTAATATATCGCAGTTTGCTTACATAGTAAAAAATTTAATCAGAGGCAATACCCACTAAATTACCATGTTTTGATGGTGTTGTTTTCCTGATAGGCTATGCCAAATTGGTCAGTATGTTACCATGGCCTTCTGATTAAGAAATAGCAATGGACTGGAAGGAAATCTACAAATGTACAGAAAACTTGGAGCAAGCATTTAATTTCTATGTATCCAAGTCTATGGAAAATGTTACAACCTTCTATTTTAAGGAAGCATCTAACTTTTACACAGAGATGAAATTGCCCACATAATACTGCTTGTATAGTCATCAAATAGTATAGTCAGATATATTTACTTCATAAAAAAACTTGAGATATTCCGATTGAGCAAATGAGGAGGACATATAGGGAGCATCCATTATGCATAACAGATTGAGTAAGTCAAATGTATTGTGTCTGCATATTTTATATCAATATTCTGCATGGACAGAGAAATATTAATACTAAGTATTTTCTCTCGTACAAGTTATTTAATTTCATCCAAGTACTTGTAGGACATACTAGAAAACCCCTTCTATGGCTGACTTTAGAGGCTTTGGATAGCAGATTTTTTTTATGGTCATAATAGAAATTTCCACTTGATTGTATTATCTAGGAGAGAAAACATAATTTTCTATAAAGAATAACTTTAATTTTGAAACTTCCTCTAGAAAAAGGCAATGCAAAGGAGAAAAATATGGAATAAAATACAATCGTGAATATTGGACTCTTAGAAATAGTTTATTACAAATTATGATATATGTTTTGCTACTTTCTCCTTGTGAATTATACTTAATACAGTATTTTTATTTCTTATGCCCCAGCATGTCAACATAAAGATAAGCATTAAGGGAATCTTGGTGATACTATATCTGCTATTGTATATTTTTCAGAGCCATGCTTTATTCTCAAAACTCTTCTCTAAAGGAGATGAAGAGGTCAACACAAGTACCTAGTTAGACCTCGTTAGACCTCACATCGGCACACTGATTGGGGTCCTTTCTCTGAAGCATTGAGACATTGTTTGCTTGATTGGCAAAGGAGAGCTGTCTCACCATGTTCATGCTTGCTGTTCATTTTATTTTTCTATTTTATATGATTAAGGTCCATTATGAGGAGTTTTTAGGTCACACACTGTTAAATGTTATTGCAACCGATGGTCACTTTGATCAGCCTGTCTCACAACTTTTCTTTGAAAATTCTGTGTTCCCTTTCAAAAGCTTTCCCAGTAAAAATGGTTTTAAATTAAGTCATCAAAGAAAAAATAATGCACAGGGGCCAATTAATATACTCACTGACAGGGCTTCTACTCCCTCTTTTTTCTTTCATCCTGACTCATGCAGTTAATTTAGAGGACATAGATTTCTTATAGGACTAAGGAAAGAGAGAGAGAGAAAGAGAGAGAGATGCACTAATCTCAGGCTGTCCTTGCATTGGCCTCAGAAATGATCTTCATCATGATTCAATGGAATGAGAAAAATCATATCACATGTTATATTGTTACTATTGCTGAAATGTGTGAACACTATTTTGTAATCTGTTGATTGGTGCAAGATGTGCATTTGACATAGACTTAGCTATGAATAAAATGCATGGGAACCACAAAACAGATTACATGTTTAGATTCATGATAAATGCATTTTGAAAATACACTTAGAGGAGAGAAAAAATTTCTTAAGGTTAGATATATAAATCTGTGTCACATATTATAGGCTCATATTTTTGATATTTTTTATTTTTTAAAAATTTCATTTAAAATAGAAGTATATAATAAACATAATTAATAGACCACTAATGTTACACTAGGCAGAAATTACTTTTAAATTTACTGTTAATCATGTTAAAAATTATAATTTTACTGATAATAATTTTTATTATTATACAGAGATATTTCATTTTTCCCTGCTTTCAGCAAAAAACCTCCTGCTATTATTTATTTCCCTTAAAGGTATGTGCATATATATGTGTGTCTTCAAAGTTATAAATACAAGCATTATTCTTTTTACTCACTTCCAATATGTCACTGTTGTTACACTTTAAATAATAGTTCAAGTTATCAAACACCCCAAGACAATGATATTTTCAATAAATTTATGTTCTCACATAAAACATACTTGTAATGAATTCCACATCTGCATAGCTGAAAAGCATTTTATAATATCAGAGTCTCCAGGGGATTTCAGGTCTAGAGATTATAAAGCTGCAATTAAAGCAAGGTTTGTAGTGGCATTGTCATTATCTGAGCAGAACTCCATCTCCTGAAATTGACAGAAAATGTTTAATTCTAGACATTTAAGGGACATTTGCATTAATAAAAGGGAAACCATGCAGTGGGTCACATAACTTGCAAAGAGATTAAAGAATGTATAATGTCAGAGAAGCTCAGAGAACTTCCTTATTACAAGAAAAGAAGGTGGGAGACTCTTACATAGAGCTTTCAAATAACTGTGCGGTGTTAAGCTGCCATGTGAGAAAAGAAATTAACTGATGGGACTGACAGCATGGAGCTGCCAGGAAACTAATCATGCTATTTCCTGATCCTAGTACTACTCATCAGTGTCAAATTATAAATTATAACATCCTAAGTGAGACAAGGAGATTACAAAATATGAAAATGAAGATATTGGGAAAAAATTCTCAATTAACACTTGATTTTGATCCTATCTCTATAAAGGGAAAAAAAGTAATGTGTTTCTAAATTCATGCGTTGCAGAAACAGGCTTTTTATTATTGTAACTACAATATTATTACATACCTCATTAAGTGATTGCAATTTCAAAACATTATTGCTCAACTGGGTAAAAGAATGTGCTGGTTAATATTGTCAACTTGATTGGCTTGAAAGATGCAATATATTGTTTCTGGGTGTGTCTGTGAGGCTGTTGCCAAAGGAGATTAACATTTGAGTCAGTGAACTGGGAGAGGCACAACTACCCTCTATCTGGGTGGGCACTTTATCTGTCCGTTCTCATAGTGCTAATAAAGACATACCTGAGACTGGGTTATTTATAAAGGAAAGAGGTTTGGTCAGGTGCAATGGCTCACGTCTGTAATCCCAGCACTTTGGGAGGCTGAGGCTGGGGGATCACCTGAGGTCCGGAGTTAGAGACCAGTCTAACTAACAGGGTGAAACCTCATCTCCAGTAAAAATACAAAAGTTAGGTGGGCATGGTGGTGGGCGCCTGTAATCCCAGCTACTCGGGAGGCTGAGGCAAGAGAATCACTTGAACTTGGGAGGTGGAGGCTGTGTGAGCCGAGATCGTGCCACTGCACTCCAGCCTGGGCAATAAGAGTGAAACTCCGTCTCAAAAAAAAAAAAAAAAGGAAAGAGGTTTAATGGACTCTGGCTGGGTTGGCCTCACAATCGTGGTGGAAGAGAAAGGAAGAGCAAAGTGACGTCTGACATAGTGACAGGCAGGAGGGCATGTGCAGGGGAACTCCTCTTTATAAAACCATCAGATCTCATGAGACTTATTGACTATCGAGAACAGCAGGGGAAAAACCCACCCCCATGATTCAATTTTCTCCCGCTGTGTCCTCCCATGACATGTGGGAATTATGGGAGCTATAATTCAAGATGAGATTTAGGTTGGGACACAGCCAAAACTTATCAGGCTCCATCTAATCAGCTGCCACTGTGGCTAGAATAAAGCAGGCAGGAGAAAGTGGAAGAGCAGACTTGCTGAGTCTTCCAGTATTCATTTTTCTCCTGTGCTGGATGCTTCCTCCCCTCTAACATCAGACTCCAAGTTCTTCAGCTTTTGGACTCTTGGACTTACACCAGTGATTTACCATTTCTTGGGCCTTTGGCCACAGACCAAAGGCTGCACTGTCAGCTTCCCAACTGTTGAGGTTTCTGGACTTGAACTGATCCACCACTGGCTTCCTTGCTCCTCAACTTGCAGATGGCCTATTTTGGAACTCCAACTTGTGATCATGTTAGTCAATTCTTAATAAACTCCCTTTTATACATACATATATCCTATTAGTTCTGTCCCTCTGGAGAACCCTAACTAATACAATAATGCCTTACAATATTTGTTAAAGAACCTAACACTAAATCAACTTAATAAAAGCAAATGATTTTGTAACACTTTATAATGCTCTCACTATAGATAATTAGTTTGGGCCTCATAAGAAGTCTGTTGATAGTTGTCAGGTTGTCTCTATTTCTTATTACTAAGAAGCTGAGGCTTTTGAATACTAAATGTCTTCCCTAAGGTTACTAGTAAGTTGTGAAAATAAGTATCAAATATAAGTCTTCCCAATTCTGGTTCAATACTCTTTCCTTTATATTATCCTGCAACCTGAATAGACTCTTAAATTAGATTGTCTGTAAGTGTCTAAAGCCAGACACATTTGTTAACCTTTATATTTTTTAAGGCTATACTCATGTGCAACTGACTGTAAAAGGTCACTCTATTATATTCAATTTTTTGTGGCTTCCAACATTTATTCCTTATGTTAAATGACAATATGCTTTATAAAATAAAGACATGCTATCAAAATCAGGCTCTAATGAGATAAGTTGAAAGTCAATTATGAGACTTTTGGTTTAAAATAGACTAGCACTTAAATGAAACTCTCATTATTCGCTAATAGAAATGTGAATACTCAGGAAAAAAAGATAAATATTCACAGCAGCAAAAGAAACAAAGTATGAGAGAAAAGCAATTGTCAGAATCTTGGAGAAAATGTAATTTCAGATTCTTTGGTTTGATAAAAACAATTAGTATCAGAGGATCTGCTACCACAGTTTATGTAGGAAGCCAAAAAAATATGTTGTTTCAGCGCTAATAATGAAATCTTGGTCATCTACAAAATTTATAGCTAGAGTATTCATATTAACATTATAAAAGCTAGATTTCAGAGTATAAATTCATATTAGTGATAATAAAGAACATTTCATAATGACAAAGGAGTCAATTCACCAAGAAGACATACCAATTCTAAATGTATATTCACATAGCAACAGAACTTTGAAATACATAAGGAAAACTCTGATAAAACTGGAAGGAAACATGGGAAAACTAAAATGAGGAATTGGCCAACATTATCTGCCCACTAAATCAAATTAATTTTAATAGAAAACTCCAGCCAAAAACAATCAAACATATATTTTTTCAAAATGCACACAAAACATTAATCTATATATATATTATATTTAGGGCCACTAAACAAACTCAATAAAATTAAAATAATAAAACATCATTCAAACTATTTTTTACAGATTGTAACAGAATTGAACTAGAAGTCAATAACAAAAAGATATCAGGAAAATTCCTAATTATTGGAAAATTAAACAACTTAATTGTAAATACTTAATAGTTCAATTTAGAAGTCTCAAAAAAGTTTTTATAATATTTTGAATTGCATTTTAAAAGAAGAAATTATTTCAAAATTTGTGGGAAGCTGCTCAAGCTGCTGAGATTAAAATTTACAGCATTAAATGATCACATAAGAAGAGGAGAAAGTTCTCAAATCAGTAATATAAACCTCTACCTCAAAAAACTAGAAAAAGAAGAGCGAATAAAAACTAAAGCCAGAAGAAAAATAAAAATAATAAAGATAATAGCAGATATTGATGAAATTAGATACACCAAAGCAATGAAAAAAACCAATGACATGAAATACTGCTTCTTCAAACAGATCAAGAAAAGTGATAAAAATTTGTTAGATTGATCAGGAAAAAGACAGAAGGCACATTTATAAATATCAGAATGAAAAGGAGATTATCACTACTAAATCCCACAGATGTAAAAATAACAATACAGCAATACCATAATAAACCCTAGGCTCACAATTTTGAAAAGTTAGATAATATTGATTAATTCTTTGAAAGACAGAAGCTAACAAAACACTCAAGGAAAAGCAGGCCATCTCATTACACTTAATTATATACAATATATAAAATTTATGGTTAAAATCATCCAAGGGAGAAAACTACAGACCAAAATTATTTCACTGCCCTATTCTGCCAAACAATAAAGAAACAATACCAATTCTATACCTCTCTTTCAAAAAAGGGAGGAAAGAATACTTCACAATTTATTGTATGAAGACAGCCTTAGTCTATACTGAAAGCAATATATAAATAAATAAACACAAAAAACCTATATATCACTATCTCTCATGAACATAGTTGCAAAAATCTTTGATGAAATATTTTCAAACTATATCCTACAATGTATAAAATACAGAAATACATTATGGTCAATTTATATTTTTCCTAGGGATGCAAGGTTGGTTCAGCATTTGAAAATCAATAATTTGTTGGATCAGTAGACTAAAGAAGAATAAATAATTATAAAGTTAGATGTATGAACTAGTATTAGATAAAATTTAATGTTTTCATGATAAAAATCTCAGCAACTCAAGAAAAATGTGAAGGAAACTTTCTTAACTTCATAAAATGTATCTAAAACAAATTCACAGTTAACCTTATACTTAATTGTAAAAGACTGAATACTCTCACTGAGATAGGAAACAAAGCAAGCATTTCCTCTTACATAATTTCACCCTGTTGGAAGATTTGCCTTGTGTAATAAGGCAATAAAAATGAATAATAAATAGATTAGAAAGAAAGGAATAATACTGCATCTCTTAGATTTCAAAAATCTAATGGGGGACACTTCTAGAATTAACAAGTGAGTCGGGATGAGACAGAGGATTCAAACTAAATACAGCAAAACTGTTGTTTCTATATATTAGCAAATAACAATTGGAATACAACATGAAGACCAATACCACTTACACAAGTATAAAAAAGTGAATATTAGGTATAAATATAGTAGAATGTATTTTTAATATCAGTATGCTGAAAACTATAGAACACTGATAATAGAAATAGATAAATTATACTCATTGATTGGAAGACTCAATATTTTTAATAGGTTAATTTTCCCCAAATTGATATAGATTCACTGAAATCTCATTAACGTCCCAGTTGGATTTTTGTTTTTTTAATAAGTGATCACAACCACAAATTTTTGAAAACATCTTTTTATACAGATGTTCATTATGTTATATATTTATGTAATGCATATTTTGTGTTTTGTTTATTTATTTAGATGGAGTCTCACTCTTGTCGCCCAGGCTGGAGTGCAGTGGTGCAGTCTCAGCTCAGTTATTTTAAGTCATTGAACATATTTATAATAGATAGGTCCTTGACTATCAATTCTATTAACTGGGTATATGAGGAGTTTGTTTCTTAGGAATATTTATTTTATTTATAGTGGATCATATTTACTTCCTTTTTCTCATGTCTGTTAATATTTTGTCATACCCTTACCATTGTGAATGATACATTGTCTAAATTTTGAATTCTATCATCTTGCCCTGAAATGTGGATTTTGTTCTACCAGGCTAAACTACTGATTGATAACTTTGAAGTTGTAATTCTTGATCTACACTTTGTTAGGGCAGATCTATGGAAAGCCTGAGATGTTGACCAAAACCCTCTCATCTGGAAGTGTTTAAACTGCAAACTCCCTCTTTCTGAGGTGGACGGTATCTTAAATCTTTGCTTACTACTTTGAGCTTTTAACTTGCTGTTTTCTGGTGTCTGTTCTCCCTCCATGTATAATTTAACTGTCTGTAAAGAGGTTAAGCGGCTATTTATGTGGAGATTTTAGGATTCTATTCACTATAATCCCTCTCTTTTGGAAGTCCTATTGGATTCTCTGACAACTCAAGCCTATAAGATTATGGCTTTCAGCTCTTCTGCTCAATTTCTATTTGTTTGACATCATTTTTGTATTATGGAATATCTTCTGAGGAAAAGCCATGTTTAATATAGATTTACGGGTTAGTATGCTAGATGTTTAGGGTTAGTATGCTACATTCTAGTTTCAGTTATGCACTTATAATTTTAAATTTCGTTTTTATTTTTTGAAATATAGTTTTGAGATATTCATATACTATAAAATTTATACATGTAAAGTATACAATTTACTGGAGTTTTAATAGTATATCTCAACGTTGCATAAACACTACCACAATCTAATTTCAGAACACTTTCTTCACTCCATATGGCTCAATGTGTTTCCATACTTATGACCCTGGCGACCACTAATCCACTTTCCACCTCTATGAATTTGCCTACTTGGCATATAAATGAAAGTATACAATAGTGATATAGGAGTTAAGAAGGAATCACTTAAGCAGATAATAAGGGTATGAGAGTCCTTGGTAAGGCTTTTCTTTTTAATGAAAAGCAGCCACAAATTATTTTCTAACAAAGAGCAGACAGTAAAGACAAGCTGCAAACAGACAAGAAAGCTGGGAGTTTGCACAGGTGAATGCCAGCAGGAACTAGGGGATACACATGTTCAAGATGGTGGCTCCATCTTTCCTTCTCTGCCAGCCACGTGTACAATAAAGATCAGACAAGATGGTACTGGCCAAGGGGAGAATTTATTTTTATATTAAGATTAGGATGGGGCAACCAGCCGTCCCTGAACCCTATGTAAACATCATACCTGATCTAACCAATCTGTGAACGCTGTGTAAATCAGACACTGCCTCCTCAAGCCGGGATATAAAAACTGGTGTGTCCACCGCCAGCTGGTTTTTTCTGCTCGGAAGTCTTCTCTCAATAGAGAGAGCTGTTTTTCTTTCTCTTTCCTTCTGCTCGGAAGTCCCCTCTCAATAGAGAGAGCTGTTTTTCTTTCTCTTTCCTTCTGCCTATTAAACCCCTGCTCCTAAACTTTTAGTATGCGACCATGTCCTAAATTTTCCTGGCTTGAGACGATGAACCCTGGGTATATAACCCAGACAACATAGTTGCTTTATACTGGAGATCTCGTCCAGGATACCAAGGTAAAACATTTATCAAAATGGTGAGTAGAGGAGCAAACTCCAACTCTGTCCTTTCATTTCGGGGCTCTTGCCCTCCATTTTAGAACCAAATCAAATCAATAAAGGGCATCTGTCAGCCAGGTAAAAACACAGTTAATGTGGCTGCTGTTCTTAAAGACCTAGATGTGAAGCTTGCTGAGGAGAACATGGAGAATCCCCTGCAACCACGGGTTGCTGGACATGTTGGCCATGTTTGAACCAGCTTCCTTTCATGGAGGACTTAACTGTTGCATGGGGCTGAAAGAGGTTTCAGTGCAACTAAGGATTCCTGGCTGGGGCTATCCCCTGGTTTTATCCAAAGGCTTCTGGACTGACCCCAACCTCTGACCACCCAATGGGGTGTCGGCTACATAATCTCCAACTTTTCTATTGTAATTTCCTCCTTTCCTCTCCACAACTGCCATATCTCCTATGCTCTCTGCATATGCAATATGTGGGAAGTTTTACAGTTCAGGGAAGTAATCTTATTTGGCAAGATCAAGGAGTATTGTAGTAACTGGGGATATAGCTCAAGGGAAGGCGTCTTTCTGATTTTCTAAAAACAGAGGGTCTCCCTTCTACACCGAGCATACTCTCTGCCCGTGGTCTGGAGAGCACCTGGCATTTCTAGGTCACTCTCTGCCCCTGGTCTGGAGAGCACATGGCATTTCCAGGTCTCTCTCTGCCCTTGGTCTGAAGAACACATGGCATGTCAACGTCACTCTGCCCTTGGTGTGGCGAGCACATAGCATTTCAAGGTCAACAGCACCACCTAGTGGCATCGAGATAATCTCCATGAGGCACACCATTGGTTCGTTACCAAAACACTCTTAGCTTACCAATTCTCTTCCCTTTTTGTGCCTCTCTACTAGAAACCAGCCTTCATGCTCCTGTAAATGGCGAAATTCTGCCTTCAACAACTAGGAGTAACATATTATCCGGAGCTAAATTCTAGTCTCAATACTGTCCCATCAGCAGGAAAATAGCCATTTGGTTCCCACATTCCTTTAAGTCACCTATTCTGCCTCTAATTAGAATGGTATTTAATTAGTAAGGGGATTTTTAAGTTCAGAAGTTAACCAGAACCATTTTCTAAGGTTAAATGCTTTAGCATGGGCTATAACAGTAGGATATGGAGCCCAAATCAACCCACTTCCTCCATTAAGGAGGAAAGTGCAAAAGTTTCCCAAAAGCAACTTTCACATAGTCTCTCGAGAGATCCTTTTTTTTTTTCGGGGAGCTAGGCAGGTCATACAAGTCTAGGAAGTCAAAGGGGAATCACAGGCAGAGAACTACAGCTGCATGGTGGGCGTGACTAATCCCAATCTCTTAGTTCCTCTGGTTCCATGGCTGGGGGTCACACCTGCAACCATGGGTGGCACATTCAACAAGGTGCCAGGACCCAGGAACCACGGAGGGGAAACAGCTGGGGGACACCCACACTGTCTTCCTCCCAACTCTGGGTCATACCAAAAGGAAGAAGGCAAAAGGGATACCTTTTTCTCACTTCTCTTTCTAGATGGGTAACAGGTTATCTTCGGGCTGTACTCCTCTGGAGTGCATTCTGAAGCACTGGGACTCCTTTGACCCTGAGACTTTGAAGAAAACATGGCCCATTTTCTTTTGCATAAGGGCATGGTCTTTTTACCCTCTTGAACCAGCCTGGCTTGTGGAAGGAAGCTTAATTTTAATATTAACTGACAGTTAGATCTTTTCTGCAGATGGGAGGGCAAATGGTCCAAGGTACCTTATGTGCAGGCTTTCTTTTGCTCTGCGTGACAACCCATATCTTTGCAAACATTGCACAATTGACTCAGCCCTTTTACCTATCATGTCAGACGGTCCCAAGGGGAATGATTCCCCAAGACTAGAAAAGCAAATTCTGCAGAAACCATCTGAGGCAGCTATTGAGTGTGCCAGCCCTTCCAGTCTCCCTTATCTGGGGCCACTTCCAACCATGCCACAGATCTTCCACCTCCACCATCTCCAAAGTTTCCCACTTTCACACATTCACTGTTCCCTCTACAGGAAAGGCCCAATGGAGGTGATGCCATTAGGGTTCAAGTTCCCTCCTCATTGCAAGCTCTTAGGCAAGTAAAGGGAGACCTAAGCCAATTTTCTGATGACACTGATAGGTATATAGAAGCCATCCAAAATTTAACTCAGGTATTTGACCTCTCCTGGAGGGATGTTATGCTGCTCCTAAGCCAAACCCTAACCACAGCTGAGAGGCAGGTAGCTCTGTAGGCAGCAGAGAAATTCAGAAATGAGCAATGTGTCTCCCGTAGTAGGTCTAAAAGAAAAGAGAAAATAGGGAAGGTGAAGAAATAATGGAAACTCCATTCCCAAAAGGAAGGAAAGCAGTTCCTCTTGACAACTCTAATTGGGGCCCTAATGATGCTACAGATGAATGGAAAAGGAAACATTTTTTAATGTGCATATTTAAGGTCACACCTGCAACTATGGGCAGCACATTCAACAAGTGCCAGGACCCAGATCTAGTGCCAGAAAAACTTGGACTAAACCTCTTAATTACTCTAAACTGTTCATGATAGATCAAAAGCCAGATGAGAATCCTACAGCCTTCTTGGAAAGACTGAGAGAGGCACTAATAAAGCACAACAATAATCCATAAACTCTTTAGCCTCAGTAGTAATACAGAATAGACAGGCCCTAGATGTCCTTACAGCCAAAGGAGGGGGACCTGGGAGTCTTAAATGAAAAATGCTGCTTCCAGATCAACACCTCTAGTCAAGTAGAAGAAAACCTACAGTTGCTTAAAGATCAAGTTAAAATCAATTACAGATTAAAAGAAAATGCAGGCTCCAGCCCTGGATGGCTACAATCCCTCTTTAATGAATTCTAGTCTTCTTCGTGAAACTGGCTAGTGACATTGTTAACTGGTTAGTGCCCCCTCTTGCTCATATGTTTTATATTAACGTCTGGACCTTGTCTACTCAATACTGTTACTCAAATTGTTTACTCTTGCCTAGAAGCAATCCAATTCCAAATGGTGCTGCAGAGTGAACCACACATGGACACGCCTTTCTTCCGAGGACTCTTAGTTCAACCCCAGGAGGATCCCTACTTTCTGTTCCTCACACTGCTTTTCAGCAGGAAGTAGCCAGAAAGAGTCATTGACCAACACCCCTAACAGCAGTTAGGGTTACCACTCCTGAGTGAGGAAGGACATAGGAGTTAAGAAGAAATCACTTTAGCAGATAGTAAGGGTAGTGTAGTCCTCAGTAAGGCTTTTCTTTTTAATAAAAAGCAGCCACACATAATTTTCCAACAAAGAGCAGCCTGTAAAGTCAAACTTCAGACATAGAAAAGAAAGCTAGGGTCTGGGCCTGGTGGCTCATGCCTGTAATCCCAGCACTTTGGAAGGCCAAGGTGGGTGCAACACCTGAGGTCAGGAGTTCAAGACCAGCCTGGCCGACATAGTGAAACCCCGTCTCTACCAAAAATACAAAAACTAGCTGGGTGTGATGGCAGGTGCCTGTAATCCCAGATACTCGGGAGGCTGAGGCAGGAGAATTGCTTGAACCTGGGAGGCAGAGGTTGCAGTGAGCTGAGATCACGTCATTGCACTCCAGCCTGGGCAAGACAGCGAGATTCCATCTCAAAATAAATAAACAAATAAGTAAATAAACAAATAAATGGAAAGAAAGAAAGCAAGAAAGCTGGGAGCTTGCACTGGTGAATGCTGGCAGGAACTAGAAACTAGACATGTTCAAGATGGCAGCTACATCTTCCCTTAGCCGCCAGCCACTTGTACAGTAAGGATCAGACGAGATGGCACGGGCTGAGGGGAGAATTCATTTGCATGGTAAGGTTAGGGTGGAGCAACGAGTCTTCCCTGCACACTACGCATACACCATACCTGACTGAACCAATCTGTGATCCCTACGTAATTCAGACACTGTCTCTGCAAGCTGGACTGTAAAACCTAGCACATCTGCTGCCAGCCATTTTTTTCCACTCAGGAGTCCCCTCTCTTAATAGTGAGAGCAGCTTTTCTTTCTCTTTTCTTCTGCCTATTAAACCTCCACTCTTAAACTTGTGTGTGTCTATGTCCTAAATTTTCCTGGCATGAGATGATGAACACTGCATATATACCCCAGACAACATAGCCGTTTCAATACCTGTACTTTTGTGTCTGATTTTTTTTTTTTTTTACTTAGTCTAACCATTTCAAGTGTTTATATTGAAACACTTTCAGTAGTTCATTACTATTTGTGACCAAATAATATTACATGTATGGATATACCACATTATTTAATCCATTCATCAGTTGATACACACTGGTATTGTTTCCACTTTTTGGTAATTGGGAATAAGGTTACTATGAAGATTCTTGTACAAATTTTTATGTAGATGTGTATTTTCATTTCTCTTGGGAATATACCTAGGTATATAATTGCTGGGTGAGATAGTAACACTATGTTCAACATTGTAGGAACTGCAAAACCCTTTTCCACAGTGACAGTACCATTTTACATTTTCACCAGCAGTGTATGAGGGTTACAGCCTCTCCACATTATGGCTATATTAGCTCACTAGGGTTGTCATAACAAAGAATCACAAATTGTGTGGCTTAAAAAATTTATTTTCTCACAGTAATGCCCACTAGAAGTCCATGATCAAGATGTTTGCAAGGTTTGTTCCATCCAAGGGCTCTAAGAGAATCTGTTTTATGCCACTCTCATAACTTCTGGTGTTTTTTGTCTTGTAAATAATATCATTTGTATCTCTGTCTTCATCATTACATGGAATTCTTGTTGTGTTCTTGTCTATTTCTGTGTTCAAATTTCCCTTCTTAATAAAGAAAACAGTTATACTGGATTAAGTCCCCCAGTGGTGACCTCATCTTAACTTGACTGCATCTACAAAAACCTGGTTTGCAGATAAGGTCACATTCTGAGGTACTGAGGTTTAGGACTTCAATATATCTTTTTTGGGGAGACAAAATCCAATCTGTAACACTCATCCACATTGTTATTGTCTTTTTGGTAGTAATCATCCTAATGGCTATGAAGTGGTATTTCATTGCGGTTTTCATTTGCATGTTGTTAATGACTAATTATGTTAACCTTCTTTTTATGAGCTACTAGACATTTTATCTTTTTGGAGATATTTATATTCAGATGCTTTTCCCATTTTCAATTTACTTATTTGTTCATTATGCGTGGTAAAAGTTATTTATTTATATATTCTGAATACAGAATATATAAATGTGAGAAGTACACACCCAATTTCTGAGGTTACTATGAAAATATATGATT
Organism: Homo sapiens; assembly: GCF_000001405.40. NCBI lineage: Eukaryota > Metazoa > Chordata > Mammalia > Primates > Hominidae > Homo > Homo sapiens. The sequence continues at coordinate 104,183,808 of NC_000005.10, forward strand.
TGAAAATATCTTCTTTCATTTTGTGTTTTGTTTTTTCTTTCCTGACAATGTCCTTAGAAGCACCAAAACTTAATTTTGATAAAATCTGCCTTATATATTGTTGCTTATGCTATTTGTTTTAGATCTCTAAGAAATCATCCCCTTTTCCAAGTTCATTAGGTTTACCTTTATGTTTTTTTCTAAGTGTTTTATTATTTTAGTACTTCAAGTGTTTGATCCATTTTTAGTTCATTTTTGGATATGATATGAAGCAGGGGTACAACTGCCTTGTTTATGTATAGATATCTTGTTTTCCCAGAGCCATTTGTTGAAAACTCTTTTTTTCTCCACTGGAGAAATTCACATAAAATTTAAAGAAAGTTTGTGACAGTAAAACAAATAATAATATGTGAATTATATGATGTAAAAGAAGGGACATATTAAGAGACTACATTGAGACACTACTAAAAAAGTTTTTCCCACCATGTCTGTCAATCATTTCCACCACTGGAGTAATGACTACTTCCATATATAAACCAAGTGTTTCTGAACCCACATTTTATCAACTGTTCTACATGTTTGCCTCATTCTTGATTTTTAGGTACTATACTAATTTTACTTCGAGTCCTCTCTAACACTGGAATGCACTGGAGGTCTTGGCACATACATTTTTTGCATGTTGACTCAGTAAACATACCATATATATGACTCTAATACTGATTACACGTAGTAATCAGCATGATTATAAAATACCTATAATAAAATTCGGAGAAAAGGAAAGTAAAATTTATCAAAATATTTGTCCTCCCTGGAGGTGTATTTTCTCTTTATAATGTTTCTCTCTATTTTATAGAACTATAGACTAAGATACAGAATATGGTAGCAGAGACTTTAATATATAAAGTTTGTATCATGTATTCTAATTTTCTGTAATAGTCTATATTGTTTACCAACCAGTAGAAATGTTAGAATTTCATTCAAGATGCTGAGGAATGAGCATAAGAATCTGTATATGGACAATATGAATCAGAAGATGAATATTTTGTACCTGAGAAAAGAATGTATTAGTATAATGAGAACTAACTAAATAAATATATTAAAGGAAAGTGTAGGCCAGTAGGAAAGAGCAAAAGAAAAAGAGAATAATGCAGAAACTTTATCAATAAATGGAATCAGTACTACAGTGGACTGAGACAATTGCAGTCAAAGTGTTGGGAAGCAATAACTTGAGCAAATGTCACTTTTTCTTTCCAAGAAATTGTTGTATCTTACCTTGTGCACATGGAGTCATAATAATAAGTGTCAAAACTGTAAAGGTCTGACATTTTATCCTATCTACAAGTTTACAAGTTAGCCTAAAGAAGTTCTGTAGATATTGGCAGAAGACATGATGCTTCTGAGATGAAGACCTTTACTACTCATGACACATCAAGAAGTATAATCTTCAAAATCATATCATTTCCACAGTGATGATGAGCCCAGGAAGATTCCATGAATGCAATGAGCTTCTATCACAGATGAGGAACCCCATATATAAAGAACTCCCGATTTAATAAGGAAATATAAGAAAACCTGCCCAATCTTTGTCCCAGAGGAAGACATTATCTTTATTATCCTGGACAGCAAATAATTCTACCTTCTGCCCTAGTGGGAGAGAGTATCATTCAAGGTTGCTCATGAAACAAGTATTATTGAAAAGAAGATAGAGAACTAGTCTGTCACAAGACTTGTTTAAATGTGAGAAATCCATGTAGAGTGGTTTCCAAAAATCGGTCACAGAGAAAGAAAGCAACAAAGCATTTAGGTTTCTCAAAGCATCATCTTAAGCAATGATTTGGATGGAACTTGTTGCAGACCACTAAGTGACATTGTTACAGTGCATAGCTAGTTCAGTATGAGCAGTGCATAAGAGGGTTTTCCACCCCCCAACACACACCAAGAGTAATGGTCAGGCGATTAACTGTCTCTCTAAAGTAATAATTGGTCACAGCAGTGCCAGGAAAGGCAGTCTCCTAATAGAAAAAAAAAAAAACACCTAAAACTGGTGATCAGCAGCTTCCCAGTAAGATCTCAGGAGTTGGGAGAGTGGCAAGCAGTAACACAAGACCCTAGAAATATGCCAACATATAAAACCCCAAGTCAAAAGTTCAAGCCGTGCACTTGTCTTTCAAGTCACCTACTTGGCCCTCTTCCAAGTGTACTTTCCTTTCTTTCATTTCTGTTCTAAAGCTTTTTAGTAAATTTTCACTCCTGCTCTGATACTTGCCTCAGTCTCTCCATTAGCCTTTTGCCCTTCTGTCATATTCTTTCTTCTGAGGAGGCAAGAATTGAGGTCACTGCAGTCCTCTATGGATACAAATTTGCCAGCACTAATATTAGTAAATGAGGAGTGTAAGGAAAATAGATGTGCTGTAGTCAAAAATAGGCGGAGGCAGACATCTGGTGCAGCATGACTCAGCGGGTTTGGAGTGCAGGTGCACAACTCTACACATTATGCAACCACGCCACGTGAGGCGCATTAGGTAATCACCCATGTGAGCTTGTGCTTGGCTCGGAACCACTGTTGTCTGTAAAAGTTATAAATACCCCGCTGACACTGTACATATGGCTTGTGCCCAGGCTCACTTGTGCCCAGAGAGAGAGTAAAGCCATGTTGAAATTGTCTACTATTCCTTAAGTATTTTTCTAGCTACCCAGCACTCACCCACTGACTCCCCTCAGACCTTAGTTAGAACCTGACAATTAGCATCACAAACAGGATCCTGAGCTGTGCTGCTTGGATGGGATCCAGTAGAAACCTGGGCAGTGGTAGATGGATCCTCTGCAAGCGTGGAGAAGCTGCTGAAGCAGCTGGAAGTGCAGAGCACCAAGAAGGAGCTAGCTTTTGCCAGCAGAGTTGGACGGGCATTTTTCACTGTGCTATGAGAAGTACACACCCAGTTTCTGAGGGATGTAGTGCAGGTAAGGGCTCTCCAGGTGCAGGCAGGGCACCTGGAGGCCTGGCTGCACAGCTCAGAAAAAGAGTTAGAAGCTGCTATGAATGGGGACCTTCAGGCACAGGTTGGGTGCCTGGAGGCCTGGCTACAGAGCTTGGAATCGCTGCTATGGTGGCTCGGTCCCACAGATGGGATCAAGGGTTCTATGCTGTAAAGAAGGGAAAGATTTCCCACCCACAGAGGGCCCCCCATGGGAGAAAAGGGGTTCCCAATGAGTGACATGTTCGCAGATGTGGATAGATTTGATTTTCGCCAGCGTTGACTGAGAGGAAATTGGTAAGCAGCCCAATGAACTACTCTTAACTTTGTTGAAACAGTTGTCTCCAGAGCAGCAATTCCAGAAAATGCCCAAGGGGAAGAAGGACATTGCTGAGTGACCCAGTCCCACCTGGGTGCTCCAGCCCAAAGACTATGTGCTGCAGCCAGGTGGGGGTGTAAAGTTTTTTCTGTTTGATTAGAAAACTGGCCTAGGTGCCCACCTTGTGGAGACACCGGATGACTGGAGACCACATGTAGACTTGTCAATTGAAGTCCCTGCACCTGGATAATTTCTGGGCATGGCTGCATAGACAGTTATGAAGACCAGTTAGTGAAAGTTAAACCTGTATCTTTGCCCCTTGGCATCGGCCGCTTGGCTCCTTGCTTATGTACTGTGTATGTCTCTCCCATACCTGAATACATTTTGAGGGTGGATGTTTTACACAGCTTGGCAGCTATGCCATCTGTCATGGACTTGATGGACCACTTCACGACAGAATTGGGACAGTACCACTATGTGGTGGATTTGACCAATGCATTCTCAATTAACATTGCCCTAGAGAGCCAAGAAAAGTTTGCCTTCATGGGAAGGTGACCATGGACTTTCACAGTGTTGCTGCAGGGCTATATGCATGGCCCCACCATATGCCATGGTCTTGTTGATAATATTATGTTAACCTCTAATTCTCTTGCAGATTTAGAAGCAGCAGCACTCCTCTTGCCTGAGATTGGGATAGTGTGGCTGAGACCGCCTTCCTGGCAGCCAAGCAGGCTATTCAGTAGGCACAAGCTTTGTGGGTATTAGACCAGGGGCACCTGTTTGAGCTGGGTGTGCATGTGACCACAAATGGTTTCAGTGGGGCCTGTGGTAGCATACGGAGCACTTGAGAATGCCAGTAGGCTTTTGATCCCAACTATGGAAGGGAGGTGAGCTCCAATATTCCTTGATAGAGAAACAGCTAACATCTGTATATGCCACCCTTCAGGCTTGTGAGAGTGTGACAGGATGGGCTACAGCCATTGTACAGATGACTTACCTGATAGTGGGATGGGTACATTCACGGGTAATGACACCCCTGACTAGGACAGCACAGACATTCATTTTAGCAAAGTAGGATGCCTACTGAGAACAGTGGAGTACATTAAGAATGAGTCTTTTAGCAGGAGAGTTTCAAGAGGTCTTGGGACCTGTAGCCCTAATTCAAGATAAAGCCATGGGGCCTGAGGCACCCCTAGACCTTGAGCCATCACCATTTAGGGAAGTGCATCCCCTCATTCACAATGAGGCATGGCACACAGATGGGTCTAGTCAAGGTGCTACTGCTGCTTGGACTGCTCTTGCTGTCCAACCTAATACTGACACCATATGGTTTGAAACTAGGCGTGGACAAAGTAGCCAGTGGGCTGAACCCAGAGCAATGTGCATGGTGATCACCAAGGAGGCGATACCCATAGTAATCTGCACCAATAGCTGGGCAATTTATTGAGGTTTAATCTTGTGGTTAACTACCTGGAAGTTACAGAAGTGGCTAGTCACCAGCCCATGTGGGGCCAAGTCATGTGGCAAGACCTATAAGAGGGAGGATGACCTTCTCTGACCAGGTATGGGGATGAATGGTAACCTGCTGTTGCCTGCCCCCATGCCTCTAAAGGTAGAGAAATAAAAACCGGCTTAATGTATAAAGCAACATTGGGGTAACATCACCATGGGGTGGTTGTCTGCCATAACTTGGAGTTGTTGCTCCCTGTACTACTGCTGTGGCCTCTGGGTCCAGGGTTCTTCCCTGTGGGCCTGTCTCTCCACTAGAAGAACTCCCTCAGCCAAGGGGATGGAATGTAAAGCCTGTGTATCTGGCCTGTGTGCCCAGAGCTAATGTGTCAAGCCTGTGTATCTGGAGTCTGTGCCCAGAGCTTATGTGTCAAGCCTGTGTATCTGGCCTGTGTGCCCAGAGCTTATGTGTCAGGCTTATGTATCAAGCCTATGTGTGTCAGGCCTGTGTGCCCAAAGCATATGTGCAAGGCTTATGTGTCAAGCCTGTGTGCACAAAACCTATGTATAAGGCTTATATGTCAGACCCATGTGTCTAAGGCCTATGTCTCTCTTGGCCTAGGGGGTGGAGTATAAGGAAAATGGATGGCCTGTGGTCAAGAATAGGCCAAGGCAGACATCCAGTATAGCATGACTCAGTGGGTTTGGAGTGCAGGCACACAACTCCGCACATTATGTAACCATGCCACATGAGCTTGTGCTTGGCTCAGAGCCACTGTTGTCTGTAAAAGGTATAACTACCCTGCTGATGCTGTACATACGGCTTGCACCCAGGCTCGCTCATGCCCAGAGAGAGAGTAAAGCCACGTTGAAACTGTCTATGATTCCTTGAGTGTTTTTCCAGCTACCTGCCACTCACCCACTAACTGCCCTTGGTGCTCAGTTAGAACCTGATAAGAAGCAACATAGGGATTATGAATAAAGAATATTAAAGTTTTCTTCTATGCTAGGGAGTTCTTGAATTTTTCACAGCTGTTTAATCTCCCACTGGCATCAATTATACATGTTGTAAATAATAAATATAAGCTTTGGACATCCATATTCCTTTTCCTGCCCTGTTGGATATCATTGTTACACGGCAGTAGATTGGAGATGGAGCAGGATGGAAAGTCATCCATATGATAGTCATATCTAAAACTAACATTGCATTTACTCTGTACCTGAAACAGTTCTAAATGATTTCTGTCAATTATGACATTTAATTTTCTCAACAACCCTGACTGATTACTGTTATTGCCATTTTACAGAAGAGAAACCTGAGGCACAGAAGACCTAATTAATTTTCCTAAGGTCACAGAGCTAGTCAAGGGCAGTACAGGATTTCATCCTAGACAAGTTTTTATCATTGTGCTACAAAGCAAGAGCTGTCCTTTGAAGTTGTTTATGTATTTTTCCCCACATAACTTTTATCTGAAACTTTTGAACTATGATTTCAAGCTAAACCTATTTAGGTTGTGGCAAAAATACACGTGCTGGTCTGAAACTGAGCTCAGTTGAACATTATAGCAACAACTGGCTGAAAGGAAGGCTGTACATTTGGGACAGGATATGAGTCACTGATGGTTATCGGTATCCAAATTACTTGGGTTTCAAAATTTTTCTAAGTAGATTTAATTTGGTTTCTACATTTTTATGCTTTTCTTCTTAAACTATCCTTTACATTTTTTAAATTTACATTATCCCCCAAAAGCTTTAGTAAAACTTAACTTATAAAACTCTATTTATAATATTTAAAGCTAATTTAGTCTAATTTCATGATCCAAACAGTAAAAAATGGCTCATGCAAAGTACTTTTTGGATGTCTCACATTCTTTCAAAATGTATCTTTCATATAACTTTGCTTTTCTCTTCACAGCCAGGTTGTATATTACATCAAATTGTTGTTTTAATTACCAGGTTTTTACTAGTTGAAAATTGACTGTTATTAAAAAACCATAGTATATTACATGTAAGGTTGATATTTTGGGGAGACTAGGAAATGATAATAAAAACAAAGTAAATTTAGTATTCAGATTTGGAATAAGGTGCACATGCAAATATATTTACACATTTTGGAAATAATTTAGAATAATCTTGTGGAGAATTACCCCAGACTATTTGAAATATGATTAAATGTGGCATAGGTCCACAGTTATCTGAACAGTTATTGTGCAGGATCATTAACAGTTGGTGACTTGATTTTAAACTGTTAATTTGAAAATGACCTTCAAGCTAGGTATGATTGATATGGGTGACATTAATCCATTAATGTTCGCAGTGTGACATTTATCCAAGTTACTGTAATCAAAAGACAGCCAACTATTAGAAAGTAAAAGGGAGTGTTTTTGTAAGTACACGGAAATGTCTTTCTCTGTGTAGAAATTTCTTGTTGAAGTATTTTGACTAGAACCAATTCAATAAATACAAGTTGTCTGATATTACAAAGATTGATTTTAAATAAACATGTTGACACCTCTATGCAAATAAACTAGAAAATCTAGAAGAAATGGATAAATTCCTCGACACATACGCTCTCCCAAGACTAAACCAGGAAAAAGTTGAATCTCTGAATAGACCAATAACAGGCTCTGAAATTGAGGCAATAATTAATAGCTTACCAACCAAAAAAAGTCCAAGACCAGATGGATTCACAGCCGAATTCTACCAGAGGTACAAGGAGGAGCTGGTACCATTCCTTCTGAAACTATTCCAATCAATAGAAAAAGAGGGAATCCTCCCTAACTCATTTTATGAGGCCAGCATCATCCTGATACCAAAGCCTGGCAGAGACACAACAAAAAAAGAGAATTTTAGACCAATATCCCTGATGAACATCGATGCAAAAATCCTCAATAAAATACTGGCAAACTGAATCCAGCAGCACATCAAAAAGCTTATCCATCATGATCAAGTGGGCTTCATTCCTGGGATGCAAGACTGGTTCAACATATGCAAATCAATAAACGTAATCTAGCATATAAACAGAACCAACGACAAAAACCACATGATTATCTCAATAGATGCAGAAAAGGCCTTTGACAAAATTCAACAACGCTTCAGGCTAAAAACTCAATAAATTAGGTGTTGATGGGATGTATCTCAAAACAATAAGAACTATCTATGACAAACCCACAGCCAATATCATACTGAATGGGCAAAAACTGGAAGCATTCCCTTTGAAAACTGGCATAAGACAGGGATGCCCTCTTTCACCACTCCTATTCAACATAGTGTTAGAAGTTCTGGCCAGGGCAATCAGGCAGGAGAAGGAAATAAAGAGTATTCAATTAGGAAAAGAGGAAGTCAAATTGTCCCTGTGTGCAGATGACATGATTGTATATCTAGAAAACCCCATTGTCTCAGCCCAAAATCTCCTTAAACTGATAAGCAACTTCAGCAAAGTCTCAGGATACAAGATCAATGTGCAAAAATCAAAAGCGTTCTTATACACCAATAACAGACAAACAGGGAGCCAAATCAAGAGTGAACTCCCATTCACAACTGCTTCAAAGAGAATAAAATACTTAGGAATCCAACTTACAAGGGATGTGAAGGACCTCTTCAAGGAGAACTACAAACCACTGCTCAATGAAATAAAAGAGGATACAAATAAATGGAAGAACATTCCATGCTCATGGGTAGGAAGAATCAATATCGTGAAAATGGCCGTACTGCCCAAGGTAATTTATAGATTCAATGCCATCCCCATCAAGCTACCAATGACTTTCTTCACAGAATTGGAAAAAACTACTTTAAAGTTCATATGGAACCAAAAAAGAGCCTGCATTGCCAAGTCAATCCTAAGCCAAAAGAACAAAGCTGGAGGCATCACACTACCTGACTTCAAACTATACTACAAGGCTACAGTAACCAAAACAGCATGGTACTGGTACCAAAACAGAGATATAGACCAATGGAACAGAACAGAGCCCTCAGAAATAATGCCGCATATCTATAACTATCTGATCTTTGACAAACCTGACAAAAACAAGAAATGGGGAAAGGATTCCCTATTTAATAAATAGTGTTGGGAAAACTGGCTAGCCATATGTAGAAAGCTGAAACTGGATCCCTTCCTTATCCCTTATACAAAAATTAATTCAAGATGGATTAAAGACTTAAACGTTAGACCTAAAACCATAAAAACCCTAGAAGAAAACCTAGGCAATACCATTCAGGACATAGGCATGGGCAAGAACTTCATGTCTAAAACAGCAAAAGCAATGGCAACAAAAGACAAAATTGACAAATGGGATCTAATTAAACTAAAGAGCTTCTGTACAGCAAAAGAAACTACCATCAGAGTGAACAGGCAACCTATAGAACAGGAGAAAATTTTTGCAATCTTCTCATCTGACAAAGGGCTAATATCCAGAATCTACAATGAACTCCAACAAATTTACAAGAAAAAAACAAACCCATCAAAAAGTGGGTGAAGGATATGAACAGACACTTCTCAAAAGAAGACATTTATGCAGCCAAAAGACACATGAAAAAATGCTCATCATCACTGGCCGTCAGAGAAATGCAAATCAAAACCACAATGATAATCCATCTCACACCAGTTGGAATGGCAATCATTAAAAAGTCAGGAAACAGCAGGTGCTGGAGAGGATGTGGAGAAATAGGAACACTTTTACACTGTTGGTGGGACTGTAAACTAGTTCAACCACTGTGGAAGTCAGTGTGGCGATTCCTCAGGGATCTAGAACTAGAAATACCATTTGACCCAGCCATCCCATTACTGGGTATATACCCAAAGGATTATAAATCATGCTGCTATAAAGACACATGCACACGTGTGTTTATTGCGGCACTATTCACAATAGCAAAGACTTGGAACCAACCCAAATGTCCAACAATGATAGACTGGATTAAGAAAATGTGTCACATATACACCATGGAATACTATGCAGCCATAAAAAATGATGAGTTAATGTCCTTTGTAGGGACATGGATGAAGCTGGAAACCATCATTCTCAGCAAACTATTGCAAGGACAAAAAACCAAACACCATATGTTCTCACTCATAGGGGGGAATTGAACAATGAGAACACATGGACACAGGAAGGGGAACATCACACACTGGGGCCTGTTGTGGGGTGGGGGGAGAGGGGAGGGATAGCATTAGGAGCTATACCTAATGCTAAATGACGAGTTACTGGGTGCAGCACACCAACATGGCACATGCATACATATGTAACAAACCTGCACGTTGTGCACATGTACCCTAAAACTTAAAGTATAGTAAAAAAAAAAATCATGAATAAATAAACATGTTGGCTAGCTCCCCCAAATTGCACTCTCTTGTATTCCTAATGAAATATTCATGAAATTATTAAAAAGATATTTTCAAACTCTAATTCTACTAAAAATTAGCAATGATACTTGACAATCTTTCAGTCACTAGGAACAATTTAGTGATTTTTACAATGCAAGCACAGGTAGCACTCTATAATTGAACATCATTATAGAGAAATGTTTAAACATATGGTTATAAAATAAAATTTAAATAATTTGTAAAGGAAAGTAAATTAACATATTTTGGTTATTAAAACAATAAGTGCAAAATTCCAAAATATGTATTCTAGAGAGTGAGTAAAAGCAAGAGAAATTTCATCCTATACAAAAGGGCATAGTAGTTCTGAAATTTATTGAGAATATTTTTAGTAAAATCTAATAAGATAACTTTATACACAATCTTTTTAGAATTAAATACAAGTTGTATACTTTCTTAATAAAGCAAATAAAAATTTAGATTATGCACTTGAGCCAGAAAATAGGGAATCTATAAGGATTCATTAGAAAAAATGTAAAACAATAGATCTAAGGTAAAATTAAACTTATTGCTTATGGTAATTGAAAATGAAGGAAGCTTTCCAATTAAAAAAACTTTTTAAAATAATTAAAGATTATCAAATTTTATGCTATTTACAACATGCACAAATAAAATACAAGTGACACAGAAATGTAAAAATAAAAATGTACCAACAAATATCAAAATATGTCAAGAAAATGTAACAAAACAAAAGGGGAAGTGATATTAAAGTACTGTCAGAGAATAATATAAAGAAACAACAGTATTGATTATTGGAAAATTACACACATATACATATATGTCTTTGTGTGCATGTTGAATTAATAAAGCTTGTTTTCAAAATTGATTTAAGAAATTAAAGTCAAAACTAATACAATACGAAGTAAAAAATTATAATATATATTTTCTGATCAAAGGACAATAACACCAGGAATTCACAAGTTTGGATATGAAAACCAAACACTTAAAGTTGTATAGAAATTAAAAAGCAAAGTCAAGAAAAGTAATTAGTATTGTATTAAGTAAAAAGTAAAAATTATTTAGAAATTAATGACAAAAGAACAATAAACATCACAGTTAATTGGTTGCATTTTCTAAAAACAAGAAAAAAATCACAAAGAAGAACACACACAAACACACATGCATGTTTACTTAATTTACATATGTGCATATTTACTTATTGGCTAGGCCTATGAAAAAAGGTAAACTCATGGAATGTGATTGGCTTACATGAGTCAAAAACAAAAGAAAACCTCTAAAACCCTCAAAGAAAATAGACAAAAATAATGAACTCACAATTCATTACAATTTTTAAGTTTTAGATAATATTTATGAAATATTCTTCATACTCTGTTGTGTTTGAAGAAATGTGAAGTTAAAGTAAGAATATCACATCATTTTCTGCATATTTAAATGTTATAAAAATAAATTTATTTTTAAGACAGGTCTTGCTCTGTCGCTTAGGCTGGACTGCAGTGATGAAATCTTGGCTCATTGTAGCAGCTTGAACACCTGGACTCAAGGGATCCTCCCACCTCAGCCCCGCTCCCCTACTGATTCCAGATTAGCTGGGTTTACAGGCGCATGCCAGTGTGCCAGACTAATGTAATTTTTTTTCCTTTATAGAGATGGGGTCTCACTATGTTTCTCAGGCTTGTCTCAAAATTCTGGCCTCAAGCAATCTTCCCACCTTGGCCTCCCAAAGTGCTGAGATTGCAGGCATGAGTCACCATGCTTGCCCTAAAAACAACGTATTCGATATATGCATTATAATGCTAAGAGTGGAACTTCACATTCAGGAAAATAGTTTGGCTATATTTATTAAGCTTTAAAATATGTACATGAGGATATATATTATATATCATAAATGCAATATTATGATAGAGTGATCAATTCTCAAAAAAGGGAGAAACAGAGGTAAAGACTATGTAAATATGTTTCTTTCATATGAGTTATAATTATGAAATATTAAAACTATGCTTAAAGATAAGGCAAATGAATAAATACATCATGCCACATCTAAATGATAGAATCTTATGCAGTCATCAAAATGGTAATTTTGGAGAGTAAGTGGGGCTAATGTAGTAAGAAACTTAGTATGTACAATATAAATGCCATTTTCCCACATTTTTAACAAATATATGAGCATAGAAATAAACAGTAGAAAAAGACATAACAGAATATTGGTGGTCATTTTAATTTAATGTGTGATTTTATGTCCTATGTATCTTTTATAACTGTATAACTATTATATATATTTTCATAATTTCATGTACATAATTTTATGTTCGATAAACATAAAACATAGGGTGAATGTCACATTTCAATGTAATCTGTTGTGAATGTAATGTCAAGTTGTTCCTATATCTCTGTCCATCAGTTTGATAAAGAATATTTTGTGCATAAATATAAATATTTCTCTCCACAGGGTACTTTATGTTGCCTTTGGAAATATATGCTCTTTCTTGATACTGTTTCCTGCTTGTTTTTATATAATCTGCTTTGTCAGAGTGCTACTACTTCTAAATGCTGAGAAAAACAGTAAAACAATATCTTAATTTTCCTAATATATAGGAATAGGGAGTCAAAATAAACAGCTGTGGCTTGTCTTACACCTAAAATTTACAAATTAATTTGACATGTGGAAACTAAAAGCTAAAAAACTTGCCACCCGATTTTTAAAAGTCTACTTATAGAATAATTTTCCCCAAACTATTTATATTATAAAATGAAAAATCAAACAAATTAAGGGGAATATATAACTCTTTCCTGAATGTGAGTAGCATATTAGTGCATAGTTTAATTATGTTTAATATACAGTTTCTATCATTTCCCCAGCATACAATAGGTAAAGGATATTTTTTACTCTGCTGCTTTGAAAAACTACTGTTGAAAGATTTATTCTGCACATAACAAAGCAAAAGGACAAGAGTACTTGAAGGACTTCCTAATTCTCTCTGTTGAGGTATGGCTGGGCAAGGTGATGTCACATGCCCATAAACAATCATAATCAACAATGTTTACAAAATAAATTAAGAAAAGAAAAGCTGCCACAATTTTTATTATAACTGATATGCCTTACCTTATTCTTTTTGAGAAACTAATGGGCTTATTTACTCCATGGAACAACATAATCGAAATTTTCAGAGAAGAATAAATCTCATGACATGAACTGTACTCTTTAGCATATGGTTCAAAAGACTGAAGGTGAGGATTTTGCTTTTTTCATTTTAAGTTATTAGGCCGAAAGTGAGAGGAGATACACAGGGGCAGGTTGGGGATGGTGATCATTTTTAAAATAAGAGTTTTAATGTCATTGTTTCGTGCTAGTTTTAGGCTTTGCTCTATTTTAGAAACTAGAAATCAGGGTTAATGAGAGGGTTATACTGTGTGACAAATGGAGGGATTGCAGGTGTTAAAGTTTATTGCAGAATTATTGCAATGTCCTATATAAAAAAGAGCTCTCAGTTTTACTTAAAAGATCAAGCTTATAATCACCCACGTTTGACATCTGATTGTTCCTGGTCTCCTGCCATGTGAAATTTGGTGAGATAACAGACTGCCATTCTGAGATTTTAGGAGCTTTAATCTTCTTATCTACAAATACAAAGGTTATATGCTTCACAGTTATTACCATATATAAAATAGGGACAAGATGCAAATTAATTTTCTTTCTTCTATCTCTCCTTCATTCCTCCTTTCTTCTATTCCTGTACATCATTTTGGTGGCCAGTCAAGTGACTACTAGACCTGAGATATATAGATAATAAAGTAAAGCCCACCTGGAAGAGATTTATAATAGAATGAAAAGTCCCTACTATGTATTTAAGCTGTACTAAAATGCATACATATATGTGGATGGCAACCCTGAGGAATCATCCCCTTATGCATTAGTGGCATTCTCCAACCTTTGGAACTGAGTCAAGCATGGTTTTCAGAGGATCTAAGAACTCCTAACAGTGTTTTAGATATGGTTGACTGGTTCACAGGCTTACAAAATAATTTGTAAACAATTAGAACTTTGTGAAACTTGCACTTTGAAACATTCTTTTAGAAAAATATAGTCTCACACAAAGATAGGGAGTTTAGATTTCTGAAAATAAAGGGGGAAAATAAACTGGTTTCTGCTCATTGTTGTTGTCACCAGGCCTTTGGAAGTTTGAATGTTAATTCAGAAGATGAAACAAAGTTTCCAGGTCAGGATTATTGAACCTGGTATCCAACAACAAGAATTTGTAATTATTAGAAAGTCTTTGAGAGAAGTACTAGAGATTAAATAGAAAAAAAAAAAACAGTGATAGAAAACTTTTGTTAAGTATCTGATGGCCAAGCGCTTTATATCTGCATGCTTAGATTTGGACTCCAAGGCTCAGATGAGTGTGTGTGTGTGTGTGTGTGTGTGTGTGTACACAGTCATGAATCACTTAATGGGGATACTTCTGAGAAATGCATTGTTTGGCAATTTTGTCACTGTGCAAATATCATAGGGTGTACTTACACAAACCTACATGGGATAGCCTGCTACACACCTAGGCTATATGGATTGCACCTATGCTACAAACCTGTACAGCATGTTACTACACTTAATACTGTAGGCCACTGTGTATCTAAACATACAAAAGGTACACTAAAAATACAGTAGAATATATAAAAAATGATATACCTGTATAGGCACTTACCATGAGTAGAACTTCCAGGACTGAAAGTTGCTCTGGGTGACACAGTGAGTGAGTGGTGAGTGAATGTGAAGGCCTAGGACATTACTGTCCACTGTTATAAACTGTACAATTAGGCTGCACTAAATTTATAAAAAATATTTTTCTTGCTGGGCGCAGTGGCTCACGCCTGTAATCCCAGCACTTTGGGATGCCAAGGTGGGTGGATTTCCTGAGGTCAGGAGTTCAAGACCAGCCTGGCCAACATGATGAAACCCCCTCTTTACTAAAAATACAAAAATTTGCTGGACGTGGTGGCGGGCACCCGTAATCCAAGCTACTTGGGAGGCTGAGGCAGGAGAATCACTTGAACCCAGGAGGCGGAGGTTGCAGTGAGCTGAGATCACGCCATTGCACTCCAGCTTGGGCAACAGAGTGAGGCTCCATCTCAAAAACAAAAACAAAAAAATTATTTTTCTTTCTTCAATAATAAATTAACCGTAGCTTACTATAACTTACTATGTAATTATTTTACTTTGTAACCTTTTAATTTTTTTAACTTTTTGACTTTTTTTGTAAAAACATTTAGCTTAAAATACACATTGCACAGCCGTACAACAATATTTGTTCTTTATTTCTTATTCCATAATTTTTTTTCTATTTAAGAAATTTTATTTATTATTTTTACTTATTACACTTCTTTGTTAAACTCAAAGACACAAACATACACATTAGCCTAGGCCTACGCAGGTTTGGGATCATGAATATTACTGTCTTCCCTCTCCACATCTTGTCCCAAAGGAACAAAGGACAATAACAGGCATGGAGTTGTAATCTCCTCTGGTAGCAGTTCTTTCTTCTGGCATACCTCATGAAGGTCCTGCCTGAGTCTCCTCTTGAGGAGGTGTCATTGTTTTCAGAAATGTGTCAACAGGGATTTGTTTGGCTTGTACTTTTGTTATTATTTTTTCCACTATAGATTTCTTGTAAGCAAATAATACAGCATTAACATTTTACTCTATTAATAAACCTTTCAGTGTTGGGGGTCCACGTTTTCAAACTGTTTAAGGAGCGCATTGATGTCTGCAACAGCTTCTGCTAAGCCATTCACTGTGAATTTTCTTAGGGGTTCTTTTCCTTCTCTTGCGGTTCCTTTTCTCTCATCTCTTCTTCAGCTGTGTATTCCTGTTCCAGTTCCAACTACCCACTTGTCAATTCCTAAGGAACAACCTCTAGGAGGTCCTCAGTGTCATTCTCATCCACACCCCGGTTAAAGTTGCTTGCCTCTCAACCACAGTTGTGTTGATTTTTGCAACCTCCTAATCTTTGACAAACCTTTGAATTCACAGGGGAGCCTCTTAAGTATCCTTTTACGGATGCCACTCATTCACTCCTTGGTGACATCACCCCAAGTCCAAACAGGGTTCTTGATGTAATCATAGATGTTGTAATCCTTTTAAAATTGTGTCAGTTTATTTTCATCATCTCCCTCAGCTGCAGTAATAAACTGGGCAAAGTTTCTCCTCAGGTCGTAGCTCATGAATGCTGCTATAACTCCTTTACTATTGTTTGGATTAAAGAGGTGGTGTTAGGGACTGGGCTGGGTGTGGTGGCTCATGCCTGTAATCCCAGCCGAGAGGTGTGGATCACCTGATGTCAGGAGTTTGAGACCAGGCTGGGCAACATGGCGAAACCCCATCTCTACTAAAAATACAAAAAAATTAGCCTGGCTTGGTGGCGGGCCCCTGTGATCCCAGCTACGTGGGAGGCAGAGGCTGAAGAGTCGCTTGAACCAGGGAAGTGAAGGTTGCAGTGAGCCAAGATCGTGCCATTGCACTCCAGCCTGGGTGAGAAGAGCAAAACTCTGTCTCTAAACAAAGCAAAACAAACAAACAAAAAACCCACCACCAGCAACAAAAAACAAAGAGGTGGTGTTAGGAAGGAGAGAAAACACATCGATTTTGAGGTGAAGATCATCAGTAAAAGAAGAATGTGCAGTAATGTTACCAATAATAAACAAACTCTTCAAAGGAAAATTATTCCCTTAATAGCACTTCTCCATTTCACTGACACAACAATTCAGCAATATCAGTAGAATGTTTAATAATATTGGAAGAGCGGTTGGGTCATTCATGACTCCTTATTGCTCCTGTCATACACAGGACGACTGTGCTTACTAATACTTGAAGGCTCTGGGTTCTCACTGTGCCAGGTCATAAAGGGTTTCAATTCACAGCCTGCAATATGGCCCCAAAGCAAGACTGTTACCCTGTCCTTAATAGTCTTGAAACTTGGCTTTGACTTAGTCTTCTGATGCATGAAAGTACATTAAGAACCTGTTCCCAGAATAGGGAGTTTCATCCATATCGAAGATTCACTCTGGCAAGTAATTTTTTTCCGCAATCAGCTTATCTGGAGTTTCCAAAATTCATCTGCTGCCCTCTCACATCAGCTCTCGCAGACTCACCACTCATTTTTACTTTGTATAATGGATAAGATTCTTGAATCATTTAACCACCCAGAGCTAGTAGGAAATTTATCACTGTAGTTGGGTCCAGTTTTTCCTTTCAACATTGCAAACAAACATTTTTCTTTGGCTCTGATTATCATGGTACTAAGAGAGATATGCTTCTTTGTCTGGCCTTCAATCCAGGTTATTAGAAGTTTTCACTGGAAGTTTATCCATATCTGATAGGCCCTGCTTGAATTTTTGTTAGTCACGTTCTCTTCAATGACGCATGTCCTTTGACAGCTTCAGTCACTTTTTGTTCCTCAAGGTGGTAGCTATGGTGGAATGACACATGTTCAGAATGACACATTAGCCATCACTGATTTTCTACCTTTGTAATTTTTAATCACTTCCAATTTTGTTTTCAGGTTCAGCACTTAATGCAACCTCTTACTGGCAACATTGGCAATGGATTTTGTATACTTATGGGCCATGATGAACAAAATAACACAAGATTATCAAGCACAGGAGAAAATGGTGCACTCAGGAGACAAGTTAGACATGAGATGCATGAGTCTGCTGCCCGTGTAATACAGTATAATATTTTACAGTTAATATTTTTTAAATCAGTAGAAGGAATACATTCTAAAGTGATGAGAAAAAGTATAGCATAATATACAAACCAGTAACATAGTCATTTATTATCAAGTATTATGTACTGTATGTGATTGTACATGCTATACTTTTATATGATTGTCAGCACAGTATGATTGTTTACACCGGCATCAACACAAACATGAGAATAATGTTTTGAGCTATGATGTTACAATGGCTATAATGTCACTAGGCAATAGGAATTGTTAGCTCCATTATAATCTCATGGGTCTACCATCACATATTGGATCCATCTTTGACTGAAATGTCATTACATGGTACATAACTATATATATTTACAAAGCTACTCATTCAAGAGGTAGCAAAAAAAAAATATGAGAACATGCTGTTATTCCTTCCCTTCATCAATACTTTTCTTACCAGTGGTCTTATATTTTTCTAATATCAATTTGTTTATAAGTCAGGAAAGAGAGAGAGGGTAAAAAATGGAAAATAAGAAATAACAGAGGTAAATTCTCTGTGATCTTGTAATCAGAATGACAATGATGTTTAAGTCTAGGGGTAAAGAGCAATGTACAAGAAATCCCTTCATCCCCTCAACATGGCCGTATTGCCAAACTGAAGCTGTTAAATAATTTTGAAGTGAAAACTTTTATCTATTGCCAGGGGAAACGACAAAAAAGGAAAATGATGAAAAATGTGTTGATGTGTTTTTTTTGTTTTGATTTGTTTTTGGTACTCTCTCTTTATGAGTAAGGCTATTCTAGGAAAGGAGATATATTTCATATATATCTTAAATTCAGTTTCATACAGAAGTTCAAATATTTGAAAATCAGTGACCTAGGGCAGAAAAATAATTCTCAATTTTCTACGACCATTGTCAACCAAATTTTTCATTGCAAAGAGTAGATATAAGTTTTTCTGATATATATATTTCTGATATATATATTTTTAAAAATATCAGAAAAATGTATATCTTTATACAATTTGTATGTATATTTTATAACAGTTATAAAATATATAGTTTTACATTGTTTTATATAAAACTATTGTATAAAAGGAATATAAAATATTGTATATTTATAAAAATATATAAATATATATAGTTTCATTACAAATAAAATGCACAATATGAATTTTCAAATATCTATGACAATCTCTAAAGTAAGCAATTATCTGGCTTTTCCAGAAAATTTATTCTTCTGTAAGTTTTCCAGAGGCTAGTGTACTATAGATACTACTCTGAGAATTTTGGGTTAGTACTCAAAAAATTATATATGTAAATATATTTAAATATGATATATATTTAATTATCTGATAAAAAAATTCATTCCCAATTAATATCAATGTTTCCACTTCAATTTAGTTATCAATTACTTAGTAAAATACTTGAATATGGCTGGGCGCGGTGGCTCATGCCTGTAATCCGAGCACTTTGGGGGGCCAAGGAGGGCGGATCACAAGGTCAGGAGATCGAGACCATCCTGTCTAACAAGGTGAAACCCCGTCTCTACTAAAAATACAAAAAATTAGCTGGGTGTGGTGGCGGGCGCCTGTAGTCCCAGCTACTCGGGAGGCTGAGGCAGGAAAATGGCGTGAACCCAGGAGGTGGAGCTTGCAGTGAGCCGAGATCGCGCCACTGCACTCCAGCCTGGATGACAGAGCGAGACTCCATCTCAAAAAAAAAAATAATAAATAAAAATAATAAATAAATACAATTTAAAAAACTATATTGACAAACTTTCAAATTAAATCATTTAATTATATTACTTGGAAAATTTTAATTTTCTCTGGTAGAGAGTTGGGAATCAAGAGAAGATTATTGTTTACAGAATTTCTTTTATGTAAAATCCAAGTATGGAGCACATATTCAATTGAATGGTTTTATGTATCAGTAGAATATTTAATAATATAAGGTTCTGTGGGAGAAGCGTCATCTCTTCTACTAGATGGAAACTCTAGTGTAATATGCATGGAGAGAACAATATTTTTCAAAGTAAAGATAGCTACAATAATGGAGGATTAAATGGATACATGATAGAAAGATAAATTGAAAGATAAATATAAAGGTTTATACATATATATGGGTCATAACTATTCATAAAGTACTACATATCTTATAATGCTATATTACTGTTGCAAAGATTCTTAGGTCTAGTCAGTGAAACAGAACAAGTCAGGCAAAGCAGATTAATTACTTACAGATAGATAGGCAGCAAGAATAAGCAGAATCAGATGGAACGTGACAAGCCAGCCTCCAAGGCTCAGGAAAGTTGCCCTGGGTGGATGGAGTTTCATCACTGTGCCCCATGTCACACCTCAGCTGAGGAACCCTGAAGGCATTCTTCCCTGGGTTTTATAATCTGGTTGTCACTTATGCTGTTGAGTTCAAGCATTGCAGAACTACTTCTTCTAGGAGAAAACAGGATATAGCCTGGGCTGTTCTGGATGGTTCTTCCTTACCTCAGGACATTGCATTCTTGGTACCTTGTACAGTTATTCTGAGAACTACAAATGGGAAAAGGGAGGGCTGGATCAGCCAAGACTACCTGGGACCTGTCCTTCTACAGTCCATCACCCAATCCAACTATCTCCCCCTTAGCAGAACTATACTATTTCATATGCCCACTGAGGTTTGTCTCCCCAGATTTCGAGGCAGAGGTTTGTCTCCTCACAGCAATGTCATACCTTGCCTGACATATCTCAGTGTACCATCCTTGATCCATAGCTAAATTCATTTCATGAGACCCAGGAGGACTACTGCCATAAGCAGGATGACCAGGCTTGCCTGGAGCAGTGACCTAGCTTAGGATCCCAGTGATCTAGGTATAAAATTGCTAACGAGCTCAAAGAAGGATCCTTTAGGTCCGCTGGGTGGAACAAATGGGCCTGCTTCTGGATCTCTTCCACTTGTTTCTCTGTAATACTTGAGATGTTTATCTAGGTACATCAGGTGTTGTTGGCAATAACACAAATGCCAGCCCATTCTGCTAGATAATTGAGGGCCCTTGGTTACCAATGACCATCTTGGCTAGTGAGTTCAGTAAATCTTGTTGGTACTGAATAGCTAGATGTAGCATAAGCTATCATCATCATGGTCAAGGTACAATTTGCATCCCATTTTTTTCCAGGGCATGCACACCTATGCCAGGTATGAGGACACTGACAGCAGAATTGAATCAGCTGTCAGTTTGTCTTGCTGACAAGGTGTTTTGGGCAACCCTCTGGTGTATTATAAACGTGGAATCCTTTCAGTTTAGAGTGCTGTTTTTCACAAATAACTGCGCACCCACAATTCCCAAAGAGCATGCCCCATCTGAGAGTGAGAGGTACTCCATAGCTCAGTATGCCCTACAATAGAACGACATATGATCTGGAGTAATACATGTCATTCCAGTCAGAGAGAAGTCGCTATAAGACTTACTAGTTGAATTGTACAAAGCTTGTGTCTGTTTTAGCCATGAGTTAGATGGCAGGGTAAATTTGCAGGTGTATGGACCTTCTCATTTCATCAATGATGTTTAAAGTTTGTCTCGTGATTTTATGTCAATGTTCTTCATGCATGGGTTATTAGAGACTCTGTTGAGCTGAACCTGCACTGAGCATATTACTCTAGTCAGAACTGTTGATGGCCTTCCGGACTCCTGTTTGATTAGCAATAGGCCATGAACTATTTGCACCTGAGAGTAATGCTCTGCATACGTGGGTAGCAGATTGAGCAATTCGTCACATTGTCACCTGCTGCTACTGACCTGCTGATCTTCACCAGTATGTTGTCAATCCAGGTATAAATGAGTATTCTGAAGGCATAAGGGTGGAGAAGATTAGTTTCCCAAACCCTGCCAAATTCCCATATTTACTGTGGTCAAGGGTGTTCCTCCTTATTAGTTGGGGTGCCAACTGTCCATGTATTACAACCCAGGCTGTCTGTCCCAGTCCTGAGGCTACTACCTCTATAGGTACCCATTGCCCTTGTTGCTTGACTCAGGCCTTTTAGCCTTGATGTCCAGTCCAGGAAGGGAGGTCACATTCTACAAAAACCTGCCACTTCTGATAACATTGCCCATCCAACTAGAGGGATCAGATGTCCCTGGTGCTACTGGAGGGACTCTAGCATTTTTATACTCCTTAGTCCCACTCCCAACCTCTGAGGGATTTCACGGAAAGGAGGAACAGTCATCACCATTGCATGTAGTTTGGTCCATTGGGTGGAATGTCTGTACTCAGTCTCAGTCCAAAGATAGCCATCCACTGGCTAGATGGTGACTGTTGTCCAGTGGAGTTCTTCTTTTAGTTTTGTGGAGCCACAAGTAACCAGGTCTAAGTGTCAGTAGGCATGTCTCTGAATCATGAATCCCAGACAGTCACAGCAGGGGCCAAAGCATCCTCCAAGAGTCACTTGGTCACTTCTGATAAAGTAGCCATTTGTTCATGGAATCTGTTAGTCCCTTGGGGTCCCAGCTAGGGACCATTTCTGTTTGATAATTGAGCTCTGGTGAGCATACCCAGTTTTACTGGTAGGATTTGTAAGCACCCAAATAAGACTGAACAGTTTAGCTTTCAATATCACACATGGCACTTTGGGTGTAAGGTGGTCAGTCTCTGCCAGTGCCCACTAGCAAGCAAGTTGTCATTCAAAAGGGGGATATCTAGCAGCTGCCTCAGGAAACTTATTTGTCCAAAATCTGAGAATCCAGTACAACCCAGTGGAAATTTCCTGTTCCTGGAGACTCCATTCAGCAAGCAGGGAGGTTATGGACACTTGGAAATTCCATCAGCCTAGCAGGCTCTAAAATATTCCAAAGGCAGTGCCTGGGACACTGCTTGCTGAACAGCTTCCAAGGCCTGAAACTGTGAAGGGCCTCATTCAAAGTTGGAATCTTGTGGGTCATTTTGACTAAGGAGGGCAAAAGCACACCCTGGTGGGGTATTTGCTGTCTCCAGTACCCAAAGAGGCCTACCAATTGTTGGACATTCTTTTTATTAGTGGATGCCTTTCAGGCCAACAGTTTTTACTTGACTGTATCCCAAGGGACCCATAGGAATTATTCCTATAGTGCTAGACCCTGGGCTTTAATTCGAATTGATAACCCAACCAGCACTAGTCAGGGTGTCAATAACTAAGCCCAGTACATCCTCCACTTATTTTTCAGTGGGCCCTACTATCAAGATGTCATCAATATAATAAATCACTAAAATTTTTGTGAGGATTTGGGCTTGTACCCACTGGTGGCATATTTCAGGGGAATTGAAGTATCCCTGAGGAAACACAGTGAAGGTAACTGTAGGCCACTCCATGTGAAAACAAATTGGTCTTGATCTTCATTCCCCAACGGGATTGAGAATAAGGCACTAGCCAAGTCACTTAGAACATACCAATCTCCTCCACAGGTTGCAAATGTCTCAATGAAGGTAATAATATCTGGCACCTCAGGGGTCAAAGGTGGAACCTTAGCATTCACAGTGTGGTAATCCATTGTCAGACTCAATGGGCAGAGACCTTTTTGACCAACCAAACTGGGCTGTTACATGGTGACAGGGTGGTTTGTAACATTTCTATATGTAGTAAGTTCTGAATTAGCAAAGTAATTCATTTTCTCAATTTAGTATGCAGTATTGCTTTTGTTGAATAACCCACTGGGGCTTGAGTAGTTTAATTGGCAGGCAGAAGTTGATAAGCCCCACTCTTACGACTGTCTCTTTTTTTTTTTTTTTTTTTGCTGTGAGAAGGCATACCCTCTGAGGCAGTGGTAATATTCTGTGCCACAAACAGCCAAAATGTCAATGCCTATAATTCTCTTAGCAGTGGGAACCACAGTCCCTGTTTAGTGCATGTATTTGGGTCGTAGGGATTCACTGTTCATTACAGCAAGCCATTAAACATCAGATACAACAGAGCCATCTGTCTCACTGGATCTCTTCTTACCAGAAAATTGGATGGTATAAATAATATACTTACAAAAAAAACTACAGTTACTAGGGAATATTAAGTTCATAAGATGGAAACACACAAATCCAAGACATTTATTAATTCATTCCACATACATGTATCACAGGCTACCGCCATGTGCTGGGAGTTCAGTTATAAACAAAATAAACAAATGCCCCTACCCTCAAGGGGCATCTGGAGGAGGGAGACTACAAATAGGATAAATTCATAAAATATATTGTTTTAAAAATAGTTTTTAAGAGAAGTTTAAGTCTACGGCAAATTGAACAGATGGTATGAAGAGTTCTTATATATCCCTGTCCCCACATATGCATAGCCTCCTTCCAGTTTGTTGTTGTTGTTGATTCTAGAAGTGTTCTTTATAGTTGAAATTAAATAGTTATCTTACTTCAAAAGAATAGATCCTAAAATATTGTGCATATGTGGCAATATATTTCTAAAACCGCATTCACAAAATACTTACATACCAGTCAGAATTCTATTGCCTTCTGTTTCCCAAAATGAGTCAATGTCAATAACAGTCTTTTTATGTTACCAATTTGTTAAAATATTCACAGACTCATAATAGAATACACATTAAGTACAAATGTCTAACTCACTGTGTTAGTTTGTAGTTACTACGTTTAGAAGGTTGTTTTTTTTTTTTGTCATGCTAGGTTGCCTCTGTGCATCAATCTAAATTGATGATTTTGTTTTCCTTGGAAAACTTTCTTCCTTTATCCGTGAAACACTACTCTTGTGTGCTTTTTCTCAGTTTAGTCTTACAAATTCTTTTAATTATTTTTCGCCATTTCCTTTCCTACAAACAGTTAAATACAGGTCTGTATTTCTTTCTTTCCCAGGCAACTTGTTCTGATGAATATTTTCCTTCCTTTGCCTGTTTTTTTTTTAATCTATCCATCATCCATACATCCATCTATCCACTATTATTAACATCCATCTATCCATTAGCAAAGATTCATTCAGAAGCTATGTGCCAGGCACTAAGTTAGGTATCAAGGATATTGACAGAAGACAGATGTAGTTCCTTCCTAATTCTAGATAAGCGAAACACATGAACAAAAATGAAGTCTATAAAATATTTATGATAGCCTGTGGCAGAAAATAGTGTATGGAGGGTGGAGGACACTAAGAAGGAGATGATTCTCCCAGAAAGGTAAAGCATAAGATACATAAAGAAAATGTTATGATTCTTAACACAGGGCTTAACGTAGTACACATTTGTTGAATGAATAAATAAGTAAATTTACCAAGTTTGAGGTTCAAAACTGACATTTTCTTATTTAAAATTGGGAAGGAATAATGTTAAGGTAAAAAACATTAGGGTAAGATTGACATCACCAAAAGTATGTACTTACTAAATGAAAAAACGTTTTGCTCTAGTTAAAATTCTTGGCATATATTTTATAGAGTGACCTAAATTTTTGTAAAATCTGAAATGTGTTAACTATATAGGAAATAAAAATAATATGCATTTCACAGGGAAACTTTATTCAAGGGAAAATTAGAAATTATTTATTACTTAATGGTATCTCTTATAAGGAACTCAGAATAACATAAACTGACAAAAAATTGTGTGGGAAAATGTTATTGGACTAAAAAGAAACCCCTAGTTTTTTTTTACTTTTTGTGAACTAGCCTCACATAAACCAACCTTGAATTTTAAATAGGGTATTAAGCATTTAAGCTTGCCCAAGATCTACTATCCTGTACACAAATGTACAACTATTTTTGTCACTCTTCTATAGAGCTAGCATTCTGGACAAATTTAACAGGAATGTTTTTGAAAAAAAAGTGGATAAATGTCATTCAAAGTGCAAGAAAGCTGAGGAAAATTTTACTAATTCAAAAAAGAGTGTAAACTTGTTACTTTTAACACAAAATTTTAAAATATTTTTGGTGATTAAGAAAATCATTGATCAATATAAATAGGGGCAAATATGAAGTAGAAAGAGTTTTAAAATATCACTCTTTATACTCAATTTCCTTCTTTCAAATGCTTATCTATTATTCTTGATCTGTTATAATAGTCTCTTGACCAGCAGCTACTTAAGCCCAGTGTTTGATTTTCCCCATTAACCCTAAAATATTTATTGATTGTCTAGCTAACAATGGTTTTCCAGGGCATACATGCTATAAACACAAGTTTAGGAACCAAAACTCTTTCTGATATGCTAGCAATTAACATTTTAACATTTCCATAATACACAGTGTATCAGTTAGGGCTAGGTTTTATGAAAGAAAAGAGGCCCAAAATAACAGTGGCTGAAAGAAGACAAATGCATCTGTCTTTCATTTACAATTCTTAAGGCAAGTAATCAGGTGCTGGCCTAGCAGCTTTGCTACATAAAGCCCATGGAGACCTGACCCCTTTCCACTTCTATGCTTTGCCATCACTATACATGGACTCCAATTGTCATAGGCCAAAATGAAGCTCAAGTGTTGACAGTTATGTTCCAAGTAAATTTTATGGGGGAAGAAGGAAAGAAGAAGAAAAGAAAACATGCTGCCACACAACATTTCTGCTTCTGTCTCTTTAGCTAGGTCTCAGGCATAAGCACATACCTAATTTAAATGGAATTTAAGAATTCAGTCTCCATCCAAGTGTACATGGGCCAAGCTAAATGCAATGACTGTTACAGAAAGAGAATGATACTGTGGTGAGATACACAAAACTCCTCCATGCTATATCGTATCTACAATGTTCTCTTGATTCCATGTCTACATATCTTAATTCCTTTAGGTATAGACAGTTTTCCTGGAGGGCAGCAAAGATAATGCCAAGTATGACAGCACCAAGTTACCAATCTTGCTGTAATCCAAAGATATTCTTAAAAATTAACTTTCTTCCGGTCCAGAGTTCCTTCCAACTATCGAAATTGCCTGGTAGAATAGATAAGACCAAGTGATTTTGAAAACATTTGGTTAAATTGCACTGTTTTCAAGCATATCTGCAAGAAATAGAAGATATTTGCAGTACCTAGAATGTTCTCGAGAGTTCAATATTTGTCCACGCTTTTATCCACGCTGCAAAGATTCCCCACGTGATTTCACTGATGTTCTCCATTTAAGTCTCTCAGAAACTCCACCTGAGAACTCTCACTCAGGTGGAGTTAGCTGAAATGAATATTGCTCTAGTCTCTTCCTAATTAGTAGTTTCTTCATTTCATGTGGCTTTTATTAACATGAAATGAAGCTCTTGAATTCCAACTGAGATCTTACCTCACTTTGGATTACAAGAATAAAAACAGTTGGCAACCTATTTCTCCCTACTGTGTTCAGATCTCCTAATATCCTTCTGAATGCTGTAGAATGCTCTGATTTGGCACACTGTGTTCCTACCAACATAACAAATAGCATATAAACCCATTATATTGTTATTCGTTAATAAACTTTGTAAAAAATGTATCTTAGGTACTCGTTGCTTATTAATGTACTACAATAATGTAATCTATCATTACTTATTTCCCTTCTGGTTATTTTTACCAAATAGAGTACAGTCATTTTGTTCTTGCTCAATCTAAATATGTTCTGTATTTTCTTTTCTTATTTTCATTGCACTAGTGAGGTAGTAAAGCTGGTAGTTAAGTAAGGCAACGTAGCAAGAGTTCCTACATTCCCTCATACTCTGAGGACTTTACATAAGTTACCAAAACCTTTTTGTGTTGTGGTTTCCTCATCTGTAAAACAGAGTTTAGTAGTAGCTGTATCATAGTGTCGTTATGAAGCTTAAATAAGTCGTTAAAACAGAAATACTTGATAAATCTTAGCTATTATGCACTTCACCTAGAATTAGCTTGCCCTAATTGACTGACCATATACATCTCCATTTAGTTTTAATTTCTCTCCTCCCTAGTCTCACATAATGTTTTGACAAAGCTTTGTTAAGGGACTTAGAGTGTACTTTTTATTGGGGTGGCTGTGTATGTATCTGTTGTCTTGATGAACTTGTGAGCTCTTACAGAGTAGGCTTTATCATATCTTCTTCATCTATGATTTACCAGTAATGTCTTACATTCATAATAGTTATTTAATATGTTTGTTTAATTATATTTAACATTTTAGGAAAAAGGTATAAAAGTGTAACACCTACAATATTGTTTAGCTTTTCAATTTTTTTCCTGGAATCAGTAATTTGATATGTAATATAAGAAATGATGTTTTAAGAGCAAAAGCAATTACTGATATTCTTTATTGGTAGTTTTTGCCTTCTTTGCAATCACAAATTTTTAGATATCTGTTGATTGATCAGTTTATGAATATTTCATTTTAAATTATCCCAAATGTTCTGCAGCCTTTGGAGAATACTTATTATTGTATAGACAGCTTGAATGTGTCTTCTCTGGAGCCTTTCCTCACTAGCTCTCAGTTAATATATTGCTTTATTCTTAGCTTTTTCAGAATGTTTTTGTCATATTTCTATCAGGATTTGTGGCACAATATTGTAGTGACATATTTACACATTTGTCTTTTCAAAATGTGTATTTTCAAAATAAGTGTCTACATTTTTATTATTTCATGTTCTATCATCCTATATATCTGAAAGTTTATTGATTATATAAGTGTGTGTTTAATATCCTATATTTTATTTTCCACATTTATTCAATTGTATGATGATAATTCATTGTTGGCATGATGATCTCAAAATACTTCATGATTATCATGGTAGTTAAATAGAATTAAACAGTTTGTTGACTTAGTATAGCAGCAAATAAACAAATACTTGAGAGAGATGTTTAGTGAGACTTGGAGGCAGTGGAATTCATGTGTTTAGGAAGTCAATCTCTAGAATCAGATTGTCTTTATTCACTTTCTGCCCCTTGCTTTAACTGACCTTGGACAGCTTACTAACTTCTCTGTGTCTTGTTAGAGATAATTGTCCATAACTCATAGAGTTGTTGATAGGATCAAATGAGTTAATAAAGGAAAAGCCCTGAGAGTTTTATGTCTGACATATAATAAACACTGTTCATAGGATACCAACAAGACCATTCAATAAATCATGGCACCCCATTTTCTGAGCATTTGAGTCCATGAATATTTAACCATACAGAGTTGTTTCCCTGCATTTTCTGTATTGGTTAGAATGTGTCATTGGCACTAAAGAGAGAATTTTAATAAATATTGAAGTCATTGGAAAGAAAGGATGAGGAGAGTGAGCCCTAGGATAAAAATGTGGGTCAGCAGAAGAGTTGGATCTGCAGGACAAAAACTGTCTTATACACAACTACCCAGATCTGGGAGGGAATCAAAGCCAGGTGGCAGCTAATGCGGTGTTTGGAATGTGATAGCAGAACTCAGTTGCAGTTGACTAGTCTCTTCCTCTTAAATAACATCATGCATTTTAATGGTTTTATACTGAATGTTTAATGGCACATTTTATAAGTTGAAACTGCCATCTTCTCAATTTCATTTGTCATTTGGATGCCAGAAGCCCAAAACTTCCTTTCATATAATTCTCCTGAGAAGTCAACCTCATTGAAAAATACTTGTTTTTATCTGTTCACATGAATATATACATTAACATTCAAAGGAATAGTTTTCTTTACCTTCATATTAACAAGTTCCACACCTATGTTTTCAACAACTGGATTTCATGTTAGATTTGATATTTTACTATTTCCAGATCATAAATTTGAAAGCCTTCTTACCAATCCCTTTTTGATCACTAAGAATTTCTACTACATTAAAATTAAAATTAAAATAAAGAATTAATTGCATATTTGTTACCCAATCACATGTATTTATAGTGCTCCATAACATAAATGTTTCAGGAGATGATTGCTCTTCTTTTACCTCTTGGTTTTCCATGCCTCAGAGAAAAGTCCTCTGCCACTTGACAGTTTTGTAGTTCTTGTCAATACTTGACATGTGTCTAACTCCCCTGTGGCCTACTCTACTAGCTAAACTAGAAGATATCAGCGGCTCAACATAAAATGAGAAACATGTGGAAAGTCAGTTTATCTTTATTACTCTAAAAAAAATATAGACCCTCTGTTTTCTATTGCGAAAAATAGAGTACAAATAGTCTAGATTATTGTGAGGATTTTATGAGCGTCTTCTGTAAAAGTGCCTCATATAGAGTAAGTTTATAAAAATAAAATTTAGCTAGTCTACTTCAGCCTGAACTTGATGAGAGAATGAATGATAAATATTAACCTCTTATTTAATTCGTACTGCTGTGCCCTCCCTAAAGGAAATTCCTTGGGTTCAGGCATTCAGAGGTAACCTCTACTTTGGAGGACATGTTTAGTAGTTTGAAAGTCCTCAGGCACATTCTGCAGGAGTCCCAAAGTCTGTTTGCCTGGGGTCTTCTTGCCAGCTGAGTAGTCCTCTTGGCCACATACTGTCAAGCTGGCCTTAGCCATCGTCTACAGTATCCGCTTGGCTCACAGGAAATCACGCAGCCTTGCTGAGCCAAAGGAGGGGAAAACTGGCTGCCTCACCATAGACTGTTCTCTCAGTCTAAATATCTCTTTTACTTCTCTTTTATTCCATTTCTTCCTGCTTAAATACAACAGAGGGTAAAACAGCAATGTCTAACTATAAAATGAGTTAAACAGTGCTAGCCTTTCATTATAGCAGGTAGTCCCAATTTCTAAAAGAGCTTCCTGTGGATTCTCTTTCCTTCAGGTTTCTCACCATCTGGTGTTTAGCTCATCTCCTTTTGCTGTGTCTTCTCCATCATATTGGTATTTCCAAGATCTCAAAAGAAAGAAAGTGAAGTTCTTAGTCAGGACTCACTGTCCTTCAATTTTCCTAGGTGACTACTCACATAGGCTTTGGGGGTGAGTGTGTTGGTGTCTGCACAGTGAATTGGGTCACCTCTTAACAAACCCTGCAAGGGGTGTCTTTCTTTCCTTCCTCTTTCAAATGTGAGAATATACTTAGCAGCTATTGTTTTCAACTTAGAAGACCAGAGCTGAATTTCTGAGATGTCAGAAAATGTCCCTTCAGTATTTTGTTGCTATTTCTGAAGGAATTTCAGGCAAGAACATACATTAGAACAGAGAAATGTGTGCTAATACCTCATGAAGTCTTCTGGAACAAGTGACAACTCTGCCAATGGGTGAGGGTGACCCTGGCTGTGACTTACACATGCAAATAATTATTATATTACTAACAATAAAGAAGAAGATGATAATGCCTCACATTTACAGGTCTCATTATTTTTCAATAACTTTTTTAAGAGCTTTGAAGCTGCTAACACATTTAATCCCCACAGTAACTCTCTAAGAAAGTACTATTTAACTTATTTGACAGTTGAAGGAACTGAAACACAGAGAAGTTAAATAACTTCCTTAAAATATCACAGATGAGAAGCAGTAGAACCAGTCTTTGAACCTGGGAAATCTTGTTTCAAAGCCTCCCATATTAGCTAATACCTCTTACTAAATAAAATAATGATATATTATATCAACTAATATGATCACCTTTAAATGAAATAATAACTATTATTAATCATGGATAAAAGTATATTTTTTCCAGGTATTTATTTTGGCTAAAATATTTAGATAACATTTGTTAGTTTTCTTTAAAACTCTATATATCATGACCTCACAAAATTAAATCTTAATAATGTAAGATGGTCAATGAAATATTGCAGCATTTTAGGCAAACTTCAATGATGGTTATTAAAAATATTAATTTCAGTATGAATATTTTAAAATTATAAGATTAAATGTACAGATTTCATCCTCTTTTGACATTTGGCATCTATATTTATTTAACTGTCTTACTAATGTTGGTCCTGTACCCTGCTAATACAATTTTTTTTTATTTCCGTTCAATCATTTTAAGTCTCATATTATTTTCAGTGTATTTTCAGATGACAAATCCTTAACACAAAAACACTTGTTAATATATTCCACAGTTTACTTTTTCACTCTAATATTCTTATCCAGAAATATAGTGTATGCACAATCAGTCACTGTGGTAGCAAACAGAAGTTTAATCACTGGGAAATTCTTCGAAATAAATATTTCATTGAATACAAATATTCTAAATTAATAAAGCCAATCATATCCACTATACCCAAAATGTTCTTAAGGAAATACATATCTATATTGAAATACAGTTAATCCTTTGTAAAATATATTTTCTTTAGGTATTCAATTTTATTTAAAATCATAATTTATTATAAAATACTAAGAAACATTGTCTAAAAAGGAGAAATTGTATTAAAATGTTTCCTGAGATGGAAACAATTTTTTTTAGCTTTTTTTTTTTTTTTTTAAAGACTTCAGCAGGTAAATACAAAGTAATTTTCCTAGCTGGTAAAATTCATCCCCTAGGAAGATTAACTAGTGTAAATGTCAATATTGCATGGTTCATTTATTGAAAGCCAAACTATTTGAGTGACTTTGGATGTGTTATTACAGTTAATGATTCTTATTAAAAACAACAAAAGAATGCATCAATCAGGAGGTATAAGGAAAGGAAAAATAACTTTGAAACATTGGTTTTCTTCATAAATTCAGATTTGTTGAAATCTGAGGAGTCTTATGCTAACATCATCTTGGTTATCTATTTCTTTGTAACACACTACCCTAAAAGCACCTGGTTTAACCATTTCATTTCACTAATAACGTTATGTGTCATAAACTTGCAATGAACTTGGTTCTTAGGCTGGATGCTTAGCCTCTGATGAAAGTAGCTTCAGTTGGGGTGTCTAACAGAGGATCTACTGGCCAGTCTGTCTCCTCCATGGTCTTGGTCTTTGTATTTCATTTTCTGCAAAGCAAATCATCCAATCATCCGCTTAGGCTCTTCTTGTGGTTTAGGCTTCTCAGAGTTTGGCAACCTCAGGATATTTGAACTTCTTACAAGGTGGATCATGGTCCCCAGACATCCAGGTGAAATCTGCCAATCCTTTGAATTCCTAAATGCAGAGATGGCATCATGTCCCTTCTATCACATTCTATTTGTCAAAGCAGTCCCAATTTAGCACAGATTCAAGGGGAGGAGAAAAAAAATAGACCCCTACCTCTTTGTGACAATAAAATCAAGTGATTTGTGGCTATCTTTAATTTTAATATGTATTTGTTAAAAGGACACTCTTGAAATATTCTTTTACTTCCTAGTTTTGCTTGCTCTATTTCAAACCAGTGCTGCATTAGTTAACATGTGGCTCACCATACACTTTCTAATGAGAAAGCTTCAAAAAGCTCAATCCCCAAATGCCAGTACAAACACTAGCCTGGCAAAAAGTCACCTGAATTCCTCCCTCTAATATACAGAACCCAAGCTGCATGGACTTGTTCTCCGAACACAGAAAACATTATAGTAAACAAGGGATTTGAGTTTAGATATTTACCCAGCTTCTCTGCACCCTGAGCTCTTTTTTTTTTTTTTTTTTTTTTTTTTTGCCTCAATCCTCTGCCAGGAGATCCGGCTGCTTTTCTCACACTTTGGCTCCTCACCTCCCCTAAGCTAATATGCACTCCCTAGCAAATTATAAGCATTCAGAACTGGAGCAGAGACTGTGGCTTGAGGGTAAAATTAACTCTACCAGCTGAATAGTTTCCCCTCTTCATCAAAATGTGCAGTTGGAGGCTTTAAAAAATGTCTATGTGCATAAACTTTGTTATTAGTTGAAAGCGGAAATAAATGCTAGATAAAAAGTTTTCACATATGAGAGGCCTGAAACATTCTATACTTTTATGCACCACTTAGTGTGTAGTCATTTCCTGCTTTGTTCTTTTGTTGCACTATTTAAAATGCTTTATCTCTCATTTTTTAGTTCATACATGTTGGAAATACTTACTGAAGGTTATTATGAACTATGATGTTCTTTTATTGTTGAAGTATTCCCTACTTTAGAGTTAATGGGTTTCATTCAAGGTCCATGATCCACCTAAGATTAATAGTAAGATGATAGAGTGTACAAATGAATATCATAACATATCGTCCTTCAGCTGGTTCTTGAAAGCTACAAGAGACAGAATATGGTTATAAATATATACAAATATGTAATCTCCATTGTTTTTATATATAATGCTACTGTACATTACAATATCCTGAAGAAAATGGCATTCTTCACGATTTTATTCACTTGACCAGTGAATGCTTTTCTATCCTTTGGCATTGGAGTGCTGTGCCTTTTAAGGATGTTGTCAGCCTATGCTAATTGAAATGTTTATAAAATGCTGATTCTGAAATATTGCAGCTTAACAGTTCAATAGTTCTTTAATGGGCCCTCTGTTTTATTAATGAAATGATTTATAGAAATATTTAATCTCACTGATTTACCATTAGCATTAATGAGTCTAGTTATTAAGCACTCTATTTCCAAAGGCTATGAAAACAGCCCTGGCAAGTGTGTAGTATTTTGCGATGAGTTATTTGTGCTGAGATAGAATCAATGCTGTGGGAAGCTTATTCCTCAAGTGGAACAGCATTATTTATAAACATGTAACTTGATGACTCTTTTTGTAATTTTCATACCATTGCTTTTTTTACAAGAAATTTAATATCAATTATGAAAACCATCCCACAGCATTTTAAAGACATTTAGATGATATATAAATATATTTTTCATATTAATTAAACTATGCTATGACAGTAAACCATTTAAAAATACTTAAACTGATCCTTGAGGAATACAAAGGTTTATTCTTTAGAGAAACCACATTTGTATTTCCTATTGTCTCTGGTAAATATTTAAGATAACTATTACTATTTACCCAGAGAACCTTCTTTAAATAACAGACTGAACCCCACAAAATATTTGTGTCTACTTATGACAATATTTCCTTTCTGTATATTTAAAGATTTCACATTTTATGGACAGAATTTAGTTACATATCTTAAGTATATTTATGTGACAACTCTTCAACATGTGACGTCACACTTTAGGGTTCCTCCTCTCCCCTCCCCTTCTTTCCCCTCTCTTCCTCTCCTTTTTTGTCTTTCAAAGGAAATAAACATAGTGGTTCAGAGGATGGATTTTAGAGGCAAACTAACTTGAATTTAGATACTTACACTTTGCTAGCTACGTGACTTTAGGCAAGTCCTTTTGACTTTCTGAATCTCTGCTTCTTCCCCAGAAAAAAAAAATAGGGATAAAAGCAAAATTGTGTACCTTTTAGGTTTTATATAAAAGCAATAAAATATTGCATGAAGAGAATTTAGAGCACAGCCAAGTTTATAAATACATTTAATAAACATTAGCTATCATCATAATAAATATGGTCTAAAATCAAAACAGGAGGAGAGAACTAAGAAAAAGATCATTTTAATTGTATCAAGAATGAATAGAATTGTAATGCTGGATAACCTCTAAAAGTTTTTTCTAAAGTAGATATTTATATGATTGCATTCTGAAACAAAGTTCTAACCTCTCTTCTACATTTTAACCTGTGGTAATCATGCTTAAAACTTTAAATATGTCTTAAATTAGCTCATTTTAGGAGGCATAAAGATGATGACCTATAAACTATTGAGTAGGATTGAAAGTTGTAGAGCATTCAAAACACTGTAATGGTTTCCAGTACACCCATTCCAAAGGTCACAAATTCCCCAATCTCTGGCTGTCTTTAAACTAACTTGTACTGAAAGCAACTGATTCTTATAATGACTTGTCACAACTCTCAGTGAGAAACCATCAAGTGAGAATTAAAAGAAACAAATTTCTTGCTGACTAATTTATTCATAGATATTTCGAACTTAGAAGGACCATATAGAATTAGATAATGTAATACAACCACCACTTTATAAAAGGGGGAGTAAAAACCTAAGAAGCTAATTTGTTTGCCGAATATGACAAAGGAAATACGTAGCAGAAATAGCTTTAATACTAGTTTTCTAAGCTAGTTTTCTACCCTTTCCATAGTAAAACTTACAGTGTATTATTTTTATAAAATTGACTGTTCCATATGAACAGGAAGACAATGTGGCATTACAAGAATAAAATAAGTGCTATTATCTGCTATTTTGGACAGTTCTTTATTGTAGCTCTTATGATAGTATGCACCTTTGCATGTAAACATACTTCAGCAGCTGGAACCCAGAAGCAATGCTTCACATGGAAGCACTTTACATTTGGTCTCCTTGCTTTATGTCTCAGTCTGCTTTTATCAATCAAAAGACAAAAATAATTTATAAGAGAAAAGACACTGCATTAACATCAAAATGCCGATTCTTTGGGAATGAAATGGAGAATATGTAAATTTTAAAAATATTGAACTAATAAAAAGAGCTAGGCTAAGACACTCAGTATCAGGATGAAAAATGTCAAATTCATAATTTTTTTGTTGGAGAAGATATATTTATTTGTGGTTATTTCATAATTTCATTATTTGTGGTAACTTTGCATATAAATATCACTTTAAAAATAGATATATATATATACTTTTGTTGCTTAGTGAATTTCAAGGAAGATATAATGTATATGCACACAACACAATTGTAAAGATAATTCTAGACTTGAATTTATTTTTTTCTATGACATTAAGGTTGACTTGAGATTCTTACTGCATTTGAGCTTTTAAAACATTTTTTGATTGCCTTGTTAGTGGTTCAGAACACTCCAGAGAAACACAAGAATCAGACTCTTTAGAATTATATCTGTTATTCTAATTTCTTGCTGTGAGACCTTGAGCAAGTTAACTAATTCACCTAAACTTCAGTCTTCTCATTTCTAAAATGGGAATTATATGGAATCTACCCTTAGAATTGTGGAGATCAAATATGACAGGGTATGAAAATGTAAGTTCTTAATATATATTACATATTATTGCTGTCATTATTAACTTAAATGTGTAAACACTCAATTTCAACTAGACTTTTAAAATGAATTGGTTGTTTTCATTGGTGAGATTGTGAATTCAAAATTTTTGGTGTATAATTTGAAAAACATCAAGTGCTTCAAATATTTTTACATCATTTGACTTCTAGTAATTCACCACGTTTATGTTTATTTATATTAAATTGAATAGGTGCATTAAAAAATGTTGTAACATGCTATCCTGAAAACATTGTTTATAAAAGGTAGTTAATATACGGAATGTGCTATGCTGAAGCTACTAAAAATTTCTTAGAGTGATTAATGAAAGAACAAACAAAATATTCATATTGGCTGAATCTTAGTTCTAAACATAGGAATTTGCTTCAAATATTTAACCAAAGATGTTTACCAATACTTATTTAAAAGAATGTTCACTGGAAAACTTTTATAATTACTTAAAAAGGGAGGATATCAGTATATTCAAAATAAGGAATTGTTCATTATATTAATACCATTATGAGGTCACTGAGAAACTTTAAACAAGAATATTTAAAGACAGGGAATTTTAACATATTGTTAATTGGGAGAAAAGCAAATTATAAATAATTACAATTCTGCTCATTATATATATATATATGTATATATATACACACACACACATAAAAATGCTTATAAATTATATAACTGTTTCTAGTTCCTGGAAATATTGAGAACCAATGCTAATTTTACCCCTTGACTGCCTCCCCTACAATCATCCCTGGAGAAACTAGTACTAAAAAACATTGATTTGAAGTACTAACACAAACCAACCCGAACCAGAATGTGAGAAACCTCTAGCAAATCTGAATGCTGTCTTGAACTTGTATACATGTGTGTATGTAGGGAATGGGGTGGTGTCTGAAGCCCGATAGGGGAGGTTGGCCAGAGGTTCTTCATGAAAGAATGATTTCAGGTCTTATATTTCTTGGTGACAATGATTG
This sequence comes from Homo sapiens, assembly GCF_000001405.40. Taxonomy (NCBI): domain Eukaryota; kingdom Metazoa; phylum Chordata; class Mammalia; order Primates; family Hominidae; genus Homo; species Homo sapiens. Next base: position 104,221,262 of record NC_000005.10, read on the forward strand.
CCTTTTCCTTCCCAAAGAAGTTAGTCCAGCATAGGCACCTGTTGCAATAAAACCTAGCAGACTGATTGGCTACCCTTCTATCATTCACCTCAGCCCTTCTAAAACCTTAGATTGGTGGACTGCAATCTAGGAAAGCTGTTTCCTCCAATGAAGCTGTTTTTTGAAGATTTGAAGATCATAAATCATGGTTCCGTGTATTCACCTGATGGAGTTGTTCCAGAAAGGAAACATAAACAGTGATTTTTGCCTCCTTAGGGTTCTCCATCCTAGAACTCATCACCACCCCAGTCCTCACATTGGTTGGCATTTCTCTTGCATACTACCAAATACAATAGCTGATACTTCAGACAGAAAATGAGCTTACAGGCTAAAATAAAGTTCATAAAATGGGGGAGGGAAAAAAGAGCACTGACACTGTATTGAAACAGTGCTTTTATCTGACTGTTGTATTATGGGTAATTATTGTTTTCATTATAATTTTCTGGCATTTTCTAAGTTTTTGGCCAAAAGCACAATAGGGCTTCTTAATTTGTATTATCAGAATAAGTGAGGTAACATCTTTTTAAAATAAGATTTAATTTCATCATCTCAAGGATTCATAGAATTCCATATTTGCAAGTAAGTTTTTATCAAAGCTTTATAATCCCCTTTAAAATTTATTTTGTTTTGCATGTTTGAATATCATTTTTTAAAAGTCAAATAGATGTCATGATATGTTCAGTAGTCCCCCAAACCACTCTCAGGTTCAATGATCTATTAGAAGAACTCACAGAACTCAGGTTTATTTCAGTGAAAGTGTACAGATTAAACACATAGAGTCCAGGAGAGAAGAGGCGCATGCTTTCAGTTCTCCTCTCCCGGTGGAGTCACAGGGACAATGCTTAATTAATTCAGTAAGTGTGTGACAATATGCAAAAATATTGACAACCAGGGAAGCTCAATCTGATAACTTGGAACTTTGGGGTCTAGATTTATTATTGGTCATTGCTCAATAGACCAATAATATATACTTATACTGATACATACTTACGTCATTTGAAAAAGCCATATACCTAATATCATTGGGGTGTCTATGTGTGTGTGTGTGTGTGTATACACACATGCACTGGTGTATAACTGGTATATGCATATATATAAATGCATTGGTGTATATATGTGTGTGTGTGTGTGTGTGTGTGTGTGTGTATATATATATATATATATACATTTTTTTTTTTTTTTTTTTTTTTTTTTTTTTTTTTTTTTCAGTCAGAGTCTCACTCTGCCACCCAGCCTGGAGTGCAGTACCTGTATCTCAGCTCACCACAACCTCTGCCTCCCGGGTTTAAGTGATTCTCCTGCATCAGCCTGCCGAGTAGCTGAGATTACAGGCATGCGCCACCATGCCCAGCTAATTTTTTTTTTCTGTATTTTTAGTAGAGACGGGGTTTCATCATGTTGAGGAGGCTGTTGTCGAGCTCCTGACCTCAAGCAATCCACCCGCCTCAGCCTCCCAAAGTGCTGAGATTATAGGTGTGAGCCACTGCGCCCAGCCTATGTTGTTTTTTTACTTCTCATCTTATTTGGTTGACAGAGAATTTTATATGGATGAATATAGGGATTTCTATAATTCTGAGAAATTTTTAATCTCTAAGAAAATCAGACACTAACAGGAAAGCATTTGGAGAAATCATCACTATTCTAGCCCAATGAAAAGAACTGATATGTAGTTATATACCACTAGCATCCATTTAAGTTCTGATTTTCCATTTTAAGTCAGATAGGCATAATTTTATTATCAAATGTAGATTAAAAAGAGTTATCATATTGTTATGAGATCGCTGGGGGGGTGTCGATTTTTCTGGCCAGAAACCTCTGTGGCTGCAGCACCTTTGCCTGAGTTCTTGTCCTGCAGCTAGGAATAATGAGGTAGGCAGACAAGTGAAGGGTGAAGAAGAAGAGTTTTTTTTTGAAACGGAGTCTTGCTCTGTCACCCAGGCTGCAGTGCAGTGGCGTGATAGCAGCTTACTGCAACCTGCGCCTCCCAAGTTCAACCAATTTTCCTGACTCAGCCTCCCAAGTGGCTGGGATTGCAGCTGTATATATATATATATATATATATATATATATATATATATACACAAACACACACACACACATGTATATAATACATGTGGCCTGTGCCACCACGCCCAGATAATTTTTGTGTTTTTAGTAGAGACCGGGTTTCATCATGTTGGTCAGGCTGGTCTTGAACTCCTGACCTCAGGTGATCCACCCACCTCAGCTTCCCAAAGTCCTGGGATTACAGGCGTGAGCCCTCGCAACCGGCCACAAGAAGAGTTTTATTTAGTGTTACAACAGCTCAGAGAGCTGGGTAGCTCCTCTCTGTAGGCAGGTCGTCCAGTTGAGTGTTCGGCTCTTAGCAGAGGAGGCCGGAGAGGGTGGCTCTTCTCTGCAGGCAAGTCATTTTTACGTCTCTGCAGGTCTCTGAAGTTCTCATCAGAGAGGGTAGCTCCTCTCTGCTGGCAGATCGTCTCTGCAGTTCTCAGCAGAGTGGGTACTCCTCGAATACTCCTCTCTGCAGCTGGTCATCCCAGCTATCAGCAGAGAAGGTACTGCTCTCTGCAGCTGGTCGTCCCTGCCAAAGACATCTCTCTCTGCCTCCCTTAACTTCTGGTGGTCCTCTGCCTTTGTCTGACTAAGCCCAGGACTTTTACAGGCCTCAGAAGGGAGGAAGTGCCTGTGGATTGGCCCATGGGCAGGAAGGGGCAGGCCCGGAAGAGGCAGAAGTATTCCCCACTCTGGTCCGGGACTGGCAGCCCGGCCCTCAGTCTTCAGGCCCTCCATGCCTCCTGCTGCCATTCATGGCCCCAGGGCTTGGCCGTTCCTCCCCTCCATCTGATTGGAGCAGGTGCCAGGAGCAGAAAGTGGCCAGGCAGTGGGAGCAGACACCCCTAAACCTTTAGGGGCTGGGAATGGGGAGGTTGGTCCTTCCTGGGGACCCGAGGGTGCAGGCTGCAGAGACGCCCGGCTCCTGCGCCTGGGAGGGCGGCAGCAGCAGCTGCACCCAGCAACTTGGAAGGGGAAGAGCTCCCACTTTTCTCCAGCTCCTGCCTGTTTCATGGAGCGGGAGGCCCAGGTGGGTAGCCTCAGGTTGGGAGGCTGCAGCTGCACCCTGGAGGGCTGATCCTGCCTGTTCCTGGCTCCCCCAGGAGCACAGAGAGGCTTGGATCCATAGCTGCAGTTTGGACAACTGTAGTCCCTCCCAGGGTCTCCTGCTTGCGTCGTTGAGCCAGAGGCCTGGATCTGCAGGGGCAGTTTGCGCCGCTGTAGCGGCACGGGGAGCTTTCTTCAGAAGGGGCAGGGCTCCCGCTGGCTCCATGGAGTGTGGTGCCCCAGCCACGCTTCCCTGCCGTAGCCGGCATGATGGCAGCAGCCACTGACATCAATATGTGTCAGAGCAAATCCATCAAATGAATGAGCTACTGGGTAAGCTCTTCAGGCCATTACCTTCTGAATGAATCAGCTGCAGCCATCTTCAGGCTTTGTTTTTTCTGCTCAGGACTTACAGTTGCAAGGGAGAGGAAGTCTGATCGTTCAGTAGTGCTCTTGTGCCCGTTCTTTAGCCAGGAGAGGGCGAAAGAATTTGAAGGTAGCACCACTAATTCTATATCTATTGTGTTAGAGTTAGCTCATTGAAAGAAAATTGAGGCATATTTAGCACAGATGGAGAGAGAATGTAATGCCATACATATAGTGTACTTCACTGTAGGAAATGACATTATTTTAGACCAAAATTATTAACAGAAAAATGGGGTGTTCGGCTGCTCAAGTAACCAATGGACTGCTTTAAACTGTAGTTAGATTTTAGAGTATTAGGGTAGATGATTTCAAGCTTTTTTGATATTACACCTCTTTCAGTAACAACGTAATGCCTAAGGTTGGGCCCTCATCTCAACTTTATGTATATTAAAGTTGAGATATTTTTATGCAAACATCACTCTACTAATTATTTTGTACATTATAAATCATGCACGAAAACATAAATAGGATGAGGTAGAAAAATGAAAATAGAAATTCTAATGTTTTTTTCCTGTACTATCGTGGATGATTGTCCTGTATTGGAGACTAGTATAAAGGAGAGAATGTACAGTACATCAGGTGATCCTATATAAATACTATTTCTTCTTTCCATAAAAGATGGATAGGCGGGGCACAGAGGCTCACGCCTGTAATCCCAGCACTTTGGGAGGCCGAGGCGGGTGGATCACCTGAGGTCAGGAGTTTGAGACCAGTCTGGCCAACGTGGTGTAGCCCGGTTTCTACTAAAAATACAAAAATTAGCCAGGCGTGGTGGTGCGCGTCTGTAGTCCCAGCTACTCGGGAGTCTGAGATAGGAGAATCGCTTGAACCTGGGAGGCAGAGGTTGCAGTGAGCCGAGATCACGCCACTGCACTCCAACCTGGGTGACAGAGCGAGATCCTGTCTCACAAAAAAAAAAAAAAGAAAGAAAGAAAAGAAAAAAAAAAAAGGTGGATAGCAGCAAGCAGTCACAAACTGGAGATCTGCCTGAAGAACAAATATTTTTCATTGCAGTTTTATGATAGATACATGTGCTATGATGATGGAATGCCCATTAAGCTACTGTATCTTTGTTATATGAAAAAGTTGCTACTAGAGCACTTTGTCCTCAGACCTGGGAGCTTTTCAGCACATTTATTATGATTCTCCTAACAATTCCCCAAAACATTACTTAAGTAAGAATTTTTCCTTTCCCAGAATGCAGAATCATTTGGTGTAGCTTCTGCCTCCTCTAACTAACCTTCTTCTTTTGGGTTATTAACATTTCTGCAAGTCACCACCATTAAAATAAGTAATGTGCTCTTTCTTCTAGATGAAGGAATTGAGCAGTACCTGTGTATCATATAATCACTCCAGCTTAGCATTTCTTTGATATTTTTGTTGTCAATTAGCGTGAGGATCTTCCTTTTGAAAATGAAGTAGAAAATTCAAACAGCTTCATGTTTTGGAAATTCTCAGTACTCTGACTGCTGAATAACTTTTTTCACATAAAAAGTGAAATGCTTTCCTTGCTACTGGTGATTAGTGAGCAGTTAAGTGAACAATCTTAGATTTTGCAGGTTTTGAACTGTTGGTAATAGCTGTTTAGCTTTGATGTAGTAATTCAGAAAAGAGTCAAAATGCATTTTGGTAAATCTACTTTTAATATGTCCAGAGAGATATGATTTTGTAATATAATAGCCAATAAATAACTATCCAGATATGAATGTTAAAAAAACAAACAAATTCTATAAATTCCAAATGTTAAATACTTGTTTTTTTTAAAAAAAGTCAGTAGAATATTCAGATATTATAATATTTTAAATTATGTAAAAGATACATGAAAAGACCAAGAAAGCATATGTTTTTCTTTATTAAATATATATACAGTAAATGGACATATGCTTTTGAGCACTTACTGCAAATAACCAAGTTTCATGAATGCATTAGAAGACTAATATATTTACTATTTTTTGACCTATACAAATAGTACTTTCTCATGGTTCAGTAATATATATTAACAAAGCTTTGTCAGTAAAGACTTTCTTGCAGTACTTCTAAGTTGACTTATTACATTGTATATCACATACTATGAAATTTTTCCATAAAGTAAGTTTTGAGAGAAAAAAACAAAATTCAAAATTTTTTTTGCTTAAAAATAACTATTTAACATGTAGTAAAATAATACAAACCTACTATCCTGCTTCAGCAAGACCGTGTAATACGCTCTTCAGACTGCTTTGTCACATCACTGACAATCCAAAGCAACAGTGATACGATCAAATAAAATCGATGTACACGTTGCTATTCTTCTATTTTTTTGTGTGCATTTTATAGTTGCTACCACTCTTTCTTTATAATCTTCAGACAAGGGATTGAGCTGTTATTAAAAGGATTTTTGCAACTTTCCTGAGATGAAATAGGTGGTCTACAGATGCATGACAATTATAGCAGCATGAGCATGAGGGGACTTCACAATGTTGAGTGTATTCCAATGACAATCTTTTAAGGAATTCCCTGTGACTTGTTTCTGGAAAAAAAATACAATAAGAAAAGTGGACTAGAGTTTTATAGCTTTTATGTATGACCTTTAAAGAGTAAATAGTAAAGATTTTTAAACTGAATTAATAATACAAAATAATCTGTGACAATTTAAAACTATTTTCCCAGAAGTTTTCCTTAAACTAATTAAATGCCTGATTTTATCATATAATTTATCTCAATGGTCAATAGTCTCTGATTTAATGTCTTTTTTCCCTGCTAGAATATTAGCTTACACAGGGCAGATTTTATCTCTAATACAACATCACATATACCCAATACCAAACTGCCCGGGGATCATTACATATATAGAGATTGAGTAAATTAATGTATTAGAGTTATACGTAAATAAGAGTATTTGCATATAAATTTGAGTGTATGAGCACCTGTTTTTGTTGTTGTTGTTTTTGTTTTTCACTAGACCAATTCTTTTGGAAAATTATACTTTGGTTTTTTGGGTATGATTTGCTGCTTTCTTTTTGCTTAAAAACATGAAAAGCATGTTTGAAACTGGCAGCAGTAAAAGCTGTTCTTACTTTGCATGATCAATGGAAAAGAAGGGTTTTCCACTGTTTTCTTTTCCATTATTTTCTTGTGATGACACCGTGGCTCCTTATTCCAAACAGTTGTGTTTGTAGTAAACCAGAAAAACAAAAACCAACAACAAACAAAGACACCTAGTACCATTAAAAAACTTTGATAAATACTATTATCCTAATTGCACAGAAAAGGCTTTCCATAATATATTTAGAAAACTTCTGGCCTCTTGTGAACTGTGGCTTAAACATTAAATACAAATTTTCTTACTTTGGTTTAAAATTATACTATTAAATGAATAAATGTTTAAGGGATGAGAGGAGTTGTAAATTAGGTAGCACTATTAGAGTGCATTGAAAAATTCTTTCTGATTACCTTGAATAAAATGATTTCATAGCATTTTCTACAATATTTTAAGGATCTTTAAGGATTTTTTAATTTTTAAGTGTTTGCACTAATTTTCAGTGATTCTCTATTCCAGGCTAACCTTATTGTAAAATATGACACAAAGTAAGTGCACCCTAAAATTAATTAAATTCATCATTTTGAGAATAAATGACAAGATGAATTTAAAAATGTATAATCAAATAAAGTGTTTTTAAATTAGTATTCTACTTAGATTATCTAATTCTTATTATTATAGTATATTAAAGAGACTGTCATAATCTCAAGTGATTTGTTCTCCATTTGTATTATTGAGCTTTCGTATCTATCAGTAATATAATTTCCTTTATAATTAGAACAAGTTATATGAAACAAGGAAAAAACTCTTCCCCATAGTAATGAGATGAGGCACAAATTTATATTTTATTTTCGGTATGTTTGGTTTAGTTTGTTGGCCTAATAGTTTCTTTGAAAGTAGTTTTATTCTTTAGCCTTCTGGTGACCTATAACAGATAAAGTAATGTGAGTGAAGTAGTTCCCAAAATTTAACATGTCACAAACTTTCCATTTAAAATACTGAAATTCAAAAGTAATTTATTTCAAAGCTTGTTTTTACCATCTCTTTTTCTTAATTTAGGTTAATGTTGATGCCTCTACAGGCTTTGGTTCAACAGAAATAATTTGAACAGAATGCTGTAATCCTATTAACAAATAGATTGATTTTTTATTTGATCCCCAAACAATAATTTCATAGACATAATTGCAATGAACCACACCTATGCTATTACAATATTAAAGTGAATTTTATGGCATTAGCTCAAGTAAAATAGTTCACTGGGTTAAAAAAACAGCTTAGAGATTTCTATAAAACACAGAAGATTGTTCATACATGGCCATAGAGGTTTTTTTTTTTTTTTTTTTTTTTTTTTGAGACAGAGTCTCACTCTGTCGCCCAGGCTGGAGTGCATGGAGTGCAGTGGTGCAATCTCGGCTCACTGCAACCTCCACCTCCCGGGTTCAAGCAATTCTCCTGCCTCAGTCTCCCGAGTAGCTGGGACTACAGGCGCCCGCCACCACACCCAGCTAATTTTTTGTAGTTTTAGTAGAGACGGGGGTTTCACCGTGTTAGCGAGGATGGTCTCATCTCCTGACCTCATGATCCGCCTGCCTCGGCCTCCCAAAGTGCTGGGATTACAGGCGTGAGCCACCGTGCCTGGCCCATAGAGTTTTAAAGCTGAACGAGATCTCAGAGATTGTATAGTATATACTTTTTTTTTATTTCTGAACTTGCATATAATTTACTGGACAAGGTTGAAATAGATAAACTAACATGTTGACTTCAAGCAACAGCTAGTAATGAGGTATGATGTAGTAACTGAAATTTGTCTTATAGAAAGTGCTAACATTAGGCCAATGCTAAAATAACACTAGAAGGTTAATGCTTTGTCAATATTGGACTTCAACTTACTGTTGAAGACTCCATTTGGAAAGTTATTTGAGGTCAATTTGGGTATATGCAAACACTTCCATCAAGGCATAATCTCATTGATTGTAAGAACAATATAATAATTACTGTACATCCCTAAATTTCTTCCATAATATGTATCCCATAGATACTCAATAGATGTAATTTTGAGAGATTTATAATACAAATAACTAACATTACAACACTATTATGTAAATGATTCAAAAAGATGGTCTCTGTGTATTGACATCTAATTTGCTTATTTATTTACTATAGGCTAAAATCAGTTATCTCAAAAGCCCAACAACACTAAATTCAAATTTTTACTTATTCAATTATTTTCAAAATAGCCCCTTTTAGCCGTTAGAGCCTGCCTGCTTTGCATGCTTCTAAAACCAACATTTGCCAGCCATACCTCAAATAAGCCTTGTAGAGGACACCAAGACACTGCTGCTGCTGCCCTTTGTGGTTCTCTAACACAGTCTCCACAGTGCTACTGAGAGACAGCATCTAGACAGGTAAAGCGCCTCTCCAGCATCCTTTTCCCTTGGACTTTCCCTGCTTGCCTTCCTCCCCTTATGAGTAGCAACTCTGCTCTGTAGACCCTAGACAGCCTCCTGCTGTGAGGGATTCCTCCATTGCCCTACATATAAACTTGTTCACGCCTCCCTCACTCAATAAAGTTTGTGTGTGCTACTGCCACTTCTTGACCTCTTGGTCATAGCTTTTTTTTCTCATCAGTTCCTGAATCTTTCCAACCCTTTATACACTTTTATATATATTATTTTGTTCCCTGAAAAATTTATTATACTATGTTACATTATCTTAAAACAATTCTAATATTGTACCTTTTAAGGTTTGAAAATTGAATGACTTTATGAAGGTAAAATGTTCAGAAGATTTTCTTATGCATGTGTGTGCTTTATAAAGGCCACCTGTATTATTAATATTAAGCAAATCCCCAAATAACCTACTGTGATACTACCCCAATTCCAGGTTTTCTCAGACCCTGCCCACAACAGGAGACGTAAAGAGAGTTAACATGGGTAGAAATGGGGAAGTAAGTCTCCCCAGGGGCAATATCTACCATGGAGACTAGCTTGGGCAAAGGACAAGTTTAATAACTAAAAAGCCCAAGTGATTCACTCAAGGAAGTGATATTATAGTAATTTTTACACCACCATGTGTTCTATGTTGTAGCTACATTATGGGTTAATTGGATATCATCAATAATCTTGATACTTCTAAGTGAGTTGCAAATCACATTTGGATCTATTTCTGATTTGAAATTTTTCCATATTTGAAGTATTAATAATATCAACACAAATTTTATATATAAAATTGAGCCCACTCTCAATGAATTCCTGAAATTATAAACATCAGAAAACTAGATGCTTTGCATCTATTACAGCAATTCCTGATTACCGATGTAAAACGTATCTGATTTTTCAAATTGTTTCTCTTCAAACAAATCAATTGTTTTTACACGTATTTAGATTGAAAATTAATAAATGTGTGACTATGATTTTATTGCATAGGTGGTAATCAACACATTTTCAATATAGGTGGTCTTACAAATATAGTTGTGTATAGATTTTGAAAATCGAATGGGTCTATTTTGTCTACTAACTATAAGTAATCATTTAATATTTATTTTATTTTATATCTTTTAAAATTGTTATAATCAAATACAAATAATATTATTTCCCTTTTTAACTGAAACATTAAATAAGAATATCTGCCAAGCCTCTCTCATTATGTTCAATTTCAACATACAATCACCATCGTAAGTGTTTAGTTATTTATTTTTTCTCTTCCACTGAAAATGTTGTTATATATATTTTATACCTATTGTCCTTCCTTGGATGACTTCCATTTCTTCATTCAGGCATCACCATTTTCAGGTAAAACGCACATAGCAATAATGCCAACTCATCTAGGACCTGGATACCTGAGTTTCAAAAATCAAAGACCCTGTCATTTGCCTTGACGGAGACTCAGTAATAGCTGTCACTCACATTAAGACTTTTATCCTCCTATAGACGAACTCCTGAAGGTTCGAAAATCTAGAATAATGTAGTTTTACTTTTGCTGGCTTATTAATGTCTATATAGGAGTGGAACAAGGACGAAAATTTAGGTTATTTGAATTTTTAAGATATTTAAAACTCAAATATTTCTATTTCATTTTAGTGAACAATATTCCTGCTAAAAAGTATTGAAACTAACAACCTTGAAACTAAGGAAGATAGCTTTGAAATAAATGGAAACATGTCCCTGTAAACATGGAGACAAAACAATTGATATGGTAAAAAAATGAATTAGTAGCCTTTGGGTCTGTATTGCACTTTCATTATGACATATATTCATAAATTAGGTAAGGATATTGCTATAACATTTTATTGAATATTTGTATTAGTAAAGTCAAAATGTGATTTGCCTCAGTGTATTAGTTTTTTTGGGCTGCTGTGACAAAGTACCACGAAGTGGTTCAGGATTTTATCATTATTTTTTTCCTATTTTAGTTCAGGAAGTCAGAAGTCTGGAATCAAGATGTTAGCAAGTTGGCTCTGGAGGCTCTGAAAGAGAATCTGTTCCATGACTCTCTCCTAGCTTCTTATGGTTACAAGCAATCCTTGGCATTTGTTGATTTGTATCTGCATCACACCCATCTCTGCCTCCATTGTCACATGACCTTCTTTCTAACTGTCTCTATGTGTGTATCGTCTTCCTAAAAGGACACTAGTCCGTGGATTTATGGCCCATTCTTATCCAGTGTGGCTTCATTTTAACTGATTATGTTGCTGAAACACCAGGGGTTTGATCTAGGTTCTATTGCTCATCACCCTGAAAGCCAATCAATGACACAATGAGTATTGCCAGGGAGGAAGGCTTTAATAAGGTGCTGCAGTGGAAGAGATGGGAGATCTGTCTGAAACCAGTCTCCCTGATGGACTAAAATTAAGGGTTTGTATAGTAGGGAAGAAATGTACCCATGCGTTGGAAAACAAGAACGAGGGAAGAGGAGTTGGTCGTCAGGAGGCAGGTGTTCGGCTAGACAATCATAATGCGTGAGGGGTCTAGCATCTCCTCGACCAGATGTGGTGATCTGGTAAGTTTCAGTTCCTTGATACTGTCTGGAAGGCTTGATAGTTAGTTTCCTGAGAAAGGAACTTAGGTAAGATAATTGTAACTTTTTCAAGTTTTAAGACTGGGTTAATTTCTGTGTTTATTCAAAAGAAACCATGAACATCATTTCTATAGAACAATTGGGCCAGAATCAATTACATCTGCAAATACTGGATTTTATTTCCAAATAGGATCACATCCTGAGATCTTACCTGGACATGAAATTTTGAGGGACATTATTCAATTTATTACACTCATGATTTATATCAAAAAGCTTTGCAACTATTGATGGTATAATGCACGTGAAACTTGGTGCTCAATTAACTGTTATTTTGTATTCTGGGATGTACCAGTAATTCACTTAATTTTAGTGCATTGGTGTTTCTATTTACAAAACTTGGATGATAATTTCCATATATATTATAGGTTTTAATTAGAATCATGCAAACTAGGAATTCATAACCATTTTGGACTAAGGAGTTTGTAATGTATGTATACATTACATAACTATAATAATAACCATTATTAATAGTTTAATAATATCATCAGAATAAGAACTATTCTCACTCCTTCTAGTAAACTGTTATGTGACCTTGGGCAAGTCATCTGCCTATTTAAAATTTGTGTGACTCATACATTAAAGTCAAGGGGTTGAACTAGAATCAAAAATCAAAAATCTGTAGCCCTTGGATCCATTATTTGCATGCATATTTTATTTCACCAGAAAAATATTTAAAATAATAAATTTCATTGCTTTTAGGCAAGACTTGTACTTTCCAGTTAATCACAGTTCTTATCCCATCTTAAAATGTCAGATTGGCTATTTCATATTTAAAACTTCAGTGACTCCTGAAGGCATTTGAGTTTGTGGTCCTAGAGTTTTCTAACTATATAGTCTCTTGAGTCTCAAGTCATAGATTACTTTCAGAATGATAAAGTCACATTTTGTGACTAGTTTATCTCATTTGAAAATGGTATAAATTCCTTTGACTCCTTAAAGGATAGCTACTTAATGAGTATAAAATACTATTATGCTGCAATCTCTTTGTTACTGCTTGAAGTACCACTATGTATTAAGTGGACATCTGCATTTAGCTTTTCATTATGACTTCTAGATTATTTCTTTGAGAAGTTAAAACTAATTCAGCTCCTATCAGTGGATATGAGTAGTCACAGTTGCTTCTGCCCAAGGACACTCATGTAAATCAAATGTTAATTTCATCTCTGTGAGGTGCCATTAAAACAGCAATAAGCTGTCTGCCCACATTTTAGCTTTGTGAAGACAACATGCATTTAAATACTCTTTTTTATATCCTTGGCCTTCTGCTCACTAGAGAAATTTCTATTCAGGAGCATTTTTACTGCCAATGTCTGTCCATCTTCTCTCTCTTCAAGGTAATATCTAGTACTGGGAAGTCTTAACTGGTGCTGACATAAGGAGCAGTAGTTGGAGATATATATATAGTTAGATAGATACATAGATAGATAGATATAGATATATTCTAAATGCTAATATATTGAATATTCTACTTACACATAGGTTTTACAAGTAAAGTTAATCTAAGATGTAGAACTCTCTTTTAAGGAGAAAATGATTCTTGCATGTCACAAAAGATAAGAGTCTAGTGGAAAAAGATAAATGTTTATAAAACTTTATTTTTATTAAATTATAGTTGTGTTAAGTGTAACAATATAATTATTATTCATGAGAAGAACTTTTCCATGTACAGGCTTAATAAAATTCATTTAAAAAAGATACTAACTTTTTAAACATTAATTAAATAGAGTGCACAAGTCCAATACAGGGATGAAGAATACTAGGGAGTCATTATCAATATCCCAGACCTCTCAGTTTCACTGAGCCTCTTGGTTGACTGTATCCTTGAAAGTGTTGCTAAAGCTTGACAGTATAAGAAACTGGGTAATAAGAATCAAGTGGATCTGTCTGTGTTCTTCATTTTTCACTGAAGAAAATTAATTTATGTCTGTAACTTAATAACATAATCCAGAAACTTCAATATTTTGAATACAGTGTCCAGCATCCAAACACAATTACCACACAGGAGAGGAGGGAGATGAAAATACCTTTAAAATGGGAAAAAAGGCCAAATATTTAAAACAGATCCATAGAAAATATAGATATGTACATTATACAGTAGGAGAATTGAAACAAAAACATTGAATATATTCAATAAAATATAAAACAAGGTGAAATATTATATAAGAGAATTGGGAAAATAAAATACTGAATCTCATTGCTCTACATATTGGCTTTGTAACAAAATAGACAAAGGAAAAAAGATGTTTGGTGACTAGAACGTGTGTCTGTAAAAGTTACCCAACTCGATAAGGAAGAAAAAGATAGGAACTAAAGAACAGAAAAGCTATAGAATTTATGGACAAAAGTACACATACACATGCACACACATATAGACACAGACACATAAAACACTCTTGATAAGGCCAGGCACGGTGGCTCATGCCTGTAATCCCAGCACTTTGGGAGGCCGAGGAGGGCGGATCACCAGGTTGGGAGATCGAGACCATCCTGTCTAACACGATGAAACCCCGTCTCTACTGAAAATACAAAAAAATTAGCCAGGAGTGGTGGTGGGCACCTGTAGTCCCAGCTACTTGGGAGGCTGAGGCAGGAGAATGATGTGAACCCAGGAGGTGGAGCTTGCAGTGAGCAGAGATGGAGCCACTGCACTCCAGCCTGGGTGACAAAGTGAGACTGTTTCAAAAAAAAAAAAAAAGAAAAGAAAAATAATAGTCATTTAAATTCAACAATATAGAAAATGGAAGATGCCAGATGCCTCAAATGTAGTTAGATTTATCCCTGAAAAACAGTATTAGTGTATTATTTGAAAAATCAATCAATCTAATTCTTTGCATTCACAGAATTAAAGTGAAAAATTATGTGATTATCTTACTGAATACAGAAAATTCATTTCCTAATATTCAATACTCACTCATGATAAAACAAGCAAAAGCTTCTAGAAGCATAGATAGAATAACAAACATCCTGCTCTGTGATTTTTCACCTGAGATTGTGATAGAGACAAGAATGCCTATGGACCCTAATTTTATTTAATAATATTCTGGAGACCTTGGTAACGTAGCACGGAGGGATGACACTAAAGGTTGAGATATTAGTAGACTAGGAGGCTCTAAGAGAGATCTTTCTTAAAATCCTAAATGGATTAAATAATTCACTAGTTCAAAACCTTTCAGGTTGGATAAAAATTAGATTGCTGTACAAGGCCCTTCATTATCTGGTAATTATTTACCTTTCTTGACCAATTCCCTCCAATCAAACTTTCATCTTCTAAGATTTAGCCATGCTTTCTGAGGAGGAAGTTAAAGCAGCTGGAGTGTAATACACTTCTGTGATTATTTATTGCCAGTGGAAAGTAAAGAAGGCAGACAAAGCAGTCTAATAATCTTGTCAACATGATTACCGAACCTCCACATCAATGGTTAAATAATTTTTATAAAGAGGAGAAATCTATTAAATGTTCTTAACAAGATGTCCCTGTTTAAACATTGCTTGTAGTAACTAAAACCCCAAATCTGGGATATTCCCTCATAGCATGTTCCCTTGAAAAGTTTCTATAAACTCTACTATAAAATGAAGAGTTTTCTAAAACTAACTCCTCCTCATGATGTAAGTTAGTAATTTATGTAAAGTAGTGACTTTGTCCCCAGTAAGCCAGAGAGTACATGTCCACTGCAGGTATGGAGAATTCGTGGGGCTGCCCTCAATGTTTGCCTCTCTGATGGCTTATGTCCTTGAAAGTATTAAGCTTGATAATGGCCAAGGTCTCTGATTTATATGAAACTGATTTTACAAACCAATCCATTATGTTAGTTTACAGCCCTTCATTCGTTCATTTCAGGTGATGTTAATAACGCTTGAGAGATATTATTGGCACAGAAGACAGGAATTTTGCTATTATATCATGGATCTTTAAAAAAAGTGAAGATAACTGGTAAAGTAAAAAAAAAAGATTAAGATAACTTCAAGTAGTGTTAAATAGTAGGAGATAATTAAATAGAAAGCGTTCTATGGCAAGGAACATGTTAGCTAGAGAGGACAGTTAATGGACATTTTAAATGATAACTTCCCAGCATAGATTTCAATAATATGTGTGTGAGAAACTTAAAATCTGAATGAGGGATGGGAGAGGCAAGAATTACAGATAGAGGGAAAGCAGGACTAAAAGGCTTGGGATAAGAATGTTATTTTATAGAATAATAGTAAAACCACGAGGATTGGAGAACAGAAACCAAGAGTGAGAACAGAAGGAGGTGGGTCCAGGCACACAGGTAGCAGCCAAAGCATATAGGGGACAAGGAGTTTAAGTTTAATTGTAGATGCGATGCGAAGCTAATGGAAGGTTTTCATTTTATAATATATTTAATGATCTGGCTTTTGTACAAAGTATCAATTATAAGGCAACAAGATAAAATACTCTAGGTAAAAAAAACAGAAGATTTTTTAACCAAGAACATTTGGATGAAAATGGCACATTGTGTTCATAATAGAGATATGTTTTAAAGGAAAGTTGGCAGTTTTCTGGTGAATTGAATATAGACATGAAGAGAGAGAGAACTCAAGGGAAATTTCTAAATTTTGTACTGAGCAATTGAGTAAATGGTAAAACTATTAACTAAAATGAGTAGGTTGAAATAGAAACAAGTTCTAGAGATGAAATTAAAGGGAAAGCCATAACTTTTTGATTTACTATTAAATTTGAGTTGCCTAATTGACATACGAGATGAGACCTTGAGTAGGAATTGGGATATTTATGTCTGGAGCTCAGGGGAGACTTCCGACCTGAAATTTCTCATTTGGGAGTCACCAGCATATAGATACTATCTTAAACAACGAGGCCGGATGCAAATAACCAGAAAGAGTGTTTAGACAGACAAGAGAGGAGGACGAAAGACAGTCCTGCATCACTCAAATATTTAAAGTATGGAAGAAAGTAAAAGCTGAAAAGGCAACCTAGAAGGACTGATTGGTGTGATAAGAGAAAAACCAAGATTGTGGTATGCTGGAAGACAAGTAAGAGACATGCTTTAAGAAGAGAGATATGACAGATGTTGCTGAAAATTTAAGATGAAGACGAGGAATCTCTGAATTTGGCAAACTCAATATTGGTGACCTTGCAAAGAGTGATTTTAGAAGAATACTGGGAAAAATGCCTAATTGGAATGCAATCAAGAGAAAATGGGAGGTAAGACTGAGAAGGTAGTAAGTATTATATATTCCTTTAAGAAGTTTTGCAATGAAGAACTGCAGAGAAATGAGATAGTAGCTAGGGAGAGCACTTGCATTGTGTGTGTATATTAATGGAAATTATTCAGCACAGTGGAATATTAGCAGATTAAAGAAGGTGAACATTAGGTGAACGAAGAACTTCCTATTTCAACTAATAGGAGTCAGACTCAGGATATAAATAAAGTATACTTGGAAAGAGAAAAGACCATTGATTAATTTTCAAAGAGAAAAAAGTTGACATAAGAAAAGACATAAATATATACTCGTCAGTAAAAAGATAAAGATCTCTTCTAAGGACCTATTTTTGCTGAGATAATTTATTAAACATAATCATCTTTTGAGAGAAACAAGGAGACTGGGCTATTGAAAGCTTAATAACATAAGAAAATAGGCAAAACATGTTTTGTTTAGTCAGAGTATTTCTTAGATAATTCTACTAGTATTGCCACCCAGTACTGCAGAATAATTTGAGATTTATGAGGATAAAATAATAAAGTGGGAAAGGTCATTTTACTTGCACGTTCTCATATCTTACATCATATTTAAGAGCAAGAGTTTGGGAAGGGAATCAGAGAGAAATCTCGTTAAATCAAAATTGTCTTTTGCCTGCAGAGTGCATTGAGGAATAGAGGAGTAAGGAAATGCAGTGTACATGTAGGGGAAGGATTATGAGGTTGAAATGAAACATAATGAGGTCAAAGATCAGATGCATTAGGGACACTAAAATGATCTAAAAAAATAAGATGCTGTGATCAAAGAGTGGGATAATTGTAATACAAATTTTGGATATAGTGCTCCTATTAGAGATAACAAGGTCTAGAGCAATGATTCTCAAACAAGAAACTGCTAGCATTTTGGAGTGGAAAATTCTTCACTGTGTGTAATTCACCAGCACATTGTGGAATGTTTCGATTCTCTAGTCCTGACTTAATAAATGCCACAACTATCACTCCATTCCAATAACATATTTCCAGACTTCTCTTGAAGTAGTTTCCAAGTGAAAACCACTGACGTAGGGAAGCACAGTGGACCCTCATGGATATAGTAAAGAGTTTTTGGAACTACTTTAAGGATGCTATGTACTCTTTTACATCTGTGTTTATTAACTGTTAGCTTTAAAAAGTTATGAACCATTTCCTTCTGTTTGTCTAGCACAATGTCCAGCACAGAGAAATCACTCAAAATGTATTTGGAGTAAATACATATAGAATGATGGAATCTATTTGTTCTTTACCTTTAAGTTTGATTGCATGTTTCACAAATGCTTTTTTGTGAATGATTTTATTTCCTAATGAGAAATTTAATAACTTTATAATTTCCTCTTTGAATGTTAAAAAGAAGCTCTTTCATTTATACCTAGCTTAGGTTTTGAAGTATATTTGCCTTAATCCACACAGTATGTTTGAATGCCTTTAGATGAACATATTTTTTTTACACAAGTCTCTAACATGCTCTTTTTCTTTACATTAGTCCTGTTTCAATCATTTATGTTACTTGTATGACCTTTCTAGGTAGTTGAGTTTAGGATTCTTAATATAATCTCATAATTTTAGTTTAGATGATACTTGTATTAGGCTTAACCAAAAAGAATATCTGCACATAGTAAAAACAAGATAAATATTGATTGTGAATAACATCCATATGATTTCCCTCATTTTGTTACAAGTAAAGAAAGCTCTGATCGAAAGTACTTGAATTCCAGATGCATAGAGGTATGTGCCTTCAATTCAAGAAAATCTTGTGCTATGGTACCTGATGCTTAAATACTTAGCATATTTTATTTTTAAAGTAGAACTTTTAACTTATAGAATATAACCCTCAGTTAAAGACTTCAACAAATTAAATATGCATTAGATATGTTCTATTAACTCCTGTTTCTTTGAATAAAATCATATTTTTAAATATCTTAAGCATGCTAAAAATTCTATAATTTGGAATAACTTGCATTTTCAATGTCTATAGCATTTAGCTTTCTCCAGTGTGTTTAATAACCAGGTTCTATCTTGTTGATTTCCACTCTGTACAAAATATTACATATGTAAAATGATTAGAGTGAAAAGAAAACATTTGGTCTGCATAATTCAATATATACTGCTATATAGTCATGTCTCGCAGTCTAAACAACTAATAGGTTAATTTTTGCAACCCCATCCTAAAAATGCTTCATAAAATACAATTGACAAGGTAAAACAAGGTGAAAGGTGAAAAGAACAAATTGAAGAAGGCATTAGGCTTTAACTTGACTTCACAATTTTTTTTTTAACTCAGTGCTTTCAAAGACATGATTTTTAAGTTCTTTTGATATGGTTAAACAGTTATGTTTCCAACCTAGCTTTTTAGTATATGAGAAAGTTATTTTTAATGTCATAAATTATTCTCTAATTAATTGATGGAAAAAATGAATAGTGATTTAAACTAATATAAGCTTTTATAAAATTTTATTAATTATTGCAATAACTTTCAAGTAAAATAAAATTACCCATCCAGTAAGCAATGAATTTATACTTCGCATCACCATGAGTTCACAGGTATTAAATTAGCCACAAAGGAACTCTTGGGAAGAATCCAAACTTAATAAGAATGGAGAAGAATGCTGTTTTAAAAAGAACATGAAGCCAAAAGTATGGCATATAACTCTGATTCAGTCCACGATAATGTGTCACTATTTCTCTGCTATTTTTATAGATAGTTATATTTTTGCCTCTATTCTTAGTCCTCTTTCTTTCTCAAAGAAAGCTGAATTTCAGGAGAACTGAACTAGTTTTTTTTTTCTCTTTGTAAAAACCAAACTATTTTTAGACCTCAGATATTTCTATCATTAAACCCATGTGACAAAGCATATTTTGAAAAGGAGCATGGCTTATAAAATGGTTTTCACACTGTGAGTATGTGAGTATTTCTTTAATTCCAGAATAATAACAACAATCAGGTCTCAAAAATCTCTGTAAGTGGCTGCCTGCCAACTTTCAGCACATAGCCCCTTAAAGTCCCTTGATAGTTAGGGCTTGCTGCCTGCCATATAATGCTGAAGCTCTTGGCAAGACTCTCCCAATTTATGGGGCTTTGGGAGACACAGCCTTGAGCTCTGTTGCAGCAATAGTTGAGCATCTGCCATGCCAGAAAGCCCAGAGTTTCCGCTGGCAACAGCGTGTCCCTGCCCAGGCAAGCATTGCAGAGTGCAGGAGAGCCAGAAGACTCCCGTAAGGCTGGAGGCACAGTTTCCATTTGCCAGGCTGCCAACATCAAGCAGTTGATGTTTAGCCGTGACTGCAAATATATCATATGAAAATCTTTGACAATCTGCATTTGAAACACCTTTGTACCATCAAGTAAAATGTATGTATTAATTTTACATAAATATTAGCCAGAAATATTAACCTTACTAAGGATTAAGGTTGAAGATTAAGCAGTCCTACTCTAGACAATATCGGGACATTGATGTTACATTATTACTATTATATTAGTTACCATTACTGAATATGCGCCAGATCTCAGACACCATGTTAAATGATTTACATACATTACATTTTGTATGACAATACAAATCCAATTTAAAAGTTGTGAAATTCACACAAAGTCACTTTAAGACACTTGCTCAGTGTCAAGGCTTGTAGATGGGAGAGCTGGAACTTGAATGCAGGTTTTTCTGATACCAAAGGCTCCATGCTATTCTGTTTTTCTAGTGCCTTTGCAATTTTTTAAACTTTCATTTTAGGTTTGGGGGTACATGTGAAGGTTTGTTACCTAGGTAAATTTGCAATTTTCCTTCTCACTCTCAGGACTCATTAGAGTGGAAAGGAGTTAGACTTACAAGACTTTCTACACTTTTCTGAAATTCTGGGTCTGCGATTTTTAAGGAACCTGGACTAGAAACAAAGTGAGCTCTGAACAAATCTTTAGTAATTTTTTAAACACAAAATTTGAGGCTTGTATTACTCAAGATTATTTTCTTTAACACTTTCACTGAAGTTCTGCTTAAGTTTGGATAAGCTTCCCAATGCCTCCACGTCACAGTATGTGTTAAGATTAGACATTAGAAAAATCAGTTACTTAGAGAGATTTAGAAGGAAAAAGATGCAATTTAATATATCTGACCAGTGGCTTTAACAATTGACATAAAAAAGCATTTGGAATCAACATTATCTATGCATAATACTATTTACCCATGAAAAATATTTACCCACTCAAATATGTGCTATATTAACCATAGGTATAGCCCATGAATGTGGGTCATGGTATAGCCATGAATGTATATGGTTATATAATTTTTATTAATAGGCATGTCAATTGTCACATATGTTAAGACAGATACATAGCTGAGAAGCCCTGTTGTTACACAGACACATGTGCAGACTCATACCATTACCTAGAAATATTTCTTATTTTCTAATCCAGAATACAAAGAAAATATATTTTTAAGAAATTTCATTTTATTGTGGAATAACTTATTTATAAGGACACTATAGCTCATCATTTGATCACTTGTTTGGTTGTCTATTTTGTAGAATAATCTTTATTCATTTATTAAATTGTATGTAAAAAATGTAATAAAGAAAATACACAGGATACAAACTTAAATAAAAAGTACTATCACCTGTAAACACCCCAAAATAAATATACACCTTTTCAGACACAAATGACATTCACAGTATGTCGCTTATGGAGAAGAAAAAACAAAGCTGTAAGTAATATTTGCCTCTTTCAACCCCTGAAATAAATCAGAATTCTATATTCTACTATCCTCAATAATAAATTGTTAATGAAATAAAGACAGGAAATTACAAAATGAGGGCAAAAATGCTTTATGTGGAGGACGATTTGTCTAATCTCTTCATTTTTTGTTGACAAATTGAGAGATCATAAGATATACCACTGAAAAGAAAGAAAGAAAAAGAATAAGACATCAAACAGTGTAAGCCAGAAAATCTTCCTCTTCTTTACTCCTCCGTGCCATATCCAATCATTTCTAAGTCATGTGGTTTTTACCACATTTCCATATCTGCTTAAAATTCTCCCTCCCCTCTAGTTAACATGTCCTTGCCTGAAGCATCACTTCTCTGGGGGGAGCTGTGTCTACTGCCCCACTGTGCATCAGGCTGCCTCTTAGACATTCTCAGAGAGCTCTGATAATTTCCTTCAGAGCCCTTATCTGAGTCTGTTATTGGATGTTTACTGATATGATTATTTGATTATTTCTCTCATTTTTCTGAGAGAATAGGGACCATGTCTATTTACTTCTCTCCATTTTGTTCATATCTTCAACACGTCGTCTGGCACATAGTTGTCAATCTTCTTTGACTGATTGAATGAACAAAATTAATACATAATTTAAAATTTAAATTACTGTTAAAAGTTAAAGAAAATAATTTTTGGAATATGAGATAGTTCATATCCTTATAGATTTGAATATAATTGTTCTCTCCAAAATATTATCACTCTAATTCTTTTTTATTGTATACATTTACAGTATACAACATGATGTTTTTATGTATTGATACATGGTTAAATGACGATTACAGGTAAGCAACTTAACATAATCATCATCTCACATAGGTACTTTTTGTGTGCATGTGGTAACAACGCCTAAACTTGCTCTGTTAGAAAATATCCTGGACACAATACAATACGATTAACGATGGTTCTCGTGCTATATTTTAGATATCTAGATTTTTTTCCTCCTACATAAAACTGAGACTTTGTACACTTTAATCTACATCTCCCTATTCCACCTCCCTTTCCCACCTCTAGCAACTAGCATTTTATTCTCTGTTTCTATGTATTCTACTTTTGTTTTTCTTAAAAAAAATTCCACATATAAAAGTGAGCACAAAGTATTCTTTTTCTTTGGCTGGCTATTACACTTAACATAACACTTATCCTTTAAGATTCAGAATAAATATTATCAATATTACTACTTCATGAAACATTTTTCCAGGAACCAGTAAAAGACACATAGAGAAGACTTGAACCTAACATGTAGCTTGAGGCTAAGCCACCCAGAAAACACAACAGTTAGGAAAGTAACCACTTGCGGTCACAAAGTCAGTGAAATATTGGGGCTCTTTATTAAACAACATTGTTTGGGAAATTACTAATAGAGCTATTTCCTCTTTAATCCAACTACATCACCAAGGGGTCAAAGGAATCACATTTGGTTTTGTAGTAGTACTAGTACACGTGATTAACTGCCCATATTTCATGGAATCATAGAAATATTTTGCTGTATATAATGGGGTGTGTTCTAGTATTATTTTTAAATGACTAAAACAAATAGAAAAACTGGAAACTTTTTGAAAAGTGGATAAATGGCTTCGTTTTGTCACCACAATACATCTTCAAAACTAATTTTCCAACCCATCTTCCAAGTGTGAGAGTCAAAAAGAAATAACTGTATTTGCAAGATTTCAGAGTTTATTGTAAATAAGTGATTTAATGAGAGACATATTCAAAATTACTAATTACTATATTTGAAATCATTTCATGTCACACATTTCCCATGGTTCTTTAGAATTTAGGTTTTATATGATATAGATTTTGCATGACAGATAGACTTTTCCTTTAATTCAGCTGTTTCTCTACGTAAAAGGTAAATAGAACCTAAGACAAAAAGGTCCTGTATAAAAATAGTTTCAATGAAATATAACTAGGACAAAGATTCTGATTTCTGTTGATAGCAAAAATGTTTTTGCAAAGTAACATCTGGATTTTTTGTAGGTGTTGAGTTGCCATGATATTATGGAAAAGCAAAGGGCCACATTGGTGTGGGTGAAATGCCAGTGCAGGGAGAATGGAAGTGAGCACATATCATACACTCTGACTTAATTGGGATGGGGAGTTTTCTTCCACTTTTCCTTGGCTCATTAACTAGGAGTCTGCTCCCATCAGCACTTGAAAGAATATAAGCTTGTGCTAAGGATCTTTCACCCCAGACACTTATGACTTGTCTACACTGGCATAACTTTTTATTCTTCCATTTATTTCTCATAGGACTCTCATATCAGCAGTTTGATTACTGGCCACTGTATTGTGCCTTATATCAGTCATATTAATATTTATTATCAACAGTGGGCAGACCTGAAAAGAGATTAGCACTCTTTTAATCATAATGTGTTTGAGGGTATGATAGTCTGATTTTCCCATTATTATCATCAATCTGAGATAGAGGAAAGATTGAAGTAACACTAGCATGTCCTTGCATAATCAAAGCTCAGTTGCTAGAAAAAGGTTTTTAAGTTCAAATTGTGTCCCCTTAGCAGTTGAGGAATGAAAAAATCAAAATATCAAAAGAGGAAGACTGGAGTAATTGTGGCTGACATTTCTCATGCTCATCTTTCATTTCTTGAATGAAGTGGGTGTATATGGGAGATGAGTGATGGTGGTGGTGAGTGGGGGGAAGTGGGAGGGAGAAACAGAGAAACTGAAAAATGTGAGTCTTTCTGTATTTTCCCATAAAAAGGGCTGTGTTCACTAGAGTAAAATACTTTATTTATCTATCTAACTATCTTCCAAAGTGAATTTGCTGGTCAAATTTACTATGGCTTTTTTAATATAAAAATTTTGGTTTTCCTATGACTAGAGTTGTCCCTTGATACCAACATTAAGAAATAGGATATATTGTAATAGAATATAGCATATTGGAAACTAATAATATTTTAAATACCTGAAAAAAGTACTCTTAGGCAGCAAGGAAATTTTTTTAAAAATAGTGAAATTATGATATGAGATTCACTTTTGTAATGCAAGATTATCTAAAGTAGAAAAATATTTTTAAGAGCAAAAAAATCAATGCATGATTTGCCTAAATCAAAAATATTTATATACTGAACTTATGTTTGCCAATCTATAAGTTGAGTATTTGAGTTTTAAATTGAATCACATACATTGTGCAGTAACAATGGTGCCCTGCCTTGATGTTGTATTATTATCCAGGAATAAATTATTGTGTCCCTCTTTCCACTCTGTTTCTCCTGTGCTTTTCCAATTTGTTCTGGAAGAGCACAATCATATCAGGTTTTAGTGTGCTGCTGCATAGATTTAAGAGAGTATATATCACCTATATCACCAGGCCTCCCCCTTGTATTTCCAGAATGTATGATATAAATTATTGGGAAGTATATACTGAAAACATGACTTTAGTAAATCTGGTTTAATACCTAATACTCTGAATGGAGCCAAAACAGAGACAGATAACAGACAATGTGAAAATGAAAATTTACTTAAAATGAAAGGTACATATATAGAGAACCTCTTTGAATGAGTTTTTAAGACAGTTTTTTCTTTTCTCTCACCAAATCTATTCTCAAGTCAGTTTTCATAATAGAAATTGCATTTACCAAAACATGAACATTTCACATGTACATATAATTTTCTCAAAAATTTAATTTGTTTCCATTATTTGTTATATTCATTTCATAGTATATTTAAATCTATAAATACATTATTTATGAAGCCTAGATATGATTTTTATATTCTATGAATATGTGAAACATGTACATTTGTTTTTTAACTTGTCATTCTGCTTTAAAAAGAAACAAAAACTCATGCACAGAAAATTCCTTTACATTTTGTTAAGTTTTTGCTTCCATTTTGTTACTAACTTTACATAATACATTGTCACTGTTTTCGAGGACTGTTGGCAATGACAAGTGCTATGTCATGGGCAGATCACTTTTAAATGTATCTTGACATAATTTCTTCAACTGCATCCATATATCTTTTCATTTCACTTAAAAATGTTCTCCCCATGCTAACTATGTGCTAGAATATGCCAGATGTCATATATACAGTCATAAACAAGACAGTTTTGGTTTTCTACCCTTGCAAAGTTAGTTTCTAATTTGTATGGAAAACATGAAAAAATTATACATAAAATAGTAAAGGTTATGATAGAAAAAGTATACATTGTTATGAGAAAACATAATAATGGTAACTCATCTAGTCTTCAAGTAATTTGAAGTTTTAAACTGACACCTGAAATACATGCTAGTATAAATATATAACTTAAGAGATGTTTATTCACTTAGCATGTCCTAGCACTCAGTATAATATATAACTGATGTATAGTAGGCAGCCAAAAAGCCATAGAGAATAAATAATAGATGAGTGAAAGGGCTTGGCAACCAAAGAGATTTCATAGTGAGATGGGTGCAAGGTGTTAAATTATGCCCCTGGCTGACAGAGAGAATGGACTCCCCGTAGTTACCTAAGATGATTAAAGTTAAGGCAAACCAGGCAGCCATAGCTGGGTGAGGGAGGAGTCACATACTGTATGTTATCAGAAAGATGTTGTAAAAGTGTTACAAGACCTTCCTTTCTACAATCAAGCCAAACCAGTTCCTGTTGTGGGTGCTGAGATAAACTGTGGCCAACACCCGCCTACCCCACTGGTTATTTGAAAGAAACATCTGACAGAGACCTCTGGTTTGGGGCTTGTAAACCATCCAAACAGGGCTTGCCTATTTTGACCAATCAGAACCAAACAAGTTTGAATCTTTGATTTGCATAAACGGACTTGATTGAGAACCTGAGTAAGAACTTTCCCCTTTTAAGCCAGATCTTCACTTTTTTTTCTACAGAGAATGTACTTTCACCTTACTGAATTCTGTGCCTCCCCAATCAGCAGACTTTTTTCTTAGAAAATCGTTATATTTTTGCCCCCACTGAACTCATTAATCTTTGATTAACAAAGTTTGCAGAGAGAACAGAAAACATAAAGGCTTGAATGTGAGAGGATATAGAGAAAATAATCATGACTAGGTGAAGAATGAAGAGATGAAGTTGGAGTTTTAGATAGAGGCCAGGTTCTCAAATATTTTTGAGTCCCTGAAACCAACTGAAATTTAAAAAAAAAGATTTACATAATTAAATCATCAAATTGAATTTCAGAAAAATCACTCAGGCAACTCTGTAGAGAATAGCTTGTAGGGGCCAAATCTGGTAGAAGAGAGAATTTAAGACTGTAAAGGTCATCCAGCTGGGATAAATGAGCTCATCTAGCTGAGAGAAGATGATATCTCAGACTGTTAATACAGTTGGATTTTTGAGAAATGTGAACATGTCCCTAAAGAACTTAGGGACATGAAAAACTTAGTTATGAGTTTAATGTGTTGAATGTGGAAGAGGTTCGTGTCAAGGAAGATTCTCATGTGCTAAGGGAACTAAAATAACAGTAGTATTTTAAAGAAAAATAGACCTGTGCAAAAAGAATCTGAGATGTCTGTGTGGTATTCACATTAAAGTGTCTAGATGACAAATGGAAATTAGGGTACAAAGAGGTTATCAGTTTTCTCCACTAGAAAATATCATATATTTCCAAGATGTGAAGGGTAGAGTTTATCTAGGGATTTGAAAGTCCAGTTTGCAGGAAGGTAATTAACTATTTTAGCTGAGAAGTCGTTTCTGAGATTTTGATCTCACAGAGACTGTGGAGTTTAACCTGTTGGTACAGTAGTGGCTGAAGAGTCAAATAATGAAATCTAAAACACAAAGCTAAGGAAATGGAAGCTGGTGGAAGTGGGGGAAAAAAATGAACATAATGTGCTCCTGGTCAAAAACAGCATTTAGAAATAATTGACCCAATGGAGGCGGAGATTGCAGTGAGCCGAGACCACGCCACTGCACTCCACCCTGGGCGACGGAGAGAGACTCCGTCTCAAAAAAAAAAAAAAAAAAAAAAAAAAGAAAAACAAAAAAGAAATAATAGACCCAATAATATAGAGGAAGCATTGCTGTTGTTCTAGGTTAAATAAGAATTAGTGTATGGGTTTAAAATTTTTTACTTGAAAAATGGTGAGTAAATGCATAATTCTATAGAAGTATCTCTAGAGAACTCAGCTGGTGCAGTGCTTATCACTTAATTTCTTGGATGTAACCAGAATGCAAAATAAATCTTGTTGCCTTGTTTATCTTTTATGTCCAAATAGCAAAATAGGGAAGTGGATTCCTAAACATATTAAGCCAAAACTGTTAAAAACCACCAAAGGAGGTGAGAAATGAAAGATGCCTAGTATCTTTTCGTGGACTATTTGGACACCTAGGCCGATCATTTTGAGACCAAGTAGAGGGCTGCTTGAATGCAGAAATTGTTCTTTCAAGGCAGATAAAAAGTCATGCG
Source organism: Homo sapiens (assembly GCF_000001405.40). Lineage (NCBI taxonomy): Eukaryota > Metazoa > Chordata > Mammalia > Primates > Hominidae > Homo > Homo sapiens. Next base: position 104,249,260 of record NC_000005.10, read on the forward strand.
TGTTCTCTTATCCATGATCCATAGTCGTCATAAATATTTCCTTTTTTGTTATAATTCTGGGCCAAAAAGAAAATTAAAAATTGTTTGACTTTCATAGCTTGATCAACCACAGACTTATTTTTATTTAGACAATAATAAATTCTAGTAGATTACCTGTTCAAGAGAAAAATCAATTTTGTGATTCATAAGTTTAAGAAAGTTACCATTGATATAATAAGGAATTAAAAATATATATCCTGCAATGAACTTAAATAAGGGATATTTCACCCTCTGACCAATCTTGCTTTTCATAAATGGGCATGATCAGTTTCAATTAATACTGTTGTCATCTCTATATGGTCATTGTTCTCTGCAAGAAACTACTTGCTAAGAAAGATAATTTTTATCTCCTTTAGAAAAGCAGGAGTTATAGGATAAATGCTTATGTTAAGAAGTTTCAGGCAACTGAGTATTTCATAGACATTTACTTGATTTTCTTCTAAAGTAGCAAAAGTTTAGGAATGTAAATGCCTATTTTGCTATGAAGATAATTTATTATTTTGATGAGAAATATATTCTAAAGGTTCATTACTATAAAATTGTATTACAGATTCCAAAATTAAAGTAGATACATTAAAGACCAACCTAGCATTGTCAAAAGCAGAATGAGTTGTACAAATTCACAGTTTATTGGAGAAGGAGGGAATAGTTTTATTACAATGTCCGTGGGGATCTGAGCTTACTGTGCTCAGATTATTCCTCATTATCACTTTCAGCATACCACAGGAGCTTTCCAAATCTTATATGGAATAGACTACAAAGAATAAAGTTAGAGATAGGCCCACATATACTACTTCGAGATACACTTAGTCAAGCAGCAGTCTATACTTTTTGGACATTTGTATGGATTCTTTTGAGAAATGACTATTCAGATCTTTTGCCCAATTTTTAGTAGATTATTTGAGTTTTTTGCTGGTGAGTTGTTTCGGTTTCTTGCATACTCTGTGTTTTACTGTAATGCCTCAAGCTTTGCTCTTTTTGTTTAGAATTGCTTTAGCTATTCAAGGTCTTTTGTGGTTCCATATAAATTTTAAGATTTTTTGTATTTCCATGAAAAATGTAATTGATATTTTGATAGGGATTGCACTAAATCTGTATATTGCTTTGGGTAGTGTTGCTATTTTAACAATATTAATTCTTCGAATTCATGAGCATGGAATATATTCCCATTTTTGTATCATCTTTAGTGTCTTTCATCAGTGTTCTATAGATTTTTTGGATAGATTTTTCATTTCTTTGGTTAAATTGATTCTTTGGTATTTTATATTCCTTGTAGTTATTGTAAGTGGGATTACTTTTTAATTTTTTTCATAATGCTTGGTATTGGCATATGTAAATGCTACTGATTTTTGTATGTTGATTGTGTATCCTGCAGCTTTACTGAATTTATTGATCAGTTCTAATAGTTTTCTGGTGGAATCTCTAGGATTTTCTAAGTATAAGATCATGTAACTGCAAACAAGTTTAATTTGACTTATTTTCCAACTTACATGCCTTTTATTTCTTTCTGCTGCCTAATTGCTCAGTAGGGACTTCCTGTATTATGTTAAATATGAGTGGAGAAAGTGAGTATCGTTGTTTTGTTCCAGATCTTAAAGGAAAGGCCTTCAAATTTTCCCCTGTTCAGTTTGATGTTAGTTGTGGGTTTGTCATATATGGCCTTTATTATTTTGAGGTATGTTCCTTCCATATCCAGTTTGATGAGGTTTTTTTAATCATAAAAGGATGTTGAATTTTATGAATGCATTTTAAGTATCTATTGAAATAATTATTTGTTTGTTTTGGTTCTGTAAATGCAATGTATTATGTTTATTGATTTGTGTATGTTGAACCATTCATGCAACCCTAGGATTAATCCCACTTGATCATGGTGAATGGTCTTTTTAATATTTTGTTGAATTTGGGCTGCTAGTATTTTCTTGAAGATATTTGCATCTATATTCATTAGGGATACTGGCCTGTAGTTTTTGTATCTTTGTTTGGTTTTTGGTTTCAAGGTATTGCTGGTCTCAGAATGAGTTGGGAAATATTCCCTCCTCTTCAATTTTATAAAATTTTGAGTATAATTGGTATTAGTTCTACTTTAAATGTTTGGTAGAATGCAGCAGTGAAGTCATTGGGTCCGGGGCTTTTTAAAATTATGGTTTGATCTTACTACTCATTTGGTTTGTTGAGATTTTCTACTTAGTGGTTCAATTTTGGTAGTTGTATGTGTACAGAAATTTACTCATTTTTTCCCTAAGTTTGCATAGAGTTGTTTGTAATATTCTTTCATGATTATTTGTATTTCTGTGGTCTCAGTTGTTATGCCTCCTTTTTGTTACTGATTTTATTTATTTAGGTCTTGTCTCTTTTTTCCTAGTCTAGCTAAATATTTGTTGATTTTGTTCATCTTTTCAATAAGACAACTTTTCATTTAATTGATCTGATGTGTTATTCTTTTGGCCTCAATTTTATTTATTTCTGCTCTGGCCTTTATTATTGATTCCTTCCAATTTTGGGTTTGGTTTGTTCTTACTTTTCTGGTTCTTTGAGGGGTATGACTAGGTTGTTATTTAAATCTTCCTGCTTATTTGATATAGGCATTTATTGCTATAAACCTCCCTCTCAGTATTGCTTTGCTATATCTCATAGATTTGGGTATTCTGTAGTTTTATTTGTATTTATTTCAAGAAATTCTTATATTTTGTTCTTAATTTCTTCATTGACCCATTTACCATCCATGAACATGTTGTTTAATTTCCATGTGTTTGTGTAGTTTCTGAGGTTCCTCTATTATTCACTTCTATTTTTTTTCCATTGTGGTTAGAAGATATTTTTGATATGATTTCTACATTTTTGAATTTGTATAGACTTGTTTTGGTGCCTCAGCTATTATCTGTTCTGGGGAATGTTTCATGTGCTGATGATAAAAAATGTTTATTCAGCAGCAGCTGAGTGAAATGTTCTTTAAATGCCAATTATGCCTATTAGATCTAGTGTGTAGTTTGTGTCTGAAGTTGATTTTTTGTCTGAATAATCTGTGTGTTACTTAGAGTGGGGGTGTTAAAGTCCCCTACTATTACTGTATTGCAGTCTGCCTTTGCCTTTAGGTCTATTAATGTTGCTGTTTATATGTAGAGTTCTAGTGTTGGGTGTGTAGATATTTATAATCATTATTGACTCCAGCTGAATTGACCTCTTTATGATGATATTGTGACTTCTTTGTCTCTTTTTTACAGTATTTGATATGTAGTCAATTTTATCTAATATAAGTATAAACTACTCCTGCTATTTTGTGGTGTATGTTTGCATAGACTGTATTTTTCTGCTCCCTCACTTTTAGTCTATGTGTGTCTTTACAGGTGAAATGGGGTTCTTGTAGGCAGTACATGGTTGGGTCTTGTTTCTTTATCCATTCGGCCACCCTAGGTTTTTAATTGAGTAATCACATCTATTTACATTCAGTTATTACTGATAACAAACTTACTATTGCCATTTTGTTGTTTGCTTTCTGGTTGTTTTGTAACTCTTCCCTTTCTTGTTCTTTCTTACTGTCCGTCTATGTGTTTTAATTCATTCATTGCTATGTTTTAATTCATTCATTGCTTTTTATTTTTAATGAATCTACTGTAGGTTTTTGTGTTACGGTTACCATGTGGCTTACAAAAATATTTTCTAAATATAGCAAGTTATTTTAAAGAGATGACAATTTATCATAGCTAAAGAATAGAGACAAATAGAAAAATGGAAATTAAATTCTATATATTAACTCCACCCCCGACACATATATTTTGACATTTACCTGTCTCAATTTATGAATTTTATATTACCTATCTCTTAATAAGCAGCTCTATATATTATTGTTTCTGATAGACTTGTTTGTTGGACTTCATACTAGAGGTATAAGAGATTTTCACACTCTATTAGAGAGTTCTTGTTTTATCCATGTACTTTGTTTTACCAATGGATATTATACCTTCAATTTTTTTTTGGACATTAGTGTTTTGTTTTTTTCCCTCTCAGACTGAAGAGCTCAATTTAGTATTTCTTGTAAGATAGGTCTGGTGGTGGTGAATTCTCTCACCTTTTCTTTGTCTTGGAAAAACATTATCTCTCCTTCATATTTGAAGGATAACTTTGCTAGATACATTGTTTTGGGTGACAAATTTATTTCTTTCAGTAGTTTGAAAATGTCATTCCACTGGCTTCTGGACTGTATGATTTCATTGAGAAGTCTGTTGCCCGATGATTTGGAGCCCCTTTACATGTTATTTTCTTATTTGCTTTTGCCTCTTTTAGGAGTATCTTTTTGTCCTTGAGGTTTGAGAGTTTGATAATTTTATGCCTTTAGATAGTCTTATTTGGGTCCAAACTGTTTGGTGTTCTCTGACCTTCCTTTGCTGGATATGTATATCTTTCTCATGTTTTGGAAAGTTTTCTGTTATTATTTCCTTGAAAAGATTTCTACCCCTTTCTTTCTCTAAACTACATCTTGCACACCAATCATTCTTTAATTTGGTCTTTTGAGGTAATTTTCTTTATCTTGTAGGCAATCTATTATAGATTTTTGTGTTGTGGTTTACCATGTTGCTTACAAAAAACATAGGCTCATTTTATTATTTTGCATGTGGATGTCCAATTTTCCCAACACCATGTATTGAAGAGACAATCTAGGGGCATATTTCTATTAAATATTGTACTAAAGCTATAGCTCACTCTGGGTAGTATAGACATTTTAACAATAGTAATTCTTCTAATCCATGAACATAAGATACCTTTCAAATCCATGAACCCAGAGTTTGTGTGTGTGTGTATGTGTGTATATACATATGTATACACGTATATATATATATATATATATATATATATATATACTCACACATATTTAAATATATTTAATCAGTGTTTTGTAGTTCTCAGTGTACAGAATTTTCACCATCTTGGTTAAATTTATTCGTAAGTATTTTATTTTTTGATGTTATTTTAAATTGGATTATTTTCTTCATATCTTTTAAATAGTTCCTGGTTTGTATATAGAAACCCAGCTAACTTTTATATTTTATTTTGTATTCTGCAGCTTTATTGGATTTATTTATTAGCTGATCTGATGACTATACATAGTATGCATCAAAATATCACTGTATACCCTATGGATATGTACAATTATTATTTGTCAGTTAAAAATGATCCTAAAATTATCATTGGAGTACTTATGGTTTTCTAGGTATAAAAACATGTCATCTGAAAACACAGACAATTTTACTTCTTCTTTATTGATTGGAATGCCTTTATTACCTTTTCTTACCTGTTTGATCTGGCTACAATACCAAGTACTATGTTGAGTGGAAGAGGTAAGAATTGGCATCCTTTTTTCTTCCTGTTCTTAGAGGAAAATATATCAACTTTTTACAGTTGAGTATAATGTTAGCTGTGGGCTTGTCAATATATGGCTGTTATTATGTTGAGTTAAATTTCTTATTTACCTAATTTGTTAAGAGTTTTTATCACAAACTGATGTCAAATTTTGTAAAATACTTTTTCTTTGCATCTATTGAGATAATTATGATTTTTATCCTTTGCTCTTAATGTGATATATTACATTTATTTATTTGTATAATCCTTAAATCACAGGAATAAATTATACTTGATTGTGGTGTATGGTTCTTTTAATATGCTGTTGAAATTGTTTTACCAGTATTTTGTTAAGGATTTTTGCATCTATATTCAAAGGAATATCAGCATATAATTTTTTTTCCTTGTAGTGTCCCTGTGTTGGTATCAGGATAATGTTAGCCTTGTAAAATGAGTTTAGAAGTGTTTCTTCATTCAATTTTTTGGAAGATTTTGAAAACGATTTTTCTTCTTTGAATGTTGGTAGAGTTCACCAGTGAAGACATATGATCCTGGGATTTTCTGTGTCAGAAGGTTTTATTTTTTATTACTGATTAAATCTCCTTACTAATTTTTGGTCTGCTCAGAATTCCTATTTCTTCATTTTTCAGTCTTGGTAATTTGTATGTTTCTAGGAACTTATCCATTTCTTCTAGGTTATGCAGCTTGTTGGCATATAATTGTTTATAGTAGTCCTTTAGGATCCTTTATATTTCTAGGTTATGATTCGTAGCGTCTCATCTTTCATTTATAATTTTATTTATTTTTGTCTTCTCTTATTTTAAGGTAACTTAATCAATTTTGTTGACTTTAAAAAAGAACTCTTAGTTTCACTTAATTTTTTCTATTGATTCTCTAATTTTTTATTTCTGCTCTAATCATTTCTCTCTTCTGCTAACTTTGGCTTAGTGTATTCTATTTCTATTTATTTGAGGTATAACATTAGTTTAATTATTTAATATTTTTGTTTATGCAAGCGTTTATTACTATAAGATTCTCTCTTTAAACTGCTTTTGTTGCATTCTACAAGATTTGGTATGTTTTGTTTCCATTTTCATTTGTCTCAAGATTTTTTTTATTTCCCTGTTGACTTCTAGTTTCACCCAGTGGTTGCTCAGAAATGTGTTGTTTAAAATAAACGTATTTGTGAATTTTTAAATCATTCCTTGTTACTGATTTCTAGTTTCACATAATTGTGGCAGAAAGACACTTGATATAATTTCACTCTTTCTAAATTTATTAAGACTTTTAACAGTTTATATTAAGGCAATATGAACTTTACTTCAATTGCATACAAATGCTCTTCACTTTTACTTCTCTCCTCCTTCCCCATATTTTGTTACTGATATCCATTTTGCTTCTCATTATATTTAACATTATCAAATTATTTTAACTATAGTTACTTGAATACTTTTGTCTTTTAACTTTTACACTACAGCTAAAGGTGATATATGCACCCTTATTACGGTATTAGAGTATTCTAGATTTGACTATATACTTACCTTAACCAGTAAGTCTTATACTTTCATATTGCTAACTAGCACCCTTTTATTTCAACTTGAAGAACTCCCTTTAGTGTTTCTTATAAAGCATATTAGTGATGATGAACACCCTCAGCTTTTGTTTGCTTGGCAAGTCTTTATCTCTCCTTGATTCCTGATGGACATCTTTGCCAGGAAATATGTTCTTTGTTTGCAGGTTTAAAAAATAATTTAAGTTTGTGATTTGTCTATATTTTCACACGTTCTCCTGGCCTGCAATATTTCCACTAAAAAATCTGCTTATATTCTTATGGGTGTTTCTTTGCAGGTGATTTACCTATTTCTCTTGCTGTTTTCAAAATGTTGTCTTTGTCCATTGACTTTTGACAATTAAATTGTAAGGTGTCTCAGTGAAGACTCTTTATGTTCAATCTATTTGAAGTTTTGGGAGCTTCATGGAACTTGATACCCATTTCTTTTTCCAGATTTTGGTAATTTTTATTTTGTTCTTTCTTTAAATAAGCCTCTACCCCTTTTATTTTATCTGTTTACTCTAGAAATCTTATAATGCATATATTGGTTACTTGATAGTGTCTCATATGTCTCATAGTCTTACTTCATTGCCTTTTATTATTGTTTCTTTTTGTTCCTCTGACTAGATAATTTTGAATGATCTGTCTTTAAATTTGCTGATTCTTTCTTCTGCTTAATTAAGAGTTTTTAGCTCATTTATTGAATTCTTCAGCTCCGAATTTCTATATGGTTCTTTTTTATAATTTATATCTCTTTGTTGAATCTCTCCTTTTGTTCATATATCGTTATCTCGATTTCTTTTGGTTGTCCTTTTGTGTCCTCACAGCACAATGAGCTTCTTAAGACCATTATTTTCATTCATTTTTCAGGTAATTTGCAGATCTCTATTTCTATGAGGTGAGCCACTGGGGCTTTATTTTGGTCTGTTTTAAATGTTCAAAAAATGTTAATGTTCCTTGAAGACTTACATTACTGTTTTGGCAATCCAAGAATTAGTCACACCTTCCAGTTTTTACTGATTGACTTTGAGAAAGAAACACTATTCTCTGTTAGTCCAGCTAGAGATTTGGAGAACCTCTCAGGTGTTTTATGTGGATGCACCCACTGTACTATTCTTGTTCCCTTTTTGGATGAAAGTTCTAAGATTATGTGCCTTCTCTTGATCCCACTAGTCTAGACCGGGTGTCTCAAGCTTCCTGTTTATTTTTCTTAGGGACGTGCCCTGAGCACTCTAGGTTGTGCACCTTTTCCCAATCCAGGAGAGTCTAACTGGCTGCTGATATCTGTGTGCTATCTTCAGAGGCTAGCCTGTACTACCTGTGTGGGAGTGCACACCATCTGCAGGAGACGGTGGGGCACTAGCCATGGGTGGAGGGAACTGCTGAGGGCATATGTCAGCTGGTTAAGTAGATTCACAGTTGAGATGGGCCATGGAGTTTATGGGAATAACTCTTGATGGGTCTGAAAGTTGGTCAGTTGGATGTGAGGACATTTGTTTAGATCTGTGCACCAGCTGCCATTAAGTCCCCTACCCTATTCTCTTCTCCTGACTTCTCCCAGGAGACTCAGTTATTCTGAATCCCTCAGTGTTTTGGGTGGGGTGAGACAGAAGTGGGCTTCCTAGGCATTGTCCATCAAGGCTGGGGAAACCAAGTCCTCACTTCACCTAAATTTTCCCCATGAGAGAAATTATGGGTCAAGGGGCTCTCTCTTGCCAGTGAGCTGTACTGCTTTGGGAAAAAAATGACATGGATAAAGTGAAACTGTTCTTATTCTCTCCCATATATCTATTATGTTTTTGTTTTGCTTTTTTCTCCACCGAGGTGTTGCTGCCTCTCAATTGGACTCCCGAGCTCCCATAAAGGTATTCTTGTCCATGAGTGGTTGTTAAAGTTGATGTTTATTGGAGGTTCGAAGGCTGAAATCTTCTATTTCATCATCTTCCTGATATCTGTCAGACACATTATTTAACAATATTACATACTGGCAATTTTCTCCTTCTGCTTTTCACTAAAGGAAATCATGATGTCAAAACTGTATGGCTGATGGTAGGGATTTCCAGCTTATGGACTGGCATGTAAGAAGCTTGGAAGGCACCACTTTATTCTAATAAGTAAAAAGCTGAAAAAACTGAAAACTCAACACCATTTTTCAGAGTTGTCAAAATAGTGAGGTCACAAGGTAAATTGCCCCCAAAACTGGAGAGAATGACAGGTGAATACAAGCAATTAGAATTTGTTGGAAAAAAATCCCTGCAGGAACCAGTGCCAAGGTAGATAAACTGTAATTATAAATGTAATTGAGGAATTACTCAAGACTTAGTGTTGACAAGTCTGAGAAGTTAAAACTCCAGGGGGCCTAGTAATCAGGGAGCCCCCATACTTTGTGAGTGTTACCTCCTGGAACTCTATCAGATTTTAATACTAAATATTGAAGAAAAATCCTCTTGTGCTTCTGGCAGGGGTAGGTGACATGTAACTATTTTGAAATACCAGAGTAGATTTTTTTCTTTTTGTCTCAGAGCCTGACTGACCGAGGAGAAAGAAAATACCCAATTCTATCTACTTGAAGATTTCAACATGGGACAAAGGAAATACCCAGCTTTGACACACTCAAGATATTCTGTCCCACTTGAAGTGGAAAAAGACTAAGAAGTTCATAGTCCAGAGCCACAGGCTCACTAAAATACTGACATCTAATTATCGGAGGATATAATGCTTCTTTCCTCTTTACTCCCCAATCTTTAACACCACATTACTGAAGGCCTATTATTTACAACAGCTCTTTTTACCCAATAGATCATGCCTAGTTATCAAGAAAATGTTTCAAGACATACTAAAAGTCAAAAAGCAATGTTTGAAGATAAAAAGCAAAGATCTGAACCAGATTCAGTTATGGCAGGGGTGTTAGAATTGTCTAACCAGGAATTTGAAACAACTATGATTAATGTGTGAAGGGTTCTAATGGAGAAAATAGACAGCATGCAAGAACAGATAGGCAGTGTAAACGGGAAAATTAAAACTCTAAGAAAGAAAAAAATGCTGAAGATTAAAATAAAAAAAAATCAACATTAGCAGACATGAGGAATGCCCTTAATGGGCTTATTTGAAGACTAGACAGTTAGAAAAAAACTTCCAAGCTTGGGGATATCTCTACAGAAACCTCCAGAACTAAAGACCAAATATAAGATTGAATGAAAAAAAGAACAGAACGCTTAAGGACTATGGGGCAAATACAAAAGTTGTAACATGTGTAATGAGAATAGCAGAAGAAAAAACAAGAAATAAAAGTTAAATTAGCAATATTTGAAAAATAATGACTGAGAATTTCTCCAAAGTAATGTCAGACATCAACCCACAGATCCAGGAAGCTCACAGAATACCAAGCAGGATAAATGCCAAAAATCTACATGCAGGCATATCATTTTCAAGCGATAGAGAATAAAAGATAAAGAAGAAGCCAGAAAGAAGCCAGAGGAACAAACCATGTTATCTGCAGAGAAAGAAATACAAGAATTACATCCAACAAAGAAGAGAGTGGAGTTAAATATTGTGTTAAAAGAAACAAATTGCCAACCTGCAGTTCTCTACCCTATAGAATTATCCTTCAAAAGTGAAGAAAAATAAGACATTCTCTAACAAAAATTGGCAGAAATTTGTAGCCAGTAGACCTGCCTTATAACAAATGTTAAAAGTAAAAGAGTTCTCTAGAGAGGAGAAAAAAATATAGGTTAGAAACTCAGATCCACGTAAAGAAAGAAAGGGCATCACTGGAAGAATAATAAATGCAAAATAAAACTTGTATTTTTCTTAATTAATTTAACAAATAATAGTTTATTCAAAATAATAACAGCAACAATGTATTCAATTATGTATTTTTATATATGTGTATGCTTATGTATAAGTTAATTCAATGGAAGAAATAAAGCAAGGCACAAGGGGGAGAAATTAGGATTATTTTATTGTTATAAACAAGTCAACTGCCTTTGAAGGGGTATAGTGTTATTTGAAAGTAGACTTGGGTTAGTTGTAAAAGTATCACAAGCTGGAACCACCACTAAAAGAGGTAAGAAAAATGTGTTCAGAAACAAGAGAAAATTGAATCATATAAAATGCTAAAATAAAATGAAAACAGGCAGAAAAAAATTGGAGGATAAAAATAGTAATAAGAAACAGGGCAACAAATAGATTAAAATAACAAATGTTTTTTATATATATATACATGCATATATATAAATATATATACAGCTATATATCTATATAAATATATATATAAATATATATAGATATATATATAAATATATATAGATATATATATGCAATTATTTTAATAATCACTTTAAAAAAAAGACAAGGTCTCCCTATGTTGCCCAGACTAGAGTGCAGTGATGATTCACAGGCATGATTCCACTACTGATCAGCACGAGAATTTTGACCTGCTCTGTTTCTGACTTGGGCCAATTCATCTCTCCTTAGGCAACCTGGTGGCAGCCTGTTCCCAGGTCACCATATTGATGTGGAACATAGTACAGATATTCCATCAGCATAGCTCACCACAGCCCAGAACTCCTGGGCTCAAGCTATCCTCCCACCTCAGCCTCCTGAGTAGCTGGGACTACAGGCATGTACCACTATGCCCAGCTCAATAATCACTTTGAACATCAGTGGTCTCAATATGCAATTAAAAGACAGAGATTGTCAGAGTTAATAAAAAAAATACCTAACCATATAGTATGTACAGGAAACCTACTTTAAATATATAGAGTCATATAGATTAAAAGTAAATGCCAGGGGAAAGACAGACCATGCTAATACTAATCAAAGGAAAGTGAGAGTAGTTATATTAATTTCAGGTAGAATAGATTTCAAAGCAAGGAAAGTTATCAGAAATAAAGAGAGGCATTAAATAATGATAAAGGGATTGATTCTTCAACAAGATACAACAATCTCTACCATGTATGCACCTAAAAACATTGTGTCAAAATACATGAGGCAAAAACTAATAGAACCTCAAGGATTAATTCACTATTGTAGTTGAAGACTTCGACATCCTTCTTTCAGAAATGAATAGATCCTGCACACATATAATTAGTAAGAACAGTTAACCTCAATAAAATCATCAATCAACTAGATATAATTAACATCTATCAACTATTTCACAGAATATACAGTTTTCTCAAGCTCACGTAGAATATTCACCAAGAGAGAATACATTCAGAGTCATAAAACTCATCTTAACACGTTTTGAATTATATAAATTATATAATACCTGCTATCAGATTACAATAAAAATTAAACTAGAAACCAGTAACAGAAAGAGTTGGAAAATGCCAAAATATGTATAGATTAAACAAGACACTTCTAAATGACACATGGGTTAAGAAAAAACCTCAAGAAGAATTTTAAAGTATTTTGTATTAAATACAAATAAAAACACAAATGATCAAATTTTGTGTGATGTAATGAAAGGAGTGCTTAGAAGGAAATTTATAGTGTTGCCATATATATTAGAGAAAAAACCCCCTGAAAATAATAATCTAAACATCCACATTAGGAAACCAGAAAAATAATAACATATTACATCTATAATGATTAGGGAAAAAAACAGAAATTAGAGCAGAAATTAGTGAAATTGGAAACAATAAAGCAACAGAGAAAAGTTAATGAAATCAAAAGATAACTATGAAAGGAACAATAAAATCGATAAGCCTCTTGTCAGGAAAAAAGAGGACACGGTTTACTAATATAACAAATCAAAGAGGAGATATCACTATGCATCTCATGGACATTCAAAGGATAATAAAGGAATAGTCTAAACGATTCTATGTCCACAAATTTGGTAACCTAGATAAAATGGACCAATTCTTTGAAAAACATAATCTGCCCAAATGCACACACCAAAAGTAGACAATCTGAATAGGTGTATCACTATTGATGAAATTGAATCAATAATTAATAATCTCAAACAGAAAATACCAGGTTTAGATGGATTCATGGGTATATTCTACCAAACATTAAAGGAATTAAATTATATCATTTTTTTAACAGTCTCTTCCAGGATACAGAAGCAAAGGGAATACTTCCTAACTTACTCTATAAGATGAGCATTACTGTAATGCCAAAACTAGACACAACATTACAGGAGAAGAAAACCAGAGACCAACATCTCCCATGAACTTAGAAGCAAAAATCTTAACAAAATGGAAATAAATGGAATCAAACACTATATAAAAATAATTATACATCATGACCAAGTGAGCTTTATTCCAGGTATGCAAAGCAGTTTCAACATTTGAAAATCAATGAATGAAATCCATCACATCAATAGGTAAAAAAAAAAAAAAGATACGGTCATATCAATAAATATAGAAAAAGTATTTGATGAAATCCAACAGCATTTCATGTTAAAAACTGTCGGTACCCTAGGAATGAGGAGAAAACCTTCTCAAATTGATGAAAATATCCTCAAAAAACCTTACAGCTAATATTGTAATTAATGGTGAGAAACTCAAAATTTTCCCACTAAGATCATGTACAAGGCATGGATGTCCCCTCTCATCACTGCTTTTCAATGTTGTACTGGAACTAGCTAAGGAATAAGAAAAGGAAATAAAAGAAATACACAGGCAAAAGACCCAGAATAGCCAACACAGTGTTGAAGGAGAACAAAGTTGGAGGATTGACACTACTTAACTTAAATCAAGACTTACTATGAAGCTACAGTAATAAAGACATTGTGATTTTAGTGAAGGAATAGACAAGGAGATCAATGGAACAGAATAGAGGGCCCAGAAAGAGGCCCACACAAATATAGTCAACTGATCTGATCTTTGAAAAAGGAATAAAGGAAATAAAATGGTGGAAGGAGTCTTTTCAACAAATGATGTTGAAACTGGAAACACACACACACACACACACACACACACACACACACAAAATATAGCCATAGATTTTATACATTTCAGAAAACTCAACTCAATATGGATTAGAGACCTAAATGTAAAATGCAAACTATAAAACTTTTAAGTGGTAATATAGGAGAAAAATCTACATGATGTTGGGTTTACCAATGACATTTTAGATGTAACATCAAAGGCTCTCAATGCAAGAAAGAATTGATACATTGGATTTCATTATAATGAAAAATTTTTGCTCATAAAATACACTGTCAAGAGAATAGAAAACCAAACCAGAGACTGGGAGATGGGATTTGCAAAAGACACATTTCACAAAGGACTGTTATCCAAAATATTTAGAAGAAACTCTTAAAATTCAACTGTTTTAAGATAAGCTAAGCTAAGAAAACAATCGTATTTAAAGATGACCAAAGACATTAACAAGCACCTCACCAAAGAACATATTTAGATGCTTAATAAGCATATAAAAAGATGACCCGCATCATATGTTATCAGAGAAATACAAGTTAAAGCAACAATGGGACACCTCTACCTCCCTATTAAAATGGCCAGAATCCAGAATACTGATGGTATGATTTGGCTGTGTCCCCACCCAGATCTCATCTTGAATTGTAGCTCCCATAATTCCTGTGTCATGGGAGGGACCTGGTGGGAGGTAATTGAATCATGGAGGAGGATCTTTCCTGTGCTATTCTCATGATAATGAATAAGTCTCATGAAATCTGATGATTTTATAAATGGGAGTTCCCCTGCACATGCCCTATTGCTTGCCACCATGTAAGACATGACTTTGCTTCTCATTCACCTTCAGCCATGATTGTGAGGCCTCTCCAGCCATGTGAAACTGTGAATCAATTAAAACTCTTTCCTTTATAAATTACCCAGGCTTGGGTATGTCTTTATTAGCAGCCTGAGAACAGACTAACACAGCTGACAACATCAAATGCTGGTGCAAATGTGGAGCAACAAGAAATCTCATTCATTGCTGGTGGGAATGTGAAATAGTACAACCACTTTGGAGGAGACTTCCAGAATTTAGTTTAAAATTCAATGTATTCTTACTATATAATCCAGCAGTTGCATTCCTCGGTATTTACCCAAATGAACTGAAAAATTATGTTCACACTAAAACCTAAACACAGATGTTATTAGCCACTTTAGTTATAACTGCCAAAATTTGGAAGAAACCAAGATGTTTTTAGTAGGTGAATGGATAAATCAACTATAATACATCTCAACAGTGGAATGTTATTTAGCTCTAAAAGAAAATGAGCTGTCATCCAATGAAAAGACATGGAAGAAACTTAAATATTTATCACTAAGTGGAAGATGTTAATCTGAAAAGACTACATGCCCTATGATTCCAACAATTTAACATTCTGGAAAAAGCAAAACTATGGAGACAATAAAAAATTAGTGGTTTCTAGGTGTTAGGGGAGAGAGAGGAATTTACAGCTGAGGCACAGAGAATTTTTAAGATAGTGAAATGATTCTGTATGATACTATAATGTTGGATACATGTCATTATATATTTATCCAGACCTATAAAATGTACATGACCAAGACTGAACCCTGATGTAAACTATGGATTTTTGGTAATGATAGGTAAATGTAGGTTCAATAATAATAACATATATACTACTTTGATGGGGGATATTGATAATTGTTGAGGCTATGCATGTGTCAGGGCTACAAGGCATATGAGAACTCTCCCTTCCATCCAACTTTGTTGTGAACTTAAAGTCTGCTAAAAAAGCAAGCAGATAAATTGCCATTCAACATGACAGCCTCTAACAACATCTGACTTTTAGATTTAAACTAAAAAGTAAACTATAAAGTTCTTTTAGACAATCTTGTCATGGAAAGTGTTAAACTGAAAACACTCTTTTATTAAGCTATGTATGCACTCTTAAATCACTAGGTTTTTCTTTTATAGTTATTTTCCAATAAAGAAGCAACACGTATATTAAGAGAAACTACATTGATGGTTGGAAATTCAGAATAAATTTTCACAAAGACAAAAAGAAGGATTTCAGATGTAGATTATATTCTCCATCTAATCCACAATATCTATTTAATAGTCATTGAACTGTATTAACAAGTAAAAATAGGACTCTGTTTCTCCAGACCTTGAAGGTTTTTTGGCAGAAGTTTGTATATAGAAGGGGAAGATTGTGTGTCCTCCTTGCTAATTTTACAAATTTCTAAATTGAAAACTATTTATACAATGAAGTAGTAAATAATTCAGTAAATAATTATTTAGTTTGATTTGATTATTGAATGCATTAGCTAACCTTGAGTGTAGGAATTTCCCCCAAATGCAAATATTAGAGTAGACTGTATTTCCAAAGCTGAAAAACAATATCCACTATCTCTGCTTTAGCAATGTGACTTGCTTTCTCCTTGTCAAAAAATGCTACTTATTATCACTATCCTTGAATTTGGTCTGTCTAGGATGACCAAAGTTCCTGATTTGCCCAGGAATGTACTTTTTTGGTAGTGAAAATCCTGTATCCAAGAAAACACCTTAGCCCCAGGCAAACAGGGATCATTAGTGAACCTGTCCATCTTCCCTCCCACCCACCCCCCTTCCCCAGCTGTGAGTAACAGCATGTGGTGAAAGTAAGCTTTATAATTTGTGAGGCTGGGCTTCAGGTTACTTTTGCCTTTACTGTTTAGAATACTCTTTCTTAGATCTAGTTTCTATGCTGTGAAGAAACCCAAGAAGCCACATTTGGAGGCCCAATATTAGTCTAGGCATTCTCTGGAATCTCAACAACAGAAGAAGGAGGAAAAGCAGGAAGGCCCCAGGCTAACAGCCTCAGCTGATCTCTAGTCCACAGCTAGACTAACTGACAGCCTTTTAATTGAGGGCTTTTGGAAATTCCAACCATTACCATGCCCCAGATGACACCACATTAAGTTAAAGAACACCCTGGTTCATCCACACAATCATGAGAGATAATTAATGGTTGTTATCTTAATCTTGTGAGATGGTTAATTATGCGGCAATAAATAATTGTAACAATGAGTCACAAAAGGTCAGCAAGTACTCAGAAGTAAATATCTAAATATTAAATACTGTGCATGGTGGAAAAAATGTTGGACTTGCAATCACTTTGTAGATTTAAAGCTTCAGATCCTTATTTTCTAGCTGAGATCTTTTGAAAAAATTACTCTCATTTCTTCCTCAATAAACTGGAGATTACGATACTTTACAAAATTTTAGGAATTGCCAAGCAAGATGATGCATATGAAAAAACTTTAAACCACACACAGTACCACATGAATACAAGACTAAGTTGCTACATCAGTCATAAAGGAACATCATGTTACCCTGTTTTTGAACTGTAAATATAAGAAAATGTCTGTTTAGAATATGAATCTTATTAAAGAGGGGCAGTTTAGAGAAAGGTGAGTTGCAATTTATTTCCTAATAAAATCTTTTGACTTCCATTCCTATAGAGAAGCAAAACACCGCATTCAGTTTTTAGCTTATCCAAGTACACTAAGCTACTTTGTACAATATGAAGAAATATCCTTTCATGTTCACTAAGACCTCATAAAATTATGTTAGACCTCATGTGACTCTTCCACATTACACCTTACTATGGATTTTTCATTTTTCTATTTTAAAGTTTTAAAGTTTACTTTGCTTTCACCATTAAATTTTTATTAGTTTCCTATTTTTGTTCATTTTCTCTGTGATATGGGTAACATAAAGAGGATAATTCAGATTAAGTATCACACGGCTTCTAGAGTTTATGATGATACAGAAAGAAAGCGATTCCCTTGGCTGAAGGGCCTTTGAGTGAAAGAGGGAGTGTTGTGTTTTAAAAAGATATGAATATGAGATATGAGATCCATTTTTTGTTTTTTTTTGTCTATTTTTTTTGCCAGGGAATTTTTTTTATTTTTCTATTTGATTGGTAAGCAGAAATATCTAATCATAAAATTTTTAATTAAAAATTTAATCAGCTTTTGGAAAGAAGCAACCTTCTAACTGCCGCAACTTCCTATAAAAATAAAGATAAAAACAAATCAAAAGAAAGCCATAGTAGTGTGTCAGAGTGCATTTCAGAGCATGGAAAAAATAAGGCTGAGATTTTGCAAGACAAAAATATTTTTATGTTTTTTCATGGTTGGTATAATCCTGGGATGTTTTTTAACTTGTTATAAAGGACCTATTAAATTTTACTGCTGAAGTTGGAGAGAGGAAAATTACACACATGGGGTCTTTAACAGGTTTTTTGTCTAACAGCTTTGACACTATCCCACTGATTTTTGTCCCTGCCCTGATGGGTAGCCTTGAGTAGTGTCTGTTGTCTGGAGTCTAATGTCACAGCAATTAAATTCCCACAGGAAGCAGCAGCTTTAGAAGATGTGATTAGATTGGAGACACTGATGCTTGTTTTGATTTTGAAAATGCATCATCGATCATGGCTACTGATTTCAGCAGCAGCTCTAGCTGAGGGGAGCTGTGGGCTAAGCATCTGGCTTTATATTTAACTTTGGGGAAAATGAAGTCTTCCCTTGCCTATCAAGTCTACTCTGATATGTGGCCAATGCCTTTAGCAGATAATCCCAAAGATGTCAAATAACCTTTATTTCCCAGAGGTCATGTTGATCTTTTTCTTCTCATTCTGACCTCAGAACAGACCTATTCATTTTACATCTGACATCAGACTGTGAGAAGAGTAAGTTTTAGCTGTTTCCAGGGCTTACGGGAATGCTTGTTGTTGTTGTTGCTGTTAATATGCACCTCCCACCCCTTTGAATGTGTTTCTTGTGTGTGTGCATTTGAGTGTGCTCTGTGTATGTATTATTATCCATAGCTCAAGACATGTCAAACTAAATCCACCGATTTTTAGAAACAAAGAAAACTATGATTAACACTAGGTAGTTTCTTAGTGTGACAAGATATTCTAAATACCATGGTTTGATCATTACATTGTAGGCATGTATCAAAGTATCATTTGTACCCCATAAATATGTACAATTATTATCTATCAATGAAAAGGAATTCCAGGAATGCATTTTCTTGGCTTTGTTGTAAACATTTCCTGATTTTCATATTATCTGTTTTCAAGATTCCAGAGAATGCCTAAACTGATACTGGTATAAAAGCAAAAAGAAAAAACAAGAGAGTGTGCTGGGAAAGAGAAAAACTGTTGGGTAATCAGTCTCACATATGTTCCCCTGCAAAAAAAAATCAGCAAGCTTGTAGTTAACAGGCAAGACTTTCTCCAGCTACCATTTTGAAGCAGATTCCTCTCTCCCACCGCTTCCACCTCCAAAATTGAATAAAGTATTGTTCAATGGACCCATGTATTTTGAATATGAATTTAAATGAGTCTAATTATGACATTGAATGCAACAAACCGCTTTATATACAGCTGTCTTTACAAATAGAACATCATATATTGAAATTAAATGGGAATATTAACATATACTTTGTATGTATATGCACATAAAGTAAACTGTGGAACTAAGTGATTATCTGACCAATTATAGAATTGAAGTTAACTTCTACTATTGAAAATACCCTAGCTTTCCCCTAAAAGAGCATCAAAATTACCCCAACTGACAAATTATCCTGTTTTATTGATGTTTGCCTCACCATTATTTCAATATTATTTTAAAAATGGAAATTCAGAAAGTTACTATTTCATTTTTAGTTTGTTTATGAAAACAGACATGCAATAAATAGCATTAGGAATCCTTATATATTTTGGATATTAACTTCTTATCAGATATATAATTTGAAAATATTTTATCCCATTCTGCAGGTTGTCTCTTTACTCTGTTGGTTGTTTCTTTTGGTGTGCAAAAAGCTTATTTTATTTTTTTTTTGAGGAAGAATCTTGCTCTGTCACTCAGGCTGAAGTACAGTAGCTCAATTTTGGCTCACTGCAAACTCCGCCTCCTGGGTTCAAGCAATTTTCCTGCTTCAGCCTCCCAAGTAACTGGGACTACATGTGTGTACCATCACACCCAGCTAATTATTGTATTTTTAGTAGAGACAGCATTTCGCCATGTTGGCCAGTCTGGTCTCAAACTTCTGGCCTCAAGTGATCCTCCCACCTTGACCTCTCAAAGTGCTAGGATTACAGATGTGAGCCACCGTGCCCGGCCAAAAAGCTCTTTGTTTAATGCAGTTCCCTTTATCTATTTTTGCTTTTTTTTCCCCCATGTTTTTATGGTCATGTCTGAAAAATCATTGCCCAGACCAATGTTAAGAAGATAGATACACACACACACAAACACACACACAGACACACACAATGAAATACTATTCAGCCTTTAAAAAGAAGAAAATCTTGTCATGTGCCTTAACATCAATGAACCCCGAGGACATTACACAAAGTGAAATAAACCAGCCACGGGAAGAGAAATACCACGTAATCTCACTTACATGTGGGATCTAAAGTAATCTAACTCATAGGTGCAAAGAGCTGAATGGTAGTTGCCAGGGTTTGGGGGAACAAGAAAATGGGGTGGAAAGTGTTCAAAGTTATATTTAGACAGCATGAATAAGTTACAGAGATCTATTATACATCATGGTGATTATAGTTAGTAGTAATATTTTTGAAAACTGCTAAGTAGATTCTGCATGTTCTCACTACCAGAAAATAGCTATCTGAAGGGGTCTATGTGATAATTTACTTGATCTAATCATTTCACAGCATGAAACGGTATCAAAACACATTATATATCATAAACATATACAATTTTTATTTATCAAATATACCTTACTAAAGCTGAGGAAAAACAATTAAAAGGGAACACTGAATAAATTTGATGTATTCTACACATACACTTAAGAATACTGGAGAAAAGTAGCAGTTTAAAATTTCAGCTCTTCCTAAAATATTTTAAATGTACTGATCTCTCTATCTAGATATATATTTATGTGTACATATAAATAATATACATACAAATAAAAATATATTTGTACTGTTATATAATATTGAATATATAATACTAAAAATGCACTGATTTATATATATATATATATAATTCTTCCTTATGTAAAAACTGCCTCTCAAAAAAAGAGAATAATATATCTACAAATGATAATACATACAATGTTTCAGCATGTGCATTCTTCATCTACACAGATATGAGTTCAGTAGCTGGCTCCACCATTGAATTTTGTAATTTTAGGAAATGTACCTAATCTTGTTAATCCTCAATTGCCTTAACTGTAAATGAGGATTACAATAACACTTAACTCTCAGGGTTGTTGTGAGGATGTAATTAGGTAGCAGACATGAATCGCTTTACTTGATTGAATGATACATAGTAGGAAGTCAGTAAATATTAGCAACTGCTAGGCTAGCTGTTGAAGTGTAATATTTAAGAAATCATAACTTTAAATGTTACCTTGCTGTAGGAACGAATCCTTGGTCAGTTGTTTATAAATATTTCTCTTGGGAGTCAACTGTGAATCAGCAATATGCTGATTAGTGCTTAGGACACTAATTAAATTAAGGAAAATTCTCAACAAAGAGTTTGGAATGGGACACAAGAGAAGAATGATACACACATACTTACACACAAGACAGCAATGGAGAGCTTCGCTAGGTATGTAGCAACATCAAAGAGGAGCACTTTAAGTGCCCCGGTTTCCTCACCCTTTCTAGAGGAAGCAATGACAAGCTATGTCACAAAGGATATGGAGACACGGAGACATTAATCAGGGTGTCTGACTTGGAGGAATGTTCAAAACCGAGGGGCTATTAGCATGAGCAAATGCAGAGAGGTAAGAAATAATTCAGTGGGTGGTCTATAGCTAAAAGCATGAGATGAAGAGCACAACTGAAAAGGTCTGGAGATTCAGGCAAAGGTCAGTCACCGAGGACCTTGAATGTCCTGTTAAGATGCTCTGACTTTATTTTCTGGATGATGGGTAGCAGGCAAGCAGCAGAGAGATGTAGTCAAACTCTGCATTTTAAATAAATAGTTCTAGCAACAGTGGAATGGATGAATTTACAAGAGTCTCTGAGACCAATTTAAGTTGGTTCCTTAATCCTCAAAGTGGAATATGATTTGGGTTAAGAACTTGAGTCAACCAAATGGGTTAAATTATTACACCGGGTCCATTTTTTTTTAAGGGAGCAGATAGGAATGTCCCTTTCTCTCACAGCACATACACTGTGACTACTTCTTTTACTTATCAGATGCTATTTCTACTTCACCTCAAACCATATTAGTAATTAACTGGTTTGATAATGCCACTGCAAGAAAATGAAGCCTTTAGAAAAAAATCTCAGACTGTTGAAGTGGATTGATATTGCTGTACTCAAAGCTGAGTCAATTCTAGAAAATATTGCTCATGACCATATTACATATGCACACAAATATACACAGATGAATGGGCATGAAATTTATTAAAAATGGAAGTCCTAACTATAGAAGAAAGAGGCTAAGGATTTTGTGCCATAAGAAATAAGAAAAGAATTAGGATAAAGTGAACTGATAATGGAAGAGATCTTTAAGGTTGCACTCATACTATAAATGAGACTCATTCATCAATATAACTCATTGATTCATATTTTGATATGTGACCAGGAAGTTTTGTTGGGTGTAATATCAAATTTTTATCAATGCTAAATATTTATTTTTTGCAACCACTTAGTATACATTAGTATCCATGATGTTCATCAGATATGACAATGAACAGAATGATTTGAAATAAGAGACATGGCTTTAATGATCTCAGGGTTAATGATCTCAGAATTATGTGAGAATTTTACTCCTGGGCATAACAGATTAAGAAGTCAGGACATAAAATATGTATATAATATCAGATATATAATCCTGAAATAGTGACAAAGTGAATTGTGTGATATTATTGAATATTTTATCCTATCATTTTAAAGATATAATACTACAGGCATCAACAATATAATGGTATCATTGTATAAAGATGAGATCATGCCATACTCACTAATTTTTTTGAGTGCCATTTGATATACAATATTGAAAACTATAATACAGCATCAATATTGAAAACTATAATACACACACAAACATTCACACACACACACACATTCTTGGAGAACATCTGCTGTAAATGTTAAAAAAATACTGACTAAAGTGCGACACAACTAGTGAGTTGAGAGTACAAAAGATGATAGTTTCATAGAGTAATAGGAAAGAAATGGAAAAAAGTAATGTCTGCCTTCAGGTGTGAAGACAATTTAGTAATAAGAATTTTGAGTGTTTAAAGAAGCAGCTAGTGGTTTTGGGAAAACATAAATGATTAAGGCACCTGGTAAAAATAGGTTGCATATCAGTGAAGGTATTACAGAGTCTCCTGGAACTGTTGAACCCAGAAATACACCTTACTCTCTTTCTCCCTGTATATATCATCCCTTGACATCAGTGGGGGTTGGTTCAAGGATTCCCTGTGGATTCCAAATCCAATGATGCTCAAGCCTCTTATTTAAAATGGTGCAGTATTTGCATATAGGTTCCACATATCTCTAATGCAATGTAAATGTGTAAATGCTAGGAAAATAGCTGTTATACTGTATTGTTATTTAATTTTATAGTTTGTATTGTATTTTTATTTTTTATATTTTGAATATTTTTGATTTTTGATGGGTTGAATCTGTGGATGTGAAACTGTGGATACAGATGTATTTTATATATATACATATATATACACACACACACATATATATACATATACTCTATATGTACATGTATGTACATGTAGTCATTCACTGCATAATGCTTTGGCTAAGGACAAACAGCATGTACCAGGGTGGTCCCATAAAATTATATTACCATCTAGATGATCCTGACCCTGTGTAGGCCTAAACTAATGTGTGTGTTTGTGTCTTAGTTTTTAACACAAAAATATAAACAATAAAATTTTAAAAATAGGGAAAAATTTATAGAATAAAAGTAAAAAGAAACAATTTCTGTACAGCTGTACAATGTGTTTGTATCTTAAGCTATTACAAGTCAAAAAGTTAAAAAATTTTAAAGTTAAAACGTAAAAAAGTTATAGTAAGCTAAAGTTAATTATTACTGAAGGAAGAAAAATGTTTTTAAAGAAATTTAGTGTTGTCTATGTGTGACGTGTTAAAGTCTACAGCAGTGTACTGTAATGGCCTAGGTCTCCACGTTCATTCACCACTCACTCAGTGACTCACCGAGGGAAACACTCAGTCCTGCAAGCTCCATAGATGCTAAGTGCCCTATACAGATGTGCCATTTAAAAAATAGTTTCTGCCTATTCTTACTATATATTTTCTATGTTTAGATAAGTTTAGATACACAAATGCATACCTTTATGTTTCAATTGCCTCCAGTATTTAGTATAGTAACATGTTGCACAGGTTCCTAGCCTAGGAACAATAGGTTATACCATACAGCCTAGGTGTCTAGTATACAATACCATCTAGGTTTGTGTAAATGTACTCTATGATGTTCACACAATAAGAATATTGCCTAAGAAGGCATTTCTCAGAATGTATCTCCATTTTTAAGACAGACATCACAGTACTCAAATGACAGTTGCATTTTTTTCATATAGCAGGTATTTTTAATGAGTACATCTGATAAACAACAACAAAATTAATAAAAGTCTTTTTAACTGAGGACTTCCTAATAGAATGAAGAGAAACAAAGGTATATTAAAACTACCAGATAATTTCTCTTGAAAAAAGAACATTAATGTTATTTATACACAGCAGTAAACATACCTTTAAGTTTAGGAAAATCATATTAAAAAGCAGAGAAGTATTTATTAATAAATAAAATTATTAAATAGAATACACCTGTTGACATAGGATGATGTCATTATGTTGACAAGTAACTTTTGCAAAAGCAACATTGTTTTATCTTTTTGGGAATTTGAAGACGATTGAGTTAAATAGATGATTTGAAGTAAAATATCAATGGTTGATAAGAGATCTACCCTGCCTCTTATTTAATTGTGTATGGGTTTTTTTGTATTATTTTCTTTTGTTTTTAATTGATATTTTAGTTTGATACGAATTTCCATTTAAATGCAATAATGTTTATATAATATTGGCCATAATATGCATCAAACATAACCAAAAAGAAAGAAAGAAGAGGGAGACAGGAGAGAGTAAAACAAAATAAAATATAGAAATGATTTTTTTCAGTAAATAACATTTAATTGTGATGCACATGTTTTCATGTAAGTACTGTATCACAGAAAAAAATACTGTAAGCTTAAATACAATCTCAAGATTGTCAGGAGAACTGATTAATTTTGCTCTCATTCCCATTTTCTCAACAATCTTTGTCTTCAGAGTGAATAAATACAGTGTCACTCTGGGTTCGCTTGGCAATCTTAAAATTGTCACAAGAATGGATTGGGTGCCGTTTCCTCTTCTTGTTACAATCTTTGTCATGAGCTCTCACAGACCTTTTAATGCCTGATATGCTCTCATTCTCATTACATATTCTCATTCCCATAACAAAGATTATAATGAAAGAAGAAAATGTCATAAAATTAATCCATTCTCATAACAGTCTGTAATGAGCGCAGAAAATTGAGCAAAATTAATCCGTTCTCATAACAATCTGAAGATTGTAATGAGAACAGAAAATGGCATGAAATTTATCCTTCTTGTGACAATCTTTAAATTGTAACAGGGCAGGAATGGGATACAAGATTAACAAGGCCCTGGGACAAAGGCTCTAACTAGAACTGAAAAATCATACAAAATTAGTTTGGGTGTGTGTGTATGAGTGTGTGTGTGTGTATGTGTATGTGTGTGTGTATGTATATGTGTGTGTGTATGTGTATGTGTGTGTGTATGTGTGTGGTTGACAAAGACAGGAAAAGATCTGACATTATAATGTCTGGTTCCATCGGGATATCATATTAAAATTAGTAACTATTTTAAATTGCCTTTGCCTTAAAATAGTAAAGCCTGACGCCTTTCCAAAGATGGTGATTTAAAACAAATATGGATGTTCACTCTTCAAGTAGACTCTGAGGTTAAACTATTTTAGTAAGTAGGATAATAAAAAAAATGGAATTTGTTATTGCATTCGTGGATAAACCATTTATTATTCAATAACTTTATTTTTTAAAATGTGACTTAAAATGAATAACAGCATATTTAGCCTAATATAGAGCAATAGTTGTCTGATCATGAATTTCAACATATTTGTTTACACATCTTACCCATGTATTTGTGTGTACATATACTACACCCTACCATATTATGGCCTGTTTTCACCAGCAAACATTAGTGGTCAAATAGTCAGGCTTTGGTTTACATTAACTTTTTAAAACTAGGTTACCTAATGTATAATTTCTTCACTTTAGTCACTCAATTAATTGAATTTGTGATTGCCTTTCACAGTGTTTTAGTTTTAAATATTCTTATTTTCTAAAAGAAACTAAGGTCAGATAACACTTGCATAGGCCTACAAATCTGTTCAAGCAGAACATGAACAGCTTTTTATTTCCCTGTATAATTTGAGTATAAACAATTTAATGATTTAATGTGCTACTTATTCTCACTTATTAGGGCATGCATATTTGTGCATGGAATCTATTTTTAAAATATTTATTTAACACTCACCTGAAAACATGTATTATAAATAGATTTATGAATGTATGCACACTTTATAACAATTATAACCTTTTTTCCCAGAAGTACAGGCTTAAGCAATTATTTCAATTTCTTAACCAACAACCCATCATTTTAAAGATATACATTAGGAGCTAATAATGAATGGCAATAATATTAAATATTTCAAAGACTTCTATTTGTGGAACATCAAAATGAAAAGGCTCATTCATATTGTTGTTTTCCCTTTTTTAAGACTCTGCACCTCCAATGACATTTCAGAAAATTACCAGTATATCAGTGAAATTGCAATAAATTATTGAGATGTGAACCTATTTTATGATATTATCCTGATATTTTAAAAGGAAATATCTATTTGAAAAACCTCACTGTTATATGTAATTATTTTACTGGTTGAGAATGAATTATTGAACATCAATTTTCTTAAACATAAAAGATAGTATTTTGAAAAATTGGAGGTATAGTTTAGCATTTTTAAATAATAGGCTTCTATTAGGCAGCTATTAGGTTTTTCCTATCTGAAGACTAGGTTTGAATGATTTGCTAAGCTATATTTTCCATTGTTTTGTTTTGACAAAAAGAATATACAATTGTAACTGCAATTAAGTTCTTTTTTGATAAAAATAAAATTAGAGACTAATCGAAATAAGCAAATCTGGACAGGATCATGGCTGCATATTCTGAGAAACATGCAAGGCCTGGGCTTAAATTGCCACCCATTTTTCAACATCCAGAGGGAAGATAAATACAGTGATTCATAGTACTTGTGAAAACCTTCAGAAAGTAAACCTTTTGCTTCATGGAAAAATGAAAAATTTGGGAGGTTGCACTTTTCATCATCAACAAAAGCTATTTTTGCAGACCAAAGAAGAAATGAAAAACTTTTCATTTATTTAGCTGTTCCTGGAAAGGTTGTAAAAGGTCCTATCATGAAAGACGTAAAGGAAGAGCTGTTCATAGAAAGCTTTGAAAGAACAAACATCATAAGCACAGATTCCTATGGTAGGTGGAATATTGTAGGACGGTACAGGGGCCAAAGCACCAGGATATGATCCCAGAAGAGGAGACTCTTCTCTGTACCTTTTCCATTGTTCCCACCTTTTATATACTTAGCTATAGGTACGGTCCAATTTGATGTGCTATTCTGCGTGAAAATCCACATTTTCAGAAAAAAAATAAATAGTAGAAATTCTCTTAAAAATCATTTTACTGTATAGTATACTATGGGCCAGATATATAAAGTTCACTTTTATAATTCCAGTGAAATATATGTCACCCTCAAGATAGGCTCTTCCAAATTGTACTGGTATGGTACTCCTGTCTTTTTATCTGAATTTCTTGATAGATACTACCAAATAAACTTCTTTGTAGAAAGTAAAAATAGCCGTTTCTGACAATTGCACAATTTACATGCTAAATCTTTTCTAGTACATGAAGATATTCAACATTTCACATCACAATTATTAAAAAAAAAAATAACCACATGGAGAACGTTTTGTGTCTTTTACCAGTCGTGTGTAAATTCCTTTCCTGGGGTAGAAACACCAAGGGATTGTGCTAGTCAGAGCAGCAGGTGAAGAAAGTCTTGAGGAAGAAAAAAGGGATTTAACAATATAGGACAGAGAGGCCAGTGGAGCACTGCTCAAGGACAGAATTGCCAGAGAGTAGAACCCCTGGATAGCAACAGAGTTAAAAAGTGATTTGGGACTTTATTAAAAAAATTGTATTGTGTATAGAATAAAAAAAGTATCTGTTATTTGAAAAATGCTGAATAATGTATATATTGTCCTTTATTTCACTTGCATAAATGGAATTTTGTTTTGGGAGCTTGAAAAACAGGGTAAATGATATTGATGATATTGAGTTATACATCTAGACAATGGAGAAAATAATATTCAAAACAAGAAAGAAGTACAACAAGTATCATTTTAATGCAACTGATAACTACATTCAACCATTTTCCCCTATCACATTTATGTTTCTCACTTATAAAAGGAAATTTTCCTTAATAGCTATTTTTTTTAAAAACTCTGTGGATAGTTTGAAAACTTGTGAATATTCTGTTCTCCAGTGATGTTACTCCCACTGGTTTTAGCATTTATTGGCGAAGATTTCCAGAGGGGAAAGTGCGATTTCTAAAGAACTTACTACTTATTCATTTATTATTTTAAAATTTATTTTGCATGGGTACATTTTTCTGCAGATTATTAATGCCTGAAATATTCACGGATAATAAAAATGGTCGCTGTTGCTAAGAGAGAATAAACAATGAGAAAAACAGTGGTAGAGGAAATTAGAAAGATAACATAGTTTGGGGAGATAAGGTAGGGTCTTGTAAACTCTTCCAAGAGATTTGTCTTTTATTTTGAATGACAAGAGGAACCACTGTAGAGTTTTGAGTAAAGCAATAACAAAATTTGACTTATTTGTCAATAAAACCACGGCGGATGTTGAGTTGAGGTTAGATTTAAAGGGAACTAGGGTATAAATCAAAGATCAGATAGAAGGGAATTATAAAGATTGTCTTACAGGAGATAATGGTGGCTTATGCTAGGATGGTAGCTGTGGAGGCAGTGAGAAACTGTCAGATGCTGCATATAGTTGGAAGGAAGAGTCATCATGGTTTCTTGACAGACTGGATATGAGTTTTGAAAAAAATATAATTAAAGTTTTTGCACAGAACTTTTATTTTTCCATCTTTCTGTGTTTCTAGTTTGCTATCCTCTGCATTCCGGCGTTAGCCCTCAGGCTTGCCCTCTCATAGTTGCAGAATGATTGCTGCCATTTCCAGCATCACCTGATCACACAAGAATATTCAAAACTAGAAGAAAGAACCTTCATTTATTGTGTGCCTGCATTTGTAAGGTTATACCATTTGTAGTTTATACCATACAGCCTAGGTGTCTAGTACACGATACCATCTAGGTTTGAGTAAATATACTCTAAGATGTTCATACAATGAGAATATTGCCTAAGAAGGCGTTTCTCAGAATGTGTTTCCATTTTTAAAACAGACATCACAGTACTCAAATGACACTTGCAATTTTTTCAAATAGCAGGTATTTTTAATGAGTACATCTGATAAACAACAACAAAATTAATAAAAGTCTTTTTAACTGAGGAGGTAAAAGTCTCAGAATCTCCTCCATAAGATTATCCACATTCATTTCTTGCTTAACAGAATTCCAAAGTCCATCATTGTCAAAATGAATGTAGTTACCTTGTTGTGATTACCCCTTGGAAGGGAGGGTTCTATTAGTAAATAAAAGATGAGGAAATTATTCAGGCAGCCAACAGTTCCTGTAACAAATAGGAAACTCTTAACTTCAATTAAAGAATATTAACTTGCTTTTATTCTGTCCTAACAACTTATGGTGAACTAAAATACACTACACATGGGTAGTTTGTTTCCATTGGTCCAGCTATTCCTGTCTGAAAGCTCAGTGGATCAGAGATAAGGTCGAAAGCAGTTGAGCAGTGACACCCTTTAATTATGGCACTCCAACTTCTCCTGGTACTCAATATTCTTACTAATAGAGAGAATCTATTTCAATTTCTACTTAAATCAAACTGAACTTGCAGCTTATTCTCTAAAGGTTAGTATTCTTCCCTAACATTCCTATGACTGTATTCTGGCTTACAAAGGAGCGGAAGTATCAGATATCATGAATAGATGAAACCTTTGTACACATACCCCAATTTTCTCAGTTTGAACCATAATAATAAGTTAATCTACAAATCCAAATTTTCCAACTTTTCAGAACACTCTCTTAAGTAAGACAGATAAATGTTTAGTTGTGGTTGGTAATTTAGAAGAGAAGACATTTGGAAAGTAAAATAGCTATCAATTAATATAGGGATATCAATGGTAATAATTGTAGCAGTAACAGAGATTTTTTTATGTGCCACACACTTTTGAAATAATACATATATACACTAAATTAACCCTCATACTAACCCTATATGACATGACACAGCGAATCTAGGAAAACTGGCCATGGTCTCAAGATAGTAGATAGATATATTATGAAAATAGAAACTATTACACTTGGAATGTAGCTGTGTTTCTTTATTAAGAGTTACCCGTCCAAACTTTGTCTCTCTGGAAGTGCAGATCTGATGCAAGAGAACAAATAGATTGTTTACTAAGTAGTCTTGGGAACATTCTCCCCAATTTCACAAGGACCCCTTGCCCTTAAGTTTGCCCTACTTTATTCTATATTTTCTAAGCAGAAGGAACACTTATTTCACGTCAGGAAGACCCTGCCAGGTAGGTCCGTCTCTTCCCACCATTGCTAATGGAAAGGGTCTTTATCTCCAGCCCTGGATAGTCCTTGTTTGCCATGGATGTTACCTCTACTGTGAAAGCTGTGGTCCCTGGGCCACCCAGTCTTTGCGTTCTAGTCTAAAACTGTTTGTGAATTTGTCCACCTGTCTCTCATTTTACTTTTTTTTAAATAATTATTTTTATTTCAATTGTTTTAGGGTACAGGTGGTTTTTGGTTACATGGATGAGTTTTTTAGTGGTGATTTCTGAGATTTTGGTGCACTGGTCACCAGAGCATTGTACACTGTACACAATATGTAGTCTTTTATCCCTCATGCCCCTCACAACCTTCCCCCACCAAGTCCACAATGTCCATTATATCATTCTTATGCCTTTGGATCCTCACAGCTTAGCTCCCACTTATAAATGAGAACATATAATATTTGGTTTTTCATTCCTGAGTTACTTCACTTAGAATAATGGCCTCCAGCTCCATTCATGTTGCTGCAAAAGACTTTATTTCTTCCCTTCTTACGGCTGTGTAGTATTCCATGGTGTATATTTACCACATTTTCTTTGTATATTTGTTGATTGATGGGCACTTAGGTTGGTTCCATATCATTGCAATTGTGATTTATGCTGCTATAAACATGTATGTGCATGTGTCTTTTTCATATAATGACTTCTTTTCCTATGGGATTGTTGGATTGAACAGTAGTTCTACTTTTAGTTCTTTAAGGAATCCTCATAATGTTTTCCACAGAGGTTGTACTAGTTTACATTCTCACCAGCCATGTAAAAGTGTCCCCTTTTCACCACATCCATGCCAACAGCTATTGTTTTTTGACTTTTTCATTATGGCCATTCTGCCAGGAGTAAGGAGGTATCACACTGTGGTTTTAATTTCCATTTTCCGATTATTAGTGATGTTGAGCATTTTTTCATATGTTTGTTGGCTGTTTGTATGTCTTGTTTTGAGAATTGTCTATTCATCTCCTTTGTCCACTTTTTGATAGGATTTTTTTTTTTTTTTGCTAATTTCTTTGAATTCCTTGTAGATTACTAGTCCTTTATCAGATGCATAATTTGTCAATATTTTATCCGACTCTGTGGGTTGTCTGTTTACTCTGCTGATTATGTCTTTTGCTGTGCAGGAGCTTTTTAGTATATTTAGGTCCCATTTATTTTGTTTTTGTTATATTTGCTTTTGGGGTCTTAGTCATGATATATTTGCCTAAGGCAATGTCTAGAAGAATTTTTCTGATACTCTCTTCTAGAACTTTTATGATTTCAGGACATGACATAGGCCTGATAGGTAGTCTTTGATGTCTCTTGAGTTGATTTTCTTTATGAGAGATGGAGATCCAGTTTCATTCTTCTACATGTGGCTTGCCAGTTTTCCCAGCACCATTTATTGAATAAGGTGTCATTTCCTCAATTTACATTTTAGTATGCTTTGTTGAAGGTCAGCTGGCTGTAAGTATTTGGCTTTATTTCTGGATTTGCTATTCTGTTCCATTGGTCTAAGTGCCTATTTTTATACCATTACCATGCTGATTGGTGACTATAGCTTTGTAGTATAATTTGAAGTTGGATTTGTTCCAACTCCAGATTTGTTTTTGTTGCTCAGTCTCACTTTGGCTATACAGTCTCTTTTTTGATTCCACGTGAATTTTAGGAATGTTTTTTCTAGTTCTGTGAAGAATGATTATGGTATTTTGATGGGAATTGCATTGAATCTGTAGATTGCTTTGGGCAATATGGTCATTTTCACAATATTGATTCTACCCATTTATGAGCATGGGATGTGTTTCCATTCATTTGTTTTATATATGATTTCTTTCAGCAGTGTTTTGTAGTTTTCCTTGTAGAGATCTTTTACCTCCTTGATTAAGTATATTCCTAAGTATTTCATTTTATTTTATTTTATCTTATTTTTTGCAACTGTTGCAAAAAGGATTGAGTTCTTTACTTGATTCTCAGCTAGGTTGTTGTTGTTGTATAGCAGTGCTACTGATTTGTGTACTTTGATTTTGTATCCTAAAACTTTACTAAATTTGTTTATCAGATCTAGGAGCTTTGTGGATGAGTCTTTAGGGTTTTCTAGATATACAATCATATCATCAACAAACAGACAGTTTGTCTTTGACTTCCTCTTTTCCAATTTGGATGCCCTTTATTTCTTTCTCTTGTCTGATTGTTCTGGCCAGGACTTCCAGGAGTATGTTTAATAGA
The DNA here is from genome assembly GCF_000001405.40 of Homo sapiens. Lineage (NCBI taxonomy): Eukaryota > Metazoa > Chordata > Mammalia > Primates > Hominidae > Homo > Homo sapiens. Next base: position 104,282,197 of record NC_000005.10, read on the forward strand.
AGTGGTGAAAGTGGGTATCCTTGTCTTGTTTCAGTTCTCAGGGCAAATGCTTTCAGCTTTTCCCCATTAAGTATGATGTTGGATGTGGTTTTGTATTATATTGGTTTTATTACTTTAAGGTAAGTTCCTTCTACATCTATTTTATTGAAGGTTTTTATCATAAATGAATGCTGGATTTTATCAAATGCTTCTTCTGTGTCTATTGAGATGGTCATATGATTTTTGTTTTTGTTAATGTATTATATTTGTTTTATTACTTTAAGGTAAGTTCCTTCTACATCTATTTTATTGAAAGTTTTTTATCATAAATGGATGCTAGATTTTATCAAATGCTTCTTCTGTGTCTATTGAGATGGTCATATGATTTTTGTTTTTGTTAATGCATTACATTTATTGAATTGTGTATGTTAAATCATCGCTGCATCCCTTGTGTGAAACCGCTTGTTTATGGTGGATTATCTTTTGGATATGCTGTTGGATTCTGTTAGGTAGTATTTTGTTGAGGATTTGTCTGTAATTGTCTTCATGTATAACTGGAACTGTTTTTCAAGGACTTAATCTGCTGAGGCCTGGGCTCTAGAAAACTGTTTTCTGAGTCTTATGTTATTTTGTCATTTCTTTATGTTCTTCCATATCACTTTGCCTATCATTTTAGGTTTCCTTACAATAGTGGCAGGGGTTCCATTTGAGCTCCTTTAGCTTGTACTGTTTTGTCCTCAAATTTTTATTTTTAACCTTTTCTATTTATCAATCACTTTTACTGATTTATATTTAGGTTTTATACTCTGTGACTATTTCAAACAGGAATATAGAGTTTTTACTATTTAGGTGTTAAGTCCCTACACATTGAAAAATAGTTTTATGTCCCTCCCCATATAAAAACCAACACAATATGTTCATCCAGTAAAATGATCACTGTTTATTCCTTAGTAACACTAAAATCATAAAGTTTCTCAACCCTTTGTCTTCAGTAGTGTAGGTAATTTCAGCTGGATTTCACTGATGACGTGCAACATTACACTGATAGTTCATTTTAATAAGAAAGATATGGGTGACACATTGAGTCCAGCAATATGAATGAAGAGAAAGTGGTGTGTTTAGACACAGCAGGAAAATATCACTTTACACACAGACATTTATTTAGCCTTTATTTCATACATCTTAACAATTGTATCTTGTCACTTCTGACAGCTGTTTCTTATAAGCAAAGCTTGTCTTGAAAACTAATCCTGAGTCCTAATAGCTCTGAGACTTTGTATAATACTTTATAAGAGATAAGAAAATAAGCATGGAGAGTAAAACTGAAGTTAGAGAGGAGAAAGTCTCAGTAGGATGAAGCTGGGTTACACTTAAGAAAAACAACAAAAATATCAAGAGGGATCACTTTTATTTGAGTCTTCAGGTGTTTTTAGGTTTTGCTGTAAAGCAGAAGGTGTAACAAAGAGCTCTTGTTTTCTCTATCTCCTTTTTTTTCTTACTGGTAGAATATAAATTGATTCTGGTGGTTTATCATTTTATAGTTCTTGGACTGAAGAACTTTTTTTACATATTTATGTACTATTGGTCAATAAATTTCTTTTTTTCCTATAAAATTATCTTGAACATTATGATAAAATCTATTTCCAGAACTTTCTTTTAAGGAGCTATGAATTGATCATATTAACAGAATAAATATGCAGGTTCATATATAAAGGAAATGTTAAAACAATAGTGCAATTTGTTAATTTATTAACTCTATAAAAATCTTTGAGATAATAAAAGGAATTATTTTTTTCTGTCCATTTATAGCATCGGCAGTCAGTAAATTATTTTTGCTCTCTTTTTCTAGGTAGACAATGAAAGTCCAGTTCATTTTAGAGTTAGCTCTGCCAATGAAATAGAATACAAAAGAGAAAGAAGCAATTAATTTACTGTTTAAACTTACACCTGCAAAGTATGATTATTGTGCTATTGTTCTAAGCGATCTATGTTCTGTTTTAAGTGAAGGGTTAGACATTCCATATAAGCTATAAAATAGTTAAAATATTTAGGCGAGCATAAATTACTTGAAGTCGTAGTTTATTGTTTTTCTCTCTTGATTTCTACAACTTGGGAATTGTACAAAGATGAGGATATGAAACCATGATAAATATTTTCAATTTATTCAGACAATCTCATGAATGTTCTGATGCATAATCAAAAGTTTCCAAAGGCTTATATTTCCAACATTACCTTAATTATTGTTTCCTTATGGGTAGTTTAAGGCTCCTCTTCCTCCAAAAATAGTCATTGTATAACTCGATAGCTTTGTTGGGTTATCACCTCATTTCTACACAATTCATTTTTATCGCAAAGCTGCCACTCTGCTTTCGTATTTAACACAAAAGTGAAAGGCAGTAATGAAAGCTATAAATAGAATTTGGTGAACATGTGGAGGTAATCATTCTCTATCGTATCTCACAAGCAAACACAGACATTTTAGTGAACATCATGTAAATTACATTTTAAGAATAGTCTTAAAGTGCAGATGTTATTAAAACACTACTAAAACACATTAGAGTTAAAGCATTACATGTGAATCTAACAATGAATTCTATAAATTATTATGGTTAATATTGATGGAGCAGGATCTTGGAGAGACGCATTTAAAAATCTACAATATACTGTACTTTTACTTTCTACTTAAATATTTCTTTACATTGAAAACTGTGCATCATTTTTAAAGAAAATAAACCTTCGTTAATAAAGTTATGTTTTAATGTTTAACATCTGTACTCATGAACTGAGAATCAATAAAGTGATGAGATACATTATATTTCTGATTGCTTAAGTCATTGCTTAGCTTAATAACCTGAACCATTTAATTGGTACTGATTATAAGCAAAGAAAAATCAAAATAATAAAATTTTAAAAAGTACATTCATTATTCTACTTCCACTATAGAATCAATAAAATGTTATCTTCAAAATGAAAACTATATTTTAGGTTTTCCTTGTAAAGCCCTCCCATAGATAAAGATATTCCTATTTAACTTTCATATTCCAGTTTGCCCCAATAGATTTTCTTACTAAAAATAAGGGCATTTGAAATTGTACAATAATACATGGAAATATATTTTAAAGTTAAACAATATATAAATACATACAGTAAAAATTATTGTCTTGGTCAGAGATTCTATCAAAATTTTATTCACTCCTACACACACACACACACACACACACACACACACACACACACAAAATGGTATCATAGTATACCTATTTTTCTTAGCTTTTTCATTTAGTATGTACTTTGGACAAAAATGAGGCTTGACTAAGATAAATATAAAAATATATGAACTCTTGAAAAATTGGTTACTGTCCTGGTTACTGTTGCTGCATAAAAATTCACTCCAAAACTGAGCTGCTTAAAGCTATAACACTCATTTTATTATTTCTCACAGTTTCTGTGGGTCAGGGATTTGGAAATGTCCTGCAGAACAGTTCTGGCTTCATGTCTCTCTTGAAATTGCAGTCAGATGGCTGATGGGGTTGGAACAGTAGGTTGCTGGAGAAGCTAGGGGCTTGCTGGACATCTTTTTTATGTAGTTTAAACATTTGTCCATGTGATCTCTCCAGGTGGACTAATCTGGGCTTTCTCTTAGAATGGTGGCTCGAAGGCAGTCAGACTGCTTCCACAGCAGCTTAGGGCTCCAGTGCTAAATTTCCCAAGAGCAAGATTGAAACACCTTTTAAGATCTAGCTTTTAAAGTCCTATAACATCATTTCTATCCTACTCTTTTGGGTGAAAGAATCACAAATTTATTAATATTTTCTGAAAGTAGGGTGATCTGAAAATAGGGTGAAAATCTATCAAGATTTGCCTGAGACTGTCCAAATGCTAGCACCAAAAGTCCCACATCCTGGGAACCCCTGGAACAGTTGATCACCCTACTTTCAGTTAACAAAAGTAATTAAGTTTAAAACATTGCTTTAGTAAAGTTCATCAATCTTTTATTTAATGGCTGTTGATTATAGGGTTCTGTATGGTAAGCCTCTGCCTTTACTAAACCATGAAATCCACAGTGTTGTATTCTAGAAGACTGTTTTGCTTTTCGCATTTGTCTTTTAATCTATCTTTAATTAATATTTGTGTTAATAATACAAAGCAGAACTTGAAGTTTATTTCCTTCCGCTAATTTATTAAAAAGATCATCTTTGCCAACAAATTTCACTGAAGTATTTGCATGGAATTAGATATATATTACATTGACAAAATTTTTCAGCCCCTGGGGTCAAAATCACACTTTCAAAATTACTGTGAATGTCTTGAACTATGATAGTGAAAGCCCTTTACCTTTGTGTTCTTTTTTTGATATTGCTTTAGATATTCAAGATGCTTTGCATTTCTATGTAGATTTTATAATTTGCTTGTCAATATAAATAAAAAGGCTTCTAGTATTGTGTTGAATCTATATATCAATTTGGAGAGAACTGACCTCATGAAATACCCAGTTTTCCAATCCACTAATATTGATTCGCTGCCCATTGATTTTTGTCTTAAATTTCTCTCAGTAATTCTCAGTAGTTTCCAGTTTCAAGGTATTGCTTACTTTTGTTATATAATTTCCAGATATTTTATGTTTGTGAATAAGTGTAACTAACATTTTTATTTCCTTTTTCTTGCTTATTGTTAAGATATATAATACTTTATATTCTGAATATATATTACAGATTTTTTGTAAGTTAACCTTATGTCTGGCAAACTTCCTAAATTTACTTCTTGTCAGTAATTTATTTACATTTAGATATAATCTTATTCTTCATGTACAATTTATGTCATCTAATATAAAATCATTTTTGCAATTATAATTAGTCTATTTTCATTTTATTTCAATGGCTTGAACATTCAGTAAAATTTGAATAGTAGTGTTGGTAGTGGATTTAATTTTAACCTTAATGAGAAAGGAGTCAACATTTTATCTTTCAACAATTATATTAGACACAGGTATTTTTGGCAGATTATATTAGTCACATTAAAAAACTCTCATTCTGTTACTAGTTTCACGAGAATATCTTTTTAATCATTAAATAGTGTTAAATTTTAACGAGTTATTTTTCTGCATTTTTTGGTGTTATATTTATTTCTGTCGCTCTGATGAATTAAATGGACTGATTGGCCACTTCATTACTTCATTATCAGGCATTAACGATTTGATATATCACTGCATTAAATTTGCTAACTTTATTTTTTTTACAATATTTGTGTCAATGTTCATGGAAATATCTGGTCTCCAATTTTCTTTTCTTCTAAGGTCCTTGTCATATTTTGATATCAGCACTATATTGGTTATATAAAATAAGATATAAAATGTTGCTTGTCATTTTATTTTATGAACAACTTCTTGGAACACTTGTTATAATTGATTATCTCAATATTTTAAAGAATGCATCAGTGATTAATTAATCATTATATAATTTCCAGATATTTTATATGTTTTTGAGTAACTATCATTGTATTTCATTTTTTCTTGCTTATTGTTAAGATAGATAATGCTCTATATACTTAATATATATAACAGATTTTTGTATGTTAAACTTATGTCTGGCAAACCATATGACCCAGTTCTTTTTTTTTTTTTGAAAGAATTGTATATATTGATACGTTTTCTCTTATAGATACAGGATTATTCAGATTTTATATTTATTTTTGTGTCAGTATTGGTAAATTATAAGAAATTTGTCTGTTTTGTTAAAATTTTATTGCCATAAAATCATACATAATATCGTGTTATTACATTTTTAGTATTTATAGTAAAAATAATGACATTCTCTTTTTTATTCTTGACACTGGTAGTCTATAAATTTTCATTTATTCTTGATCTCTTATGCTAGGTGTTTACCTCCTTTATTAATCGTTTGGAAGAGTCACCATTTGGCTTTATTAATTTTTCTTTTGTATCACTATTTTTTTCTTTGATATTTGCTCGTTTTAACATATTATTCTTTATTAGTTTTTAGTTTGGCTTTAATTTGTTGTTCTTTTTCTAGCTTAGATAATTTATTTTTAAATTTCCTTCTTTTATACTACATGATTTTTGAAGCTATAAATTCCCATATGAAGACTGTAGTATGTAGGTTACACAAATTTTGGTATGTCATATTTACGTTATCATTCAGCTTAGGACATTTAAAATGTTCTATTGTGTTTTCTTTCCTTTGTCCAGGGGGGTGGTGTTAATTAGTAGTAGTTTCCTTAATTTCCAAACATCTGCAAGGAGACACAGTTGTCATCATTCTACTAATGTGTTTTAATTTAATTTTGCTGTGGCTAGAGAATATAAATTGTACAATTTCAATACTTTTTAAATGCTGAGGTGTTCTTTACGTCTCTAGTTAGAAAATACTTTGGAAAATATTCTATATGTACTTCGAAAGTTTTTTCTACAAATATAGGTGTAATGTTCTGTAAATATCAATCAAAGTAAATTAGCAAATTATATTGTTCAAATCTTCCCATTTTTTTCATGTTTTATCTGACACTGAGATATACCTTCGTTAAAATCTCCAGAGAGGCGATTTCTCTCTCTCTCTCTCAGTCTCTTTGTCTCCTCTCTTACTCTTTCTCTCTTTTTAGTTCCGTTTAATTTTCTTTCTACTACTCTATATGTTTTGGTGCTTACCAAAATGGGATTTCCATGTATTAATATTGACTTGAGACATTTATTACTAGAAAATATTTTTCTTAGATTCCATAATTCTATTGTCTTAAAATATTTATTTGATATTAATATAAGCTACAGCCAGTTTCGTTTTCAGTGTTGATATGGTATATGTCTTTCTAGCCATCTGTTTGTTGTTGTTGTTGTTTTGAGACAGAGTCTCGCTCTGTCGCCCAGGCTGGAGTGCAGTGGCGCCATCTCGGTCCACTGCAAGCTCCGCCTCCCGGATTCACGCCATTCTCCTGCCTCAGCCTCCGGAGTAGCTGGGACTACAGGCGCCCGCCACCACGCCCGGCTAATTTTTTGTATTTTTAGTAGAGACCGGGTTTCACTGTGATAGCCAGGATGATCTCCATCTCCTGACCTCGTGATCCGCCCGCCTTGGCCTCCCAAAGTGTTGGGATTTACAGGCGTGAGCCACTGCGCCCGGCCTAGCCATCTGTTTTTAACTAATTGTGCTCTCATATTTAGTGGCTATATATATATATACATATGGCTTTATACATATATTCTATATGTATAAAGTGGTATAAGTATATATTTATATATTACCTATATCCAAGATGATAATCTTGGTTTTTAATAGTTTTTATACATTTATTTTATTTATTATTATTATTTTTGAGACAGAGTCTCACTCTGTCGCCCAGGCTGGAGTGCAGTGCAGTGGTGTGATCTCCGCTCACTGCAAGCTCCGCTTCTCGACTTCAAGCAATTCTCGTGCCTCAGCCTCCCAAGTAACTGGGATTACAGGCGCGCACGCCTGCTAAGAAGAGACAGCGTTTTACCATGTGCCCAGGCTGATAAACCATTTAATTTCCATCTTATTACTGGTTGAGTTGGGATTAAGTTCAATAAATTGCTATTTTTTAGAATTTATCCCATTTATTTTCTTTAATCAACCCTTTTATTTGTTCAATTTTGGAATAATTTGGCTATTTTTTAGCTTCTCATTGTATGTATTTTTATTACGCTGATAGTTGCTGTTCTACAGACTACAACATTCCTTTTTCATTTACTAAAAATATCTTTAAATCAATATCTTAACCATTTTCCAAATGATGTATAATTACCCTCCACCATTACCCTCTACCATTTGTTCTATTATTATCTTATGTTTTATTTTATATATTTTAAATTCTACAATAATTTATTATTTTTTGGATCCATCAATATTGATTATATTTATCCATTTATTCACCATTTTTCAAACTTTTCAGCTTTTCTTGCAGTTCCGTGTTTTCATCTGGCACGCTTCACCTTTAGCATAAGGAAGTAGTTTTAGTATTTCTTGCAATTCAGATCTGCCAGAGTAAAATTCACCTAGCTTTTATTTCTCTCTCTTTCTTTATAAAACCTCTTTGTTTTGCCTTTGCTTTTGGATAATATTTTATTGACGTTTCTGCTTTCTTTTATAGCTTTTGTTGAAAAGCCAACTTCCAATGTTACTGTTTTTATTTGTTTTAAATAATTTGTCTTTTTATACCTTTAGGTGCTATTACGTATTTTCAATTTGAATTTGTTTTAGTAATTTTTTTATAATGCACTTATTTGTATTTCTTTTGTGGTTATTCAATTTCATGTTCACCGAGGTGATCAAACTGTGGTTTTATATGTTTCATCAAATTTAGAAAATTCTTAATAATATTTTCTCAATATTTCTTTTAAGTCTCTTTTGTCTTCTTGTTATACCCAAATTACACATACATTAAGTGTTTTGAGTGATTACATGTCTATCTACTCTTCTTCCATTATTTTTTCTCAGTTCTTCAGTTTGGATATTTTCTATTGATGTGTGTTTGAAACCACGAGTCCTGTCTTCCAATGTGTTCAGGCTTCTGTTGAACCCATCTATCAAGTTTTTAACTTCAGATGGTTATGTGTTGCATTTATGGAATGTACCTTGGATTTTTTCTTTCTTTTTTCCTTTCTTTCTCTCTCTCTGTCTCGTTCTTTCTTTCATCTATATTTTAAGTTCAGGGATACACGTGCAGGTTTGTTATATAGGAAAACATGTGTCATGGGGGTTTGTTGTACAGATTAATTTATCACTGAGGTATTAAGCCTAGTACCATCAGTTATTTTTCCTGATTTTCTCTCTCCTCCAAACCTCCACCCTCCAAAAGGGCCCAGTGTGTGTTGTTTCCCTTTATATATCCATGTGTTCTCATCAATTAGCTCCCACTTATAAGTGAGAACATATGGTAATTGGTTTTCTGTTCTTGTGTTAGTTTGCTAAGAATAATGGCCTCTAGCTTCATCCATGTTCCTGCAAAGGACATAATTGCATTATTTTTTTATGTCTGTGTAGTATTCCATGATGTATATGTACAACATTTTCTTTATCCAGTCTATTATTGATGGGAATTAGGTTGATTCCATATCTTTGCTATTGTGAATAGTGCTGCAATGAATATACATGTACATGTGTCTTTATACTAAAATGATTTATATTCCTTTGAGAATATACCCAGTAATTGGATTACTCGTTGGAATCATATTTCTGTTTTTGAGGAATCGCCACACTGTTTTCCACAATGGTTGAACTAATTTGCACTTACACCAATAGTGTGTAAACATTCCTTTTTCGCTGAAACCACACCAGCATCTCTTATTTTTTGTCTTTTTAGTAATAGCCATTCTAACTGATGTGAGGTGATATCTCATTGTTTTGATTTTTGTTTCTCTAATGATCAGTGATGTTGAACTTTTTTTCATGATTGTTGGGGGCATGTATGTCTTCTTTTGAAATGTGTCTGTTCATTTCCTTTGTTCACTTTTTAATGGGGTTGTTTGTTTTTATCTTATGAATTTGTTTAAGATATTTATAGATAGTTAAGATATTTAAGATATTTATAGATGCTGAATATTAGACCATAGTTTGCAAAAATTTCTCCCGTTCTCTAACTTATCTGTTCACTGTCTTGATAGTTTCTTTTGCTAAGCAGAAACTCTTTAGTTTATAGATGCCATTTGTCAACTTTTTGCTTTTGTTGCAATTGCTTTTGACAAATTCATCATGAAATATTTGCCCTTTCCAATGTCCTGAATGGTATGCTTAGAGAATATTGTGAACACCTCTGTGCACATGAACTAGAAAATCTAGAAGAAATGAATAAAGTTCTGGACACATACACCATCCCAAGACCAAACCAAAGAGAAATTGAATCCCTGAACAGACTAATAACAAGCTCTGAAATTGAGTCAGTATTGAATAGCTTATCAACCAAAAAATCTCAGCACCAGACAGACTCATAGCTGAATTCTACCAGATGTACAAAGAAGAGCTGGTACCATTCCTGTCTAAACTATTCCAAAATACTGAGGAAGAGGGACACCTCCCTAACTCATTCTACAAGGCCAGCATCATCCTGATACCAACACCTGGCAGAGAACCAACAAAAAAAGAAAACTTTAGGCCAATATCCTTGATGATACCAACACCTGGCAGAGATCCAACAAAAAAAGAAAACTTTAGGCCAATATCCTTGATGAACATCACTGCAGAAATCCTCAGCAAAATACTGGCAAACTGAATCCAGCAGTATATCAAAAAGCTTATCCATCATGATGAAGTAGGCTTTATCCCCAGGATTCAAGGCTGGTTCAACATATGCAAATCAATAAATATGATTCATTACAAAAATAGAACTAAAGGCAAAAACCTCAGGATTATTTTAATAGATGCAGAAAATGCTTTCGATAAAATTCAATACCCCTTCGTCTTAAAAACTATCAATAAACTAGATATTGGGCTGGGTGCGGTGGCTCACACCTGTAATCCCAGTACTTTGGGAGGCCAAGGCGGGTAGATCATTTGAGGTCAGGAGTTCAGGACCAGCCTGGCCAACATGGTGAAACTCCATCTCTACCAAAAAAAAACAAAAACAAAAACAAAAACAAAAATTTGCCGGGCATGGTGGCGCATGCCTGTAATCCCAGCTACTCAGGAGGCTGAGGCAGGAGAATCGCTTGAACCCAGAAGACAGAGGTTGCAGTGAGCCGAGATCATGCCCCTGCACTCCAGCCTGGGCAACAAGAGTGAAACTCCATCTCAAAAAAAAAAAAAAATAAAAAATAAACTAGATATTGAAGGAATATGCCAGAAATAGTAAGAGCCATCTATGAGAAACCCACAGCCAACCACGTTCTAAATGGGCAAAAACTGGAAGCATTCCCCCTTGAAAACCAGCACAAGACAAGAATGCCCTCTCTCACCACTCCTATTCAACATGGTATTGGAAGTCCTGTCCAGGACAATCAGGCAAGAGAAAGAAATAAAGGACATCCAAATAGGAAGAGAGGAAATAAAACTATGCCCGTTAGCAGATGAAGTGATTCTATATCAAGAAAACCCCATAGTCTCAGCCCAGAAGTTTCTTAAGCTGATAAATTCAGCAAAGCCTCAGGATACAAAAATCAATGTGCAAAAATCCCTAGTAACACTAGTCAAGCAACATCAACAACAGTCAAGCTGACAGCCAAATCAGAAATGCACTCCCATTCACAATCACCACAAAAAGAATAAAATACTTAGGAATATGGCTAATTAGGGAGGTGAAAGATTTCTACAAGGAGAAGTACGAACCACTGCTCAAAGAAATCAGAGATGACACAAACAAATGGAGAAACATTCCATGCTCATGGATAGGAAGATTAAATATCATAAAAATGGCTATCATGCCCAAAGCAATTTATAGATACAATACTATACCTGTTAAACTACCACTGAGATTCTTCACAGAACTAGAAAAATCTATTTTAAATTCATATGAAACCAAATTGAGCCTGAATAGGCAAGGCAAACCTAAGCAATAAGAACAAAGCTGCAAGCATCACATTACCTGATTTCAAACTATACTACAGGGCTAGAGTAACCAATACAGCATGGCACTAGTACAAAAACATATAGGGCAATGGAACAGAATAGAAAACCCAGAAATAAGCCCGCACACCTACAACTATCTCACTTGAACAAACCTGACAAAAACAAGCAATGGGGAAAGGATTTCCTATGCAATAGATGATGCTGAGATAACTGGCTAGCCATATGCAGAAAATTGAAACTGGATGCCTTCCTTATTCCATATACGAAATTAATTCAAGATGGATTCTTTTTTTTTTTCTTTTCTTTATTTTTTTTTTGAGACAGGCTCTTACTCTGTTGCCCAGGCTGGAGTGAAGTGGCAGGATCTTGGCTCACAGCAACCTCTGCCTTCTGGGTTTAAGCGATTCTCATGCCTCAGCCTCCCAAGTAGCTGGGATCACAGGTGCGGGGCACGGCGTCCTGCTAATTTTTGTATTTTTTTTTCTGTAGAGATAGGATTTCATCCTGTTGGCCAGGCTGTTCTTGAACTCCTAAGCTCAGGTGATCCACCCGCCTCAGCCTCCAAAGTGCTGGGATTACAGGCATAAACCACCACATCCGGTCTTATTTTTATCAATTTCAAATATATTATGAAATTATTTCTCTTTCCATCCATTACTTTATCTTTTACTGCATTTTCTTTAATATATTAACCAATAACCATTTAATATGTTAAGCATTCTATTCAGAAAACTTGGCCTGCTAAATCCAATACATAGATCACTGGATCTGGGGCTATTAACCAACACACGTAACTAGCAATTTTTTATTCAATTTATATATAATATAATCTGGAATTGTTATTTTTTTCTAAATAATATTAAATTTTCTTCTGACATACTTTTAAAATTCTTCATAGATTAACTTGATCCTAAAAAAAGCTTTGTTTAGTATTTGTCAGAACAGGCCTGTTTCAGGTTTTTCTTTATTTCAGAGTTGAAAATATTATTCCTTGAGTGTGCTTTTTATTCATTATTTATATTCTTTTTGGAGTTTCAACAAGCTGTCCAGAATGATCACAAAGGTCACTCCATTCTCCTGGGCTTGAATTCCAAACTCCCCATCTCTCAGCTTTATATTGTCTCTGAAATATTTCCACATTTTCCTGGTGTGCTCTGCAAGTGGCTGTACTCTAAGCATGTGTAGATATTTGGAACTTTTTCTCCAAAGCCTATCTTCTCCAGGATTCTATCCCCTCATATGCCACCTACATAAACAATGTTCAATGTCTCCTCTGCCCATTGAGGACACATGAAATCTCCTCTCTCTTCTTGGTCTCTCTTTCCCCATACTATGATTTGGACAGTTCTTTCAAGACTAAAACTGGTGTGAAAGTTTGTTTCATCTTCTATGTTTATGTTCTCTCAGTAATCAACCTTAAGTTCATTATTGTCTAATGTCAAAACAGAGTTCCTTTATATATTTTAGAGAGTTTTTTTAGAAATAGTTTATGATGATGATGACGATTAGTTGATTCTGTTTACAGCGGGAGAATAAACCTGATACCAGCTTGTTGATCATGACTGGAACTACAAGTTTTATTGTTGAAAGTTAAGAAGTATATTTTTTCTTCATTCATGTGGAAATGAAAGATTAGCATATTGTACCAGATCACAATCAGACATGAAAAGTTCTTTTCTGTGTACTGAAGTTATCTTTTGGGTCAGCTGCTTTATTCCCTGTCCAGCAGCAATAGGATCAGTTCACCTTTTCACAGAGCTAGACATAGTCCTGACAGTTTAAACTTTAATTCTCCCTTAGGCAATAAAAGAAATGCCAAAAGATTTTCACTGGCTCTGCACCTCCATGATCTCTTGGAAGCAAAATACATCAGATACACTTGAATCAGCCTCCAATGACCCACCATAATCCCCTCTTCATACCTTATTAGAATAATCTGCTTTATTCATTCATTTGCTGCTTTAGGTGTGTTTCCCATTTTAGCTTTACATAATTATGATGCAAAATGCTGCAAGTATGAATACACCAACTGTGTATTTTAGACTAGATGATAGAATAAATCAAACATTCTGTTCAGTTCCTGTATTTTACAACATTGGAACACGGTCAGTTATTCTACCAAGATACAGGAACCAACAGTAGGGATTGTCTCTGTCATTTCGAATATATAAGCGTCCTATTTTATAGCTCCTGTTCATCTCACATGGAGCTGTGCTTTCGTTTGTTTGTTTTTAGTTTTTATACCTGATAATTAAGTGTCTACTGTGAAAATTCTAAGGGACTTGGGGCATGAAATCTCTGATTCTTATGAATCTTAAATTAGAGCATTGAGAATCTCTGAAAGGCGTAGAAGTCATGGAAATTAGAACTGAAACACTGAATACTTAAAAGAAACTATGCCAATAATAGATAAAATAAACATGGACCATTGTTTTCCAATTCCACTTCTTTAGTGTTCCATGAAATAGTTTTGTAAACTTATGTTTAGGTTAGCAAGCCAACACTGCAGCTGTTACTTTTAGACATGAAAGGATTTGTCTTCTGGTTCATTCAGTTATTAGTAATTACATAACTCAGTTTAAAAAATACATTTCTTTTTCTTCTCTATGCTTGAAATTTTCAGGCATTAATGAAATTTTATACTTGATTTGCAAGAGGGAAGTATGCATAATGTAATACTACTTATTCTAAAATTAAGTACTTTTCCAAAGAATAATTATAAATGTTAAAAAGAGACAATAGCATATGTACAATACTTTAATGACATCAATAACCAAGTACTCCTAGAGACATCTACATTATTTTAAGCCTCTTTGCCATGTCTGGAAATAATGCAAATTCAATAAAGAATCACTAAAATACTACAATAGAGAAATCTTACCCTAAATCATAAATTTTGGTGACTATGACTGAATTCTCTGAGTGCTGGTTTATAAGGAGAATACTACTTAAAGGTATACCACTTTTTATAAAGTAGACTCCAATTCAGGACATCTTATTTTTAAAGGGAGTAGGCAGACCTAAGACAAACAGATATTGTTCCAAGTTTCATATGACTATTTTACAAAAAATAGCTAATTTCCCTATTACATGTACAAACTCAATAGTTATTTTTGGGCCCTAGAACTGCCTGGCTATTCAAAAAGTGTTATTTTGTTTTGTTTTTCCAGGCACACACGCACACACAATACACAGAAAACAACACTGTACAGATGAGAACATGTCAAGAGAGAATAAGAGACTTTTACATTGAGTGTACAAAAGGAGTGAGGTGGTACCGAACCCATTTACTCTGATTTAAGCTTTAGTGCTCTTCTGATCACACTGCAGTAGTGAATCCCTATGAAGACAGTTGATTAAATCATCCGAGAAAGAGGTTACTCATTGTTCAACTAATATCTGTTAAGTGATTACTATGACACAGACACTACCAGATGTCAGATTACAACAGTTAGTGAAGCAAACAAATATTCCTGCCTTTCTGAAGCTTATATTCCACAGTGGAAAGGAAAGAATGAACAGAAAGAGGTGAGGGTATGAGCTATGTATAGCTTGGTGAGACCATGAAGTGAAAATATGCCTGGCATGTGTGAGAAAAATCAAAGATGCCAAAGTGATTGTGAGTAATGAGAAAGGAAGAGAGCAATAAAGACGGGTGTAGTAAAAATTCTTGCATAGCTTTGTAGACCATCAATAGGATTTTGGCTTTAACATGAGTAAGATAGTCATTAAAGTTCTATGATCAGAGTATTATGATCTGACATAGTTTATTAGGTGAATTTTGGTCACCTTCTTAAAACTAGTACAAAATATGTAAGTTCAGAAGCAGAAAAATATAACTAAAAAGTTATTGAAATAAAAGACAAAAGTGATGTGAGCCAGACTGGTAGCTGTGGAAGTAGTAGTGAGTTATCAGATTCCCTATTATATGGGTAGAAATAATATTTGCCAAA
The DNA here is from genome assembly GCF_000001405.40 of Homo sapiens. Lineage (NCBI taxonomy): Eukaryota > Metazoa > Chordata > Mammalia > Primates > Hominidae > Homo > Homo sapiens. The sequence goes on from NC_000005.10 coordinate 104,297,657, forward strand.
AAGTTGTATGCTGAGTTTGAGAGAAAGAGAGAAGTCAGGGATGACTCCAAGTTCTTTTTTCCTGAACTTCTATAAGGATAGATTTGCCATGTGACTGAGATGAAGACAACTGTAGAAAGAGCATATTTTTTAGAGGAAGACCACAAGCTCATGACTTTTAAACTTTGTGATGCCTAGCAGACATCCAAGTGTACATCGTAACTAAAGAGATGAATTCAAGGGTCTAGAGCCCAGGAAAAGATTCAGATGGGAATAATACATCTGGGAGTCCTCAGCATATAAATGTATCTACATCTGTGAGATTGGATGAGATTACTAAGGGAGTAAACAGAAAAAAAAAAAGAGATCCAAAGATAGATGTTGAGGATGTGAGGAAGAACCTCAAAGGGTGATTGAGAAGTATCCAGAAACATAGGAATAAAGCCAGATACCATTTCTTGTTCTGGGTGTCAAGTGAAGAAAGTGCTTTGAGGAAAAGACATGGCCAATGCTATCAAATGCTTCAGATAGTAGGCAGAATTTAACATTGTATTTATCAATGTTGAAAGTCAGTTGGTGACCTTGGCCAGATAGTTTTCACAGAGTAGAGTAAAAGACAGTATAAAATGTCTGGTGGTCCCTACTTCAAGAAAGTGTAGAAGAGAAAGAATTTTTGGTAGCAAGTTTAGTAAACTTTTTCAAAGAGTGTAACTTTAAATAGATGGACAGAATATAGACATGGGTAGCGTGTAGAAGCAGTTATGTTCTGGGGGCTTGTGGAATTTTCTTCTGGTTTTATCTATTTTCTCAGGGAATTATTCAGCAAGGCTGTAAAGTGACTGTGAGGATGAAGGGAAGGTATTGGAGAGTTGAACTGAAAAGAGAAAAAGAAGAATATGGTCTTGTGAATGGATTATAAAAATGGTAGTATAAGACTCTGGGTTACTAGGATCTTTGGTTTGGATCAGGGATTTCAACCGAAACCAGTCAGCATCATTAAGGTAAGATGTAGTTCACCTTCTACGGACAGTGGTTCAAATCTCAGTTTCATTCTCGAAGTCATTTCTCTGCCGGTTTGAGTCTTTCTCATGCATGTGTCAGGTGTTAGTCTGAGATTTGTGGGAGCGGTTCAAACAAGAATTCAGAACTCTTAGCATTAGCTACCTTGTTTTGAGTCTTTCCTGGACATGTATGATTAATGCCTGATGGTTAATACACAAAATAGAGGATACTCCTGAAAGTCATTTACCCTCTGGGACTATGTACATTCTATGGCCCATAAACTTCTGATTACTTCTATGTCTAGACAAATGGGGTCTCTCTCAAAGTTTTATCTCCGTAGCCTCTGTTTCCATGTATTCCCTGATTAGAATCATACTCATGGCAAAGCCACAAGAGGAAAAAATAAATAAAGCAGAAAACGCCCCCTGTTCTTCACTTCTCCTATATTTCACTCTCCTCCATAGGTTGCTTGTTGTTGTTTACTTCCAGGGACCTACATTCATAATTTTATTTTTGATTGTATTTTATCCAAAGTTTTACTTTTAATCAGAATATGTTGGGACTTTAGTCGGCTTATACTGCCAGACTGAACCCAGAATCTCCGACCTTTAACTTTTGAATAGAAGTAATATAAAACTTTGTAAACTTTTTCTTAGCCAGGTTTTTATTATGTAAATTGGCTTAAGGAAAAAAAATTACACAGCAAAAAAGAGAATTAGAGCAGAGATATAGAAAAGTAACCAGATGGGGCCAGATGTGGCGGCTCATGCCTGTAATCCCAGCACTTTGGGAGGCTGAGGCGGGTGGATCACCTGAGGTCAGGAGTTCAAGAACAGATGGCCAACATGGTGAAACCCCGTCTCTACTAAAAATACAAAAATTAGCCAGGCTTGTTGGCACACGCCTGTAGTACCAGCTACTTGGGAGGCTGAGGCAGGAAAATCGCTTGAACCAGGGAGGCAGAGGTTGCAGTGAGCCGAGATCGCGCCACTGCACTCTAGCCTAGGCCTAGGTGACAGAGTGAGACTCAATCTCAAAAAAAAAAAAAAAAAAAAGAAAGAAAGAAAACAAAAAGAGAAAAAAAAAGAAAAATAACCAGATGGGTAGAGAGGATTTTAACTTATTGGATTTCTTATAAGCTTAATTAATCCATTCATTCATTTCTGAGGGTCAGCCATATTCCTGCCTTTGGGTTTCATGAATATTTTTTATATCCTTATAAAATATTGCCTCCTTTGTACTTAATTGTGCTTGTGGTGTAGTCTCTTATTTATAACCTGAACATCCCATGGTTGAATGTAAAGGTTTTACAAATTATTCATTCTTAAACCGAGGTGATTTCCACACCTATCCAAATAGAAGAGGCTATGAGATTAATCGAGTATAAATAGAATACTCAGGGGCACATACTTGGGCCATGGCTCTGGAAGTTTGAGGCTTGAGAAGATAAGAAAAAAAAAACTTGGAAGATTTATTTTTATTGAATGGATTCTCATTTGTGTCTCCTTCAAGTCATCTTCCTGTGTTAATAGCACTGAGTCATTTAAATATAAATTTAGCATGTTGTGATTCAGTTCCTATACCATGCAGGTAGAATCGCTGTGGGCCATACACTCACATCGAACACAAGGTGAACATTTTTCTTTCTTGAAGTGCTTTCCCCCCTCCCCACAAAATGCCCAATGCTCAGAATGCTCAGAGAGATATAATCTTTCCTGATGTTTTTCTGGATTTTCCGTAAGATGGAAACATTTCAAAGGGTATCATGAAGGAAGCTTGAGCCTACCTCTCCAGCATTTGCAGACCTAAAACATAACTTTCGGACTCCGGTAGACATTAGACTCAGACTTTAGAGCCTATTCTCAGTTTGAAAACTTTGCTGGCCCAAAGGGCAGCTTCCTCTGAGAATTCTACTTTCTCTTTCTTTTTTAGTTTTTGCCATCTGCAGTTTTCTCTTTTTATAGCCTAACTTTGAATTTCGTTTTCTTTTATTTTTTCCCCAATTTATCCTGCTTTTTTCATGTTAATAGAGTGTGAACTTGTCAAAATTAATTAAATTCATATATTTTCCTAAAATTTTCTAAGAAAAATTCATGTGTTTACTTCCATAGTAAACACAATTGTCTTAAAAATAGGCATGTTGTTTTCTTTTTTGTACTGGAAAACTTAGGTATTAATAGTTCCCCTGGTTTACCAATCTTGTTTTGTGGATTAGTTAAGCTAGTAGTCCATGAGAACTCTAGCACAATGAGGTCATGACATTAAATCTTGAAAATTTTTGCTAAATTGCCATGATGCTATAAAAAGTGTTGGGGCTTTTGGTCTTTATTTTTTGAACCTTGAAAACAAATTAGAATTCAATTTCCTCCATGTCACTTTTGCAAGAATATTCAAGTGTTTTTTGAGTCATGATAATATTGATCAATTATGAACACTTTAGAATGGGAGAAAATTAACAATTATGTGTCTTTCTCAGTGAGACCCATCATCTGATATTCTCACGATTTTGACAATGATGGACTGTTGTCAAACTCTCATTCATTAACCCTACTCCTACTTTCTGGGACACACAGTAGTAGACTGAGGTTCTTCAAATATTTGAAGTCCGTATCTCCATTTCCCTCCCCTTTGACTTACAGGAATGCCAGTGGAAACTTTCTCAGGATCATTAAGCTGGTCAGTTTGACTTTTCATTGGCATATAGCCATTAAAAACCTAACTACAGCTTAGTGTAAAGAAACTTCAAACATAAATGTAGGTAATCAGTTCTTGTACAACAGAGCTCAGCTGCTGTGGGTGACATTTGCCTGCTGGAAGAGTGTAACCTCTGCTTATTAATAATGACTCTTCTCAAGTCAGCTGCTCTGAGCAGATTGCACTTTCTAGAGAAAAGTTGCAAATTTGGGAAAGGCAAAGGCAAAAATCATATCTATTGGGGATAATGCAAAGGCCTAATATGGGCAGAATATTTGTAAAAGTGGGTAAGGAGCTAAGGATAAGGCTGAGTATTGACAGAGTGCTCACTTAGTGCATAGTAGATAGTCTTATTACTACTGAGACAAATAATTATATATTACTTTGGTTCATGCTTAATATTTATAAATTGATTTCATATATAGCGATTGATTTGGTACGTGCAACAAATGGTGGATATCCTTCTATTCATTTTACGAGGAGGAAGCTAAAGTTCAGAATTCAATGCATTCCTGTTTCTTTCTTCTTTACTACATGGCCTTCCGGGCAGAAAAAGCTCTGGAGAACTGAATCAGTTTCCTGATTGACAAAGTTGTTATTTGACTTACCCTGTCTAACCAGGCAGTGATAGCATCAGGAAGCAGATTATTGAAAGCCCCCATTTCAAAAACGAATACAAGAGAGAAAGAAGAGGGGTAGAGAGAGAGACAGAGAGAGAAAATTAGCTTTCCTCTCGTGGATAATATTTTAAAGGGAGAGGAAGAATTTTCATAGCTTTGTTCCAGCATAGACAGCCTGAGGCCACATTCAGGTATTCATTGAAGTATGGCGTTATTACTAGGCCCCTGATGAGTGGAAATTATTACTGGAACACATGGAATTCTTAATAAATATTCTAGGTGGGCCGAAGGGGATTTCACAGTATATGTGAATTCACAGGCAAAGAAACTATTTCAGTTCTACTTTCCAGGAAGATTTCAAGGGCCCAAAGCTAAAATGTATGGATTTATTTAACAAGATGGGGAATGGTCCTGGATGCTGCACCCAGCCTTTCTCCATGTTCGGTGATTTCCTAGAATCAATACTATTTGGAATAAAAAAAAATGAAAAAGAAAATAGAACAAACAGAAAAAGACATAACAAACTGGACAAACAATCTCTTGGGGCTTTTGCTTTCCATGCTTCCTCTGTTCACACAGCCTGCCTCTTCCTCTCGCCACTCCCTCCGGAAGCTTTTAGTAGCAGAACTCTAGATTTTGATCCACAGGGCGTGGGTATGGATGTAGATTTTCTTTGATTTTACTCTGAAGTAAGTTCACCTGCATTTCAATTGCATTTTTACTTAATTTAAAAGGGCTTGTATTCTTTATAGCTTATTGATTCATTCTGCTTTACCTATTTATTGTTATGAAAACTAGTTATTTCTTTATATCATAAAGATGATATATAAGTTGATAAAAGTTCAGCATGTACTGATGGTAACATATGAAAATAGTAACTGCAGTATCAGTTTTTATTTTCTTTATGAAATAATAACTACACAATTAAATGTGAGAATACATTGCCTTGTGCTCAAATTTTCTTGTTTTTGCTTAGGTTTATCATTGAGAGTTTTCCAAAACAAAATGCTTTTAAGTTTAACTTTTTAAAAACAGCACTGCATTTCATGGTTTTGATGTATGTAATTAAACAAACAAGATTTCTGTAGGATGTTACTATTGTAAAGCATGCTATAATCATTAAACGTATACCTATGTCTTTGCACCCAGTGACATAATAATGTATATATATAATAAATTATTTAAAGAAAAATTACTGGGTCAAAGGTCATATGCTTTTTAAATTTAACAAATTGCCTATTTGCCTTTTCAAAAGTCAAGGAGACTTATTCTCTCTTACCTGTGGTGTATAAGAATGCCTAGTTCCTCATGTTTTTGTTAATTTGGTGCTTTATAAAATTTTAATAGTTGTTAATCTGATAGAAAAAAATTTATCCTAAAATAGTTTTAATTTGAATTTCATTAATTATACCGAATACTATTTTATGAATGTACAGGTTGTGTGTGAATTTCCATTCTGTGTCTTTTGTACATTTATGTTACAGGCAGTTGCTCTTTTCTGTTATATATTTATATCATGTTTCTATGTTAAATAGGTAGCTCTATGTCTGTCATATTTGCTGCAATTATTTTGTATTTTTATTTTGATCAGAGCATATTTAGTTTGTAGGAATTCTGTGGTATAAAAGTTCTTATTTTAATATGATCGTTACTATCATTTTAAGTACAGATGTACACTACCTCCTTGCTCCAGCTTCAACCTAGGTTTCTCTAATTTAATGTGTCTGATACTTTAGGGTTCCAAAAAAGTTATTATTTGGAGAAAAAACTAATTCTGTTTGTAAAAAAATATATTACAAGGAAAAAATGTAGCCCATTTTTAGATTTAGTCACACCTTACCCTGAAATTAAAATCTCTGCAATATGACCACAGATTATATTTCTAGTCTCTCATTAATACAAATCTATACCACGAATCTGAGCCATGTTTTCTGTTCCTTTTTTATGATCCACTTTCTGGCTTTTATCCTATTTTATTCTGCCAGAAATGTCTTTATTTTTTTTTTATAAAATCATACCAGATTTGAAATTACTTTTTAAATGACATTCCCATTCCCAGTCCCATTCCCATGCCTTCTCTGATCTCCTACCCTTCTTAAGAAATGTATTTTCTTATGACTTCATTTTCTAATCCATCCAACCCCTTTAATTATATAGTTCTCAGATTACTTACTTTGTATAGTTGTTTACATCCCATCCTCAAATATATGTAATATAGAGAAAAAAAACCTCCCTTTTTGAAAGGAACTACAAGAATACACAACATAGGATTTCAATAAATAGTTTCAAAATTTTCTTAGACTGCTATTATGGACTTATTGACTGGATCCGAGTCAGAAAATTTAGTTTGTGCCCTAATTATGCTATCTAATGCAGCACTACTTTTGATGTAATGGAGTCACCTTTCTGAAATTAACATATTTTTAGTTTTTATTCATTCTTCTACAAAACAGATTTATAATAATACTTTCAGGATTATGTGAGATTAAACTAAAAGATTTTAAAATACATTATTTTTGTGAAACCAGTTTATTATAATTTTCAATTAAAATCTCAATTGTTATTATGCTCATCTAAATATAAAATTGTATGAATAGGTATTCAAACAGGCTAGGATTTTTGCATAATTAAAGTTATTTTTCTTTAACAATTGATTAATTGAAATTGACTTGAAATTTTATAAACATCTGTTGTTCTCAGGCATTAATAAAGCTAAAAGTTCATTCAAGGACAGAATCCATTCTGTTCCCTAAGTGTTCCACTCTATTGAATTATATTCAGAACTAAAAAGCTGGTAGAATACAGACTGTTAATCAGCTATGAAGGTCTAGTAACTGTTATATAAAACTATTTTTAAAAACTTAGGCTATCTAGACTTTAAAACTATAAATTGTAATTTATAGGTTATAATTGTAAGTACTTTAAAAAGTATATATAATACATGTAACTTATTGACTTCCTAAGCATATTAATAGCATATTTTATTATTCTATGAAAGGTAAGATGCTAAATTTGTGGTTAGCATGCTGAGTCAAGGATAGATGTAAATCCATGTTTACTTCTAGATTCAAAATTTAACATTAATCTTCCTTTTCCATCAGCAAAAGTCTCTTTCTAAGGAATCAATATACAGTTATCCCTTGGTGTCTGGGGCACTGGTTCCAGGACCTCCTGTCAATACCAAAATTCGCTAATGTTCAAGTCCTTGACATAAAATGTCATAGAATTTGTGTATAACCTATGCACATCCTCCCATATATTTTAAATCACCTCTGAATTACTTGTAATACCTAATACAATATAAATGGCATATAAATAGTTGCTATACTTGCTTCAGGAATGCTGATCCAAAAAATTCTGTGCATGTTTGTACAGATAGAATTTTTTTCCTGAATATTTTTGATCTGCAATTGGTTGAATCCACCTATTTGAAACCCTTCAATACAGAGGGCCAACTGTACTCATTTATGCAAGAGCAAAATCTTAGAGTGGCCTCCATCTCGATTGCCATCTCCTGCCTTACCCAACCCATCAACAAATCCTATCAATTTTACCTCCTAATTTACCTTCCATTCTCTGTCTATGTTGTCACAGCTTATTTGACCTTTCATCTAGATAATTATAATAATCTCCTAATGTATATAATTATCTCTAGCTTTTTTTTCTTACCCATTCTTCACAGTGTCACCAAAACACACACTGAATCCTGTTGCATTCCTTTCTTACACATACTCATTTGCTTTTTCTTCCCTATATTCATAAAACATTCATAAGTTTTAGGTATATAAAGTAAGTGCTGTAATGCTACTCAGAACTCAGGCTTGTCACATTAGGCATATTTTTCCAGTGTCAGCATTATAAACAGAAAATCCTCTTAATAATCAGATTATTTGTAATATTGATAATGTTTTGGCTGACCTATTTAGTTGAAATTTTCTTTCCCCGTATGCCTGAAAAAAATCCTACTTCTCCATTACAACACAAATGTCACTTCCCATGTGAATATTTCTCTAGCCAACCATGGCTAGAATTACTTCCCTCTTTCTTTGTGGATCCTCCACATATCAACATTGTTGGTGCTTCTGTATTTGTTGTGCAATTACTCTTATCATTTGTCTTTACCATAAATTTGGGTCTTCCTAAAATGAGACACCATGGCTTTCCAACCCTATGTCTTTTAGTCCTTGGCATATATTTGGTCCTCCATTAATATTTATTGTTATTTGGAATGAGGAATAAGGAAAAGGAGAGCTCAAATGATCTGTGAAGGAAGAGAAACACATAGGGCATGTGAAACAATATCCTTCACGGTGTAGTATTTTTTATTTTTTCTCCAACAGCACTCTTGCCATTTGCAATAAGTCCCATCACTCATGGGTTGTTATTACTGAGGTCCTCACAGAAGAAATATTATTCCATTTCTTGCTGCTCTCTGAAGCACTTATACTTCATTATTTCCCCACGGGCTTCAGTGTCCTTCCGTTTTTTTCACATTCCCTTGGTTTTTTATTTCAGTAGTATCTGTGATGAAGGGCTGATGCCAAGTAATCAACTTGACTTCCTTTAAAAAAACAAACAAAAATCCCAGTTCAAACTGATGGTTTATTTTATAAACAAAATCATCCCTCTATATTCTGTGCAAAAACCTTCAGCACAATGTGGTAGGATATGCCAATTGAAATGCCAAAGCCCTGTAATGGAAAAATAAGAAAAGGATCAAAATTTCTTTCACCTAAGAAAGTGCTATTAGTTCAAGTAGCACTTAACTGGTGAAATGAATATACCCAGCAGAGAAATTTTGTCTTTGGCAGCTGCAATACCTAAGACCCACTAGCTGTCCTTTGTTCCTGCGTATGCTGAGTCTCATTTCCCAGGGAGGATGATTCAATTAGGATTAAGTTCTTTCAAGAAAAATTATAAAATAAGGTATCGGGTGGATTATATAGGGTTTTCCCACATGCAAATTTCTCACTATTTAATGTGTCGTCACTTTATCTTACTGCCACTGCCTTTTGTTCCTGTCATGCAATTTTCTTCTACCAGAGTGCATTTTGAAGGCATAGAATAGAAAGGAAATGAATGTGGGCATGGAGTTGAAGAGACAAAACTTAGAAAGTTGGGAGATGGTAATGATCCTTGTAGTTATGTCCTCAGGAATAAAATGTTACCAAAAATATACCTGAATGTATCACTATGGGCAGGGCGAGGTGGTGGGGGGGACTCGAGACCAGATGTCCTGAGTTTAGAAAGGCATTGTAACAGCTAATAGATAATAGTGGAAAGGTTTCTGATAACCTTTTTTTTAATAAAATAAAGTTGGGTAAAATATATGCATCCTTTGTCTACATTCATTTTAGTAATCCATAAGTTATGGAAGACAGAGAAGTGACTGCACTCTCTTATGATAAGCAGCTGGATTGTGTGCCATTGTATCAATGACACCCTCTCGATATGCCTACTGCTAAATAACAGTGGTTGTTTTATTAGCCATCCAGTAGATGGCTTATTAGTAGGGTTGCCAAAATTAACTAATAAAAATAAATGACAGTGAGCTAAATTTGAATTTCAGATGAAAAATAACTTTAAGTACAGTAAGCCCCTTACAAAACCTTTATTGTTCATCACTAATTCTAATTTCACTGGGCACCTTATATCCTATCTAGCAACTCCTTATTAGGATATTACCAGTCTCTTTTAAATATGTATAGATTTTTCTCCTGTTGTAGGATCATGGCATAGAGTATAGTTTAATCCTCAGGGGCTTTTAACTAGAGAAAATATTGACAATTATACCTTGATCTTCTTGAGCCTCAGCCTGTTAGAAGTAGAAAGGTTTGACCGATATAGGCCACTGATAAATACATGCTTATCCTGAAATTCCAAAATTACCCGCCAAGCCTCTGCCCTGAAGGATCTGTTGTATGATAACCAGATGAATATTCAAGGGCATTAATTCCAGCATTGCTTGCAAGGGTGAAAAATTGGAAACAGCTGATTTGTTTATCAATGGGAAAATAAATACAAGTCTAGTCTTTGATTCTGAGCACAGAATCATGTAAATTAGTGTGCAGACTCTGCATCCCCATAGCCTGGATTTAAATTCCAGTTCTACCACTTACTACTTATGCAGCGCAGATAAGTTACTTAACTTCTCTGTGCTCCATTTTCATCATCTGAAAAATAACAATATTATAAAAATATAAACATAATATAAAATCTGATATGAAAATAACAGAAGTCTCTCCCAGAGGGTTTTTGTGAGAGCATGGTGAATTAATACATATGAAGTATTGAATACAGTGATTAACACCTAGAAGTATATAGTAAATATTAGCTTCTATCAAGATGAAATACTATACAAAATTAAAATAAGTAAATTGAAAGGTATGGGAAATTAGATAACATTTATGTAAAATGGTTAAAACGGCAAAGTAATACTAAAACAGCTGATGCTTACGTATGTAGTGAATATGATAAACCATATATTGAAAGATAAATACCCAATTATGATGATAGTTCTCCTCCTGAGAAGAGGAGGGACAGGTCTAGGGAGTATAATAAGGTTATTTAGAAAGTTGTATTTATTTTATTTAGAAAATATGAAGGTAAGTCACAAAATGTTAATGCTTGCTAATGCTTGGTCTATGGATATTTGCTGTAATATTCTTGGTAACTTACTATATTTGTTCAACTAATGAAAAAGTAGACAGTGGCCTGTGGAGACCGAGACTTTTAATCTGAGAAATAAATTATTTGTCAAACTGTTACTTTTTATATCATATATTTTGAATCCATTTGCAGATGTCATAATTCTGAGCTTTATCAAATAATTTAGGGGGTCTAGGCTGGGCTCACACCTGTAATCCCAGCACTTTGGGAGGCCGAGGTGGGCAGATCACCTTAGCTCAGGAGTTAGACCAGTCTGGCCAACATGCTGAAACCCTGTGTCTACAAAAAATATAAAAATTAGCCGGGCGTGGTGGTGCACACCTGTAATCCCAACTACTCATGAGGCTGAGGCATGAGAATCTCTTGAACCCAGGAGGCGGGGGTTGCAGTGAGCTGAAATTGCACCACTGCACTCCAGTCTGGGCAACAGAGTGAGACTCTGTCTCAAAAAATAAAATAAAATAAATGAAAAATAATTGAAGGGGCTAGCATTTATCCAGAGTCTCAAATGTGCAGAAGCATTTCAACTATGATCATTAAGTGAAGTAGATTTTATTATTCCAACTTCAGATGAGAAACTGAGGCTAAGAAGGAATAAGTAACTTGCTGATTGTCAAACTAGAATGCAACCAGGTTGGAAATCATGCCCACGTCTGCCTCACTCTTAAAGCTTATTCTCTTTTCATTTCGCCAAGTGCAACCAAGTTCTACAGGTATATATCTATGCTAGTTATACTAGGCTGGCAATCTACTTTTAGAAATTGTATTCACATATTTAAAACTTTGTTGAAATTTTGAGTATTCTGTATGATTTGAATATGTAATTTTTCAGTTCCATCCAGTTTATTAGTGGATTTTTCAGGTGACCTTGTCAGGCAATCAGGGGTAGGGAACATAATTTATAACATAGAGGGAATAAGAATCTCAGCTTAGCCTAGTATTTGGGATGAGGATCTTTCTGACATGTATTTGAGTCTAAGAGCAATAGCCTATGAAATCTTGTTTTAAAATAGAAGAAAAGAAGTGTTAAACTATATTCTGTATTAATAATATAACCAAATGTTAAGTTAGTTTTAGCCTAGAGGTTTTGTTTCTGAAGTAGGTGCTTCAGTGCTTCTGCTTGCAGAATATGTTCTGGTTAATGAAGATACTGTCTAGTATGCAACATAACTTACATGTGCATGGTATATATCCATACAATATGGAGAATGAACCTTATCTATTAAGAATAAATGCAGAAATTCTAAAATGTTTAAAAGATTTTATTTAAATGTATGCACATTTTCTATTTGTCAGCATATACGAGGTTCAAAACTACAAACTTGAATGTGGCAACAAAGTACGTTTATCATATTTTCTAAACAGATTCTAAATGCATAATTTTTTCAGAGAGATTATGACAGGAGGCAATGGTAAAAAAATAAACTAAATCAGTAGTATTTAAGATGAGAAGAATTACTCTTATTTCTTGAGAATGAGGGTAAGAAAGAGACAGAAGTGTTCAATTCCTGGGTTAGTTTTGAATTCTGGAGATAGAAGGAAATTTAATAATGCAATGAGTCCTGGACAATGTTTTCTCACATGCATTATTTTTGAGTGCTTTTCAAAAAGCTTATCACAGTGACTTAAAATTTTGAAATGGGATAATTTCCAAAAAGTACTGAAAATATAAATACATTTGAATGTAGTGTGTATTTGGCTTATATTTCAAATTTTCCCTTCCAGTGAAATAACTCGGGGGGTACTCTTGAAGTGTTTCTTCTTCTAGGTTTAATTTTTAGTGAAGTAAATGTTGGGATTTCTTTTATAATATATTGCCTAAATATATTTTCAAGGGATTTGAAGTTATTAGGCATGTCTGATTTAATTTGTTCATGTATGTTAAAACCTATATTTATTTGTGACTAGTGTAAATGTATGGTTAAATGTAGCTGACACCAGATGTGAGCCATATAACATATTGCTATAAAAATAGAAAAATAATTATGTTCCACTTTGTAAATACTTTTAAACAATTTTTACATAAGTGAAAATCTCACATAATGCCAGACACACAGTATGAGGTAGTGGAAGATTAGGTAAACTAAATTATTCATGTCAACCATTTTAAGAAAATTACTTAAACTAATGCTTAGTTTTCAACTTATTATAACTGAAAGAACAAAATTGTACTTTATTCTGATAAATTATTTACACACAACTCACAAAGTGTAATATCAAAATATTAAGTAGATTGAATAAGATAATGAAATAGTAGCTCATGTATATTTTTTGATGTGAAGGAAATGAACATTTATCCATCAATTTATGTCATTTATTGTAATACGTCAAAAACGTAGCTTGTGATAATTCAGTTGAACTACAAAAAAGCTCAGTGATAAAAATTTCCATTTATTTAAAGCTATTTATTATAGCTGTAAAAGTGAAAGTATAGATAGTTGTCCTAATAAAATGGAAATGCAAATGTATAAAAAATAGAAATTAATTGCTAGACTCTTTAGTCTATGTTGTTCTTCACAGTATCCTTATGTACTTCTATTTTTTTATTTAAAAAGTCAAGTACAATATCTTTATTTAGTTAAAAGTAAGTAAAAAAAATAAAATTTTTCATCATTTGTTGATATGTTTAAAATATATAAAAATACTATTTAAATATATTCCTTTTTTTGTTTCTGTGAGAAATTAACCACTAGTTTCCCACATCTACAATCATTATCTTTTTCTTTTGTAATGTTTATTATTGTTAAACTATAGTATAAATCATTTTATGTTAATATCTGTATTCTTCATATTCATTAGTGACTATTAACATAATAAAGAGAAAATAAAATGCTGAAGTCAATTTATATGATGAAAAAATAGATTTAATATTGAGTAATAAAAAATATAATCCTCCTTCATTTGAATCATACATAAAATTTCAAAACATTAGTAGATGATGAAAATTAAATTATCTCTATATCTTAATGGACAATATCAAATTAAATTAATGTGCAACTAGAAAACACATAGAATAGAGCCTTATTCTTTAAATCTATGTTATTTTAGAATAGCTCAGTTTTGGCATAAAATGTTTGATAGTATGCAAGCCCCAATACTGTATTTTATTTAATAGGTTCAATTATAACACAAATGATACACAAATGATGATATAATTTATGTTCTAGGACATAAGTATGTATCAAAAATTGCAGAAAAGCACAATTTTAAAATGTAGGAATAATAATGCAAAAAAACTTAAAATAAATATAAAGGAATAATAAAATTATATATATAACCAAAAGGTTTTCAAGTCTTGATCATCTTCAAAAATTTTCTACAGGGCCCCAGATAGTAACATCTATGAAGACAGACATTATATCTTCCTTTCAATTTCTTATTATATTTCCAAGCATCTAGCATCAAGATTGATACATAACAGACACTTAATAAATGTTTCTTAATAAGTGAAGGAACTATATACATCAGAGTTCTTTTTTACTCTTATGTTCAAATTCAGATACCAATAAATGGTTTTAAGTTTAGACAGAGCATACAGGAGAATCTTTGTATCCTTCTAAGATATTAGTTGTATACAATTCTAAATGATTTTAATAATTAATATTGTGTGAAAGTGCAGATTTTTTTCATTGTTTTGCAGGAAAGTTTCCTGCTCATAATTAAAACAAGTATCAATGATTTTTGTAACTTGGCAGTTCATTTTGTACCTGTGAAATTGTACAATATATGCCACAAATGGGGGAAGAGGCTCTTTATTAGATGCTTGGTGATAAACCTTAATCATTTAGTTAAATGAAATTATAGTGTAAACTAGTAAGTGATCTATTTAATTATAATTCTATATTAATTTTATTACTGAAATATATCTGTGCCTTGTGTCTCTTTACTTAGACTGTGATTGTCCATTATCTTTCTTTTACTAGCTTTGTGAATTATTGAGCTTGGTAATTAAACTTCATATTATAGGGTGTACATTAGTAAGTGTGGAAGGTAATGCATCTTTTATATAGAGACAATTTCTTGATTATTTGTTTAGTGCATACTTAGGAAGTAAATTCACAAGGATCACAAAGTTGTGTTTGCTTTCATAAGCAAACATTCAGCACAATCAAAATATAACCTGGAAAATGAATTTCAATTCAAGAGACTGATTCATATTGTGATAATATCTAACTAACGTCTATTTGACTATTTGTTTATTTTAATAGAGTACAAATTTATTTCAAAAAGATCAGAAACTATATTAACAATGACTCTTATAATTGTGGTAAGCCAAAAGTGTGATTTTCAAAGAAAAGTGTGGGCTCAGTGGGAAAAAACATTCTGGATAATGGCTCCTCACAGAGATAAAGGTGTAATTTAATATCTTTATATTAATTTAAGAAATTCAAAATGTAGACTTTTAACATTTAAATATAGTCTTCTCATAATTTTGATTTTTAATAGTTTTTTAAAATATGTACACCAAATTACAAATTCAGGAGATCACTATTTCATTTAAAACAACCTTCTCAGAAATTGTATTTTTGATGCATTTTCACAAGAGTGTGAGGAAAATCAGAGCAAAATAAGGAGGAGCTGATGTGGTAAAGAGTCTATCATCAGTTGCTTCTTTTACATATGTATGATACAGCCACCATTCTCAAATAATTGGTTCAGGGATAAATTCTCCTCTTTAAGCCAATATGTAAACTAAGGTCCTAAGGGTTGTATCTCACAAGTCATGCAAACAATAAATAAGATAAAGGAGAAACATCTAAATGAGAAAACTCAAGTAATGATTGCCAACAAAATGAACTACAATGAATACTTTAACCTTGTGCATTAAAGACGAACTTTTAGAAAGGATCATTTAGTTCAATTGCACTGAGGGTGTTTTCTGAGTTTGCCAGATAGATGTTGGTTTGGAACACCTATTTTATTTCTCTCTCAGATCCATTTTGTGTTAAATGAACAATATTTTCAACTTCACTAATATATCAAAGCTATTGATTCTTTCAAAGTGAGTTGCATAAATGTTTCACTTCAAAGCATTTTAATACATACGTAATATTTCTCAGTCTTCATGCCATGAATAACTGGTCATCTTTAAGCTGCTGCTGGTTCCAATATTGTTTTCACAACTTACAGAGGATTACTGTAAGTGTGTATAGTTCAATTTTTGGCAAGTATACACGCAATTAAAGTCAGAGCCACCTGCCTGTCATCCAAGGTAAAGAGAGATACATTAAAACTAACAAAGCGATAAAAGAGGCCTGAAATTGAAGCAGTTTAAAAAATGACAGTTTAATGAAAACAGTGTAAAAATACTATCACTCTGATGGAAAACATCTGTCCTCCACGAATCTTGACTGATGTAAGGTTGTGAGGCTCTTAAGGAATGTGTTGCCAGCCTATGGTTATATCAACAACAGGTCAGGCATGGCCTGTCTCTTTAATATCACAGTTATGACTGTCCAAATATATACCATTCCAACTGATACCCTGCCTTCCATATTGCAATAGGTTACTTTAAAGTCCAATTCTTTTCGCTGCTTGTTGCACTTTTTCAAAGGACAGTGAGAATAATGCCACTGAACTATAAAAATAAAAAATATTTATAAAAATAAACATCCTAAAAGAGCATATTTTAAATGTTGTCATCCAGAGGAAGAAATGACTGAGAGCTGTTTAACTGTTGGTACTGAAAAAAGCTTTTATATATATATAGTAGTCAAAAAGAGACATCCTGTTATTTTGATTTAAGATTTAATTAAATTATTATTATCAACAGTTCATAATTTCTTGGTTTTTATTTTAACATCTGTCACAAGTGTCACCACAAAATCATTTATAACTAAGAAAAATTTATGTGGGCAGGTAAATGTTTTTTACAACAGTGGGTTAAATATCAATTTTGTGTGATGAAAGTGTTAATATGTTTCTCCATAGAATCTGAATTATTATGATAGACTTTCACAGGAGAGAGGAGAAATTTGTTTGTTTCAAATTGGCAATAAGCAAATAAATTAGTCCTAGGTCCCCAAATTGGAAGAAAATAAAAGTTAATACATTCACTTAAAAATCTTTATTTTTTTCTTTTGTTCTCTCATGCATCAACAAGCAATTTTGAAATGAGATTTTGCAGGTGAAAGGCCTATAATGTGAAATAAACGATTTCCTTGCAGATAAGAAAAAAATTGAATTGCTTCTCATTTGCAAAAGTAGTTAATCTAGGTGCTATTCAGACATGCTAAATGTTTAGTTACAAGTGACTTTAAAATAAATGTGGAAATTTTAGTTCTTCAAGGAGTTTGGCTCTCAATTTATTCCATTGATGAAAATGTCTTCCCATTTTTCCCACCGGGATGATTTTTATTGGGTCCACCATGGCAATTTCAATCATTTAATCTTGTCAGCCCCATAGTTAGCATTGCATTCCACTAAGTCTTCCTGAGTTGGGAGCATGGGATAGGAGAGGACAGGAATACATAAGTCGTCACAATACAGAATATGACTTCCCAATTTGTGTTTGTTTCTCAGTGCTTTTTTTTCTAAGCAGAGCATAAAAATGATATGCTAATTTGCATGGTTTTGAGTAATTAGTCTCTTTATATATTCCACACCCCAGTGTTATAGCAGGAGGGACTTCCCCATGCAGGTGTAAACAAATAGGATGGTAGGGTAACTTTGGGTTACACTGCATCAAATTTTTCTGAAGCCCTTAGGAAACCCCGTCTTCATGAAAAGATTATTTCAAAGAAGAGTTTACTTAAGTTTTCTAGCTTATATACATTAGTGATTTACATACTTAAATTATTTGATGAAATAGTTATTTTTTTGTGTGTAATTACTTATGCTTGGGAATAATATAAGCGTAAACTAGGTCAAATTTCATCTTAACACATTTTAATTCACTTCTCTAATATTGATCATCCACATATTTTCCAAAACAGATCTAACTTAATGTTGAGGTACAAATTACGTTTCATATTTAGGAGAGAAAATTTCTATGGCGAGTTTAAATATAAAAATCCCTATTTTTTTTTCTGACACATACTAATAAAATTAATTTTTATCCAGTGCTCTTATATTTCCAATGATATTTGAATTTTCCTGATATATCAGGATGAAAAACTTAGGTAGCTGCTAAATATATTTTACAACACTCTTTAATATCTGACCTTTAGGTCAAAGCAGTTTATAGTATTTGTCATCCAAATAAAATTGATTTTCTGAGAGCATGTAAATCAGTAATAGAATATGTTCAGTTTATAGATAAGCAATCTTTTTTACAAACCTATATTTAAATATAAATAATAGTGAAGAAAAAAATCTATGAACTAGCTTATAAATGATACTCTAGGGGTGCCATTTTGGCATAATAATGTTAAATATAAAAATGGTAGTTAAATACTTCTTAAAGTCCTATTATCCCATCTCTGCTTCAGTTATGTTAACATTTCCATCAGATTTCATTTATCTTGCATTTCTGAGTTCTGGTCTTTGCTCTGCTGGTAAAATGATATGAGTCAATGTGTCACCTGATCCTCACGATTCAGAATTCCATTTTACGTAATTAAAGACTCTTAATCTCAATTAAACTCAATACATCTTCTTTTATTCTAAGTAACCTGTAGTCTAGAGTTACAATTTTCACTAATACATTAGTCTTTTCTGTGACACTTTCTAAGTTTTCTTAGCTATAAAATTAAGAAATGTTTTACACAAATTCCCTGTCTTCACAGAGATAGTATGGAATGTGTAGTTTTTAGTCCAATACACATGGCTTAGAATTTTAGTCTCATTCACTGCATTGGTGCAGGGCCTGGCATAAGCTAGCTTCACATTACTTTCAGTTCTTTTCATCCATTTTATCCACTATTCGTTATGTGCAGGGTTAAGACACAGTCTTATAAAGGTCCACATATTAAAAATAAGCCATTATGGCAATGTGATTTCAGCACTAACAGAATGAAACACTCAAAGGATAGCACGTGCAAGTTTATTTTTCATTGTAATATTAATACAAGCAAGAAATATCATTTTTCAATTCTTATTTTGATTGTCACCATAAAAATTTGGCTAATTGTAGAAAGTAGAAAAGTTCCTCTTCAAAGCTCATCTTGGTTTAAAAATAAAATAATAGACACTAGAAATAATAGCTTCTTACTCTAAAGCCTCCTATCAACCATTAGTTCTTACACTTCAGCCCAGTTAGTTGCTTTGGCTTACTCAGGCATGTCTGGACAGGCCCAGTCCAGCCTTAGCTCATAGCTTATGGCCCTTCCTTATTTGGAAATGTTATTGCTTCCTTAAACCTTTCATAAGCAACTTCCTCTCTTTCTTTGTTCTCCCTTGCACTTACCTATTTAGAAAAGTTTTAGGCTGTTAGCAAATTGGCTATCAGTTTAAGACTGTGAGGTCCATCTCCAGCCAATGGATGCAGGACACAGCAGTAAGGACCACCCAAATGTGTAAGGAATAAATATGTCTGCTTTTCCTTTGTTCAAGTGTGTTCTTGCCATTGTTCCATCTGCAAGAGGCACCCTTTCTGCAGAAAGCAGAAATGGCCTTGCTGAGAGAATTAAATTTATGTTCGAGTGCTATTTCTTTTTTTTTTTTTTTTTTTTTTTGGGACAGAGTCTCACTCTGTCACTCAGGCTGGAGTGCAGTGGTGAGATCTCAGCTCACTGCAAACTCCGCCTCCCGGGTTCACACCATTCTCCTGCCTTAGCCTCCCGAGTAGCTGGGACTACAGGCTCCTGCCACCATGCCTGGCTATTTTTTTGTATTTTTAGTAGAGATGGGGTTTCACCATGTTATCCAGGATGGTCTTGATCTCTGGACCTCGTGATCCACCTGCCTCAGCCTTCCAAAGTGCTGGGATTACAGGCGTGAGCCACCGCGCCTGGCCTCAAGTGCTATTTCTTTGCGGCACTGGGGAACAAACATTTCTAACACTAATATTTGAAGGTTGAGCCATATCTCTAGCAACAGCATAAGAATATCCTACTTTTTTGGATTATTATGGTATTAACCTTCATAGTCCTTATCTGAGTCCACTGAATAAGTAAGCAATTTCCATCTGCATTATCATGCCTTGTTTCTAGGAGCGAAATGCTCTATAGAGCATCCTCTGCTTAATTTAAGGTGAGTAAGATAGTGAATATCACATTGCTAATTGCCAATCCAGAATCACTTACACCTAGCAATTTTTTTTTTTTTTTTTTTTTGAGATGGAGTCTCACTCTGTCACCCAGGCTGGAGTGCAGTGGCATGATCTTGGTTCACTGCAACCTCTGCCTCCCACGTTCAGGCGATTCTCCTGTCTCAGCCTCCCAAGTAGCTGGGATTACAGGTATCTGCCACCATGTCTTGCTAATTTTGTTTTGTATTTTTAGTAGAGATGGAGTTTCACCGTGTTGGCCAGGCTGGCTTTGAATTCCTGACATCAAGTGATCCACCTGCCTTGGCCTCCCAAAGCACTAGGATTACAGGTGTGAGTCACCATGCTTGGCCACACATAGCAATTATTTAGAGCAAATGCACCTACCCAAACTGCTCCATGTGAGCTTCCAGCAGAAGCTCTTATAATCTTGAGTTGCCTTGCAGGATACTCCCTGAAGCTGACTACAGAGCAGAGAGGCAAAGGGAGCACATTAGGCTTCTGAAAGGTAGTAACAACAACTGCAAGGAAATTTTAATTTGTTTAAATTAGTATTTAAATTTGTCATGATAATGGTTAAAGCCTCATTTTTAAAAATAATTTCTAAGTCAAATTTTATAGCAAATAATCATATCCCTAACCCTTGGAATGGTCATCCAAGGAAAATGAGAATAGAACCTAAATGAATAATACATACTAGAAGAATTTTCATTACAGTTGGACTTTAAAGTAAGGTATAATATTTTGTCACCAAGAAATTGTTTTTAATGCCTGTGCTCACTATTGGGGAACTATTACTATGGTTTTAAATTTATAGGACTTTATCTCACTTTGTATAGAAATTCTTTAAAAACAAAAATATGAGGACGCAGATTCCTGAGATGCATATTTTTTTTCATTACATGATATGGTTTGGCTCTGTGTCCCCACTCAAATCTCATCTCCAATTGTAATCCCCATGCGTTGAGGGAAAGACCTAGTGGGAAGTGATTGACTCATGGGGGTTGGTTTCTCCCATGCTGTTCTCCTGACAGTGACTGAGTTCTCAGGAGATCTGATGTTTTAAAAGTGTGGCACTTCCCCCCACCTCCCATTTCACCATGATAAGATGTGTGCTTGCTTCGTCTTCATCTTCTACCATGATTGTAAGTTTCCTGAGGCCTCCCCAGCCATGTGGAACTGTGAGTTTATTAAACCTGTTTTCTTTATAAATTACCCAGTCTCAGGCAGTTCTTTATAGAAGTGTGAGAATGGACTAATACAGTATTATTTAATGGTATCCAGTAATGGATCTTTTCCTTTTTTCTATTCACCTCATAAACAGTGAAGACAAATTAACTTGGAAATTTTAGTAACCCAAAGAAGATTTTAGTTAATTATTGAAAGGAGAGTGCATTTTATTTCTTCCTAATTCATCTGGTTATTTTTATTTTTACTATTTTTTTTTTTTGAGACAGTCTCGCTCTGTCCCCCAGGCTGGAGTGCAGTGGCGCGATGTTGGCTCACTGCAACCTCTGCCTCACTGGTTCTAGCGATTCTCCTGCCTCAGCCTCCCAAGTAGCTGGGATTACAGACGCATGCCACTACATCCAGCTAATTTTTGTATTTTTGGTAGAGACAGGCCTTTCCCATGTTGGCCAGGCTGGTTTCGACCTCCTGGCCTCATGTGATCTGCCTTGCTCGGCTTCCCAAAGTGGTGGGGTTACAGGCGTGGGTCACTGTGCCTGGCCAGGTTAAATTTTCTTAAATAATTAATATCTCGGCTGGGCGTGGTGGCTCACGCCTGTAATCCCAGCACTTTGGGAGGCCGAGGCGGGTGGATCACAAAGTCAGGAGATCCAGACCATCCTGGCTAACATGGTGAAATCCCCTCTCTACTAAAAATACAAAAAATTAGCCAGGTGTGGTGGCAGGCACCTGTAGTCCCAGCTACTCAGGAGGCTGAGGCAGGAGAATGGAGTGAACCCAGGAGGCGGATCTTGCAGTGAGTTGAGATCGCGCCACTGTACTCCAGCCTGGGCAACAGAGCAAGACTCCGTCTCAAAAAATAATAATAATTAATATCTCTATAATATTTTGAAGAGTTATGAACTCTCTTATTTAATCATCCTCTTTATTTGTAGTTATCTATTATTTTTGGAGTTTTACTTCTACCTTGGCATATGTTATGGCAAACTATTCTTTGCATTTGAATTAATTTACACATCTCTCAAGGTAATAGCTGTTGTGCATGTCAAAATTTCAAATTATCTCTAACTGGTCTAATCTATATAAGTGTAACTAGTCTTATTCAAAATACAAATTTCAAGGGCATTTTTAGGCAATTGATTTATTTGTTTTGGCTTACAATCTCAGCTTTGGCATAGTGTTAAGGGGCAAAGCATCTTAAAAAAGCTACATGATTAAACGCTTGCAACTTATTTGTTGATAGGAGGCTTGTGTGTTCTTAAAATTCATACTTTACTGAAAACTTTCTGAAAATATAGTGGTTTTATTTATTTATTTATTTTTTTTTTGGAGACAGTGCCTCACTCTGTTACCCAGGCTGGAGTGCAGTGGTGCAATCTCACCTCACTGCAACCTCCACCTCCCAGGCTCAAGTGATTCTCTCACATAAGCCTCCTGGGTAGCTGGGACTATAGGCTCTTGCCACCACACCCAGCTAATTTTCTGTATTTTTAGTAGTGACACGGTTTCACCATGTTGCCCAGGCTTGTCTAAAACTCCTGAGCTCAAGCAATCTGCCTGTCTTCTAAAGTGCTGGGATTACAGGCATGAGCCACCACGTCCCGCTCCATAGTGGTTTTATTAAGGTGGGATGCACCATTATCAAAATTTGATCATCTTACCATCTAATGAGTGACTTTACCTATCCATTCATGAAACACAATATTAAATACTTATTAAATATTTTGGTTATTAAAATAAAGTCACACTCTTGAAGCATTCTGACAATGGAGAAATTTTACTTTCTATATATAGACAGAGTGAGAGAGGAAGAGCAGAGTTAAAAATATAGTCATATCTCCTTCTTTTGATTACTCAACTTCAGAAGCATTGAACTGAGATCAGGAAGGTATAGAGCTACCTTTCTTTCACGATATGTCTGTGTATGCGTCAGAGCACACATGCACCTAAGCAGCTGGATTTTCTCTATAGAAAAATATATGTATTTATTTCAACATTTCTGATAGTATTTAATAAATGTTCATCATGTATTAACTTTAAGTGGGAAAAAGTGGTGTTTTTGTAAATCAGCCTGGGCCTGCCTATTTAATTGAGAAGGAAAGAGATTAAGCACTAGAGTGAGAATTAAAGCAAGACTCAGAGGTAGAGAGAGAGTAACTGTGTTCACCTCATTTCCATTGAAAGTGGGCTTCATTATTTCATATGACAGAATGTAAAAATTATCAGACATATAATTGTACGTTCCATCTGGAAATATTTTAAGTGACTGATGTAATTAAAAATATTTGTGGACTGCATTTTTATCTTTTCTTCATAGATTAAAAATGTATTCAAAAACATTATCTTCAATGGCAGACAGTATGAGTGTATGTAACCAAAATTTTAATTTATTAACAAAAGAATCTTAGAAAACCTAATTATTTTCTGGGAAAAGCTTTCTTTTTGTTAGCTCCAAATTTATGCATATAATTTTACCAAGAATATATGTAGGTCTTACACTGCAATAAAAATACCTAATTTATTTGAAAGTATATCAAATTGAGGATATTATGCTTTTCAGTGATGTGTATATGTATATCAAATAAGATATCCTTTATTTTTGGTGGATCATAAATTCATAAATTGTGTGTGATTTTAAATTAGTATGTTTAGGTATTTGCACTTTGGATATTCTATTATATGCACATATATTACAGATTTTAATAAGTATAGCTATAGTAGTTAGTATTATTGTTTAACAACATGGCTTCTTTTATTTAGTCCAAAGGAGCCTCCTGAAAAAGATATTCTATTGCTCCCATTTGGAAGATGAGCAAACCAAGGCACAGAAAGAATGTTACCCAGCTAGCCAGTGGCAATCTGGGACTTGAATCCAAGCATTATGGATAGCCCATGCTCTTCACAATGATGCCACATTGCCACTTCATAGCAGGTAGTAAGACACATTTAGAATCATTTTTAAAATCTAACAGATGTTTAGAGTCTCATCATTTTTCTCTTGATATGAACCCGTTTGGCATGAAACATTATTCAGTACTACTTTTGCATTTACATCTGCAATTTCAGTCACCTATATTCTCTAAGGAAACATTCTTCACTCATCCTAATCTTACAAAAGTCTACTTATCAGTATTTGATAACACATGTAACAAGAGAGTGTAGTCATCAATTTTGAACTAATTTTATATAGTAGATAAACTATAATATTTAGCAAAAACAATATCAAAATTACCACAATTTTATTATTACAGTTCTCCCGAGTCTTATCTGTAGCATATTAATCATATTTTCATCTAACCCAGTTGTTATTTTTCTACACTTGCATTTAAAAGTAATTAAATTATATATACACTTTTAAAAGAAGACATCAAATCCAAAAGACTCTATAATGATACAGAAAAATATATATTAATAGTGGAAACCACAGAACACATACTATATAAAGTTTATGTTATACCTGTTGAAAATAGATGAATTATAAAGACTGGAGTGAAAATATAAAAATGAAATTAATAAGATCCAACTTATCAATCTTTTCTATCATGGATTGTGCTTTTGGTGGTGTATTTAAAACCCCTTTATGAACTCCAAATTCGTGTAAATTCTTGTATTCTTTAGAAGTTTTAAAGTTTTTCATTTTACATATAAGCCTTTAATCCACTTTGATTTAATTTCTGTGAAAGGTGTAAGGTCTCTATCTAGGTTCAACTTTTTGCATTTGGACGTTCAATTGTTCTGCTACCATTTTTTGTAAAGATTATCTCCTTTCCTTTGCAGCTTAGTCAAAGATCAGTTGACTATACTTGTGTAGGTCTATTTCTGAGCTCTCTGTTCTGCTCCATTGATCTGCGTGTCTATTCTTTTGTCAGTACAACATCATCTTGGTTTTTACTTGATTTTTGTTATTTTATAGTAACACTTGAAATCAGGTGGGCTGAGACCTCCAAAAAAGTTCTCTCTAGGTATTGTTTTGGCTATGTTGTCTTTTGCCTTTTCGTATAAATTTTAACGTTAGTTTGCCATAGCTGCAAAATAGTTACTGGTATTTTGTTTGGGATTGTATTGAATTTATAGAACAAGTTGGAAAGACTTGACGTTTTAGCAGTGGTGAGTCTTTCAATTCATGAACACAAATATCTGATTTAGTTACATACTATTTAATTTTCCTCAGCATTTTTTTAGTAGTTAAGTAAATATTAAGTAAAAAAACTAAAGAAATGTGAATAAAGTATTAATTATACTTAATAAGACTTAAAATATCAATTTTAGTTTATTAATTGTGTCACATGTATTATTATATTGATATTAATAATAGGGGAAACTCAATGTGGAGTATATGGGAACTCTGTATTATCTTTGCAGATTTTCTGTATATCTAAAACTATACTCAAAAGTTTATAACAATAAGGAAACTTGTTAGAGTAATTGGATTGGGATGATTTTTCTATATATTTTTAAGCTATTATCTTCATACTTGTATAATTCAAAATGACTTTAATGTTATAGTTTAGAACATAATTATAAATTATATGATTTTGTTCCTTGTTCTTGCAAAAAATGCAGTGACATTATATATTTAAAAACATTTTATAACACTAATATACTATGTGATAATATTAAATACTAAGTCTTATGTCATTAGCCTGCAATACTGCAATACTAGAAAAATCTGCAAATAATTGCAGATGTACTGGGAAGTACTTACCAACCAGGAAAATTTGAATCAATAATATATAAGTATTTTCTGACAGCAAACCCAATTATTATTCCATTATTATCAAATGTAAATAACTAATAAGTGAAGTCTTTGTCATTTTATTTTTAAAATATAACTTCAGTTCTGGTGTTACAAACTGTCACCCACAATTCATCTAAAAGAATAAATTTGTTAAATATAATTAAAAACTTGCAGAGCTCTTTTGGGGGATGTAGTAGTTTCCTGTGGCAGCAGTTACAAATTACCATAAACTTGGTGGCCTAAAGCAACAGAAATTAATCTCTCACAGTTCTGAAAGCTAGAAGTTCCGCATCAATTTCAAGGGCTGAATTAAAATCAAGGTGTCAGTAGGGCTGCACTCTCTGAAGGTACAACAGACAATTCATTCCTTGCTTCTTCCAGCATCTGGTGGCTGTTAGCATTCCTTTGCTTGTGGTCACACTGCCAAAATCTGTGCCTTTGTGGTAACATTGCCTTCTCCTCTTTTGTGCTTATAATCTCCCTCTGCCTCTTTCTTATGAAGACACTTGTGATTGGATTTAGGGCCCACTAGAACAATCAAGGATGATTTCTTGATATTTGGCTTGGCAAATCTTTGACCATATCTTCAAAGCCCTTTTCTTCTTGTAAGATAACATTTACACGTTCCAGAAATTAAAGCCTGATATCTTTGGGTCACCATTATTTAGCCTACTACAGAGGGTGAGAAAGACTGTTTTCGTTGTGCATATTTATTTAACAAAATAGAGATGTGCTAGTGGTTCTGTAAAGCGTTAGACAGTGAAAATTAAGGTTTGTATGATTTCCTAGGGAATATTTAGGAAATCTAGCATCATACTTTGAATTTTTCTACTGCTTAAAGCAAATATATCATTGCATTATGTTTAAATGAAATATTTTTAGACTATTCATATGAAATCAGCATAGTTTGCCTTTTTGTATTTCTGTGGGGTTCTTTGTTAATTTGCCTAATTTCACTCTGGAAAAATTTAGGAACAGTGGAGAAATGGGGAGTTTTAACAAGAGGAATTCTCAAATGTGATTTGGTTTAGCCTTGTTGAGTACCCAATTTGAGGGAACATACTTCGTGGATATCTGGCAACTCAATAAATCACCTAAGGATCTACATAACAGATCTGTTTCTGTCTCTGTGGTCCTAAGAAGGCAAGAACCATGGGTACTAGGAACATAGATGAAGATATATTTTTGGTTTTGAGTGCAGAAGTTAAAATCAGGGAGTAGGAGGCTCTGCTTTTAGTAACAAATGGCAATGTATTTGCACATCAGATAAATAATTGAATCATAGACTTACTGAAAAATAGCACAGAAGAAACTTTAGAGCTCACCTCATCAAATTCCTTCATTCTATCAATGACATGACTCTAGAGATGTGGGTACTTATCTAATATCAGCTACATAATTAATAACAGAGAAAATAAACCCGTTTATGTTGTCTATTTTTATTCAGAAATAAATAAAAAATGGTTTTGAGAATGTATCATTTGCTTTAGATGGTAAAACTGGTAAGCTACAAAGTTAGAAGAGTACAGATTCTCTGTGAAAATGGTGCCCCAGCATATCTAGAAAAATCACTGTAACTTTCATCTGTCCTACTATTCTTAGACATATTTACTGCTTTTAATCAGTGACTCATTTTATTATAATTGTTCTATTTACCTATCTATTGCCTCTTGAAGACTATCTGATTTGATTTGATTCATTGCTTAATCTTCAGCACTTGGGTGACATTTAGGTTCTCTCTTTCTCTACTTTTTCTTCATTTACACATATATACATATGTGAATACCACAGAATAGACAAATTTAACAATAAGTTTTCACTACAACACTCTCAGTCTCAGAATGGCTACCATCTGCCAAACTCAACTTTCCCATCTGTAACAGAAAAGAAATACAAAGTGGGCCTTTGAAATACACACACATATGCATATGCACGTGCATGTGCACACACACACACGCCAATATAACAATCAGATAAACAGATAGATAGATAGATAGATAGATAGATAGATACATGGATAGATAATCTGAGATAGATATATATAGGTATCTATCTAGCTATATTATATATATACATATATGTGTGTACACATTAACAATAAATAACAGACACAAAAATAGCCATTGAGAATTAGTAACGCTCACGAGACATTAATGTTAAAAAAAATCTGAAGTGTGTCTTAATGGTTTAAAATCAAGGTGTCAGGAAGACTTTTCCTTTCTGGGGGCTCTTGGGAAGAATCCATCCTTTTCCAGCTTCTAAAAATCCCCATATTCTTTGGCTAATGGTTTCTTTTCTCTTCAAAGCCAATGATGACCAGCCGAGTCTTTTTCATGCCACATTTTTCAGAAACTGGCCGTTGTTTTGCCTACATTTCTACTTTTAAGAACCCTTAAGATTACAGTGGGCCCAAACGAAAAATAATACTCTCTCTATTTTGAGACTAGTTAATTAGTTTTACTGCAATTGCATCTGCATCCTTAATTCTACTTTGCCATGTAACTGAATCTATTCATGTAGGTTCTATGTACGTTGATATGAATATCATTGGGTCCATTTTTCTGCCTAGCACATTTAAGATGCTTAAATTCTTGGAAATTCCTCTCAGTAACAATTTTTGCATTAGTATCGATGTGCAAAGGCATCAATAAAATGTTGGTAGTGTACTGTGCTAGTGATTATTTCCAAAATGCATATGGAAGTCTTTAAAATCTTACCATACATCTCTCTTAAAGTTTGTGTAAAACAACTCATTCCCTGATAATTATGTATTTAAAAAGTGTTATCCTACATTTTTAATAATAAAGGATCCCATGAATCATATTACAATATTTGAGAAAAATGTTTATAATTCTATGCTATCAAGCTTTTTGCTCATTTGACAGATTTTTTTGCAATTTAAAGAATGAAAATATTAAGTATATATCTTGATCCGTAAAATACATTCACCAATATTTTATGATTGAACTTGGTAATCATAATTAATTTTTGCATTTTAGTTATTTTCTATCACAATCTTGCTTTTTCTACTTTGGATTATGCTTTTCTTATTATCATAATGATTATCACTTAAATAATCATTTTAAATATATATCTTTTAAAATTTTAAATATATCTGTCTCTGATTAAATTTGACATCAAAGTGTACTCATAAATTACAAAAACCAACATTTGTCAAATAAGAACTTTATGTCTTAATTTTTAATGTGAGAGTTGGAGGCTGAACAAAGTATTGTAAAAAATTCCCTTTTATTAATTTATTGATATTAATACACTGCTCAAATTAATTTTTTAGAGGTTTAAACTATTGGTGTTCCTAATTCCTGCCTACTACCAGATAAATACATTAAAGTTGAAATAAAATTTATTACAAAGTTGCTGTAGCAATTTGTAGGATACTGTTTATAATGGAATAACTCACTGCAATGTTCTTATAGAAAAAAGACATGAAAATTAGTTTATGTCAGCATATCTGTTATTTTAATCCACAGTTGCTGACTCAAAACTATTGAAATCAAAGATGATTCAATAAGCTATTTCTATTAATAGTACCCATTACAGGATTCAGGAGAAAGGAGTGATTAAAATAGCTCTATGAACACCATAATTTTCATGTAGAATTCTTGCTAAATGGAGCATGGCAAAATTATTTTTCTTCCATAACCTAAGCAACACTCATATGAGGCATCCTAAATCTTAAGAAACTGAAGCTACTAAGAAAGTTCTTTTCATAAAGAATTTCACTTTTTAAATTCTCCAGATTATCATTTTAAGAATATGGCTACAAGTTACAACTTATTTTTTATAATCACACTATTTGAAAACTAATTGTTAACTTTTTAAAAATCCATTTTACGGATTATAACATTTACCAATGATCTATAAAAACTGTAGGAAGATTTACTTCATAAAGTAAAATTTATTATAGATTAAAATGCTCCCTTATTTGATAAGACAATACAATGTTTTATGTCAAGCCATGAATTATATGGGAATACTTGTTAGTATAAATTTTTTTGCAATGGCAATAAAGAATTCTGTCATTCATTTATTACTAGAGAGAATCAGCATTTCTTTTTCATACTAACACAACATTTCCATTGCTTCTTACAAAAGCCTTGGCAATGCTTCAAAATGAGAGTTATCACAAAATATTCTATTATAGCATGGTGAATAAGTGACTTTCTTTTCCATTATGTTCACAGCTCTCCAAAGAGAACTTTACTTTGATTATACTGATCTACTGTCAAGTGAGAAAAACCGAGTTTCAGATTTTGCCTTACTCAAAGAATGAATGGCTTTTTTCCTGGAAGTCCTCTCACACACCAGATTGCATTGTCATATTGCAGGCTTTGTTACTGACTACTTTTTGTTTTCACTTTAACACTTCAGTGTAAAGCTGCTTTGGAAAGGCATCAACTAGCTAGACACATGGTAACATATTTAGAAGTCAAAATAATTAACATGTATTAAATATTTAGGTAAAAATAAACATTCTACATTCATTCATTTTAATTACCAACTTATTTTTTATCATCAAGAAAAAGTCATAACAGTAACTTTGTTTATTGTGGAGTTCATGCTTTCTGTTGCTAACAATAGTTACATGAGTATTATTCAGCAAATGCTTGCCAGTGCTCACAAACATACAATAGCTATGAATGTTAGAATAATATGGTGTAAAGGTTTTTCTAAATCTTATTAAAAATGTTATTAATTCTGAAAAACAAAGTTCTCAGAAAAGATCTTTGTCAATAGGAGTCAATAGAGATAAATGCAATAAAATATTTTAATAGTATAAATTTCATGCTATTTATATTACATATGATTTTTAACTTCATTACTGAGTTTTTGAGGGATCTATCAAAATACACAAAAACTGTTGTAACAAAGATGGAAGTAGTTGTGTTTTTCTGTTTTTGGGGTGTGAAAAGGGAATACGGCGGCAAAATGTAAGCAAGGACTAAGAAAGTATTTGAGTACATATGCTTCATATGAGAATGACAAAATCTGTGATATTTGATTTCTTAGCTTTGCTACGTAATTATAGATAATTTATTGACAGCTTATAATTTGCCAAGATAATGTTTTAAATGTTTCATAGATTATATTATCAAAAAATAGCATGGCATTGATACTGACTAATTGTTTTTAACGAATGAAGGAAGAAGACAAAAACTGGGATTTGATATGCTGGCTATCATATGCCTACTCTGACAACAGGAATACTTTAAAACTATTATAATTATACTGCTTTCTTGAACTTTATGTCTAATAGAATAACTAGTTTATTTTCCTTTGGGTTCAGCTTCTTCCTATTTGTCTCTTTTCTGATTCTGAATATATTTTAAGTTTTTAAGATGTTATTCTTGATGCCTTTTCCTTTTTGGGAAATCTCTTGTTCTTTGAGACAGAAAGCACTTTTGTCTAGACTTTCCTTTTCATTTTACACTCACCGAATTTTCTGTTAGAATAAATTTTCTTCAATAACATATCAAGGATTAAGAAATGGTGTCAGCAACAGTAAATTTTCTAACCAAGTGAAGATTTAATTTTTCCTGTAATGATTTTTTGGACATATTCACATTTTAGAAACCCGTAATTACTTTACTAATTTAGGTTAGTTGCACCTTTTCAGGTTAATCTTTCAGCCTTGAAACCTTATTTTATGAGTTCTCCAGATTCTTTCTTTGCTACTATCCCCTTTCTATAGAGGTGATACCTTGAAGTAACAGACAGCCAAATCATCACAGTGATTGCAACCTATTTCTAAAATTAATTTCCTCTTCATTTTTTTTAGTCTGTCATACAATTATACTGTTTCCTCTGACTCAACTCTATCACGATCTGAATATAGCAGGAAAAATTTCAGTGTATAGCAGATAATTGAATAAGGTTGTTTCAATATCATTTTCTTACAAGGTTGATGAGAAAAATAATGGGATCCTGGCAGGTTCTACCATCTGTGTGGAATTTGCACATTTCCCCTATGTCTGCATGGTTTTCTCTTGGGTACTCCAGTTTCCTCCCACACCCCAAAGATGTGTATGTCAGGTGAATTGATGTGTCTATATTGTCACAGTCTGAGTGATGGGATGGTGGGTCCAAGGTGGGTTCCTGCCTTGGCCCTGAGCTCCCAGGATAGGCTCCAGCCACCCAGGCACCTGAACTATAATAAGTAACTATAATAAGTGGGTAATAGTGACCTTGTTTTTATTAATCTTTCTTAACTGTATATATAGCTTATTTTTTTCAGTCTTTAATATTATGTGTTTTGGTCTTTATTTACAAGTTTGTGATGTGTTTGTGACCAGGCATTCAATGTCAGATCTTAAATATTTTCATACTAATAAGCCTGTAGTAAAATTGTTCTATAGTATGTAATTTCAATTAAAGTCATAGTTTCCAGGAACCTATGCACAATATTGTGTGAGGATTTACTGTATTAATATGGTGGCCATGGTTATTTTTCTATGTAACACAAATGTACACTTTATCCATTAATTCACAATGTATATATTGATCAGTTACTACTAGTGGCCATTATTCTAAATGATGGGGATACTCTTGAAGAAAGTAGACAAAGTCTGTGCTATTATGGAGATGACATAGCAGTGATGAGAGAACCAATAAGCAAAGAAACATATAGTATGTATTTGGTTGTCATGATTTCTGTGAAGAACACCACCCCAGGGTAAGAAACTGGCAGTCAGATAAGAGTGTTGTTCTACATTCAGTAGTTAGAGAGCGCAAGTGCCATAAATTGATCTAAAGTAGAGACCTGGATAATGTGAGGATATAAGCTATATTGATGGATATCTCTGGGGAGAAGCATTACCTGCACTAAGAACAGTAAAGGCCAGGGCCTGGAGGTAGAAACATGGCTACTGAGTTTGGAGAACAGTGATGTGACCTGCCTGGATGGAATGGTGAATAAGAAGGGGAGTGGCAGACAGGATCAGAGAGAGATCCTGGGACTGATCTGCTCAAGACAACGTAAGTCTTGGTTATGAATTTGGATTTCATTATTCGCAGCATTGGAAGACACTAGAGGTTTTGACAAGCGGACATGTAGGCTCTAACTTCATTGTTAAGCAGGTCTGTATAGCAGCTGTGTGGATAATTGATTAGTTCTTTCTTTTATCAGCTGTATATTGAGCATCTAATTTGTATTATGCACTAGGGATAAAATAATAAATAAGATATTCAATAAGCTCTTAGATTTTGTCATTTAGGTTTTTCTCATCTTGGAGTTCTCTTTCTCAATCCACTTACTTGCTTTCCACCTCTCTTTTTCACTCTTTTTCTTGAGCCTCAAGATAATCTTTAGAATTTGATTCCCCTCTCCCATCCATCTTCTAGAAATTTTACACTTCAGAATCTCCACGTTGATTTTCTATATTAGTTTGCTCTCACACTGCAATAAAGAACTAGCTGAGACTGAGTAATTTATGAAAAAAAAAGAGGGCTAATTGACTCTCAGTTCCTCAGGCTGTACAGGAAGCATGGTTGGAAGGCCTTAGGAAACTTACAATTATGGCAGAAGGCGAACAGGAAGCAAGCACGTCTTACTATGGCAGAGCAGGAGAAAGAGACAGAAAAAAAAATGAAGTGCCACACACTTTAAAACAACCATATCTTGTGAGAATTTATTCACTATCATGAGAACAAGCAAGGGGGAAATCTGCCCCCATGATCCTATCACCTCCCGCCAGATCCCTCCCTTAACATTGGGAATTACAATTCAACATGAGATTTGGGTGGGGACACAGAGCCAAACCATATCATTTTCCAAGCTTGGAAACATGAGTAGCTGTTCTTGCAGTACCACGCAAGTAACACAAAAAATTGTACCATAGTTTCCAACTTGACAATTCCTAATCTTGAGTCATCTCCATTGTCGACTTTCACCAGTATTTCTGTCAAATTATTAACTCTGTACTTCTTCAGGGATAATTTCATCTTCTGCCATTTTTTAGTTGATTTAAACAGTTTCTTTCAAAAAGAGAAAAGTAAAACCAACATGGTGTCAGCCCCCTGTATTCCTAGTCCCACAGAATGGCACCAAATGGGACGGACCAGTTGATATAAGTGGTGGCTCATTCTGTCAGTGAGTAGCCAACTCTAAATTACAATCAAGCAGTTTTATACTCTGCATCTTCATCCAATGAAGAAAGGATAAGAAAGGGAAGGCAAGTGGAAGGGAAATATCTTTGTAGCAGCTTTCCACATTATAGAGAGCCTCTGCAAGAAACAGAGGTAAATTGTACATGACTCCCACCCTGTTCCAAGGAAGATACAGGACAGTCAGCCAAATCAGAGATCAGACTGTGGTTGAGCCTTGCCTATGTCTGGCTTATGTGGAGTGTGCAAGATAGCCAGGGCTCCATGATGGATCTGTAGAAGAACTACACTCACACAGCAGCTACTACTCCTTATTGTCAATTTCCAGCCCCAGGCCAGGCTTTCACTAACTCTTTCCTATAACTAGTACTGGATCTCTTGTGACTCCCATAACAAAATTTCACTGTATTTCAATCCGCTTTTCCCATTGACCCTAGGGGAAACTATATAAAGATTAAATCTACGGATAAAATCTATTTAATGGTTTTGCATTGCTTTTAGAATAGAGTAGCACACCAGTAATTTTTTTTTTAATTCTCAATTTTTAAACGACTTTTCTAATCATTCCAAATAAGTATATTATTCCAATTAATCTAATTGATTCACCATATCCTGAAGACTTATTGTAAGTTGGGACTTTTATTGCTACTCCTTCCCATGACTACAGCAGTTTTGCATGCCAATATTCTTTCCAGCAACAAAACTCCATCACAAATGATTCCTTCTTCATCATCTCATCTTTCAACATAGCAATTGAAATTGCCTATTTTTGACATTGACCTTCCAAGTATCTATTTATATCCTACATATATGATATATTACTGTTGGTCTTATTGGCATTCGTACATATGTAACATGCCTGTACTGTACAAACTGTAGGAATCATGCCACTCTTTATTTCCATCTTCTTCTCAGTACATAGGCTATATTCAATAAAAATGTGCTTAGTGAATTCCAAGTGATCAAATTCAGTTCCAAGTTCATTAGTTCTAAATTCAGGCAATACTTTCCACTTTTGTTAATTTAACTTCTTTCACATACAGTTTCATTATCAAGACAACAGTCCATGCTAGGTAACTAACTTACAGGGAAGTGTTACATATGATCTCATTAACTGTGTGTGATAACCAACCTTGCTTCAAAATTACTAATTTACTTATAATTTACATCTCTTTTCTTCATCCAAAGTATATAGGAGCAGAAGTATTGATTGATTACTTACCTGGATTCCTAAATTGTTATGGTGTGAAAGTAGAACATTGATGAACCCAATATTATGTATGCAGCTACTACTTTTAGCAGTTCCTTTACCTATAATGTGGAATCCCAACTTTTATTTAGGTCCAATAGAGCAAATAGCATTTATTGTAAGCTCAGGATGTTGCCATGAAACAAGGAGATACACAGAGGGGAAAATGAATAGATAGGGAATAAGATACATTATTAATCAGTTACCTCTGTGTACAACAAGGAATCTATCATGATGAAGAACTTCTCAGAAGCCATTTAGAATGCATTTCAGAATGGCTCCTCTGAAAGATGGGAGGCTGGAACATTCATCCATGACTCACATCTTTCCTTGGTTGTGGAGTACATTGTCGGTGTTAACATTCTCAAAGTTCTAGGGACCGGCTGAGCAAGCTCCTGGGCATTTCAAGGCCCAAAGGCTGAGAAAGCTGAATGGTACTGAGTTCATAGTGGGAACAGGGCCACCAATCACAGCAATTATTCACAGCAGCTTTAGCTAAAGTCTGGAGATGTGCTGTGGTCACCAATAGTTTTGGAAACACCATTACTCAAAAAGTATTCTAGGTAATTTGGGGAATTTGTAAAAGGTATATTACATGTATGTCCAATTGGGTACCTGGTAGTACCCAATTTCTTAAAAATTCTACTGCAGCTCCATAGTGTGTTACCACTCTGCTTAATGGGCACTGCTGTAATCAGGAAGGCCTGAGTCACTTCAGCTACAATTTCTGGCTGTATTTCCCTTTGTTAGACACTTTTGCTAGTTCATTTCTGAACTCATGAATACTATTTGCCTGACACTGTTCAAATTTCCATTAGGTGTCATATAATTTCCAACAAATCACCATGGCCAATTATATTAGTAATAGACTTATGCTTGGAAGTGTCTACCAAAATATCGAAGTCAATTTGTGTTTCCTATAGTGATGAAAAAATAATAATAATCCTCTATTTCTTCCTTAGTTTTCACTCCCCCAACATGAGTATACAACTAAGGCTGTTTTGATAGTGTTATTAATATTTCCCTGTAAGAAGGAAGGAAATTTTCTTTGTTTTGTTCACTGCAATAGTCTCAGCATGTAGAAATGACTTGTATTATTACATAGTATTTTTGAATGAACAAAGGACTATGTTACACATTTTTTAGTGGAATAGTCCCATTACTATTTTTGCTCATGGTTCTCTTTCTCCCATTACACCCAGTTATTAATCCATGTTGTGAGAAGGGAGGTGAATAAAGGAGGTGTGCTAAGACACAAATGTGAGTATATACGTCATAAGGTTTAAAATTTGAAATTTTATGTCCTTGCAATGTCATTATAATGAAGTAAATTGGCTTTTCTTTTCATGGGAGGAAATCTCTTCCTGAAGATTCTACTCTTGAATAGGTAAATCAATCACAGGTGAGCCCTCTCAGTAATTGGCAAGACACATCCTTTGTGTGTTCATTTCAGTGGTAGTCACTAGTGAGTGCAAGTCAAACCTGCTGCACGACAACCACATTTAACGTTTATTTATTTCTATACTCATTGGCTCTGCTGCTTTATAATTAAAAAAAAGAAGTTTTTGAATGAAAATATTAAAATACCTTTTCCATAAATTATTTTATCTTACTATAAATGGAATCATGACTTATGCTTTAAGGACCATTGCAAGAGTTGAATTTTTTTACATGAAGAAACATAGGCCCAAAGATATAATTTACTTTTCCAAGCACAGTTTACTGAGAAATATTATTATCCAGTTCTTAACTTTCAATGTATTGCTCTTGTATTTTATAACATTTTCTCTTAAAATCTAGAAATTTTACTGAAAATGTAAACAATAAAGAAGTTTTACTTATAAGGAATATCAACAGATAAATGCATATTTATAGATAATCTAGCAATCTAACTTAAAGTTAACATTTAGGAGAATATGAATTCCATTTACTGAGAAAACAATAACAAAAGGCACTATTTCTTTCTTTATAAGTTTAATTTTTCTCTCAGCTATCTCCATACCCTTTGTCAAAATTGACTTTAAAAATTACGGAAATGGAGAACAGATTAGTGATTGTCAGGAATTAGGAACACTGTAGAGAAGAGGACGGTGGGTGTGTTTAAAAAAAGGAATAAGGGGGTCTTGGTGGTTTTGAAACTGTTCTGCATCTTGACTGTACTGTAAAACTCCTGACTGTGATATGATACTGCAATTTTGCAATATATTGCCATTTTTGGAAACTGCATTAAGGGTCCATGGGATCTCTCTTGATTATTTTTACAACTGCACATGAACTACAATTACTACAAAATAAGACATTTAATTTAAAAAATTATTAAACACCATAACAATTTAGAATTTTATCACTTTGGAAATAAATTGTAATGGGAATAACTACAAATAGTATTCATAGTATTTAAAATTACTATGCATGTAAAATGCTTGGGAACAAAATTTAATTTTTTGTGGAGGACAATATAGTTTATAGTAAAAATATACTTTGACTTATTGGAATAATGTAGTTTTTTATAATAGGAAGCCTGCTTGCTTTTTACTTATTTTGGGCTTTCTATTTTTTATTTTCTCATTTACCTATAGCTTTAATGTAAGTTGTGTGACCCTTATGTTAGTCTGTCTGTCTATACTATTTCTTAGGTCAGTGTATATTTCAGTTTCTTTAATGTGGATATAAATAACAAAATTACTTCAAAATTTTATTCTTGTTCTGTTCTAAATCCAGGGCAAAAAATTATCAATGTTATTATTTCTATGATACATCTATATTTAAATTAAAATCTTAATATAAAATGTTATTGCTGGCATTCTTGTCACACTATTTAACCACTGGAACATCTTTCAGGCCTAAATGATTCCACCTGTAAAATGTGGGGGGTGGAGGTGGATGGTCTCTATTGGCCCTTCTGAATCTCAATGTTATGAGTCTCTGACTTTCTAAGTTAACCTCTTGGTAATTTATCAAATTTATCAAATGAATTAGACTTCCCAGAGTGGAGGCAGCTAAAATGCACGAAATAGGTAAGTTTCACATGTAGAAACACTCCTGTATGAGATTTAGTTGGAGAGACTGGGAACCACATTTTATTTGTAAAGCCCTTTAGAGACAAAATGCTGTATTATTTGAATTGAAGGTTATCTATGAGGTCATGGCAGTAA
The DNA here is from genome assembly GCF_000001405.40 of Homo sapiens. Taxonomy (NCBI): domain Eukaryota; kingdom Metazoa; phylum Chordata; class Mammalia; order Primates; family Hominidae; genus Homo; species Homo sapiens. The sequence continues at coordinate 104,336,223 of NC_000005.10, forward strand.
TTACTGTGGGTTATGGCAGGATATTTATAAATTCATAGAAAATTAGGGAGCACATCTCAGAATTGCATCTCACCCTTTTTAATGTATGTATATGTTTATTTACATGCCCAAATATAAAAGTAGAAATATTACTTACTGTTTGATTGTGTTTTGAAGACTGAAAATTTTCATCATTGCATGTGGAGCAGAGAAAGAAACATAAAATACCCTATATCTTCATTTAAAATCCAGAAAGAATCATTTTCTGATGGAAAAAAAGAGGCACATCTTGAAGCAAGGAGATGTGCAACAAATTTTGAAAAAGACTGAAGTTCTCATTCAGATTCCTAAAGTGTAGAATCCCTTTGCCATCTTGATCATTGAAAATGAGTTTGAAGATCTACTCAGTCTCTGGCCACTTCAGATTAGGTCCTTTCCATGTCAAGTACTTGCTGAAATTACTACTTTTTCTTTTCTTTACATGTGTTTCCCTCTTTTTCAATGTGTCTTATGTCCAAAGTACATTGAGCTTTTTGGAATTTTTATATGCTGTACCTACCCAACTTATGCTTTCCCTAGTTTAAACATTTTAAGAATAAAAAGACAGAATAAAGCATCTTCCCAGGTTTAGATATTCTTTTTTTTTTCTGCCAAGAATGTTGTTTATTCCTGATATACCCACCTTAGAATAATTTCCTCCCTAGACAATGACAATCTGCAAGGCATATAAGTTAACATCAATTAGCCTCAATTCAAAAGTGAATAGCACATCAGTAAGCCTTAAAACATAAACAAAATGGAGTTACCTGTCTAAGGCTCCAAAAGTAAGGAAAAGATTGGAACAATTTAAAGAAATTATTTATTATTCACTCAGAACCAATTCTTTATTAACAAATTATTTTTTTGTGCAGGCATGTGTTTGGGTCATGGATAATCAGGAGTGCTTAAAATGGCAGGACAAATACGTTCCTGGAAATATCACAGTTTAATAATTGGAAAGTAAAAAGTTGATATTGTGTAAATAACCTAAAATGGTAAAGATGGTAGTATCATTAAGCATTCTAAACAGTGGGACTGATTTCTTATTTTGTTTTGTCTTTTAGCAACCATGTTTTTATAGAAAACCTGTCTAAATTGTGAAAAATTCTTATCTTTCCAAATATAGTTTATTTTAAAGCCTTTATCATTTTGTCATTCAAAATATTTCCAGTTGTCTGGCCTTCAATTTATTGTCTGAATGAAATTAAATCTGAAATAGTAAAATGTAATAGAAAGGGCCAATGGCAGGAAAAGTGTCTCTAAAAATAAATAAATAAATAAAGTTTCCTGTATTTATTACATTACAATAGCATGAGCTGCAAATGTAGCTTCATTCAAAAAAATTATAATTAAATTATAAGTTTTACTTGATGTCAAATATTACAACTCAGATTGAAAATGTATCCCTGTTTACAAATCAATTATTCATTGAGTTAAACAAGAAAATATTAAACTTTTTTACTAAGACTATTCAAATTGGCAATGTAATTTGAGAAAGCATCCTGATTTCATGAACTTTGATAGCACCTACTTATGGAACAGATTAATTACAAAAGACAAGAGGCAACATTTTCCGGATGTGAAGCTGTAGGTAGTCTAACCATATTCACAGCTGAAAATTGATATTATCTAGAACTCATACTGATGCAATCATATTGAACTTGCTACTCTAAGTATATAAAAGAATTTATATAGTTTCATGAATGGTTGATACAGGAAATCTTTGTTAGTCATCCTAGAATCTTAAATACACACACACACACACACACACACACACAGACACTTCCATATATACATATAAACAGAAATAGAAAATTTGCTAAGTAAAAAAAAATGTTTTGAACATATTTTCTTCTAGTGCAGGTAACATTTAACGGATTCTAAAGTCTTTTCGGTCACTTCCAGAATTTTTCAGCTTGATAAATTTCTACCACTCAACAAAATACCCACCTGCCGTTATCCTTAATCATGTTAAGACAGTGTGCTATAAACATCCTCAGTACAAAACGCAGTGTTGCCAATGATCAACTATGGATTTAAGTTTGAGCTTCTCATATCTTCCTCCATCTTTGTCCCTCCTAACACAATCCCCTGAAAAATTGTGTTGTTGTGACTAGAAATTGCTGTGGTAACCCAGACCTTATATTCTCATTTTTGCTTTCTTCACTGAACCATGAATGGAAATTTACTCTGCAACACATAGTAAGTGTGAAATTGATTCAGTCCTAGTGACAGACAGAGGCAGCCAGACCCAATACATAATTTTACTATGCTAAAGAACTACCTAATCAGCCAACTAACCGGGTGCCCCTTGGTCTATATTTAATATTTGTTTTAGATATAACATCACTCATCCAGTTATCACTGGGAATAGTCATAGTAAAGTTGTACTTCAGTGCTTCCTGTCCCAGTGTTTTTTTCCCAGACACATTATTTAATTTGCGATCTTGCCTGGATGCCATGAAAGAGAACATACATATTAAAACAACTTAATATAGCAATTATTTATTGGCAAATTTAAAAAAATCAAAATTGTCAGAACTTGGAAGCAACCAAAATGTCCTTCAGTAAGTGAGTGGATAAGTAAGCTGTGGTATACCCAGACAATGGGATATTATTCAGTGCTAAAAAGAAATAAGTTATTGAGCCATGAAAAGACATGGAAAAACCTTAAATGCATAGTACTAAGTGAAAGAAGCTAATTTGAAAAGGCTACATACTGCATGATTTGAACTATATGACACCCTGCGAAAGGATAAACTATGGAAACTGAAAAGATCAGTGGTTGCCAGGAATTAAGGGAGAGGGAAGAATTAATAGACAGAGCACAGAGGATTTTTAGGGCAGTGAAACCACTCTGATAATACTATGATGGTGGATAAGGTCATAATACATTTGTACAAACCCATAGAATATACAACACCAAGAGTGAACCCTAATGTAAATTATGGTGCTTGGGTGATAATGATGTGTCAGTGTAGGTTAATCAATTGTAACGAATGTACCACTTTCATATAAGATATTGATAATAGGAGAGGCTATGCATGTTTCCAGGGAGGGGAAATACTAAAAATCTCTGTAACTTTTTCTCAGTTTTGCTGTGAATATAAAACTGCTTTATAAATGTAAGTCTTAAAACAATAAAAGTCCATTGTGCTTACTTCTGGCTAGCCTCAGCTCATATTTACTGAGGCCCCGACTCTAGGCTTGAAGGTAGTTGCATACTAGAAGCTGCAGTCCTTCCTTTGATTTTTCACAGGTGCTGCCTCACACTTGGGCATTTTCTCATGGTTCAGAACAGTCAGCGAGAATGACTATCAAATGGGGACTTGAAAATAAAATTGGCTTTAAACTGTTTCCTGTCTTCTTTCATGTCTAATGTCTTCTTTCATGTCCTAATGTTGTCATTGCCACAGAGGAAAAAGAGAAGTATCTGTGCACATGTCTGAAATATGACTTCAAGGCAAAGAACTAAAAATTAAATAGATCAATGAAAGGGAAGACACCTTGAACAAGGTCACTTAGATTTGATTAAATATATTAAATTGTTTAATACTATTTTGTAGAATTTATTAAAGTCATTCCTTTGATCGTTGCACTTAAAAAGTCAAAACTATACCATGAATACTTTCAACAAAATAATATTGAGATCAGAAGCAGAAAATCTTTCAAGTCTAATTGGTCACTAGTAAACCTTCCTCTTTCTTGTTGTAAATAATGCATTTGCTCTAAGTTCCAAATTAGCTTTGATTTGCAAGATCTTTGATTGCTCTTTAATAACTATACAAGGGGAAGAAATTGTCTTTATCATATTAGCAAATTTGAAACAACCATTAATTTCTATTTCTCACCCCATGGGATTCAACTCTCATTCCTAAATGTTTTCTGATGTTTTCCTCATTTCTTTCCATTTTCCAGTTACTGGCTTTGTTCCCATCCCAATTGTTTATCACTTGAATGACAGATAACAAACAACTATATTTCTATTTTCACTTCTTTACTTCCAATCCAGACACTATGAAATTGTCAGCATGGTCTTTCACATATACAAATGATATTCAGCTTAAGAATCTCTGTGGGTTACTATTGTTTCAAAATAAAACCCTTGGAGTAACTGGGAAGGTTACCCTGATTTGGTTATGTCTCTCCCAATGCCTTTCTTTGAACTCTATGACCCAATTATGTTAAGCATTTGAAGAATGCCTAATAATGTGAGTTAATATTTGGCTCCTTCTCCTTGGTGTTGACCCTAGTGCCTGGAACATTTTATTTTATTTTACTTTATTTTTTTCTTATGCTGGAGATTTCCTATTCATTTTTTTATACCTCAGTTATGTCAGGAAACACTTCCATGATTTTAGTCTCCAAGTGCTTCTCTTACTAGCTTCATAATGACCCTACACAAACTTATTTTTTGTTTACTGTCTGTTGTTGGAAGGTACCTACTGTGTCTCAGGGCTAAGCATAATGTTTATCATAAAGCAGGCACTCATCAAAGGGTAACAACCCACTGAAAAATAGACTTCAAGGTAGGCGCCCTGCATGTCTCATTCTCAGTGGATTTCTTGTATATATACAGTGCCTGGTATAGAGGAATACTCATTAATCTTTATTGAGTGAATGCATGAATTAATGAATGAATAAACTTAATGCCATTTGTTTTATTTTTTCAAAATCTTTTAAATATTAATACAAACTATCATAGGATATTTAAATTAAATATTCTGTAAACAGGATATTTATTTTAAATAGATATAATATTTTATGCATATAAAGTATTAATTATAATAATAGAAAAACTTATTTCTATTATTCTTATTTCTATATTTTCTATTAAACTTCTATATTTCTATTAAACTTATTTCTATAATTTCTAACTTATAAAAAATATTAAATTAGGACTTTTTCTCCTACGATTGTTACACACCAATGTTTAATATGCATTCCCTTCATCACCCGTTAGTCACACATATGCATATACAACAAATAGTATCGGCTGAATTTCTAATTTCTTTTTCTGTTTCTCTTTGTTTCACATTTATCTGAAACAGTAGAACAAAATTGAACACTGCATATAATAAGAAGCCAAACTGTATTCTTAGAGCTGTATTATCCGTATACTATTGAGGGAGTAATTTAATATCAATTATTAATTGGAGGATTATACAACAATTTAATACTAAAATAAAATTTCTTTGATACCACATAATTGTATGCTTCTTTCTTCCAGTTAATAAAGCACTGTTGTGGCTATTTTGTTTGTCTATCTCATTTTTCCTATTGAAAATCTGATACCCATTTTGAAGGAAAAAAAAAAACTGGGACTAGAGAGGTTAAGTCATGGATTCACTACTATGTAGCTGATAAGTGGTGGAACTAAAATTCTAAGTCAAACTGTGAATCCAGAGAATGTGTCCTCTTAATCACCATGGAATAATTTTAACTCAGGTTTCCATATAATAAGCTCTAATGAGTAAGTAGTATAGACCACTGGTGGATGCAGCAGAAATAGAAGGAAAGTAGAAATTACTATACATTGAAGCTCTTGTAAGATCATTTCAAAGTAATAAAAAGCTAGAGCAATTTAGTCTGGGTTTGAAGGTTGAGGTCTACTTCTAGAGAAATAAGAATGCCAGTTAAGAGGACAAAGTTTGAAACTACTTGGTCTGCCTTAGAATAAAGTAGAATATTCAATCCAACCACTCCTGGTTAAGTCCAGACCTTCCCAGTATCCTTGACCCAACTCCAACACTCCATGTCCTCTCTGAGGCAGAGGGGTTCTCACATACTCCCTGCCTCTCCAATATCTAGAGCTGAAGCCAAGCTGGAGTGTCATCACTAGAAATGGATATGAAATGTGGTTGAACATAATATTTTTCCAAACTAGTGTTTACCAAAGATTGTTTTGTAGCAAAGATAATCTTGTAAGAAAAGGCCTGAGGAATTTGGGAAATGCTGCAATGTACATCTTCTTTTTGAAAAATATAATGTGTATTAAAAATAGTTACATAAGATGTTCTTCAGCAATATTTGTTGAGCACATTTTTAAAAAATGAATTTTACAATAATATATTTTCTACGCAACACTGATTAGCATTTTATGTTAAGGAATATTGATGCAAACATATTCCTTTCCATATCAAACTTTTAATCATATTTATAACACTTTTTCATTTGTTGATATTTATTTCTTAATAAAATCACAAGTTTACAATCAGATGAAAAAAGTACAAATATGAAATTACATTTTAATATTCTTATTATTTTTTGTTGTGAAGTGCCTTTGATTTCATTTGACAAAACTTGCCTATTCAAAACTTGGAAACTAAAATTTGATCAGTGCAGAGCTAAGTATAAAATATATATGTATACACACACACACATTTGTTTTAAAGGTTAAATATATAATTGTTATATAAATATAAATATAAACAAATATATATATAAATATAAAATATATGTATTTGTTTTAAAAGTTACATAGTTGTCCTTCCAAATGCCTAATACAGACACATGCACTATTTATCATGATATGAATGTTTGGGAAGTATCTATGTTTCTGGCAAAATAGCCTGGATTCATAGTTCCAAGTTTTCTATTCATCAAGAAAACCGAATACATATCATTAGAACAGTGTGAAAAGCTAAGCTCAATTATACTCCTCAGTGTGAGTTATACACAGACCTTCCCAGGTTTCATTTTTATGAGCTTCATTCCATTCAGCAACTGTATCAAAAGAGGATTAAAACCTGAAAGATATGGAGGGTAGAACAGAGCTCTGCTGAGGGAACTCCCTGAGCACTAGCACTTGAAAATGTTTGGCCCTGATGAAAATGAAAATGATTGTCAGATTTCATAAGAACCTCGAGCCTGGAGGTGATAGAAGCCTGAGTTTACTTCTAATTGGAAAAAAAAAAAAAAGCAAGATCACAAAAATAGGCTTTTCTATTTGAATTTGCTTTAATGTGGCCAATTAAATTATAATATCCTATGCCTTGTCAGTCATTGTTTTAAATACAGAGATGTTAAAAATGCTACGAGAGTCCTATATTTTCTAATAATTATTATAAAGCCAAAATATATATACATTTTCATTAATCTTCTGTAAATACCATTTCAAAAATGCAAATATGTTATAAAATGCTATGCTTAAAATTATGTATCCCCACATGCTTCTGCTGTCCATTTCAATCCTTGAGGCTGTGCAAGGGTAGGCTGCCTCTATTAATAAAATCAAACCTACATTTTCTTATGTTTAACACAGGAAGGATTTCCAGAAATAAAGTAGGTGGAGCAAGTGGCACTAGCTCTGTCATTCTGCAATTTATTTTCTCTTGATGCCTTTCATTCGTTTTCTCTGCCATTAACAAGCAGTTTGCCTGGGATGCACAATTCACCATTTAACTGTCTGCCCCAGTAGTACACCAAAACTGCTTTCATAGAAGACATTTTAAACTACCAAAGGACTTTTTTAAAGACCGTAAAGAAAAAGAGAGATTTAGGCACAAATCATGTATCTATTAAATACTAGGGCTCCTAAAATAGAGTTTTGGCACTTACCATATCAAGCATGCTCCTGGTAACATAAATGCCACCCAGATTCAACTGATTCTCTTCAAACATTTCTGTGTTAAGCTTCAAATTGTGACACGAATTTATAGTCATCTAGCTAACCTGTGTTCCTTCAAAATCCAAACCGACCTTGACATGTAGGATCCTGTCCTGATATGCATGAATTAGGAATTATTTCTTGACTCTCTTGACACCTTCATGATTGTGAACAATTATATTACTATTCTCAAAGGTTTCTTCTTTCCCTGTGGAAAAAATATATTTTCTCACCTTGTAGATGTCAGGCATGGCCACCTTGCCCTGTGACTTATAATGCCCCTTCCTGTGAAGATGATGCTCATCCCACTCCAGTGATACCAATTTTGTCCATGTGACTTGCTAGACAAGTGAAATATGAATGGAAGAAGTATTTGCCACTTCTGGGCAGGGTGGTGAAGAGTCATCATTTTTTTCTACAATCTTTGATTCCTTCAACAATAATGGAGATAAGATTGTCCCATAGGTCTTGATACAAAAGCATTTGAACCGTGATAGATATATAACATGAGGGAGATAAAAGAAACAAATTCATATACTATTGAATTTCACTAAAATTTTTGAGGTCATTTGTTACCACAATGTAATTTATCTTAGTCTGACCAATACGGTGGTCAAGACAAAGAAAGGTATTTTCTATTCTGGAGGCTATTGGCTCTGACTTATATGTTTTACATTTCCATTTTAAGAAGTTTCTTTGCTATTTCTTCTTCTCACTACTGAAACAATGACAGAAACTTTTTATCATATATGCAGCTAGTATCTATGGGGGATACATTCCAAAACCCCCATTGGATACCTGAAACCATGGATAATAATGAACCCTATAGGTACTGCTATATATTTTCCTCTACATACATACCTATGGTAAAGTTTAATTTATACATTAGGCACAGTGAGATTAACAACAATAATTAGTAGTAAAATAGAAAAAGTATAACAGTATAACAAAAGTTATATGGAATGTGTTCTCTCTCTCTCTCTAAATATTATACTCACCCTTCTTGTGATGATATAAAATTATACAATGCCTACATCATAAGTTGAATGAGGTGAATGACATAGGCATTGTGACTTAGAATTAAGCTCCTGGTGATCCTCTGAGGACATATGCCAAACAAGGGGATGATTCATGTCCTGGACAGGACAGAGTGGGAGGGCATGAGATTTCATCACGCTACTCAGAACAATGTGCAATTTAAAACCTATGAATTGTGTATTCCCTGAATTTTCCATTTAATATTTTCAGACCGCAGTTGATGGTGAGTAACTGAAACCATGGAAAACAAAACAGAGGATGGAAGGACTGCCATATATTAAAATCTGAGTAAACATTATACTAACCATATAAATAATTGTGAGTCAAAAAATACTGTTTTCATACAAAATAATACATTGATTTCACAACTGAGTCATTAAAATTTTGTGTGTAGAAAATGAAACAGCCACGGAGGGAACTAACAGATCATTTTGAGGAGTATCAGCTTAGTGGTAGAGCTGAAAAGCCCACTGACTGCCCTGCACATTCTGGCACGGCATTGCAGAAATCATCCTGCTTGAACTGGTCAGTCTATTCACAGCGAGGTGAGGCTTCCCGCTGATGCATCTGATTGCTCTCTGGTACTTGATGCAGATGTAAAGGGGAATAGATATAGCTTTTTGCTTGCAGTCAAAGCCTGCCTGTGGTTATTGGGCATGCCCAGCTCTGACAGTCGTTTTTAATCTTCTGCACATGATAAGAGAGAGGCAATGACAGCAGTAAGGAGATAGTGGTTTCACCACAGGGATTGAACCTAAAAATCAGAAAATCCAGGACAACTATAATTCAAGTTAGTTTGACTTCCACCATCAATCCCTATGACCATTATGAATCAGGCTTATTCTGGCCTTCTAGCCCCTTGCAGGGGCCAAACTTTCTGAAGAGTGAGCCTTCCTTCCGGTCGACATGTTCCACTCTGAGAACTTTCACATTACTGTTTTTCTAGCTCTGCTCAGTGTACTACCTCCTCAAGTCACACATTCACACTCACACACTCACAAACACACACACATCTTTCTAAGTCACTCTATTCATTTTCAGCAAGAAATTATGAAGCAAATTATTCTGAAGATATTTCTGCTTGAGCAATAGATATAAATCACATTCCTTTCATTCATGACAGAATTATTTAGATAATAGAGCAGAAATGACAAAGGAGATGTTTTGGCAGTCATAAGTTGCAATTGCTTTTATGCCTAAATCCTGTGGTTGCAATTAAAAAAAGCATACATCATACAACATTAAATTTAGTACTTATCATAATGAACTACATATTTTGAGTGACTTTCAAATTTATTAATATTTACTCCATGTATACATCAACCAAAATAAAAGTTACAAAGGTTTAACTTTTTAAAAAACATGGTGTCTTTTGTTTCATTTTTACTGAATATTCCCATTTATATCAAAAATAGGCTAAATTTTTGAAGCTGAAGGAAAAATAAGACAAACCTGGTTTCTAATTTTACCAGAATAACTATAGCATATTGTAGAATTTGGAAAATTTCAGTTTGTCTTATTAATTGTAGATCACATTTCTTCAGAATTCGATCATGTTTCTGATAAAGGTGGGGATGACTTACAGTAACTCAGTCTCAATTATAATGCTTTGCTCAATGTTTATTTACTGATTAAATTATTTTACTTCTTTTAAATAAAACAAAAATATTATTTTCTTAAAATTTAATAGGCTGTGTAGAGAACATCTAGCTTAAAAGGTAAATTGTTTCTAGAATTATTCTAATAATATTTGTTATAAATGTTTCCCAGAATTATTCTAATATTTGTTATAAGTAAATCCAATAGCAAATATCACACTGTAACCTGCCCCCTTTCAAAATTTATAAGCAGTTAACATAATTTTGATTTTTTAATTTAGAATGTATTATGCATTATCTTAAATGTGCTATTTCATCTCCTGAAATAATAGCTACCAAAACATTTATGAGGCATATATATTTTTGTTCAGATGGCTAAAGTTTATAGCTTATATTAAAGGCATTAGTTTAATTTTTATAATTAAGGCATAAAATGAAAATATGCTATCATGTTCCTCAATGACATACCTCAAGAAAGATCATAAAACTATATTAGACAAATATAAGTACTCAATTTCAAACTTTATCAAACTTAAATATACTGGTATATTAGTTGCCTTGAGAGAACAACATGGGTTTCTCAGAGCAATAAATAAAAGTAGTATTTTCATTGATTTTGCAGCAGAATCGAGCAAAATACTGATTAATTGTCCAATAATTGCTAGTCAATCAATTTCTTCATTTGAGTTTCTCTGTGTCTGTGTGCATGTGTGTGTGCACAGGTTGAAGACATGTAGGAACAGATGTCTAAATAATTCAGGAAACTAAATTTTTACTAGCTTTTTATTTATGTTTACTTGTCTTAAGGGGGCAGCAAAGCCACACAAAGCATTGGATAGTATTAAATTCATCTTATGTGTCTCGAACTAAAATTATATGCAAGCATTTATATGATAATAGAAGTTAAAGACAATGTGGTGATGTTTCTCATTTCAGGTCTTTATGAAAAAGTGTTTTAGTAGGATAGCATCTTTTCTGGAATCTATTAAAGATGCACAATTTACCCATTTATCCAAGTATCTGCTATATGTCACAGCAGTTTAGTAGGACAGGTATAAGATGGTTGTTGCTACCATGAACTGTGGTTGCATAAGAATGTTTTCACAAGCATAATTCATATACAATTGCTTTCTTTAGTCATTACTAAAGCCTAGAGAATGTAAAATGTTAAAAAGAAGATGGAAATTTCATTCATGTTTCTTAAGAAGCAGTAGGTTCTATACTGACATGTTGATTCATAAATGACTTAAATACAACTTGGTTTATCTAATACAATTTGATTTCTAAATACCTTCCAGATTATTCTCAAAGTAATTTCAAACATGTGTTTCTATGACTAGACAATAGAAGTTGTAAAGTAATCTACACCTTTTCCCAAAAAGAACTTTACCATTGGAAAATTATTAAACTCTATTAAAATCACCAGGCAGCTATTTGTACTAGTCCTATACCTCTGTATTAGTCCATTTTCATGCTGCCTATAAAGACATACCCAAGACTGGGTAATTTATACAGGAAAAAGGGTTTAATGGACTTATAGTTCCACATGGCTGGGAGGCCTCATAATCATGGCAGAAGACAAGGAGTAGCAAGTCACATCTTACAGAGATGGGAGCAGGCAAAGAGAGAGCTTGTGCAGAGAAACTCCCAATTTTAAAACCATCATATCTCATGAGACCCATTCACTATCATAAGAACAGCATGGAAAAGACCTGCCCCCATGATTCAATCATCTCCCACCAGGTCCCTTCGACATCATGTGGGAATTATGGGAGCTACTGAATGAGATTTGGGTGGGGAAACAGAGCCAAGCCTTATCAAGCTCTGAAGCATTCATTATAATAAGTGCAAATTTAAATGATTATTATAAACCTTTTCAACCAATTCAAATATTTCCATTCAATCTAAAGCAATTCAAACAAAGCATAAGAATATATAAAATTGATGCAAATACACCTGAGAATGTATACTTGGATAACATATATGTGTATATGTACATCTGTATATATCTTACAAAGCAATATAATAAAATTTTAAGCATTATACCAATTCTTCAATAAGGTCACACATTTATGTTTACATGTAGTTCTATCAAGCCTCGTGGTTTGGCTTTTAAACCCTCAGTGGATTAAAAGCAATGAATAAAAAATTGTAGGCAAGCCCGCAGGAAAACATGAAGTGATACAACATACATTATGTGTCAAATCAAAAAAGCGATTTAAAAAAATCACACATAGGCACTTCAACAAATTCCAGGCAATATAGTGTAAGAATAGTTTTAGAAAGCTAAATAATTCTTGGCTAGAAGCATAATCTGCTTTGCCATCTTATATAATAATTGAAGTTAAAGATCATTATGTTGTCTTCTAGAAAAGCTTAAATTATATTTAAATTAGTACTTAATAAAGCAATAAATAAATATCCAGATGCTATTTTTAATAGTTCAAAATTGGAAATAACCTAAATACTCTTTGGTATATCTGCATGTTAGTATAATATATAATACCCATTAAGTATCAGTTATTTTTCAATAATTGGTTAAATTAAAAATTAATATATTAGGTTAAAATGCAGAATAAAAAGAATATATTTAATAAGAAATTCAATTTAGTAAAATATATTTCATATTTAATAACTAATTATAATAAAATGCTTTATTTTGTTTATTACAACAGCATCTGGCCTGAGAATACATATGAATGCTAGAGTTTTATGAAACATTATTAATAAATAGAACTTTAGAAGCATTGATGCATTTTGACTTGTCAAATACATGCTACCCATTCATTCTTTTTTGCTTTGAACAAATTTCTATTGAACACTTACTGTGTACTAAATGCTATTTTAGGTCATAGGGACTTAGCAGTGACAAACATAAGCCCTGAAAGAACTTATAATTATTGATAGAGATCAAAATGGAAACATATAAGGTAATTGTAACAGAGTCACGAAAGTGTCTTGAAATAGGAATCCCAGGGAGCTATAGAACTAAATAAAAAGAGCAAAGAGAACCACACGGAAGAAGGTGTGAGAATGAGAAAACTTAGTGGGAGATATACAGGTAAGAAAAAAGCAGGACTAAGCAGAGGGAAAAACACTTGTGAGGTTCCCTGAGGGAGGGCATGGTGTGATTGGAGAACGAAAAATGATTCCATATATCTAGATCAAACAGGGTGGGTAAGGAAGGAACGAGTAAAAAATGAAGCTGCATAAGAGTGCCCTGTAAACCTTAGTAATACTATGGCACTTTATGCAAAGGCAAATTGGGGGCTATAAATATTTAACAAGTAAAATAGCATGATCAGATATGAAATTCAGATGGTCATTCAGATTACAGCGTATAAAATGGATGAGTGAGAGACCTGCACAAAGCCGGGAGACTTGTTGCAGTGATGAAGGTATTGCAGTAATTTAGGTCGAAGAATTCTGGGAGCCTGGAAGAAGAATCTGAAAATGAGGACCCACACTTAACCAAGGAATGGAGACATTGAATCATCTGTGGGTCAACTGACTAAACTGAGTTTTATTACCTGTAAAGCCAGGAATAGCTGTGGGATTTGGTAACCCCACAAAGGTCCTCTTGCCTTGTTAGATGCTAGCTGAAAAGCCTGCTAGATTTCTTTTCTTCTTTTCTTTTTAAAATCCAACACTCACTCTTTTTAATGCTAAAGAACAGACGTTAAGTCAGGGATTCTTTTTTCCTAGCTGCTGTTGCAGTCACAGGATGATTCAATGAAGCCGGCTGGCCATATGCAGGCCTCCTTGGACTCCTTCACCCGCTAATAATGGAGAGTTGCAGAATTCTCAGTTGAGCACAAAGAGTGAACTGATTCAAAAGGTGTGACTGATCACTTGCACATGCTACTGCCAATTATTCCTTCAGCTAGAGCTTATGGGATAGTTTTCCTCAACTAACTGTATACTGACGGTAGTAACTTGGTATGAAGATCTGGAAAAGGACACATGTGGTAATAAGACTTCCTAAATTTCAGTTTTGAACTCCGTAAAATGTACTAACTGAACCTAGACTAACTACTATAGAAACATGGGATCCAGAGGCAATCATACATTTCATATATTGCAGCAGATTTCTTAAATTGGGCTGTCTGCATATTAGCAGTCATTGTACATTTGATACAGTGGGAGACCATTCAGTTGGAGATGAGTTGATTCATTTTATTATTGCTGTGATATAAAATATTTTCCAAAGAATATGTGTTATGCATTAAATCTTTACTGAAAATGGGTTATTGTAATTCATAGAAAATTATCCTATTTTCCCCCAAATAGAAGAGATAGGAATAATGGGAATAAATAATTATTAATCAAGAAAAAGTAGATAAGTGGGCTCAAATTTAAAATGTATTTTGTGGTTACCATTGACAGAGTAAATGGTTTCTTAAATATTTTTTGTTCAGCAATATATAAGAATTGACACTCATACTGTACATGATGGTGGTGATTCTATAATAATAGAGTATTACTTGTTAATCATGCAACAAAGAGAAAGTGACTTAGTGATCAATGGCAATTACATTAGAATTGCAACATATGGTAAATTGAATCTTTTTGTACAGTGCCATTTAGTTGTTTGGGACCATGTACCAAATTAATGGGAACATCAGGTAAATTTAACAACTTTACTGTTTTAATTGGTCCTAAAGTAGGTAATTATGTTATCTATAAAGTCAGTTTGTCCTTTTTTCATTATTTATGATGCACAAATGTACACCAGGCATACACTAATCAAAATGGAATTGTAACATACATGGTTGGGGCCTGCTCCAAATACAGCCCAAAACATGAAAGAAAAAGAAGCTGGAAGTTACTCTGAAGCATATTTTTGTGTTGCACTGAAAAGTTATTTTTCTGTTTTGGTTTTTGTTGTAATATAGCTGGATTAAAGATATAGCAGTGTTTCTACATTTTTAAAAATATTTTAAAATTTCTAATAACTGAAGAATAGCCTAAATAGTTTTTCTTTTGGATTATTTGGTTTTAAAGCTATCTGGTTGTTGTGGAGTCTTCAATATCCCAATTCCTGTCTTGTTAAACTCAAAGATTTTGCATAATGAATAGTTGTTGAAATGTTTTGAATCCTTCTTGGAAAGATAGGCGGTCTTTTCAATTGGGACTCCATCAGTGGTTCTCAACTCTGGCAGCACATTGGAATTACCTATAAATATGAAAGCAAGTCACAATTTCTAGGACCTACTTGTCAAGATTATGATTTAATTTGTCGGAGTGTGGGCCAGGACAGAGCTATGTTTACAATTTCCCCAGGTGATTCTGTCACACAGCAAGAGATGGTAACCATAACTGTAAATGTGGGTCCTACATCAATAGGAAAATGTAAAAATTTAATTTATATGGTCTTTTATGACCATATTCACAGTACAATTTGGATTTAACAGATAGAAAAAAAAAGAACATAGGGCCTGCTGACATTTGGAAACACAAATCCAAATTGAGCAAGATGGGCAGTTAGTAAAATACTGTTGAATAAGATTAGAATTGAAAGTCTTATAAATATGACAGTGTTGACAAAGTTTCCATTTTGCAACTTAAAAACAAAACAAAACAATGACATTTGGGTCACTAAAGAGTGAATTAAGGAAAGGAAGTGAATAAAAATCATCTCCATTCTAGTGCCTGGTGTTTACATCTTCAGATACTTAAGAGAAACATTCTCTATTTGGGATTGACAAATAATACTGACATTCACTGAGAAGTTAACTATGGTAGAATGTATTTCACAGGTTAACTTTTTAACTTGTCAGAGCAATGCTAAGAAGGATGCTATTATTATTCCAGTTCTGCAGAGCTGAGACTGAAGTACAGAGGAGTTCAATGATGTGGCCAAGTCTATGAGACTGCTAATTATTAGTAAGTCAGTCTGATCCAGTTTGACTCCAAAGCCTACTTGCATGACCTCTATACCTATCTCTGTTTCTATGTCAAGTAACCTAGGTAAAATGCACCAAGGTTAATAACCAATGCCAGGATGTGTTGTGAAGGAAAAGCAACTTATTCTTCTCTCAGTCTTGTAAATCTGTCTCTCCTTCCACATGAGCTTCTGCAATGAGCTTGCTTTATACGTAATCCATGGAGATTGTCTCACTGCCTGCCCTTTGCAGAGGCCAACTGGGGTCTCTGGAAGGAATAAAGAGGTGTGATGAAAAGACAGCTATTT
This sequence comes from Homo sapiens, assembly GCF_000001405.40. NCBI lineage: Eukaryota > Metazoa > Chordata > Mammalia > Primates > Hominidae > Homo > Homo sapiens. Next base: position 104,352,679 of record NC_000005.10, read on the forward strand.
AAAAAACCATACCTTTCATTTATACCCTGTGAAAATATAAAATGCTCTTTGATATTTACCTACCTAGGTGATAGTATCTTCCTGTGAGAATTCCTAACAATACAATTCAGAAGCATGGTAAAATTAATTTTCAGTTTACATCCTTGTAGATATAGAGAGTAAACTAGTAGTGACAAAAAACTGTACTTTACTTATATGACTTTGTGTTTTTATGTATAAAAATAAACAAATTATATTGTATTTATATAAAATAAACATTTCCTATATTTTAAAACATTATTTTTATCTATCCTCTATAAATGAGATTTAACTTCTTAATCCTAACAATTTAAAATAAAGAAGAGAGATCAAATTCACACACGCAGGCCATGAATAAAATCTGAGAATATGGAAAATATTAATTACATTCCACAGTTTATAGCAAAAGTTACAATGTTGATAGAAGAATTAGTCATAGAAACAAGAAGCTGGTAGGAGCATTATTCCTATTTTGTGTGAAATAAAAGAAGTGTGGCCTTAGAAATAGATACAGGGTGATGACATATTTTAATAAAGATATCTGGTTTGAGTGTTAGGTTAGTCTGAAATAAGTTGAACTTAATAAAAGGATGGACAGAAACACAGAGAAGGTATGTCCACCTGTGGCCCAAATATAACATAGAGTATATATGTGAACAGAGAAAGCAACAGACAAAACAGAGAGAAACACAAATATAGAGATGACAGGGAAACCGACAGGGAAAGGAAAAAGAGATAAATGAGCCAGGGTGTGCCTATGTGGCTGAATTTCAAAAGAGCTTCTGAAGAAGACAACGTAGAAATAACTGGAAGAGGTAAACTAGGTGAGTCTGTGGTTTCTGAAACTGGAGAAGGTATCAATGACGTCATAATTCCTGACAGTTTCCCTAACTTGCACAGAAGGATTAGAAGGACCCATGGGTAAAAGGCAAGGAAGTGCTTTCACTGAACTCTGAGAATCTTGGGTGAAAGGCATAATAACTTTGAAGGGAAGACTTTGAGTTTCTCAGGATATCAGATGGTGTCGTAATCAAAGAAAGCTATTTAAAGCAGATGTATATTCTTTAGGGAGAATATCAGACTCAGTCCCTATGGATGCAGTAAATAAAAACATGCTGAATTTATTTCCTTTCTTTATTTTTTGAAGTAACCATGCTATTTTCCATTTTAAAAACTTTTGCTGTTTTACTCTAAGCTCTTTACTCCCTGGTATAAAAAGAGGATTATATATTTATAAAGAAAAGTAAATTTCCTAAGTTCTTGTGAGATTGCATGCGTGTATTCATATAATATTTGTTAAATCAACCACAATAAGTTTAGACAAAATTAGGAAACAACAATACTTATAAAAAATGAACCGCATTTCCTTTTATCATTTCTCCATAACATTATCTTGTGGATTTAATTCACAGACAATAAGTTTTATTCAAAATGGAAATAAATTTAAATGATTTGTTAAAGCTGCTTTATAAGGTACAACATAATCCTATGATTAAAATAAAGTTGCAAAGTAATATATGATGACATGAAACAATGTTGATATATTTTATATAAAAAGGTATGTTAAAAACATAACCATTTTCTTTTAAAATATACCTTATACGGATAAATGGTGAGAAAGAGAGAGAGAGAACTAAAAAATTATACACCACACTATTAATATTATTTATCTCTGGATGATGAAGTTAGGATTTTATGGGAGATTTTTACTTCTTTTAATGTTTCAGTGATTTCTAAATCATGTATAATAACCTCTAAAATAATAAAAAGTTTATTTTTAAATGAGGAATTATTACATTCCCTTTAGGAAAGAAATATGATACTATTGATTGATGAATGTAAGGAACTTTTGTAAAAGGTGTACATTTACGTTTATATCCTTTGAGGATTAAATTACAACATTACTCAAACGTTACATGTTTGTAAATTACTATACATATATTTAAATATATATAATATATGTAGTATGCAGTTAAAAGCATAACTATTTTTAATAGTCATACTTTATGTCTTCACTGTGATTTTCTGCCAATAAGATGAAAGCAGATCACTGTCCTTGGGTATATACCCAATAGAGCATTTTACGGACTGTTAGAGATGGATTTTAAGGTACCTGTGACCAGTAGTTACCTTAAATGTGAGCTGCATTATTCTTAGCTTTCAAAATCCTTTGATCTATTTTATGATGGGAAGAGGAGGAAGCTAACAGTGTTCCCATTCAATAACTTTTTGGGAAAAGTACTTTGACTAGTATTTTCCTTTTCATTTACCTGCAAAAGCCTAAACCTAAAATTATTTTGGTAAATGGAAATAATTTTAATTATTTAAGTTACATTTATTGACAAATGAAAATTTTATCAGGATTAATATATTTATGTTCATTTATTGAGGAAAGTAAAACTCAGCAGTCAACTAAAATTTTAGTTTACTGAAATGAAAGTATTACAGTAATTGTAAATAAAATCTGCCTTAAGAAAATATAACAACAAGAAACCAGTTGCAAAATGTGAGAAAAGATTGATATTTTCTGACAATATCTATAGGGCATTTAAAAATCCAAACAATTGCTTCATCGCCTTTTGCCTAAGTATAGTTTTTTTTCTTATCAGTTTTTTAAGAAACAAACAAACAATGATATGAGCAAACTCTGTCAGATACTCAACTGACTGGCTGAGACTCAAGTAAGTTTAAAAGAAAAATGACACAAATACCACCAGTTTAGTCAAAATAGGCAATCTTCTAGCCCCATGAGGACACAACCTAAATGTGCCTATTTAAAGATCAAAGATATACTAAGACAGCTTGGAACTTTGATCTTCACATGAGTGCTGGAGTTTCACGTCACACTTGAATAGGGCCCTTTTGTTTTGTCACTAGACTCATTCTTCCACCAACCAGTGTTATCTGTTAAACCCGAAGTGCAGGATGGATAGTTGGGAATAGTACAGCAATTATGTGAGAGGCCTGGGGCAATGATAGCTCTGGAAGAAACACGCCTGTTTTATATATGAACGATTTTCATACATAAAGATGGATGTTTCTAAATGCTTATGCTCAGTTGAAGAACATTCAAAATACAGATTTTTATTTGTAAAGTAATAGATTTAGGTGCATTGTTGTAAATACTGCAAGAGAGCATTAACCAGAATGTTCAGGACTTGAACTGTTTTGCAGCAATTATAGTCATAGATATCTTAGGTATTGATTATAAAATTTTTTTCAGCACACAATATAAGCAAGTCATCTCTTTAAATGTTATTCTGTAAAATCTTCAAAAAAAGTGTAACTTCATAAATTCTGTTTTACCAGCAAGACAGACAGGGAATTATCTGATCATATGTTTCGATAGGTATCTTTCAACACACTGGGGCTTATCATTTTTTATATCTTGGTAGACCACTCTTACTTTGTTCCCCACAACAGAGTACAGACTGGTACAATATAAACTATAGATAGGTCTTTTTAGAATTATTTTGAAGTCTGTATCATCTCAAGTTATACTCTCATATCAATACTAACCTACTCTATTTGTATTTATTAATGTTAAACCTTTTATTGTTTGTCATATTTGTTTAGTATTTCCTTCTATCTACTATGGAAGTGGGTTTCAAACTAAAATAGGCAAGGCAAGTGAGGGTAATATGGAAATGATGCCTAAGATAAATAAGCAATTTTTTAGGTTAACTTCAATTAAAAGTTAGATAAATCCCATCTCATTTTATGATGCAATTCTATATAGGAGGCTTATGAATTACTATGTTAAATTTACTAAGTCTTGGAGAAATTAGGAAAATAAACAAATAATTCAAGGGAGAAAAATATGATACATTATTGATTTACATAGGAAGCAGATAAATCACTAAGTTTACTAGTGATCTATATAATTAGTTTTATTTCAACCTGAAAGTGAGTTTTGAGGGAAATGTGACTCCTGACTATATATAAAAAATTATTATTCAAATTTTCATGATGCATTTTCAGAGAGAAGGAAGACAGATTTTAAGCTTATAGAACTTGCAGAAGGTATGGAAAAAGAAATTTTAGTTGATTGTTTGGATGATGGAACCAGAATCAAAGGAAATTGTTTAGCTGAAATTACATGCTTACTTCTCAAGTTGAAGTATAACTAAGGTAAATATGAAACCCTGTACTTCAGCAAACAAACAAACAAGAAAATAAAAACTCAACACAAGTAAAACACAGGTGGCTATGGACAGCAGCAGGTGTGCAGAAGCCTGTGATATATCTTAAAAATTTTGTTTTGAAACAATTGGTATGCAACCCAAATAAATATGGGTCAACTTACGGTCAGTTTCATCATGGTTTTACATTCAAAATAAATGTTTCAGTCAAATAAAAATAAAGCATCTAATAAAAATTTGTAATGCAATTTGTATCATTAGTGAAATCTCTCAAACATGCTTAGCATAGCAAAGTTTGTGTTAATCTCAAAACTTATCTGTCGTGGCAGCTCCTCTCTAAATATCTCTCTTTTATTCTCTCTCATGATTCACTCCCCTATCTAAATACATTGTTATTCAACTCTTGGCTTTCTTCACGATAATCTTTCTGACTTCTTTTTAAATCTTGACTCAAATATCACCATATAAGAGGACATTTCCTAACACTCGCCACTTTCTTTTTATTCATGGCACTTATCACTTCCAAAATATTTTAAAATCTATCTTCACCACAATATAAGCTCCATAAATATTTATTGAATGAATGTCTGTTAATCTTCTGCTCCAAAATTTTCATATACTTTTCCTAAAAAGTTTCTATTCCCCTTGTAGTATAAGATCTAAACTTCAGGACAGACTATACTGTTCATCAGACTTCTTTTTCCATAAGTCTGCCCTGATTGTGTTTGCCCCTCAAAATCATGGTCTCTCATACATGGGAGAGGAAATAGAAGTTCACACAAGAAAATAATTTTATTTTCTTTTTTTGTTTGTTTGTTTATTTTTTTTTATTATACTTTAAGTTTTAGGGTACATGTGCACATTGTGCAGGTTAGTTACATATGTATACATGTGCCATGCTGGTGCACTGCACCCACTAACTCGTCATCTAGCATTAGGTATATCTCCCAATGCTATCCCTCCCCCCTCCCCCCACCCCACCACAGTCCCCAGAGTGTGATATTCCCCTTCCTGTGTCCATGTGATCTCATTGTTCAATTCCCACCTATGAGTGAGAATATGCGGTGTTTGGTTTTTTCTTCTTGCGATAGTTTACTGAGAATGATGATTTCCAATTTCATCCATGTCCCTACAAAGGACATGAACTCATCATTTTTTATGGCTGCATAGTATTCCATGGTGTATATGTGCCACATTTTCTTAATCCAGTCTATCATTGTTGGACATTTGGGTTGGTTCCAAGTCTTTGCTATTGTGAATAATGCCGCAATAAACATACGTGTGCATGTGTCTTTATAGCAGCATGATTTATAGTCCTTTGGGTATATACCCAGTAATGGGATGGCTGGGTCAAATGGTATTTCTAGTTCTAGATCCCTGAGGAATCGCCACACTGACTTCCACAATGGTTGAACTAGTTTACAGTCCCACCAACAGTGTAAAAGTGTTCCCATTTCTCCACATCCTTTCCAGCACCTGTTGTTTCCTGACTTTTGAATGATTGCCATTCTAACTGGTGTGAGATGGTATCTCATAGTGGTTTTGATTTGCATTTCTCTGATGGCCAGTGATGATGAACATTTTTTCATGTGTTTTTTGGCTGCATAAATGTCTTATTTTGAGAAGTGTCTGTTCATGTCCTTCGCCCACTTTTTGATGGGGTTGTTTGTTTTTTTCTTGTAAATTTGTTTGAGTTCATTGTAGATTCTGGATATTAGCCCTTTGTCAGATGAGTAGGTTGCGAAAATTTTCTCCCATTTTGTAGGTTGCCTGTTCACTCTACTGCTAGTTTCTTTTGCTGTGCAGAAGCTCTTTAGTTTAATTAGATCCCATTTGTCAATTTTGTCTTTTGTTGCCATTGCTTTTGGTGTTTTCGACATGAAGTCCTTGCCCATGCCTATGTCCTGAGCCATAGGGTTTTTATGGTTTTAGGTCTAACGTTTAAATCTTTAATCCATCTTGAATTGATTTTTGTATAAGGTGTAAGGGAGGGATCCAGTTTCAGCTTCCTATATATGGCTAGCCAGTTTTCCCAGCACCATGTATTAAATAGGGAATCTTTTCCCCACTGCTTGTTTTTCTCAGGTTTGTCAAAGATCAGATAGTTGTAGTTATGCGGCGTTATTTCTGAGGGCTCTGTTCTGTTCCATTGATCTATATCTCTGTTTTGGTACCAGTACCATCCTGTTTTGGTTACTGTAGCCTTGTATTATAGTTTGAAGTCAGGTAGTGTGATTCCTCCAGCTTTCTTCTTTTGGCTTAGGATTGACTTGGCAATGCGGGCTCTTTTTTGGTTCCATATGAACTTTAAAGTAGTTTTTTACAATTCTGTGAAGAAAGTCATTGGTAGCTTGATGGGGATGGCATTGAATCTGTAAATTACCTTGGGCAGTATGGCCATTTTCACGATATTGATTCTTCCTACCCATGAGCATGGAATGTTCTTCCATTTGTTTGTATCCTCTTTTATTTCCTTGAGCAGTGGTTTGTAGTTCTCCTTGAAGAGGTCCTTCACATCCCTTGTAAGTTGGATTCCTAGGTATTTTATTCTCTTTGAAGCAATTGTGAATGGGAGTTCACTCATGATTTGGCTCTCTGTTTGTCTGTTGGTGGTGTATAAGAATGCTTGTGATTTTTGTACATTGATTTTGTATCCTGAGACTTTGCTGAAGTTGCTTATCAGCTTAAGGAGATTTTGGGCTGAGACAATGGGGTTTTCTAGATATACAATCATGTCGTCTGCAAACAGGGACCGCTAGCAAGACTAATAAAGAAAAAAAGAGAGAAGAATCAAATAGACACAATAAAAAATGATAAAGGGGATATCACCACCGATCCCACAGAAATACAAACTACCATCAGAGAATACTACAAACACCTCTATGCAAATAAACTAGAAAATCTAGAATAAATGGATAAATTCCTCGACACATACACTCTCCCAAGACTAAGCCAGGAAGAAGTTGAATCTCTGAATAGACCAATAACAGGAGCTGAAATTGTGGCAATAATCAATAGTTTACCAACCAAAAAGAGTCCAGGACCAGATGGATTCACAGCCGAATTCTACCAGAGGTACAAGGAGGAACTGGTACCATTCCTTCTGAAACTATTCCAATCAATAGAAAAAGAGGGAATCCTCCCTAACTCATTTTATGAGGCCAGCATCATTCTGATACCAAAGCTGGGCAGAGACACAACCAAAAAAGAGAATTTTAGACCAATATCCTTGATGAACATTGATGCAAAAATCCTCAATAAAATACTGGCAAACCGAATCCAGCAGCACATCAAAAAGCTTATCCATCATGATCAAGTGGGCTTCATCCCTGGGATGCAAGGCTGGTTCAATATACGCAAATCAATAAATGTAATCCAGCATATAAACAGAGCCAAAGACAAAAACCACATGATTATCTCAATAGATGCAGAAAAAGCCTTTGACAAAATTCAACAACCCTTCATGCTAAAAACTCTCAATAAATTAGGTATTGATGGGACGTATTTCAAAATAATAAGAGCTATCTATGACAAACCCACAGCCAGTATCATACTGAATGGGCAAAAACTGGAAGCATTCCCTTTGAAAACTGGCACAAGACAGGGATGCCCTCTCTCACCACTCCTATTCAACATAGTGTTGGAAGTTCTGGCCAGGGCAATTAGGCAGGAGAAGGAAATAAAGGGTATTCAATTAGGAAAAGAGGAAGTCAAATTGTCCCTGTTTGCAGATGACATGATTTTATTTTCTTTCCTTTTCCAAGGTTATCTCCTTCCTCCTCTGCTCTCTACATTTGCTACAAAGACCTCAATTTTTCTTTTATTGAAAACTATACTTTTCTATGGATGTTTACTTGCAAATGGCCCCTTGAGTTTACACTAAAATAAGAAGTGAGATTTAGGACCAATATATTGCAATATATTAGGGAATTTCTAAATTTCTTTTTGTATTTTGTACTGTTCAAAACTTACTTGAGAATTGCTTTCCATTCAGGGAAACATGCTTGAAGAGTTATATTATTAATAGCAACACCATTAGTTATTATAATAATTAGCTTTGTTAGTTACTGTGATATAAATGATGATAATTTATTTAGCAAGCAGATCTTCGTGAACATTTGCATGTAAGCATTGGTTCTATATATTTGAAATTTAAGAAATTAAATCAAACGTTCATGAATTATGAAATAGTTAATATTTCTGTAAGATAAGCCTGGAAACTTTCCTTATTAATGTAGAAATTTTTCCTATTTTATCATGCAGTAGTGAGGTTTGGAATTTAAACACAAAATATTTCAGGTATAAGTACTCTTAATTCAGATACAATATTTATATATGGTTCAAGAGGTATCTGCCAAGAGCAGAGTTAAAAGCTAGCTTAAGGGAGAATAAGAACATAGAGTAATATATTTTCATAGTATGTCTCTCTTTTCTTCCTATTAGATTTCATAAATTTTCTTTCTTATTAGATTAAGTTTCTGCTATTCTACCCATGTGGATTCACAGGAGTTGAAAAGCCACTTCTCATTTCATGTATTATACATGTAGCAACAATGAGAAACTAATCAATAGTCTTGCTATTACAAATTTCAGAGAAATAACTGACTAGTTCACTTGAGTTCAATGAGTTATGGTGAGAAATACAGAAAGTCACTGAATAAATAAGACTATCAATTACTGTGAGCCAGCTAGGCCCCCCCAAATTGCCCCCAGATCCTATACTGTTGACTTCAAAGATATACTGATGTTAATGTCTTATTTACATTATCTTTAGAGTAGTATCTTAAAATTTCTTATTTTCTTAATTTATTATTTCTCTGAAAGTGAAGTGTTAAATTAAATTTGGCTTAAAGCTGCTTCTGTACATAGCAAATTGTAACCTAACTTAATAAGTAAACAAACTACAACCTAACTTGAGAATATATTCTTTTTACAAGTTACTGAGTCTTGGTCAATCATAGCAGCAGCTGAGCTTTTTTTTTTTTTTTTTTTTTGAGACGGATTCTTGCTCTGTTGCCCAGGCTGGAGTGCAGTGGTGTGATATCAGCTCACTGCAAGCTCCGCCTCCTGGGTTCATGCCATTCTCCTGCCTCAGCCTCCCGAGTAGCTGGGACTACAGACGCCCAGCTAATTTTTTTTGTATTTTTGGTAGAGACAGGGTTTCACCATGTTAGCCAGAATGGTCTTGACCTTCTGACCTCGTGATCCACCCACCTCAGCTTCCCAAAGTGCTGGGATTACAGGCATGAGCCACCACGCCTGGCCCATAGCAGCTGAGTTTTTAAACAAGCACAAGTTACAAACTGCTCAGATGTATTCAAATAAGGCAATGCCAAACTGTAACCAAGTAGGCTATTTCTGTATGTCACTTGCTTTTTCTCTCGGTAAATACTGTTTGCTCACATTGCTAGGTGGAACTCTCTGAACATTTACTGGTTCAGGGTGCTGCCTGATTCATGAACTGTTTCTTTGTTCACATAAGCTCTGCTAATTTAATTTGTCTAAAGTTTTTCTTTTCACAAATTGGCATCAGAAGTCAAATCCAGAGTAAACCTCCAGGGACCCTTAGGAACACTGAGTGAGAAAGCCAAGTTATCTGCCAGGGCCCATTGTGCCCATTAATCTCTATCAAATTTGAGCTCCACAGATTTGTCTTTTGAGCTTTCTGAATATTTGAGCAATTTTTACTGGACTAGGTAGAATTGACTTGGATCTGATAATTAAGTGGATTGAATACAGTTACAGGCCTCAGGTAGGCCATAACTGACTGGACTGGATACAGTTAGAGGCCTCAGGTAATCCATTTTTGAAAATGTGCTTGTCTAAATCTAAGAAATCTGAAACTCCAGGAGTCCAGGACTCCACTTTCTGGACACTGGCTGATTTAATCTACAAAAACTGAGGGACCAGAACTTGTGTAATTTTGGAAAAATTGATTAACCTTCCTAAGGACAACTTAGAATTACAGTGACTACAATGGGGAATTTTTTCATATAGATAAAATTGTTCACTTGCAAAGTGCTTTAGAAAAGAATGGATCCCAAATATCACCAAAGCAATTGGATGCATTCTTTAGTTGGTGTACAGAGGCATCTAAAATATTAAATTAACCAAAATGTATCTGTTTAAAAGGTTTCTTACAAAAGGCAAATGAAAAACAAATCTTAAAGTGTTTTTTAAAAAATATTACTATGATTCAGATATTCTTTAATAAATTGACAAGCTTGTATTATTCTGACACATGACTAAAATTTAAGAATAAAAGCTATAAGATCTGTTTCTGTTGATATGTTTATGTATGTCTGTATGGATGATATCTATGTATATATTTTTCTATCTATTTATGATCTTGCCAAATTAAATGGTAAAAGGGCTCTATTTAATTTGCTTAAGAAAAATAAGTGCTTATGTTAATACAACATTCCCTCAGGAGAATAAGAAATAATCCAAATGCTTTTCTAGTTCACATGACTTGGGTAATTTCTGATAAACAAGAATATCATTGATTTGATTAAAACAGGCATATCTTCAGGGTTTTGAGCCTGAATTATAATATAGACATTTTCTACCTAGGTTTACAGGAAGAAAAGCTTATGATCTTTCTACATTACAAAATTTAAGAAAAATAACTTTAGATGATGGCTAGCTATTTTATGTCTCATCTTTATAAGCAATCCAAACATAATTTTAAAAAATAAGTCAGTTAAATAGCTTTAAGTAAGATAAAATTTTCATGTAAAACTTGCCCTTCCTGTACCAGAAAGTTTTAACACTCTCATCATCAAGAATGAAAATTAAAGCTGTGGGAAATCTGTATAAACAACAATTTCATTCTCAGGCCTAGCATAAAAACCAAAACCAAAACCAAACCCTACGAGAACCAACGTAAAAGTTTGCCTCCTCCACAATTTCTTGTTAAAGAGAAACTGAAGATATTTGGGATTCTTAGTAAACATGTTCTGTGCCATATTGACAAATTTACTAAGAGAAAGCTCATGCTTCTAGAAATTATGATTCATAGATATGCCAAGCTACAGATTTCTGGTGTGATAGACAGTTCGCAATTGTTTGTTTCCTAGTGTTTGCTGGAAGTTAAGATCAGAAGGGTTAAGAATTCTAATTAATATATGTAACTAAAATTACTAGAAATCATAAGAGAAAACTCTGTATGCAAATGTACTTAGCTAATAGGTATGTTTCATAAAAAAAGCTATCAGATATGAAGATGTTTTGTTATGTTGAGAAAAATAATAATTTTTGTCCTAAATTAGAATGACTGGTTGTTCCAAAATTAGAAGAGAAAAAGCGTAGGAGAAAAACTTAATGGGATGAGAAAGTGGTAGGAAGTTTGTGGAAGGTGAATTTTGTGAGAGAAATTGTATGTGTAATCAAAGTATTCAAACTAAGATAAAAAAATTTTTTTTTCTAAAAGTTGAACATTCATATAAAAAAATACACTGATGAAAAACTAGAACTTGATCCTCTCTGTCATAACAACAAGGTTTTCTTGAAGTATTGACCTGCTTTTAATAGAAAATTGTGAAGATTTTTTTTTCATCCTTTTAAGTAATTAGTCCAGGAAACAAAGATTCTGTGTTTTACCAAGAAAATTTTCTTTGCTTAATTTTGTCTTTATTAGGCTTTTGATAACTTAAGAAAACTGAGTCCTCTCTAATTAAATTTAAAAAAAAGCTGAGGTTTTGGTGCACTGTGTAACTTTCTGTACTTAAAGTATTTAAATTTATCACTTTGGTTAAATACATGAATATTGTTCACAGTGGCCTCTGATCCTATTTTGATCAAATATTTTAAACCTTTTTCTAGGCTGGCCCTTGGAAAATGTCAAAAGAATATCTCTGTATAAAAAGAGATATGTTAATTGGGCTTATTATATTTTATGTTATGGGAAGAATTATCACATAATAAGTATAAAACGCTAAATGTTCTTTGAGTTATATTTGTAGGAATGTGGTATTAATATGGGTTTTTAAAATTCTATAAAATTTATAAAAATATAATAGTCCTGGTATAATTCTATCAGTAATAATTCTAGTTATTTTCTTAAAATGTTTTATGTGACAGAAATAACTAAATTTATTGGTCAATTGTGTTATTATTTAATGAACACTCCTCAAATTTTAAACATGACCATTTAAGTCTTGTCACTCATAAACAGTTAATTGTTTACTTTGGTACTTTCCTGAACTACAAGAAGCCTAAAGTGGTTTGTCTTCAAGGAGAATACTGAAAAGGTATCTGACAAGTACAGGTTTCTGATAACTTTAAGATCATACCATTGACTAAGAATTCTCAGAGCTCTCTTGAAAAAATGAACTAATTTATAAAACTTCTAACCCAATGTCAAGCAGAACAATAATTGATTAAATACTAAGGAAATGATTTGGCAGATTTGGATGCTAAGTGAGCCAGTACTGAAATTGTTAAGATTTGAACATTGATCCCAGTCAAATAACCTGTGTTAACCTATGTTAACCTATTTAAAAACAGAACTATTCACTTGGAGGAACAAAATTTTTATTTAATAGGATGCAAATTTAACATTAACGTGGACTCAAGTAGAGCCTGGATGGCCACCTGGTCCTTCTTGAGTCCTTAAATCTTCCATTATTATGGAAGCTCTGCACTCTATGATTCATCATGGAAAAGATAAAATGATCCAAATCATGAAAAAAATGGTGGGGTGATTGTTTCAAAATTGCCAAAATGGTTTATAATAACCAAGTTTGGTTTTTCAAACTCATAATTCTGGCAAGACAATTAAAAACCTTAGGTGACATTTCTGGCATTAGCAAGATCACTTGAACACTTTCAGATGGGTACCATTCAATTGCCATCATCAATGCACGTTTCCAATGCAGGATGTTTTCCTATTCACAGGAAGATTTCCTATGCAGGAATTTGATGGTTTATCAGTAGCTAAAAGGTTATTAGAAAATGTGTTTCCCTCACAGGACATTTCTGGAGATATCTCCAGTGATATAAGTACTTACACTGGACAATTGTAAAAAGTTAAATAAGACATTACAAGCCCAATGGCATTAGGCAAAGCTAACTGAATCAATTGGATTGACTTGTTCAAAGGTATTACTATTTGGTGGCAATCAGATTTACGCCCACTTGAAAACATAGACTGACATCTGTGAAATAGTTACTGGATGTCCTATCCCCATAACAATAGAACCTCATGTATCTCTCACTCATAAACTCTGGCATGACCCAACAGTGCAAGGCTTTCATGCATTATGCCAAATCATATTTTCACCAGGTTAAAGAAACCCATTGTGACCTACCAACTGATGATAACGAAACCTTTCACAAACTAGAACCCAGAGATTGGGTCTCTTAGAAATGACATCAGAGAGACTGCCTTGAACTCCATTGGAAGGGACCTTTCCAGGATTTTTCGTAGAAGTTTAGGGTCTGGAGTCTTGGATCCACAAGTCTCAACTCAAAAGACCCATCTATATTCCTGGAACTGTTCATCTGTTGGAGACTTTCAGGTAAAGACTATTAAGAAAGTTTTTCCCAAAAACAGAGATGTCATACTAGACAGGGATAGCTTTTCCAAGATCCTGGATCAAGACTGGTCTGTCATCATAAAAGTCTTTTATTTTTACCTTTAATTCCTATTTCCTGTTGCCCTTATCACTAACCTTTTCTTGCAGAAAAATCTCTGGGACCATAATCTGTGGAAGGCTTTATCAAGAAACCAGAGACTGCTTCTTGCTCTCCTACCACCACTAGAAATAGTACCTTGACATTTCCAATTAATAACCTAATCACTACCAAATATAGAAAACCTATCCAAGTAGTGCCTGCAAAATGTACAATATATTGTACTTTTAATCATCTAGTACTCAAGACTTGGGGACTACCTGAGATCTTGCTATTTGGCCTGGCTCATTCCTGCATTTTGAACAGCTTTTCCTGCAAGTTCCAATAGTACCTTCCATAATCACAGTTTATAGCAGTCTATAACCAAAATTAGTACCAATCTCAAAGTAGATGAAGATGTTAATTTCCACTGAGGAAAGATTCCAGTGGGGCTCCTGGTGGCTACCTCTTGGCAGTAGTGAGATACTAATAATATGGATCTTCAAGCTAATTCGTAAATTAGGAAAATCTGGGATTCTGTGCCAATGAGACCTCCCAGTGTTTCAGACAAGTAGAAGCCACTCTCCAAAAGGTGAATGAAAACACTGGTGTTCAACAAAAACACTTAATGGAATATTATGCAGCTTGAGATCCCCTTTTTGTCCATGTTGAGGGCTTGTGTAAGGTGTTGAACAAAACTGAACGTTGCATTTATCTTTCCCCTTTTATTACTACTACAGAAAGCTTAAGATGTTTCTCTAGACAACGCCACTTAATACATTTTTAAAATTTTGAGGTGAAAGGAGGACATAATGTGTTTGTGGGAGCAGCTAAATTTTGGTTTGCAGGCATTCTGAATGGTGAATAGCTAGCTTGACTCTTCTAAAAAGTTTACTCATTTTTATGTTTTTTTTTTGTGACTTTCAAAGTTACTACGACTTTCATTACCAGTTTTACTACAAAGATGAACACTTCTTCAAGTCAGGCCATTTTATGGCAAACCGTGATCCTTAATTCTCAAATAAAGACTGTGACCAATTGGACTTGAATACTGTTGAATTCTATTTATTGCCTGAACTTTGAATTTTTTTATTTTGTTTAGTTTGGTTTATGGAGACTCCTGTTAAGAGGTGTACTTTAGTTTCTTAGTATTTATTTACAGACATCATAATAGTCCCCCTGATATGTTATATCCTCTCAAGAGTCTTAATTGCTTGTGTGCAGCCATTTTTGCACATTAGATAATCTCATTAGGGTTAGAATATCAAAAACATGAAGAAAGCATACAGACTCATTCACTTAATTTGATATCGTAATTGTGAATTACATACTAAGACCAAATACATCCATTATGATGGTGACAGAAAGTGGGGTCAGTGTCCAAGGTTTTCGTCAATGTCTCAAAATTGAGAAGTTGATGAAAAGGAACAAATTTTAAAAGTAAATTTGGTCTAAAGCTGCCTCTGTACAGAGCAAACTATAATCTAACTTACATGTAGACAAACTGCAAGCTAAATTGAGAGTATGTTCTTCTAACAAGTCATCAAAGCTTGGCCAATCACAACAGCCAAGTTTTCAGGCAATCACATGCTGCAAACCACTCAGGCATGTTCAAATAAGGCAAACATTGAGCTATAACCAATCAGGCTATTTCTGTATGTCACTTCATTATACTGTGTATAAGTACTGTGGGTCTAAGTTGTTGAGTGGAGTTCTCTGAACCTTTACTGATTCAGTGTGCTGCCCAATTCATGAATTGTTTTCTTGCTCAAAGTAACTCTGATAAATTTAGTTTTCTAAAAGTTTTTCTTTTAACAGAAGAAATCTACCCTAAGATGACAGCTATGGTAAAGGGTGAAAATCAAGAGAAATAGTAATGATTATATGTGGCAGAATAATCTCTTCACTCATCTTAATTCTTTTGGCACTCTCTGGGGGTAAGAAAGTGCAAAGAGAACAATAGAGTCAGTACGCCTCCATGCCAAGTTATAACACCAACTCATAAAAGCTACCAGGAAAAAAAACTTTTTCTCTACCTTATACCCTATGGTATACTTTATTCAATAATGCCAGTAGGCTATAATGGTGAATTAACTATAGCAATGGGGAAAATGACAGGTATATGTAGTGCCCTTGATCTATATGATCTCTCTGGAATAATAACTTCAGTTATCCAAAACTCATCCTTTTCATGATGGACTCAGTTCCTGTTCTTTTCTCAAGCTTATCTCAAAAGCTATTCCAATTTAGATCTTGTCTTAGATGGTGCAACCAATATGAAAGGGAGAAGCATGATAATAACTGAGACGGAATTTCCTAGCAATCATGATGGGTCGAGTATATAGCAGATTAAAGATTTAATTTGACTGTGTAAAATAAATGTAACTGCCTTAGTAAATAAGCTGGTCTCAGTTAGATGCAAGCAGAGCTTTATTCTTTCTCATCACCATACCCGCAAAACTTCTTTTGGTGTGTTACTCCAGGCTCTCACAATGATATATTATGTAAGTCCTAGAGTTTTTCCAGTCATTCTTGGGTGTTAAACTGACCACCAGACACTACAGTTCTTCCTATGTGGATGTATGTAGCAGTGTGCTGAAGTCAGCTCATACTGACCCTAGACAGAAACCTCCTCTCTGAAGAGGGTGCATAGTATCTTGATCACTTTCCTTAGAGTAGTCCATTCTTCTCTATCTCTATATCTCCCAGTGAAATATTTTCTTCTTTCCTTCTTCTTCCTTCCTTCCTTCTTTCCTTTCTATTTTTAAAATATTTTTTGATTATCTCTAGTGCTGATTGATGGTCTATTGCTACCAGAATACTTTGTTTGTTTATTTGTTTTGTTTTTTTGAGACAAAGTCTTGCTCTGTCACCCAGGCTGGAGTGCAGTGGTGCGATCTTGGCTCATTGCAACCTCTGCCTCCTGGGTTCAAGTAATTCTCCTGCCTCAGCCTCCCGAGTAGCTGGGACTACAGGCACGCACCACCACACCTGGCTAATTTTTGTACTTTCAGTAGAGATGGAGTTTCACCGTGTTAGCCAGGATGGTCTCAATCTCCTGACTTCATGATCTGCCCACCTCAGCCTCCCAAAGTGCTGGGATTACAGGCGTGAGCCACTGTGCCCGGCCCCCAGAATACATTTTTTAAATAATTCTTTCCAAGATCTTCATGGTTAGTTTCTAGAATTTAGGACTGCTTGGTAATAAAATTTTTCTCTTGCTCCTAAAACTGTAGAAAGCATCACATTTAGCGTCCTTAGATATACATATAAAAAGCATGCGGCTGCTTTCGTTCTAGTTATGTTAAATTTTGTAACCACCAGGTACTCAACACACAGTTCTATACCACAAGAAATTCCCATGTGATCAAATTTATCTAGACATTACAATACATTGCAGGTATCCTAATAAAATGTATTACTTGGCCTGATTTCCTACTCCGTGCCACAGGAATTTTAAATCTTCTCCACTTTATTTAAACTTTTTACTACATTATTATATCATACCTCACACAGAAAATAGTAGTTACCAGTCATGAAATTCTTTACACATCCCTGCTACAATACCAGCATCTAAACTCATCATCAATTCTGACCTTTCTGTTAGGATAGAGGAAGTATATGTACTCTTATCTGAAGTCAGTTCCTCTGTTTATATTCTCATAGATCTCTCTGCTACAATCCCCAAAACTCTTACAACTTCTATATAAATTGAGCTTCTCCCTGACTCTTCCCATACTATGGATCATTTTAGTCTTTGTGCTGCAATCATATTAATCTTCTCCAAATGTGCAATATTGTTATCTTTCATCAGTAGCAACACGAGCTTTTCCTTTTCAGATTCTGAAACTAGCATACCTTTTGCAATCAAGGTCATATTACAAATGAATTATAGCATTTTATCTTTCTTCATATTTCATAAAATAGTGTGACATGTTAAAAATCTAAGGCACTGTATAATTAATGAAAATGTTATTTCTGGCAAAAGTCTTCGCTCATGTTGTTTCTTTTCTCCTGAGCCCATTTCTTACCTAATTTATATTTATCCTTCATGCTTCAGCTTAGTCATATTTCCTTCCAAACATCTCAAATACATAGATAAAAATATAACATAAATTATATTAAACTAATTAAATTAAATACATAAAGTACATTGTAACATGTAAACTGCATAGTGTACTGCAGAAAAACCAGGAAAACAAGTGGCAGAACTGCAGTTAGAATTGAGTAGAAGGCTTATCAAACTTGTGCAAACTTGGATGAGCCCACGGTGCTGAGTCACATCACCCTGTAGAAGCTAGCTAGTCCAACATCCTCATTTTTACAAGGACAAGAAATATTAAATGTCTCACCAAGAAAACCCAGCTACTTTGTGACAGAGGGCAGAACCTTAGATCAGATATTGGCACTTTTATGTGAAAGAGCAGGACTATTTTAAGCATTGTAGATCATGCAGTATTTGTTGTATCTACCCAACTTGGGCATGGTAGAGTGAAAGTAGTCATAGACAATCTATAAATGAATAAGCATGGTTCTATTCCAATAATATCTTCTTTATAAAAATAAGTAGCATTTGAATTTGGATCATCAAATGTAGTTTTTCAAACCTCACCTTAGAGTATAAGACAGAGAGTCTGCACCCTCCATAATATAAAGGCAATAACATGTTTTGCAGATGACAGTAAAGAGGACTGGGCATACACTACCTAAAATGCAAGAAAGGAAGATGAGCTGAATGAATGTAGCATGTGAGGTATTGTGTTGGCTCCTGGATGGGTATTCTAAAATACATAAAAGTACAGTGAATTTTCAACATGAATTTCCAGAGAGTTTCCTTTTTTACACTAATGTTTCATATATAAATTCACACTTTATTGTATAACTCAGTAATAAAATGGTACTAGTATTTTTAATTGAATATCTTGATTTCTGAAACTTTTTAAAATGCATAGAGTCTGCTATGATTTTAAAATAAATTTTTTTCGGAACCATTACAAAGATCATAAAGCTAGGCAAAACAAAGAAAAAGTGGAAAAATTGCCTTGAAGATTCATAATTTCTCTCCTGTGGAAAAAGTTAAGATGAACTCTAATTTACAGCAACTACCGTTCTTTTTTTGTTTTTGTTTGTTTGTTTTGAGATGGAGTTTCACTCTTGTCACCCAGGCTGGAGTGCAGTGGTGCGATCTTGGCTCATTGCAACCTCTGCCTCCCGGATTCAAGTGATTCTCTTGCTTCAGCCTCCCGAGTAGCTGGGATTACAGGTGCCTGCCACCAGGCCAGCTAATTTTTCCAGCTAATTTTTGTATTTTTAGTAGAGATTGGGTAGCTAGAATGACAGGCATCTGCTACCATGCCTGGCTACTTTTTTTTTTTTTTTTTCTGTATTTTTGGTAGAGACGGGGTTTCACCATGTTGGCCAGGCTGCTCTTGAACTCCTGAGCTCAGGTGATCTGCCCGCCTTGGCCTCCCGAAGTGCTGGGTTTACAGGTGTGAGCCACTGCGCCCAGCCAGCAGCTACCTTTTACCCATCAACTTCCTCCAAGTGTGGTTCCTCTTCTTTCTTTCTCCATATCAGTTGTTGACACTTGAATGGAACAAGATTCACTTATTTTAACTAAATAAGAAACAGTCACAGTCATGGAATCAGGAGCTTTCCATTGACTATGAAGATAGAAAATGTAATGATAACACTTAACAATCTTTTCACAAGCTGATTCTAGAAACTAGGTCCTAGGCCGTGACTCACTTGAGATGTAAAGCGACAGAACAAGAGTAACCCAGTGAAAGCTCTCATAAATGAAGTTTTTATGTATATAGGACTAATGAAAACAAGAATAAGGTATAAGAAATATTCTTGAAGAATGTGAGGTACCTGAGCTGCACACTGAGAAGCAGTTGTCTCACAGTAAAATGAATACAGAACCCCCTTGTGAGACTGGTGTTGACATTCGATGTTATAGGTTGCGTCAAAGACAATCTACGAGGGAGGCTGTCTACCTGCGGAAGGTCATGGAGTTAAACTGTCCGCCATGCTGACTCGGCACAGTGGCATTCATCACAGCACACAGGTTTCTTCCACGGCAAACAGAACTTCCTCAGGCGTGAGAAGAAACCTGGCATTTTCTGCTACCTGCGGGCTTCTGCTTTTTGAAGCCAGGAAGGACATCTGTAAAAGTTGGCTGCCTGCATGGCAGACCACGCAAAATGCCAAGGAGAGTGATTTATGTCCCATCCTCTGAGACTAAACAGGAAATACACCCAGATTTTAGTAATGAAAGGTCAGGACAGGGAAACACTTTTATTATACTGCTTTCAAAAAACCTAAAATAAGGACATTATTTCCACAATTTACACATTTCCACTTAATGTAGCACTTCTATCCCTAAGTTCTGAATTGTGATAGATATTTAAATGTAGTACCACTTTTTAAAAGCATAAATCTCAGAGCTTCTATGTATTTCTCAAGGGTAAAAAGGTACAGTACATTTCCTTTCTTTAACTCATCCCTGTTTTGTTAAGTAAATTTGTTAAGTAATGAGTCAGAACACATAGCTCAGATAACCAGTGGACTTAAGAATCATAACGTTTTAAAGTTGGAAAGAGACATGATAATCATTAAGGGGTCGAATTCCTTCTTTTTTAGAAATATGTGAACTTGTGTCTGGGAAGTCAGATTAATTGCTAAAATTTCCCATTGAGAACATAAAAAGCAAATAAAAGAAACAATGGACTGTTTCTATATAATTTTTAGTTTTCATAATATCTTTAAGATAGAAAATTGAAATATGAAGAGAATGGCTAGTGACAGTTCATTCTTATCTAACTTGGATTTGAAAAACAATATAGTGTTTTTGTTTTTTTTTTTACTTGTCCATGTGCTCTGGTATTATTGCTTGACACTCTCAATGACACTATGCTAAGCATCATAAGAGGAAGTTAAAGTGAGCAAGACAAAGAAAGACCCTGTCCTTAAAAAACAAAACAAAACAAAAAATCTTCTGGAGCTTAGGTAATTTTCTCAGAAGTCATTCATCAAATTTAGTCATTTGAATAATTTATTTGTTTATTATTATTCTTTTTTTTCAGTTTCTGAACACATTTACAAGAGAAAAGAATACAGGGAGATTCTGCCACTGTGGCTTATAGTCTAATGGACGAAAAAGCACATGTATAATCTCACACGTGAATGTATTTTAATTCTTAAGTGGATAATCTCTATCTGGAGGAGCAGAGAAAATAAAGTAAACAAAATAATATATCAGTATATTCACTGTTTCAAGTAGACCCACACAAAAAATGTTTTGCCTTAAATAGATAGAAAAAAAAAAGAGAATCGTCATGATTTGTACCAACTCAAACAATGTAATGGTCAGAACTTAATGTAACTTTATTTTAGTTTAGGAATAATGTACCCACATAAAATTTTTAAGTTATAATATAAATTATTTTACATCAATTTTTTATTATTAACCTTACTGGATGTCTTATTATTTCAGTGAACAAAACATATCTAATACACATATGCTTTTAACAGCTCCTTTTTGTTTTCCAGGAAAAAAAAATGCCAAGGGAACAGATACATTGAATTAAAAGCAACAACAATGCATCTCATGTGTATTTCATAATTACAAGCTAATTTATTTTATTTGGCAATGATTTTATTCTTAAATTTCAGCAACTAGGACTAAAAAGTCAAACAAATCCACCAGATTCTTTTAAACTGTCCTGTAAGCAGAACACTTTCAAAGCTGATAGTGCATGTTTCTTACTTTGGATGCAGATAACCTAGTGTTTCATACTGAAAAACTATACTATACATTTTTGAGATAGATGCAAATTCACAAGAAAAAGTGAATATTAAGGTATAAAATAAGAAAAAAATTCTGATGTAATGGTGGGAACAGCAAGTTCTTCTTCTTCTTAGGCTCTAGTTGTATTTAAGCTGAGAGGACTGCACTATCACTGAAGCTGTAGCCAGTCCTAATATGTGTTTTAGGATTTGCTGCACTAGTTTCCTTTGTTACTGCTCTCATGTTTCCTTGTGATTCACCCAACATTTATCCAAATTGAAGTTACAACTGTGAACTGAAAACGTTTTCATTGCTAATAACAACCGTAAGTCTAAGAATGGCCATAGATATCTGGCAGTACTGTAGGCTAAAAATTAGAAAGGGACCATTAGAAGGTGGAAAAAAATACATAAATGTAACAGGCAAGAGAAGAAAGAATGATCAGGAAAACCATATTAATTTATTTTATGAGCCTCTATTGACATTCAATAGTAGAGAAGAGAGGAAAGTAGAAGAAAGAGAGAGAAAGAGAAAGAAAAAGGGTTTACAGCTCAACTCTCAAAATCTATTTAAGATTTTATTTTCAAAACTGGAAAATTAAATTTAAAGAATATTAAAATGAAATTATCAGACAGGAAAATTAAAGTAACAATAATAAATATATAACTATAGATACATACTATTGAAAAAAGTAGATATCAACAAATAATGTAAAAAGTGAGATAGAAATTCTAAGAAAGAATAAAAATAAAATTTTATAAGTAAAAATAGTTATAATAGAAAAGATATGTCAATGGGCCCGTAATTATGCCATATATGGCTGGAGAGTCAGTGAGATGAAGATAGGTTGATAGAAACTTCCCAAACTGAAATATAAACAGGAAAATAATTTTTTTAAAAAGGAACAGAAACAGAACTTCAAAAACTTGTCAGACAGTATCCAAAGAAGTTGTAATGTACATATAATTATAAAGAGAAGAGAGAAAAGTATAAAGCAAAATAAATATTTAAAGTTATCATATATGAGAATTTTCCAAAACTAATGACAAACATGAAGTAACTAATAGTGCAAATACAGGGAACACCAAATAGTATAAACAAACTAACAAAACAACTGCAAAGAAAAATAGCAAGCAAGCAAGAAAACAAAACAAAAACAATAACCAAGACCTAACCCTAGGCTTACCATATTCCACCTAAAACCAAGCAAAATGGAAATAGTGAAAGAGGCTAGATGTGGAAAGTTGATATGTTACCTACAGAGTTACTAGCACATAAATTACAGCACACTCCTTGTCAGAAACAACGTGGACAAAAGAGAGGAAGGAAAAAAGTGCTGACAGGAAAAAAGAAAGCTAACATAACAACCCAAAATTCTACATTTAAGAATATTGTTGTTCAAAATTAAAAGAGAAATAAAGACAATTCTCAGACAAATGAAGAAGCAAATTTTATCCTCAGTAGACCTACACCATAAGATATATTAAAATAAATTCCTAATGTAGAAAGAAAATGAGATAGGTCAGAAACTCAGATCTGTGGAAAGACAAGAAAATAAGAAAGACATTACTGTATTTTGCACATAAAATTTTAGTGGATAGATCTCATGTTAAGTGTGCTGACCATAATATTAAAAGAAATAAAAATAATGTGCAAAAATAAAGGTAAAGTATTATATTTTATTATAATTACATAAAATAACCGTTAACTTTAAATAATAATACCAACAATATATTGGGTGATATAACATGCAGGTCAGTAAAATAAATGACAGCAGTGGGAGGGAGAAATTGGAAATACTCTAAGTTACTTTACTACAGGTGATGCAGAATAGTGTTAATTGAAGGTGGCATTAATTAAATTGTAAATATATCTTGCAAAATTGTAAATATATCTAAGGCACCAATATTTTTATTAAAGTTAATATGCTAATGGAGGAGATATATTGGCATCATATAAAATACACATTTAAAATCAGAGAAGCCAAAAATAAGGCAAAACAAAAAACAAAAAAAGAAGTACAACAGGTACAGTGAATAAAAAATAATAACAGTAACAGAAATGGTAGGTGTTAATCCAACTATATAAATAAAAACTTTAAATGGGAATGGTCTATAGACAGAACCTGTTATAGCTGATAACATACACATATAAACACACAAGACCCAACTATATGCAAGACCCAACTATATGGTTTCTCCAACAAAAAGCAACCAAACAAAAAATATATACATATACAAAGACTCAAATAGGTGAAATGTAAAAGGATGGAGAGAGAAATACCTTAACAAGCTATAGTAGTTATATTAATTTCAAACCAAAAAGTATTCAGAAAAAAATAGTTTACATTAAAGAGAGACATTACATGATAATAAGGGAGTCATTTCTCCAAAAAATATGTGGCAATCCTTAGATTATACACATGTAACAACAGAGAATCATAGTACATAAGATAAGAACTGATAGAAGAGTTAAGAATAATAGATAAATACACTGTTATAGTTGAAAACTTCAACACTACTCTACCAGCAATTGACAGATCAGGTAATAATTAAGAATATACATGAACTAAATAACACAATCCATCAGCTGTGTCTGTCATTTACAAAATGCTTCATTCAACAACAGAACACACATTCTTCTAAAGCTCATGTGAAACTCAGCTTCTAGTGTTCCAAGAACAGCACGTGATCTCTTCTAAAGATAGATCACATGCTTGGCCATAAAATACACCTTCCTAAATTTGAGATAATAAAAACCGCACAAAGTAACTCTCACACCATAAGTAATTAGAAATCAATAACATAAAAAATTTAAAAATCCCTACAATTAGAAATGAAACAACATAGTTTCAATAACACATAGGGCAAGTAAATAGCCTCAAGAAAATCTTTAAAATAATTTTAGCTAGAGAAAAACCAAAAATACACCTACCAAAATTTGTAGGATGCAACAAAGTCTGATTTTGGAGGAAAATTTATAGCATTGGAAACATATACTAGAAAAAAATAAAATTCTAATATCAATAAACTAAAGTAAGCCTAAATCAAGAAGAAAGTGAATAGTAAAAATTAAAGCAAATTCAATGAAATTGCAAATAGAAAATTAGGAAAGACATTAAATGCAATCAAAAGCTGTTTATTTGAAAACAGCAATAAAATTAATAAACTTCTATCCAGGACAACCAAGCTTAATAGACGAAATTTAATTGCTTTGTAATATACCAGCACTGGATAATTGAAATTTGGAATTTAAAAAAAGAAATACTTTGGTATATATATCTAATATATACAGGACCTATATGAGTATAAAACTCTAATGAAAGAAATTAAAAATGATCCAAATATGGAATGTTACTTATTAGAAAGTTTTAATGTTAAGAGGTTAGTTCTTTCAGTCTCAGTTGAAATCCCAGCAAGTTATTTTGCAGATATCAATAAATAGATTTTAAAGTTTATATAGAAAGTTGTTATGGACTGAATTGTGTTCCTTCTATATTCATCTGTTGAAGTCCTTGCTGCCAATGTGACTTTATTTGGAAATAGGGCCTTTAAAGAGGTGATTAGGGTTAAAAGAGGTCATAAAACTGGGGCCATAATTCAACAGGACTGATGTTCTTAGAAGAAGATAACAGAATTTGCATGCACAGATGGCCATGTGAGGACACAGCAGGAAGATACCCATCTGCAAACCAAGAAAAGAGACCTCAGGGGAAACAAAACCTGCTAACGCCCTGATATTGGATTTCCAGTCTCCAGAACTGTGAGAAAATTAATTTTTGTTGTTTAAAGCAACCCAATCTCTGGTATTTTGTTATGGCAGCACTAGCAAACTAATACAGAATTCAAAGGTCCTGAAGAGCCAAAACGATATTAAAGAATGGTCAAAGGACTAACCAAACCCAAACCTCAATACTTACTGTAAAAGCTGCAGTAATCAAGTCAATGTGGCATTTGAGAAATGAGAAGACAAATTGATCAATAGACCAAAATGAACAGCACAAAAATAGACCCACACAAATATAGTCACCTTATAAAGACAATTCAATGGATAAAGCACAGACTTTTCCGCAAATACTGCTGGAAAAATTGGACATATACATGCAAAAAAGAAGAAGAAAAATAAAAAAGAAGAAAACATCAACCTTTCAGTTTGCACAAAAATCAATCCAAACTAGATCATAGACCTACACGTAAAATACAATACCATGAAATTTCTATAAGCTAATATGGAAAAAAATGTAAGTTAGCTTGGGTTTGCTAATGAGTTATTAGACATAATATCAAAAGCATGATGCATGAAAAATATAAGAATCTGGGCTTTATTAAAATTAAAATCTTCTGCTCCCAAATACACTGTTAAGAAAATAAAAACAACCATAGACTGGGATAAAATATTTACAAAACACATTAAAGACTTATAGACAAAGTACAGGAATAATGATTATAACTTACATAGTAAGAAAACAAGCAGCCTAATTAATAAGCAATAAAAGGATCTCAACAGAAATCTCACCAAAGAACATACACAGATGATATAGAAGCATGTGGAAAGGTGTTCAACATCATTTTTTCACCAAGTTAAAACTACAATGAGATACCACAGGCCACCTATTAGAATGTCAAAAATCCAAATTACTGACAATACCAAATGCTGCCAAGGATTCAGAGAAATATGAAATTTCATTTATTGCTAATGGGAATGCAAATAATAAAATAAAATTAAACCTAAAAAGTGGGCATGGCACTTGGGAAGACAGTTCAGCAGTTTCTTACAAAGAAGAAAGCTAGGGACTAAAGGCTACGAAAACTATACATAAGCACTGTACTCTCCTTGTTAACATTGTTCCCTCAGTCCATATGTTTTAGAGTATTTTTAGAGTATTTTATTAAGAATGCTTAAAGGGGTCAGCTAAAATACTTATATAATATAAATTAATAATAATATATCTCTAAATGACAAATAATGCAGGATAAAAACATTTTCAAGTCTTCAGAATATGGATATTGGTTATGGTTTAAAAATTTGCATGCCCACAATATATTTATATTGGATTTCAATAATTAAGTAAATGGTTGGCATATTCTGGCAGGCAGTGTTTTCAATTTGGAGTGGGAGGGTATAGTCAAAGAGAAGAAGGCTTTAATGATGTATCTGGTAATGGAATAGCATTTGAAGCATCAATATTAATTCATGTTTAGCTTAATACATATATAGATGAATGCAGATATATATATAGACTGAGATATATGTCTGTGTGTGTGTGTATACATATATATATATATATATATATATATATGAGTAATATACATATATTTGCTTGCTCTGTAGGCTGAGGGGGCCTAAAGGCAATGACACTGTACTAGCAATGAATATTTCTAGCATTCAAATCTTGACTTCTAAAATCATTCCCCAATAGAAGGAACTAGGAGTTCTTGGAAAAATACTAATTCTAGTATTCAGGAAAAATGTATACAAGATGGCTCTGGAGCTCCTTGTAATGCCAAAAAGTAGTAAGGAATTGCTAAAAACACAAAAACACAATGATAGGGCTCTGTATCAGAGGGAAACAGAGCTGACTAAAAGAGCTCCCAATGGCAAAAGCTGGAACAATCTGAGAACGAAAATGAATTAGTATTGGATTGTAACAATACAATACTAATTGTTATAATAATATATAAATAAAAATAAATACCCATGATTCCACACTTATTTTAATAAATGATTGAAAGAATAAAAAGTGGAGCAGAGAGACAAACCTACATAGAAAAATTCCCAAAACATTTACATGGATAATCTACTCTTCAAGACATCACTACTATTCTTTAAATGTGAGCTGCATATAAGGCCTTCTTTTGAAAGACTAGTATATGATCAAGGACAGAAGAGTAACTTTACAGTGAAGAATCCTGACAAACACTATCTCACTCATGTGATTAATTTTCACATCAATAAAACTGAGCAGGAGGCAGGACTTGACTGTGGAGGTGGGGCTTGGACACTAGACCAAATTGAGAACTAGCTAAAACAGGGATAGGGTGGAAGTACTTTTCCATAAGACATGCCCACTAGTGTGCCATGACAGTTTACCATTTCCATGGCAACACTCATGAGTTACCACACCTTTCCATAACAACAACCTTACCACCATCTTTCTAAAAATTTCTGCATAATCTGCCTCTTAATTTGCATATAATTAAAAGTGGGTATAAATATAACCACAGAACTGCCTCTGAGCTCCTACTCTGGGCACACTGCCCATTGGGTAGCCCTGCTGTGCAAGGAGCAATACCTGTGGCTGCACACTGCCACCTCAATAAAAATTGCTGTCTAACATACCAGCTCACCCTTGAATTCTTTCCTAGGTGAATCTAAAAACCCTTCCAGGCTAAGCCCCTGTTTGGGGGCTCACTTGCCCAGCATCAAAACCATCAGGTGGATGATATATACCTTTTATGTGTTTTAGCAATTCCTTACTACTTTCTAGCGCTACAAGAAGCTCCAACACCACCTTGTGTACTTTTTTCCTGAATACTAAAATTAGTAATTAATATTTTCAGGTCTCTAAAGCATAAATTGACTAACCAAAAAAAAAAAAAAAAAAAAAAGAATTATCAAGCCAAAGTCAGTTGAAGGCATTGACCCAGTAAATGGAAGGTGTACTAAAATTAGCTTTCTATTGGGAGAATTAACATAATCTTTTAACATAAATATCTGATTCCCTGATTCTGGAAATGAAACTAAGCCTAGGGTCAACACAAAGTATTCAGTTTAATAGCAATTTCTTCATGTATGAAGTTGAGACCCAAAACAGCTACCTCAGGTTTAATAGTGAATTAGCAATGTAATCATTCCCTAGTTCCCTAAGAACCAAATAAGAGTAAGCAACCCTCATGAGGATTTGCATCTAAATTCACACTGGCAGTAATAAAAATGATACCCATTTAACTTAAGGTATTCCTAAATTACTAGTGTCCTTGGTCAGTGTATTAGTCCATTTTCACACTGCTAATAAAGACATACCCGATACTGGGCAATTTACAAAAGAAAGAGGTTTAATTGGACTTACGGTTCCACATGGCTGGGGAGGCCTCACAATCATGGCAGAAGGCAAGCAGAAACAAGTCACATCTTATGTGGATGGTGGCAGGCAAAAAGAGAGCTTTGTGCAAGGGAGACTCCTATTTTTAAAACCATCAGTTCTCATGAGTCCCATTAACTATCACAAGAACAGCACAGGAAAGACCCGCCCCCATGACTCAATCATCTCCCACCAGGTGCGTCCCACAACACATGGGGATTATGGGAGCTACAAGATGAGATTTGGGTGGGGACACAGAGCCAAACAATATCAGTCACCTAAAATAAGCAAACATCTGTAGAGGAAGCATCTTCATTCCAGATCTCAAATAATCTCAATCTACACAAATATTTCCCCAATGAAAGATAAAGTAGCAGACAAATTCTACAAAAACACAAGAAATCGAGGCCCTGTGAGTGAAAAAGTAAATACTAGAGGGAGCAAACATATCTCCTGTCCCACCCCCGCAAAAATTCAGATTTTACAATTTTCAGTAATAATATAGAAAATGAACTTTCCCATGTTTTTAGTAAAGAAATATAGCTTAAAAATGCATTTAATGAAACTAAAACAATAACAACAATACTGTTAGCAATAAGCAGATCTGAAGAAAAGATTATAATAGAATATCTTAAAATGTATGCATTCCATTTTTCAAATAAGAGTTCAGTGTATAGAATCAGAGCAGAAGACACAAATGAAGAGATAATTAGTAAACAGAGATAGACGTGAAGAAATTATCTAACTGGGTATATATCTTTTCTAAAGTCCACTTTCAGTGACTTCACATTAATAACTTTGAACGGACATGAATAAATATTCACACCACAATAAATTAGCAAAACTAGATATTAAGGCTTCTTCTTCAGAGCTCTGCTTTACCAACTCACACTGACTTGAATTACACAACAGACTGACAGCAGAAGCAAATGTGAGAATTCCGCTTTTTTCAATTAAGCCAGGCAGGAAAGAGAATTGCCAACATGCAAAATAAGGTCACACTTTGTATTAGTGTTTTTGTGTTTCTTTGTTTTGAAAACCACAATTATTTTTCACATGTATATTTTCAAAAACTAAACTTCTTTATGTTAATAATTTCATTACTGTTATTACTTTCTATGTACTGTATCATTTAACTTCAGTGAGGTTCTAGAATGGGCAACCAAATCTATGCTAAAATATGAAAATGAAACCTGGCTGCTCCTTGTGCAACATTGGGATGGAGCAGGCAAACTTTCTGGTGTGATGAAAATTGGCTGTGTCTTAATACAAATGTGGACGACACTGGAGTATTCATCTGTCATAGCTGTATCGTTAAGATGTATACCTATTACTGGATGCATGATACCTTCCAAACCATCACACTTGTGAGAAAAGAGGGAAATTTAAGTTCCCACACTTTGGCCTCAGCCAGCTGGGTGGTTGGTATATCTGTGAGACTCTGTATCTTCCAGGTTGAACACTGTGCATAAAAGTTTCTTTATATAGGAGGTTCAGCTTTTCTGATGAATTAATAAATGAAGTCAGTTCCTGTGTCCCAGCCACTCTGCTCTCCAGTGTGTGCCATCTCTGCAAGTCTTGAGTGTGCTGTCTCTGCACTAGTCCAGATAGTCAGGCTATCATGATGGTCACTTTGTGCAGGTACATTGTCCTGCCATGACTATAAGGCAATGGGTCTGTCCTGAGTGGTCTGAGCATCGTAGACATCCATTTATGTTACAGGTTTGCAGAGAGCTCCTGAGTGTGGTTGATATATTAGCTTTACTTGTATGTGTCATTCTTAGGATAAATGAAATTCTCTTCCTCCACATGCAGCCCTCCAGTTGACAATTGACTTAGGGGTGGAATCCCATCAGTGAGATCTGGCTGGTCTATGGTGTTTGAGAGCCTTGGACTTCAATGCCTGCAAAGTGGAACCACGTGCTTTCCAAGTTGCTGTTGACATGGCTGCCTTCTGTCCTCTGATTTCTGCACTTTCTTCCCTGATTCTTTCAAGGATGCTCCTGAGATGACACTGAAAGGCAGCTCCTAAGTTTGCCTCCAGGCCAAAGGAAGTCTGAAAATTCAGAAGAAAATAAATAGAAGTTCGTAACTCAACTGTATTAAGTGTTGGAGTCAATATGATTCATGGAGTGGTACATACAACCTGAAATCTAAGAAGTGAAGACAAATTTTGATCTGTCTTTCATGATGCCATTTAGAAAGTATATTATTATTGTTTATTTATTTATTTTTCAGCTTTTATTTTAGATTCAAGGGTTACATGTGTAGGTTTGTCACATGGGTCTATTGTGTGATGCTGAGATTTAGGGTATGAACCATCCTGTTACCCAGGTACCTAGCGTAGTAACCAATAAGCAGCTTTACAGCCTTTGATTCCCTCCCCCGTTCCCCTGTCTAGCAGTTCCCATTGTCTATTGTTGCCATCTTTATGTCTATGAGTACCTTATGTTTAGTTCACACTTACAAGTGAGAACACGTGGTATTTGGTTTTCTGTTCCTGTGTTAATTTGCTTAGGATAATGGCCTCTAGCTGCATCCATGTTACTGCAAAGAACATGACTTTGTTCGTCTTTATTGGTTTTGTTTTGTTTTGGTTTTGGTTTTGTTTTTTTGAGTCACTCTGTCTCCCAGGCTAGAGTGTAGTGGCACGATCTTGGCTCACTGCAACCTCTGCTGCCTGGGTTCAAGTGATTCTCCTGCCTCAGCCTCCCAAGTAGCTGGGATTACAGGCATGAGCCACCATGCCCAGCTAATTTTTGTATTTTTAGTAGATATAGGGTTCCACCATGTTGGCTAGGCTGGTCTTGAACTCCTGACCTCAGATGATCCACCCCCGCTCAGCCTCCCAAAGTTCTGGGATTACAAGTGTGAGCCACTGTGCCTGGATGACTTTGTTCTTCTTTATGGATGTGTAGTACTCCATGGTGTATATATACCACATTGTCTTTATCCAGTCCACCTTTGATGGGCACCATCACTAATCATAATATAAATTCAAATAGAAACCACAATAAGATATCATCTCACACGAGTCAGAAGGGCTATTATTAACTAGTCGAAAAACAACAGATGTTGTTGAGGTTGCAGAGAAGAGGAAACGTTTATACACTGTTGGTGGGGTTGTAATTTCGTTCAGCCACTGTGGAAAGCAGTTTGGAGATTTCTCAAAGAACTTAAAACAGAATCACCATTCAATGCAATCCAGTTACCGGATATATATTCAAAAGAAAATAAATTGTTCTACCAAGAAGACACACACACTCATATGTTAATCACAGCACTATTCACAATAACAAAGATTATTATTTTTAAAATAAGAAATATTTTAAAATTTTCTCAGCTATAACTTTGGTAAATATTAATAAATATTATTCACACTTAAAAAGTCTCTGGGGTTCTCAGTAATATTTAAGAAGAAAAAGCATCTGAGACAAAATAGTTTGAGAACCACTTTACTAAGGCACAGAAAAAAATAAAGATTTTATTTGGATAGGTAAAGAGTAAAAATATGTGTACTGATTTCCTCTCAGCATTACACACACACACACGCATGCACACACACACACATACACTCTTCCTCAACCCTATCTATCATATAAGTGTTATATTATGTTTGTTTAATCAATGTTTAAAGTTTACATTTTCGGATACATTATTCAATTTTCTCTTTTGTGGTTCTCACCCATTCTTTGTATGTTTTACTATCTTAGTGATTGCAACATATTTTATTATTCATTTGCCTATTAGCTTTAAAATTATGCATTTTTCTTATGAGTCCTTTTCTCCTTTTCCATCTCCTCTTCCCTCCTCTTCCTACTTATTCTTCTAAATATTTTGACAATAAATGCTATATTTACCACATATTTACTCTTCATTACTTTTCCTTTCTTTCTCTATTTTAGCTTCCTGTGTGATCAATATCCTTCCGCCTGAACAACTCCCTTTAGAATATCTTTTAGTACAAACCTGATGATAATAAATTATTCCAGATTTTCTTTTTCTTTTCCCTTATCTTTATTTACTTTACATTTTCATTACCTATGGATTTTTTACTAGATATAGAATTCCAGATGAGGAGGTTTTCTTTTTATTCCGAATTTTGAAGATTAACATTTCATTGTTTCTGGCTTGTGTTTTTTTTTTTTCTCTTAATGAATTAATTTCAGTCTAGGTTTCAGTCATTTGAAGATACCTTGTTATGTTATTTGTCCCTGGCTGCTTTTAAAATTTTCTCTTTGTCTTTTATTACAGTCATTATGCAGAATATGCCAAATTGTATGTTTCTTTCCATATCTCAGTTATAAATTTCCTACCTTGTGGACATCTGTAATCTACTTTAGTAAATTGTTAGTCTTATCTCTTCGAATATTGCTTCTGATTCTTTCTTACTTCACCACTATCTAGAATTCAAATGACCACAATATTACCTCTTATTACTAAATCCTTTGAGATTCTTATCTTTTCTTCTCTATCTGCCAACCATTTGTGCCTCTTTTTCATTTTGTGTATTTTCTTCTGACCTATATTCTCTTTAGCTGTGTCTAATATACTGCAAAATGTATGTATTGACTTCTTACCTTTCATTTTCTAATTTTCAGTATTAGTGACGCAGTATTTCTTTAATTCAAAATCAGGGATTGAGATCATTTGAAGCTAGATTTCATCACTGTGGATAGCTGGTCTGTTTGATTTACTCTTACTTCTTGGAAGTAGAGAAGGGTCATGATGTGCAATGTCTGTGAACCTGTCTGACATGTGACACGTCTCAGCCTTCTGCACAATGACCCGGTGGTTTTAACAGGAAAGGGCCCAGACTGTAGGATCACATAACTTGGCTGCTGTTTAAGGCTTAGTAGTTCTAAGACATTATCTCAAACATTTTGATGTTTACTCTTTTAAAACATGTCTTTTTCTGTTTCCCTTGAATCTGGGCAGGTTTGTCATTACTATTTGACAAAATATAAAGGAAAGTGGAGCTACATGACTTCTCAGGCTAGTTAATTAAATGTCATCCTGTCCATCTTGTCAGCTGGTACAGTCACTTTTGGAGACTGAGCTGCTTTATAAAATTATTACAATCCAAATCCATCATGCAAGAGAGACTATATTAGACACTCCAGTCAATAGTCCCAATAGCTACCAGCCATCCATACATCCTAACCAGGGCACCTGACAAGTGAGAGAAGATGATTTTCTTGAATCCTCAAGAGTAGCCTATCATCCAGCTAAATAACATCAAGCGACCGCTGTCAAGGCCAGGTGAAACAAATTAATCACCCAGCCATATTGTTGTTTTATGCCACATGGAACAGAAAAATTATGATGCTATAATTCCTGATTCGGGTAATTGGGAGACATAATAAAATGGTTGTTGTTTTAGGCCACTAAGCATTAATTAGTTCATAATGAATCGAATGGCAAGTGAACACCTCTATATTTCCATGGATTCTGGTCCAGTAATTCTTGGCTATCTTTTTAGTTATTTAATTCCTTCATGATTTGGACTGATTTTTTTTTCTAGACATCCAGATATCTTCTATTGGATAATTAACCCAAACTAGCTAGTTGGCAAAAATAATTCTACATTGCATGCATATTTCTTAAGTTATGTCTAATTGTGTTCCCACAGATAATACGTTCCTTGTGAGCTCTTCAACTCCACATGCTATCTTCTACTGTTTTCTAATTGTAGTTTTGCTTCCTTTTGTCTTATTTAAAACATTTTTCCTATAGTTGCAGTATCTAAATAAATATAAGGAAGAGTTCCCTGTTACCTACCCGTCATCAAGAAAAATCAGAATTTGTTGGACAACATCATCTTAAGTCTGAAGGATTCCACTTCTACGGTATAAAATAAACAGCGATACTTTAATTAATTTTCATTAATTAATTAAAAAGGAGGAAAAGATAATGAGTCACATAAACACTAAAGGCATTTATTTAAGCACATTATTCTTGGGACACCTTGCTCTTCACTAGACTGTGAGCTGAGAGTCATCACTTACACTTAATTTTGAAATGACAATTTTTTGGAGTAGTCAGTATTTGTAGTTATTCAATACATCCTTGGCTTTAAAACTTTAAAAATTTTATTCTGAATAGTATGCTATACAGAGCCCGGTCAGGAATAAATTTTTGAGAAGTGTAGCATAAATTGATAGCAATATTACTCTTAATGCAGAATAACTGAAATTGAAACAAAATTTGATGTGTGGAGTAGAAATTCCTTTTTTTCTAAAGTAAATACTTTATTAACACCAATGAGACATCATTGTTATTATACAAGAAAGAAAATAAAACATTATTTTATGTATATATTTTATGTAATCTAAGTCTGGGAATGCAAGTTCATGAGATTCCCACATAAACCTATGGGTCAATTTTTAGGGAAATATTTCTATTTCTATATAAAGCTATCTGATACCATGTTAAGCAATAAATTCAAATCTCGTTTTACTGTTTATATTGATGGCCACAATTTCTCACTTAAATATATATTAATATTAAACTGTATTACACATAATGATATCAGTAATATAAAATATATATAAACTGACCAAATTATATTTGCTGTGTAATTATTTATGCATGTAAAAAATTGCTTATATGTCTCTATTTCTTCCCTCCTTTTACTTCTGGTAAGAGTAGAGTATTTTTAAGAGCCATGTAATGCAGATCAGGTAGAGCAGTTAAGATGAATTTTTGTGTTTGAATTATCACTTCATCATAATGGAAATACAGTCATCTCTGTACTATTGGTTAAACTTCATTTTTTCTCAATAACAACCACTTTCATGTGAAGTATTTTTATTGTGATAGGATTCTTTAAGATGAAATTTCCATATTGGAAATATGAAATGGTAGCATAAATGTAAACTTTGGTCCCTGAACTAAAATTTCAGAAAGTGTTTTTTCTACTTCGTAAATTACATGGTGTAGAAGTACCAGAAAAGAAAATAATTTGTTGTGTCTTCTTTAGTCAAGTGGGTAAATTTTCTCAGGGACACAAGAATATCTTTAAATTTTTGAGTTGAACATGAGAGACAACTTGACTGACATTTTAGATAAAGAAACAATAATTGTAATGTCAAACTCAATCAGTCACATATTAGTTATATAATCCTGAATGTTACCAGTGTGCTCTGTGTCTCAGTTTTTGTGGCGATAATAAAGACTACTTGATGGGGTTCTTTGAAATTGCTGAAAGATAGTGTATGCAAAGTGCCTATAGCTCCTGATATAATCAATAAATATAGGAGTCATCTCTGCACATTATTCAATATAAAAGTTTCTTGTAAGGCAAAATGAATGACTTAAAGTACTTTAATGGATTTAGCGCTATTCCCATCTAATATCTGACCAAATCATAATTTAATGATTAAGTTCATACTAATGTAACTATTTTGAACAGTTTCAATATAGTGATGAATAAAGAAGAAACAATTGTTCCAATCATTGTGTTTAATTGTGTTTTGTGGAATCACCACTTTTTATTGATTAATAACATTTTTGATAGATTTCATCTTTTCTTGTTCAACTGTAATAATCTATATGTTTACAATGCTAAACTCAAAGTTGATTTAAATCTTAGTTTCTCCTCTCTTCCTAGGTGCAGACTTCAACCTTAGCTCCAGAAACATGCACTGAACGTAGTGCCATAATTTACTCTACTCTTCCCTCTTTCCCATTCCAGGAACTTGATATGGAAAGGCGTGTCTGGTGGGGTATGCCTCTGAGGATAATATACCCTGCCACATATGGGCTCTATCTCAACCATTCTCAATGATTGGAGCAGCAGACATCTTTTAGTAAACATTCTAGAAATTCATGGGTACTTTAAAAAATCAGTTATCACCATTACTGGAGGGCACTATGGGCAGTAGTCAAGGTTGGAAGAAAGCCTGACATTTATGAAATACTTAGTCACAATAATTATCCTGCATAACTTCATTGGGACTATTTGAAACACAAATACATATTAGTAGTACTTTAGCACAAAATAGCATTGAAAGTTTTACAAGAATATGAATGAAAATCCAGTACTTGAGGAGAAGATTGTTGTGAAATACAAGAGTTAAGTATTAGAAAACCATTCCTGATTTTATTGAATAAATTATTAATCCTGTATATTCTGTCTCTTCAATGTGCAATTGCAGTACTGACATATTGGCTCTGCATCAATCATATCACCTTTGTTTTATATTTTTCCTTTATGATTGGTGATACATTATAGATATAGTCTAGTGTCCCTTGATGTTTTGTTGATAATATTTGTAAAGAACACCATGTCCTACAAAGTGTTTTGAAAATCTATCAACTGTAGTGAACAATATTTACTACTTATTTTCAAGATTCTTTTTATTTTGAATATTTAATTTTTTCTATATGTTATTCTTATTGCAATGAAATATAAGCTAATTTCAAAGTCATAAATAAAGGATTATATACTATTTGTAATAAAGGATATTGCCTATCACTTTCCTAGTTCTACAAGTGTTAAGAGTTTAAAGGTAAAATAAAAATTAATAACTGTAGGACTTGCTTTATGAATCTGGGTACTCCTAGACTGGATAAAGAAAATGTGGCACAATGCACCATGAAATACTATGCAGCCATAAAAAAAGGATGAATTCATGTCCTTTGCAGGGATATGGATGAAGCTGGAAACCATCATTCTCAGCAAACTAACACAGGAACAGAAAACCAAGCACTGCATGTTCTCACTCATAAGTGGGAGTTGAACAATGAGAACACATGGACACAGGGAGGGGAATATCACACATCGGGGCCTGTTGGGGGCTGGGGAGGTAGGGGAGGGGTAGCAACTGGAGAAATACCTAATGTAGATGATGGGTTGATGGTTGCAGCAAACCACCATAGCACCTGTATACCTATGTAACAAACCTCCACATTCTGCACATGTATCCCAGAACTTAAAGTATAATAAAAATTTAATAACTAGGCATTATTGCAATCATTTTCTATTCATTGTCTCTCTTTCACAAGCTATCACTATTTTGTCAGTGTTCCTATTACATAATGCTTAGTAGAAATACAGCTCAAAATTTAGTTTATTAAAACAATAATTTGTGTTATTCTTATAATTCTTTTGGCTATGAATTTGAGCAGAACACTGGGAATGGCTTATACATATTAATATTCCATGGTATCCTAGCCTTAGCTAGACTGGTTTATAAAACTGGAAAATGCTATCGTGAAACAACCAGTGCCATATATCTAGTATCTTGTGGTTCTGGTCTTTGCTAGGAATCTTATTTCTTCTCCATGTGGCATTTACTGGAGCTGGGATATTCAAAATGGCTTCTTTATTCACTTGTCTGGCACCTCCACTGAGATTAATGGAGCAGCTCTGGGTTGGCAAGGAATATATGTCTTGCTGTACGTATTCTCCAATATGTCTAGCTTAGTCTTTCTTACAGCATGGCAGATCCAGGATATTCAATCTTCTTACATAGAGTCTGACATCCACAGAACAATTCCAAGAGACCAAGAATTCGTGTGTGTTCTTATGATCTGTATTCAGAAGTTACTCAGTTTTACTTCTGCTATGTTTTACTGGTTAAGGAGAACTGTGCTGGATTCAATGATGAAGGGAACAATAAAGAGCATGAGAACAGGAGAAATGGTTCATTGAGGTTGGAGGGGAGATGGAGAAGGTGCACCTTGAAAAGTACTACCACACCATCCATCTCTATTCTGGCTTTCTCATGGGGAGAGTGAGTGAGGAGAAACTTGCTTAGCCACCTCTTTACACAGGACACTGATTTAGAAGATCTGGCTATCTAAACATTTTCCACTACCAATCATCTTCCACCAAGATGCTCTGTTGCATTTCACTTTTTATAGAATTCTATTATTGAGCAGGCAACCTGTTAAGTGAGATACCAGTGAGATGGTTCATAGCCATCTTTTGACGTCCGCCTTAACCAACGGGAAACTCATGCATCCTTTCTATGCCAAACTGGGAAGCGCATCAGTGGAAGAGCTTTTCTTTCATATTCTTTTTCTCTCATTCCGATTGAACAATTTTATGTAGTTTTGTCCTGTTTTTTTTTCCTCCTCCTCAACCAATACCCACTCCATCTAGACCCAAAGGCAGAATATTCTACTTGAGACAACACTTTATCTCTAGGAATGATTTTTTTTAATAAAGCTTTCCTCATTTGTCCTCCAGGAAAATAAAGCACCTTTTAAAATCCCATTTAGAAGGAAAGCAGTATTACTATATAAGAATATTGTACTCATCAGATAGCTGAGGATAATAACTCCTCTAACCTCTCTCTTCTCTTATTTTCCTCCTTCTCCTCATCTTCTGCTTTCAATATTTTGGCTAAATGTTGTAAGTAGAAGAAAGTTGATTATGTATTGTGATTGTGATAGGGTGAATTCTTCTACCTCTTAATACAACTTGAATGAGAATTATCTGGCCCCAGATACAGGTGGCTTGCTTTAGAATGCAGATAATTGGTGTCCTTGGTTTTCTTTTACCTAAAGGCTCTAGTGGTAATTCCAGGGGGAAAAAATCTACTCAAGATTTTCTTAGACAAACAATATGAACTTTTGTCTACTCCATGAAACTAAAACAAAAATTGAAAAGAAAAAAAATCAAAAAATAAAATATGATTTTAAATAGTCACCTTACAAAAATCTCTTTGTAGGCTCCCAGAATTATTATGGTCTCCAAGAGCAAAATAAAATGTCTTTGTTGTTTTCCATTTCATGGGTCATAATGGTAGTTGACTTTCCAATTTCCATCCTGGTCATTTATGATTTCTAATTAATGCAATATTTTGAAGTATTTTGCATTGTACTGTTTGAACATGAAACATCTTGTCTTCACTCTTCACTTTGATTAGATTAGAATCTAATCAAAATTGGATTCTATGTGACATAAAATAAACTGATAACTTTTAAATTAATCTTGACTAGTTTATTTTGTCAAGATAGGCTTTTCTTTCATGATATATTCTCTTCAATCATTAAGGAAAGAATGCTGTCACAAATATAATGAGCATGTATTATAGTATCAAAACCTATTTGTGAATCTTTTAGAACTGGTATTTCTGTGTTCTTTTGACCTTGAAGCCAAGAGTTCTGCTCATTAAATTTCTGGGTCTAAAGTGAATTAGTTTCATACAGTAGACCATTTTCTTAAAACTTTATTAATGTCAAATTTTATATAAGTTAATTAAAGGTGCTAGTTTTGGGGTTCATTCTTAAGTTCATCCAAGACAGAAAAATAATGTGTTTTTTTTTTTGTTGGTTTTGTGTGTTGGGGGTGGCAGTGCGGGTTGGGGATGGCACACAGGGATTTTAATTCTTCTTATGTTAATGCAACGTCTGGTGAATAATATTTCAGGGAGCAGGACAGCATACAAATCCCAGTAGGCAGAATGACTACCAGGAATTTACTTCTACTCTTACCACGGCCTAACTTTCAGTATTGCACCCTACTTAAAAGAAGATATTATGTTCCGTAGCTGTAAATAGATGGCCCAAGCAGGGCCTCAAAAGCACTTCTAAATCACTGAAGCATACAACTACAATCATTCAGACATAAAAGTAGACTATATAATACTTAGGTTGGTGATATATAGATGACTTTTTGTACTCCTTACAATATGCCAGCATTCCAACAAGTGGTTTATTGATGTTGTCACATTAACATATTAATTATCATTTGTGAAAAAGAAGACAATGAATTAACTTAATTAATGTACCCAAGGTCACATAAATAATACATGGCAGAGGCAATATTGGACCATGATATAAAAAGCTTAAAACCTCGTGCTCTAAATTACATTGTTTTATCAGCAAACAACAACTCTAAACTGTGTAAATTTATTAATGATACTACTCTAATTTATCTCTAAATTAAAGTGACCATAATATTGAAATTTTTGTGACTATCCTGAATTCTGCTCTCATTTTCAATTGTATTTATACTGATAGATTTATTTTTTAAGTCTATTCAACAAATGTTTATTAACTTCTATTTTCAAAAACTGCCCAAGGTAGTGTGAGTGTAATAACAAACAAAACACTTTTAGTCACATTTATACCTTGTCTTCAGAGAGTTTATGTGAGATAAAAGAATGATTAATATTATTGTAATTGAACATATACTTTATTAGGGACTATAAATACAGGACAGAGAAAACTTTTTTGGTAAACAGGAAATAAAAAAATTATTGATGTCTCAGAAGGGCTCGTAATCTATGAGATTATATGGGTATTTTAATAAGCATTCGGTGACCCAATGAATTCAACACATGCCTTCACAGTTAGATGAAAAGTACAGGCCTGAGGCAAAAGCAGTAGCACATTTAGAGAGGGGTGCTCTGCAGTAGAGACTATTGAGTGACAAGAGATAGGAATGGATTGTATAGGCCTTGCAAAAGGAGCAAATCTGGTTATTATTCTGAGTGAAATGGGAAGCACTGGAAGGTTTTCAGCAAGAAAGGGGCATAATCTCATTTTTGTTTATAAAAGATCGCTTTAGCAACTGAGTGAAGGTGCTGTAGAAGGACAAGAATGGGGCAGGAGATCCAATGAGCAGATTTTTGTAATGGTTTATGATTAGCGCTACATGGCAATTGACAGAGTGGTAATATGAGGAAATTTTGTAAAAGCCACTAATTTTTTTAAAACTAAAAAAACCTTAAAAACCCAAATTATGAAAAATAAAACTGTGTGGTCAGGGTCCCGGATTTTGGCCATTCTATAATAATATGTGTGTACTGATATCTCAATGCTATTTTCATTTCCATTTTCCTGGCAACTTATGTGGAATATCTTTTCACATAATTATACCAAATGATGACAGGGATATGGAGCAACAGGAACTCTTATTCTTTGCTAGTAGGAATACAAAATGGTACAAACACTTGGGAAGACAGTTTGGCAGTTTCTTATAAAACTTAACATATTTTTACTATAAGATCCAGCAGTAGTGCTTCTTGGTATTTACCCAAAATATTGAAAATCTGTGTTCAGACAAAAACCTGTACATGGAGGTTTTTAGCAGTTTTATCCGTAATTGCAAAAACTTAGAAGCAGCCAAGTTGTCCTTCAGTAGGTCAATGGATAAATAAACCATGGTACATCTGGACAATGGGATATTATTAAGTGGTAAAAAGAGATGAGCTCTCAAGTCTTAGACATTTAAGAGCCTTAAATGCATATCACGAAGTGAAAGAAGCTAACTTGAAAAGGCTATGTACTATGTGATTCCAACGATATGGCACTCTGAAAAACGAAAAACTATGAAGACAGTAGAAACTCTGTGGTCGCCAGGGGCTAAAGTTGAGTATGCAGAGCACAGGATCTTTAGGGCAACAGAACTATTCTATATAATATGATACAGGTGGATGCATGTCATTATACATTTGTCCAAACCCATACATTATGCAATATCAAGAGTAAACTTTAGTGTAAACTATGCAGTTTGGGTTATAATGATGTGTCAATGTAGGTTAATCGATTGTAACAAATGTATAACTCTGGTGAGGGATGTTCATAATTGTGGAGGCAATTCATGTGTAGTGATAAGAAGTGTATGGGAAACTTCTGTACCTTTCTCTCAATTTGCTGTGAACAGAAACTACTCTAAAAGTAAAGTCTTTAAAAATCAATCAATTATTCAATCAATCTGCAGAAATATAAGAATCCAAAATTTGTACTAAAATATAAAAATCCTGGGCTTTTTTTTGTTGGTAGGCTATTAATTACTGCCTCAATTTCAGAACTTGTTCTTGGTCTATTCAGGGATTCGACTTCTTCCTGGGAGGGTGTATGTGTCCAGGAATTTATCCGTTTCTTCTAGGTTTTCTAGTTTATTTGCGTAGAGGTGTTTATAGTATTCTCTGATGGTAGTTTGTATTTCTGTGGGATCAGTGGTGATTTTCCTTTTATCATTTTTGATTATGTCTACTTGTTTCTTCTCTCTTTTCTTCATCATTCTGGCTAGCGGTCTATCTATTTTGTTAATCTTTTCAAAAAACCAGCTCCTGGATTCATTGATTTTTTTGAAGGGTTTTCCCTGTTTCTATCTCCTTAAGTTCTGCTCTGATCTTAGTTATTTCTTGTCTTCTGCTAGCTTTTGAATTTGTTTGCTCTTGCTTCTCTAGTTCTTTTAATTGTGATATTAGTGTGTCACTTTTAGATCTTTCTAGTTCTAGATCCTTGAGGAATCACCACACTTTCTCCCACAATGGTTGAACTAATTTATGCTCCCATCAAAAGTGTAAAAGTGTTCCTATTTCTCCACATCCTCTCCAGCATCTCTTGTTTCCTGACTTTTTAATGATCGCCATTCTAACTGGCCCTGACTTTTAGATGGAAAACTGACAAACAGAAAGCAATAAAATCAACAAAAAGGATGCCCACGCAAAAACCCCATCCAAAGGTCATCAGCATCAAAGATCAAAGGTAGATAAATCCATAAATATGAGGAAAAACCAGCGCAAAAATACTGAAAATTCCAAAAACCAGAATGCTTCTTCTCCTCCAAAGGATCATGACTCCTCACCAGCAAGAGAACAAAACTGGACAGAGAATGAGTTTGACGAACTGATAGAAGTAGACTTCAGAAGGGGGGTAAT
This sequence comes from Homo sapiens, assembly GCF_000001405.40. NCBI lineage: Eukaryota > Metazoa > Chordata > Mammalia > Primates > Hominidae > Homo > Homo sapiens. The sequence goes on from NC_000005.10 coordinate 104,395,954, forward strand.
AATGAAGTGCTCTGAGCTAAAGGAGCATGTTTTAACCCAATGGAAGGAAGCTAAGAACCTTGATAAAATGTTCTGGGAACTGCTAACTAGAATAATCAGTTTAGAGAAGAACATAAATGACCTGATGGAGCTGAAAAACACAGCGTGAGAACTTCATGAAGCATACACAAGTATCAATAACCGAATCCATCGAGCAGAAGAAAGGCTATCAGAGATTGAAGATAAACTTAATGAAATAAATCATGAAGACAAGATTAGAGAAAAAAGAATGAAAAGGAAGCAACAAAGCCTCCAAGAAATATGGGACTATGTGAAAAGACCAAACCTATGATTGATTGGTGTACCTGAAAGTGATGGGGAGAATGGAACCAAGTTGGAAAACCCACTTCAGGATATTATCCGGAACTCCCCAGCCTGGCAAGACAGGCCAACATTCAAATTCAGGAAATACAGAGAACACTACTAAGATACTCCTCGAGAAGAGCAACCCCAACACACATAATCATCGGATTCACCAAGGTTGAAATGAAGGAGAAAATTTTAAGGATAGCCAGAGAGAAAGGTCAGGTTACCCACAAAGAGAAGCCCCTAAGTCTAACAGCAGATCTCTCCGCAGAAACCCTACAAGCCAGAAGAGAGTGGGGGCCAATATTAAACACTCTTAAAGAAAAGAATTTTCAACCCAGAATTTTATAACCAGCCAAACTAAGCTTCATATGTGAAGGACAAATAAAATACTTTACAGACAAGCAAATGCTGAGGGATTTTGTCACCACCAGACCTGCCTTACAAGAGCTCCTGAAGGAAGCACTAAATATGGAAAGGAAAAATTGGTACCAGCCACTGCAAAAACATACCAAAATATAAAGACCAATGACACTATGAAGAAACTACATCAACTAATGTGCAAAATAACCAGCTAGCATCATGATGACAGGATCAAATTCACACATAATAATATTAACCTTAAATGTAAATGAGCTAAATGCCCCAATTAAAAGACACAGACTGGCAAATTGGGTAAAGAATCAAGACCCATCACTGTGCTGTATTCAGGATACCCATCTCATGTGCAAAAATACAGTAGGCTCAAAATAAAGGGATGGGGGAATATTTACCAAGCAAATGGAAAGCAAACAAACAAACAAACAAAAAAACAGGGGTTGCAATCCTAGTCTCTGATAAAACAGACTTTAACCAACAAAGATCAAAAAAGACAAAGAAGGGCATTACATAATGGTAAAGAGATCAACGCAACAAGAAGAGCTAACTATTCTAAATATATATGTACCCAATACAGGAGCACCCAGACTTATAAAGCAAGTTCTTAGAGACCTACAATGAGATTTAGACTCCCACACAATCATAGTGAGAGACTTTAACATCTCACTGTCACTATTAGACAGATCAATGAGACAGAAAAATTAACAAGGATATTCAGGACTTGAACTCAGCTCTGGACCAAGCAGACCTAGTAGACATCCAAAGAACTCTCCACCCCAAATCAACAGAAGTACATTCTTCTCAGCACTGAAATCATAACAGTCTCTCAGAACACAGTGCCATCAAATTAGAACTCAGAATTAAGAACCTCATTCAAAACTGCACAACTACATGGAAACTGAACAACCTTCTCCTGAATGACTACTGGGTAAATAACGAAATTAAGGCAGAAATAAATAAGTTATTTGAAACCAGTAAGAACAAAGACACATTGTACCAGAATCTCTGGCACACAGCTAAAGCAGTGTTTTGAGGGAAATTTATGTGTCCTGGGGTTGCTCTTCTCGAGGAGAAGGTATTGATGGAATACATACCAAAATAATAAGAGCTGTTTATGAAAAACCCACAGCCAATATCATACTGAATGGGGAAACCTGGAAGCATTCCCTCTGAAAACTGGCACAAGAAAAGGATGCCGTCTCACACCACTCCTATTCAATATGGTATTGGAAGTTCTGGCCAGGGCAATCAGGCAAGAGAAAGAAATAAAGAGTATTTAAATAGGAAGAGAGGAATCAAATTATCTCTGTTTTCAGATGACATGATTGTATATGTAGAAAACCCCACTGTTTCAGCCCCAAAACTCCTTAAGCTGATAAACAAATCATCTAAGTCTCAGGATACAAAATCAATGTGCAAAAATCGCAAGCATTCCTATACACCAATAATAGACAAACAGAGAGCCAAATTATGAGTGAACTCCCATTCACAATTGCTACAAAGGAATAAAATACCTAGGAATACAACTTACAAGGGATGTGAAGGACCTCTTCAAGGAGAACTACAAACCACTGCTCAAGGAAATAAGAGAGGACACAAACAAATGGAAGAACATCCCATCCTCATGGATAGGAAGAATCAATATCATGAAAATGGCCATACTGCCCAAAGTAATTTATAGATTCAATGCTATCCACATCAAGCTACCATTGACTTTCTTCATAGAAATAGAAAAAAACTAGTTTAAATTTCATATGGAACCGAAAAAAGAGCCCATGTAGCCACGACAATCCTAAGCAAAAAGAACAAAGCTGGAGGCATCACACTACCTGACTTCAAACTATACTACAAGTCTACAGTAACCAAAACAGTATGGTACTGGTACCAAAACAGATATATAGACAAATGGAACAGAACAGAGGCCTCAGAAATAACACCACACATCTATAACCATCTGAACGTTGACAAATCCAACAAAAACAAGCAATGGGGAAAGGATTTCCTATTTAATAAATGGTGTTGGGAAAACTGGCTAGCCATATGCAGAATACTGAACTAGACCCCTTTCTTACACCTTATAAAAAATTAACTCGAGATGGATTAAAGATTTAAATGTAAGACCTAAAACCATAAAATCTTAGAAGAATACTTAGGAAATACCACTCAGGACATGGGCATGGGCAAAGACTTCATGACTAAAACACCAAAAGCAACTGCAACAAAAGCCAAAACTGACAAATGGGATCTAACTAAACTAAAGAGCTTCTGCACAGAAAACAAAAACAAAAACAAAACTATCATCAGAGTGAACAGGCAATCTACAGAATGGGAGAAAATTTTTGCAATTCATCCATCTGACAAAGGGCTAATATCCGGAATCTACATGGAACTTAAACAAATTTACAAGATAAAAATAACCCCATTGGAAAGTGGGAAAGGGATATAAACAGACACGTTTCAAAAGAAGACATGTATGTGGACAACAAACACATTAAAAAAACCTCATCATCACTGTTCATTACAGAAATGCAAATCAAAACCACAATGAGATATCATCTCACGCCAGTTAGAATGGCAGTCATTTAAAAGTCAGGAAACAACAGATGCTGGAGAGGATGCGGAGAAATAGGAATGCTTTTACACTGTTGGTGGGAGTGTAAATTAGTTAAACCATTGTGGAAACAGTGTGGCGATTCCTCAAGAATCTAGAACTAGAAATACAATTTGATGCAGCAGTCCCATCACTGGGTATATACCCAAAGGATTATAAATAATTCTACTATAAAGACACATGCACACATATGTTTATTGCAGCACTGTTCACAATAGCAAAAACTTGGAACCAACCCAAATGCCCATCAATGATAGACTGGATCAAGAAAATGTGGCACATATACACCATGGCATACTATGCAGCCATAAAAAAAGAATGAGTTCATGTCCTTTGCAGGGACATGGATGAAGCTGGAAACCGTCACTCTCAGTAAAGTAACACAGGAACAGAAAACCAAATACTGCATGTTCTCACTCCTAAGTGGGAGTTGAACAATGAGAACATATGGGCACAGGGAAGGGAACATCACACACCAGGGCCTGTCGGGGGGCTCGGGGGAAGGGGAGGGATAGCATTAGGGGAAATACCTAGTGTAGAAGATGGGTTGATGGGTGCAGCAAACCACCATGGCACATGTATACCTATGTAACATGCCTGCATGTTCTGCATATGTATCCCAGAACTTAAAGTATAATAATAAAAAAATGCAGAATAAAAATAAATGGAAAAAATATATAAAAATCAGTCTTCTTGCTTGCTTGCTGTCTTTGCTTTCTTGATTTTTCATTTTCTCACATTCTTGCATCCATCTTTGTCATATCATACAAAGTAGTTCTGCTGACCTAAAAATCCTGTGCTCTGAATATTCAACTTTAGCCCCTGGCAACTAGAGATGTTTTACTGTCTTCAGAGTTTTTCCTTTTACGGAATGCCATATTGTTGGAATCATATAGTACACAGCCTTTTCAAGTTAGTTTCTTTCACTTAGTGATATGCATTTAAGGCTCCTAAATGTATTTTCAAGACTTGAAAACTCATCTCTTTTTACAACACAATAATATCCTATTGTCTAGATGTACCATGGTTTACTTATACGTTGACCTACTGAAGGACAACTTGGCTGCTTTTAAGTTTTTACAGTAAAACTGCTAAAAACCTCCATGTGGAGGTTTTTGTCTGAGCATAGAAGCACTATTGCTTTCTTGATTTTTCATTTTCTCAGATTCTTGTTTCCTTGCATTCTTCTTGCTTTCCAATAAAGAAGTCAGGGGCACTTTGTAGCTGTCATAGACTCAGGGTCCATTTGTTATAATTCACCAGTAATGTAATTCTTTTAAAATGTATAACAGATAGGCTGTGCAATCCACTTCAAACAATTAAGTATAAATCGATCATTTCGCTGGGAGAACCAACTTGGGAAATAATTGTTCAGTAACATTAGTCAATTTTGCTAATAAAAATAATATTTCACTAATATATTTTTCTTCAAAGGTGGCATATATGGGGTTTCATAAAGTAGGCAACTTCATTTTTTCCTTTATTTAAATGTCTAATCTTTGCAAGGCTTTAACTAGGGGACTTACCCAAAATGAGTTTTCGGATACATAAAATTCATACCATTTCTTTTGCTTATACCTGACTATTTAATCCCATGGAGACATGAGCTCTTAATTAAAAACAAAGATAGATACGCCTTGGTTCAAAATTGTTTTCATTTGAGTGAGCACACTTGTGAAACTGATTTCCTCAATAGCAGGGCCAGGTGGAGAGATGGAAGTCACCTCTGTGTAGCAGCATGCTCCTCCCAGATCAATAGGAAGCCGGCAATGCCGTCTTCCTCAGTGACCAGATGGGCCAACTCCTACAGAATTGTCCACAGCCATTATTCTGTGCATCAGGCTGTGCAATTGATTTCACGATAACAGACAAGAGGGAAAGGGCTGTCAGGCTTGACTGCCTCCTGTCAATGCAGGAGCCCTGGAAGAGTGTAATTCAGAAAATTTTTGTCAATTTGTGTGAGCTAGGGTGAAATCCTGACAGGGTGATTCTTTACTTGTCATGCAGTTTGAATTTGCAGTGGGGAATCTTCTCTTGGGCACCTAGGCAGTGACTGGCCTGGCTAGAACAGTATGTTATGATGCATGGTTCAATTTCACGGACAACTTCCATGGAGTACTGTTTTCTAAGCAGAGAAGAATAGAAAAGGTGGAAATAAAGGGTTGAGTTTATTTTAAAAGCCTACCCAAAATATTCCATTTCTCTCAGAATTCCTTCCTTGCCTTTCATATTGTAAACTTATTTACCTGTCAGTTTATAAATTTCAATTATCTACAGAATACAAAATTTCCTCTCTGCTTGTAATCAAATAATCAATGGGGGAAATGAAGAAACTAATGCCTCAGGAACAAGAATGCATACTCTGTAAGCATCACTGCAGTTATATTTTGGCTTGCATAGGGTAAATCAGTTTACAACAATTGTGTCGTGTACAGATGGATTTAAAATCATGAATCAGGCTGTGCTAAATCATGTGAAAAGTGTTTGAATGAAAACATTAATTACATCTCATAGGTAAACATCAAAGAAACTAGACAAGTCATGCTTTTGTTTTGTTTAATACTAGAAATGTCAGAGCTACTTGACTACAAATTCCCTGGGGCTGCTTTGTTTTGTCATATTTCATCTCCTGTACAACTTCATGAACATTTAGGTTGTTGCTCTATGATTTAAAAATAATGATGAAGTCAAAGTGTTTTTTTTTTTCCCAAGCTCTTGCTAAAACTTTAATATAGCAACTTAGGGGCCCACTGGAATAAAAGGTAGTGTCCTGTTCAATATATTGTGAGTGCTCAGGTGCCTATTGGATAGAATTAAATCCATGGAATAAAAGATAAGCCAGCAACAAGTCACAGACTAGTAAACAATACAAGATGCAAGTGAGGTTTATTCTAGAATTAAGTGGATTTTCTATTTGGAATATTTTAAAAAGAATCAAATCAAAACAAAATAAACAAACAAAATTGTGTCATATGGTTTTAGATTAAGCTGTAGCTTTAAAATCGTTCAGTACTTACGTTGTTTTACAATTAGATAGAAGGTTATAAAAGATGCAATTTGTGTCTTCAAGGAGTTTACATTATAGTATTCATTTAATAAAGTTTTGAGCTCCTAGTAGAGGGATATGTTGAGCCACCCTGGCACTTTATTGGTATTTCTGAAAATTATGTTAAATCTGAGACATTAGGATATTTTTTATTTCTGATATTTGGTTATATATCATAAAAAGCTTAATTTTCTCTTTTGGCCTTAATAAATATATGTTCATAATTATATTTGGTTGAAATATTTACTGTTGTTTACCATCAATGGTTTCAAAATAATCATGAATGATTCATACTTTTAGTATATTTTAAAGCATAATTATAAGTGATTAATATTTATAATAACATCCTGCAGCCCCTAATGAAATTTGATTTGAGATTCACTAAAAGTTAAAGTTAATTTTGAAAATAACGTGAAAATTTCAAGTACAATAAATAAAATATTAATTAATTAATTTACATTACACCTGCTTATTTATAGATAGGTCAGTAAGATTTGCATATACTTTTCATGCTATTTGTTAAATTTGGCATTTGTCAAGGTAGAGTGGTCAATTTGGTGAAATGTTTTTTTCTGCAGTTGCTGAAATAATAGTTTGACTTAGTCAAGATGTATGATATTTTTATATATTGTTGGATTAAAATTGCTAATATTTCATTAAGGATATTTGCATCTGTGTTCCTAAAAAATATTGACCTGTAGCTATCTTTTCTTTCAATGACATCATAAAATGAGCTAAAAGGTAGTTCCTTCTTTATTTTCCAGAAGATTTTGTGTAGGTTTGGCACTATGTCCTTTTTCGTGTTGATAGACTTCAATAAAAAAGCCATCTGGACTCAAAGTTTCCTTTGAGGGACTATCATGAATTGCAGACTCAAGTTTTGTAAAACATATAGGGCAATTCAGCTTTTTTATTTATTCTTTGACAACTTTGACAACTTGCGCTTTCCAAGAAATTTGCAGTTTTCATGTAAGTAGTTGAATTTATTACCACAAAATTATTCACAATACAGCCTTTTTACACTGTAATGTCGGAATAATCTGAAGTGATGGTTTCTCTTAAATTTGATACTGTCCTTTTTATTTTGCTTTTTATCAGTCTAGCTAGAATGTTATAAATTTTGTTGCTTTTTTAACTATGAACCTGTTTTAGTTTCATTTTTTTCTTCTCTATTGCTTTTCTGTTTTCCATTTTGTTGACTTATACCCTCAGCTTTATTATTTCCTTCTTTCTACTAGCTTTAGATTGACTTTGATCGTCTTATTCTAGAGTCTCATGATGGAAGCTTAGGACATTGATTTTAGACCTTTTTTCTTTTCAGATATAAATATTTAAAGCTGTAACTGTCTTCTAAGCACTGTTTTAGCTGCGTTACACAAATATATCTTGGTGAATTTATTTTCATTTAATGCAAAATGTTTCCTAATTTTTTTATGATTTTCTCATATGAAATGTATTATTTGAAGGGTATTAATTTCTAAACATTTGTGAATAATCTAGATTCATTATTGTTTCTGATTTTAATTTGTATTCATTTCGATCAGAGAGCATGCTTTGTATTATTTCAAACTTTGTTCTCTGACTCCAAATATAATATACTTTGGTAAATGTTCCATAGGCAATTGAATAGACTGTGAATTCTGTTGTTAGCTATGATGTTCTACAAATGTCAAGTAGGTCAAATCGTTGATAGTGTTGTCTAGGTCTTCTATATGTTTATTAGTTATTGGTGTACTTCTACTGATTAATTTTGAATTGTTCAACAATTATTATGGATTTTTCCATTTCTCCTGAAAGTGGTCTCGAGTTTTTCTTCTTATATTTTGCTTTATTGTTTTGTATACACATATTTTGTATTTTTACATATTTTAAGAGTATACTTTTGAAACTAGTTATTTCATCACTAAACACTCCTTTATCTTAGTACTATATCATAACTGCCACTTTGTCTTACAATAACATGGTGAGTTTGGATGTCTCATAATCAGGGTTTAAACAATTTTTTCTTCCATTTGTAAAGTCTAAATTTTAATTTAAATAATAAGTGCATTTAATTGTAGACATCATATAGGTGACTTTTTATTATTTTTACTTTTAAATTACTAGAAAATCCCTTTGTTTCTCTTTTTCCAGGTATTACACTCTTGTAATACCCAATGTCCAATGTTATTTTTTTTTTTTTTTTTTTTTTTTGAGACGGAGTCTCGCTCTGTCGCCCAGGCTGGAGTGCAGTGGCGGGATCTCGGCTCACTGCAAGCTCCGCCTCCCGGGCTCACGCCATTCTCCTGCCTCAGCCTCCCAAGAGCTGGGACTACAGGCGCCCGCCACTACGCCCGGCTAATTTTTTGTATTTTTAGTAGAGACGGGGTTTCGCCGTTTTAGCCGGGATGGTCTCGATCTCCTGACCTCGTGATCCGCCCGCCTCAGCCTCCCAAAGTGCTGGGATTACAGGCGTGAGCCACCGCGCCCGGCTGTCCAATGTTATTTTTAAAATTGTGTTCATTTATTTATTTTTTTAATGATGAGAGGACAAATCTCCTGTGAGTTACTTCTTCATGACAGAGTAGAAGCCTTGTGTTTTATTTTTTAATTATAATTCAAGTAAAAATGTACTATATAATATTAGAAAACATACATTGTGAGACAAGTGAGGCAGAAATATGAATTTATGAGTAAAATATGATGCAAAATTCTAATGATTAGGGAGAAACATATTTATATTTAAAATGTGTAAGGGTGGATTTAAAAATCAATAGATATTTAGATTACTTTGGATGCTCTTTAAATTCTTACCTCAACATTTTATTTGACAATAGCAACACATACGATATTCTGGAAATTCTATCATTTTCATATATTTGAATTTATGATGACTTTTAAAATCAAGTTTAAATGTACTGTGGTTACATTAATTTTCCTCCTTCTTTTAAGGATACTTAACTGAAGACCACTGTGTACAAAAAAATGTTTTTGACAGGTAGCAACAAGATGACTTGTTGGAGGATATTTTACTTAAAGAATGAGTTGTAATCAAAGACAAGACAAAATGTGAAAATGAGTCTTTTACGTTCAGAGAACAGCAAGAAGCCCCAGTGTTCTGGTTTGAATTGACTGACTATGAAGGCAATAGAGGTATGTATACACACTCAGACACACATAAGATATACACACTTATATATTACACCACTATATATAAAAAAAATCTATATATCACTCATGTGACCATTTACACATGATTTTAGATTTTATTCTGTGATAAAGTGGATGCTAGTATAGGTCTTTGGGCAAAGAAAATACCATGATAAGATATTATCTACATAAAGATTAACTTAGTGATATACAAAAATGAATGTTGATGGGAAGAAGTGTAGGTAGAGAGATTATTGCAGTTATATAAGTACTGAGCTCTAGATCTGGGAGGAAGGCTAAGAATGAATGACAAAACTGTTTTGAACTTAAATATAGAAATTATAAATTTAAATTCAAGATTTTTTGTTTCTCATTTGAAAAATTATTATGAATAAAAATTTCTAGCAGAATTTTATAAGCAAATAATTTTTTGAATATTTAGAGGAGGATAGCAAATTGTTTCTAAAATTACATTTTATTGTATCTTGCTGTTCCTTTCATACAGTAAGCATAAAAATGTTTTGTGGCTGGGCGCGGTGGCTCACGCCTGTAATCCCAGCACTCTGGGAGGCCGAGGCGGGTGGATCACGAGATCAGGATATCGAGACCATCCTGGCTAACACGGTGAAACCCCATCTCTACTAAAAAAATACAAAAAATTAGCCGGGCGTAGTGGCGGGCGCCTGTAGTCCCAGCTACTCAGGAGGCTGAGGCAGGAGAATGGCATGAACCTGGGAGGCAGAGCTTGCAGTGAGCCAAGATCACGCCACTGCTCTCCAGCCTGGGCAACGAAGCAAGACTCCGTCTCAAAAAAAAAAAAAAAAAGTTTTGTTAGCCTACCCAGGCGACAGTCATTTTTCTCAGGTGACCCTGATTTATCTGGCTCTTGTAAGGCTTCAGGCATCAAGAAAAGTTTTGGTAGGCCTGAAGCCTTCTGGTAAAATTCCTGTGTGTTTGGTACTTAAATGCTTCAACTAAAATGAATTGAAGCAAATTTTTAACTAATATGGTAACTGTATCTATATTTTTTCTCTATGACAATTGTTAAAGTTTTTCCAATCCAAAATTTAGTAGCTTAAAATAACAATGTATTATTTATGACAGTTCTTTTGGATTGACTAGTGAGTTCTACTGTTTTATTGCATCATTTCTGCTGAGACTGTGGCACGAAAGGAAAGTCTAAAATGTCATCACTCACATGACTGATAACTGATCCTGGCTTCTGGCTGAGAATTCAGTTGGTGCTAGTAGCAAAGGGCTTTAGTTCCCCACCATTTGTAAATCACCTTGCCGCTGCCTGAGCTTCCTCACAACATGGTGATCTAAGGGTAGTTGAACTTCTTACAATATGGCTGGCTTTCAAGAAAAGTGGAAACTGCTAGACTTTCTTAAGTTTTTATTCTGAAACCGGAGGAGTGTCAATGTTGCTGCATTCTATTGGTAAAAGCTGGTCATAAGATGTGGCCAAAGTCACAGAGACAAGTGTCTATCAGTGTGTAAACACCAGGATGTGGTTCAATGAGGAAAACTAAAGATGCAGTCTAATGTTCTATAAATAAAGATCATCACTGCTTTCTTTCTTTAGTGACCTCTCTAGCTTTTTGTTACAGTCCCAAAAGATCATACTTGTTTTGTCATCAATGCCAACATTATAAAGGTAAAACACTTTTCCCAAAAATTTTGATTTCATGAGGCATTATAAATCATAGACATTAGAATATAAAGAAATCAATGTTCTTTACATGAATATAAAAATATATTTTTGAAATATTGAAGCTAATTTTTATTAAGAATTACATTTTCATAATCTCCTTGAAAACTACTTTAAATTATGTATTAATGCTTTTCACTGCAGAGAGCAAATAATTCATCACATTGTGGTGTGTGTGTGTGTGTATATGTGTGCATGTGTGTGTGTGCACACGACATAGATATTATTATCATATATCATGTATGTACTATTTATATCATTGTGATGTCACTGAATTATACAAATACAAGTGAAAATTTAATTAACATTGTTAAAAATAAATGTTATCAATTTTCTTCAATTCATGGAAAGAATGGTATTAGAAGTTCCTAAGAGAATAAAACAGGAAAACTTTTAGCCTTTTTTAGAAGCTCACAGATTATGATTTTGATTTTGCAGATGTTATTTTTTGTATTTTTATATTTATTATATCTCTTTGTGAAAGAAAACACAATTAGTATGAATAGTAAGTAGAAACATGAAACACTCCAAAATCTTTGTCAGCTAAATAGTTTATACTTTTCTACTTGCTAATCTCTATTCTCAAAAAAGCAAATAAACCATCTTCACCAAACAATCAGGCCACAGAAGCACGGAAATGGCAGTCAGTCTTTTATTTTTATATTCAATACAACTACAGACAAGGGACCTGTATTTTTGTACCTGCTTAATATCACATGTATGAATAGTGAATGCAAATGCTGCTGACAAACAGTTTACAAAGTTAAGTATATCTTGAGAGTTTTACTTTGTTTGAGGATTTTTCAGTTTACTAAGACAAAAATTGCTTTCAGCACTTTAAATGTGGTCACATTGTTCAGATACACATCCTCAAGTGTCCTAAATCACAGATATGTATCTTAAATGTCATTGGGGACTGTCTGTGTTAATCCACCCTTTTTTAGACGAACATGCCCTTGGCAGTTCTATTCAGAATTCAATGATGCTGTTTAATTGACAATTTAAAATTTGCAACATGCAATGCCTCTATCCCTAATCCCCAAACCATATTTATATCTCTTGTAAGTCATAAGCAGGCCAAGGACACTGAGGTCTTTAAGTTTCAAGAGCCTGTGGGATCTGCAATGTATATCAGCTTGTACATATGTAACCTGCTGAGAAATAGCAGTAGTGCAGAAAAATATGATTCTATTCCTTGATCAGTATAAGTTAAATGGTTCTTTATTTCCTCCATTTCATTATGTATTTCTAGCTCAATGCTGTGAAACCTACTGACGGTAAATCCCTAGAAACTAGGGTATGAGACAGAAGAATTTGTTTACTTGCAGGGAAATTGCAATTACCCCCTACAGTTTTTTGGGATACAATTTGCAGACCACTTGCATTGAATGTAATCTTTACCAAGGACAAATTGTTTTTGTTTGTGATGGAATTTAAGAGTCTTTCTGAATATGCAAGAGAGGAGGAATTTTGTGACAGAAGAAATTTGCTGTTACCTTAATAAATAACAAAAATAAAATAACTATAACGATTTATAATGTCTTAGGTTGCTAATAGCTGGAGGGATAAAATAAAAGAAGGAGCAGTTCATGAAAATAATAAAGACAGAAAACAACTTACTAAGAAAAAATAAGCAAAGTATATGGTCATCATCTCAAATTTCATACACAAACATGAAGATTTACCTTTTCAATAATTTCACATTTTTATTATAACACTAATATAGGTATTTTATTTTATTTCACTGTAAGAGTTGTTTAAAAAGAAATAAGCATCTCTGCCTGTACTGTGTGGTTCAATAATTATTGTTTCTGTCAGAGACTTAAAAAATGGAAAAGTTAAAAAAGTGATAGTGAGAAAGCCAGCATTTTAAGGATGCCTTAATTATATACACATTTAGAAGAAAGTAAGAAGATTAAGTAAAAAGTTCAGCAATTGAATGTTTAAAATCATTTTTGATGAAAACGTTAACATTATGATTTGTAGATGACAGTGTGTTGCACACGTAGAGAACACTACGGTGTACTAGATAAAGCAAATGAAGATATGAAAAAAGTTATGGATTAAAATTTAAGAATTTTAAGAAATGTAAGAATTTTATATGTATTTGAATACTATATCTAAAACAACTCTAATAGCCTCTCCATTTTTTAGTCTTGAAGTAGAGGTATATTAGGGAAGGAAACCTGTCTTAACTCCTTTGAAAATTTTCCTAAGGAGCAGGTGAGATATTTAATTAGAGCCGTTTTTTAAAACTCAAAAACATAGTTCACCTTTGCCTAAAATAGAATAACTGATACAAGACTTAGCCACTCAAAATTTTTTAAAATACTGCAGAAGTAGACAAAATATATGTAGCTACCCTTTCTTATGCATTGGACAAGAGTCAATATAGGACTGTAATTCTTTATATAAGGGAAATATGTGAGATTTTTTACCCAGCTTTGTGCCTGGGAGCACTTTTCTGACTGTGGCCCCTGGAAGAGAAGCCCAAGAGAATGTGATGATCTCTCTGATGTTAGTAGGCATAGAGAGGATTCCCCGGAAACTGAAGCAGCTGAAACTCATAGGCAGAATTCTGAAAAGAGTTGCTGAGGAAGTTAGGTTAGATAAAAATTCAAGAAGGGCTTCCACATAAGTTCATGATTAATGTCTGCAGTGTTTGTTCACAGGGTGAGGCTCTCTGCAAGGTTGAGGAGAGAGTAGGTGTTGCTGGGATAAAAAATACATCAAGATTCCTGAGGTAACATGTTGCTGAAAGAAGTTGGAATTTTAGGCCGCCTACCATGTTCTGAATAAGAGAGCATTTGGCTGAGACCAGAACTTTAAAAATAAGCAACATGCTATAGAGTAAAGGCAATATCACAGAACTAAGCAGAACTGCAGAGAACTAAGCAAGACTGCATGCAGTAGACTTGCTCTAGAAAAAAAAAAATAATATGATGATGAGTAACAGGATAAAGAAAAATCTACTGGTAGTTCAAATTCAATTCCTGCTGGAGCAAAAGTAAATACTTTTCAAAAAAAGGTAATAAAAACATTATCTGTAATGTATCATCAACAATGTCTAGTATGCAATTAAAATCTACTTGACATGTGAAGAAATAAATAAAATATTATCCTTAAACAAGAGAAATAAAAGTCAATAAAAGCCAATTCTGTCATGACTTGTAAGTTAGAATAAGAAGACAAGAACTTTAAAATGCCTGTTTTAAATATAATCAAGTAAATAAGAAAAGGTAGGCATAGTGAATGATCAGATGAAAAAATCTCATAGAACTAGAAACATTAAATAAGAAACAAATAAAAATTCTATAGTTGATTAGTACAATATCAAAATGTTTAAAAAGAATCACAGAAGATCCTTAGCAAAAGATTGTGGACTAAAAAAAGAAATCGGTGAACTTGAAGACAGATTAATAGGACATAAAACATTAAAGAAAAATATTAAACAGAGCTTTATTGACCTGTGGGGCAATATCTCTTAGTTTAACACATGTACGAATGAATATCACAAGAAGAAAAGAGAAAAGTGGGACTGATAAAAATAACTGAAAAATAAGCCAAAGATTTTTTTTAAAATAGTGAAAAACCTACCTTTTGTGGTATAATGCATCTGCAAATGCACAGATCATAGAAGGTCACACACACGGCACCTCAAACAGAATAAACAAACACACTGAGAATCTGGGAACACTGTAGTTAAACTAGTAAGAATAAAATAGAACATCAGAAAAAGATGATGTTACAAAAAGGTGCATTACAATTTGAAAACAGTTTGCTTTTTGTCAAACTAATAGAGGCCAGTGAATGATGGAACATCTTTCGAGTGTTGGGAAAAGAAAAAAAAAAAACTGCCAAACTAGAATTCTACATTTAGCAATATATATCCATTGAAAATGAGGGTAAAATATAGTGTCACATAATCAGAAGTACAAAGGGTTCATTTCTAGCACCTTTTCATTACAGCAAATGCTAATTAATGTCCTTATGATGCGAAGAATGGGATGCTAGATGGAAACTTTGCTATACAGCAACAAAACTGAGCTAAAGAATTGTTATATATATGGGAATACATAAGAGACCTGTTTGTACTTTTAAATCCTTTAAAACACAATAATAATTTTAAGAGAAAGTATTTTTATTGCATTTTGGAACTAAAAGGTATAATTGGATTATTTGTAACACAAAAGGTAAATGCTTGAAGTGGTGGATACCTCATTTACCCTCATGTGATTATTATGCACTGCATGCCTGTATCAAAATATGTCATGTACTACATAAGTATATACACCTACTATGTACCCACAAAAGTTAGTAATTGAAAATTTAAAAAATGTATTTGGGGAAGAGAAAGTATTTAAAGAAGTTAAATATGTCATAATAGCACAAAGGATACAGAAGTATAAATGCAATTACACAAATGAAAGTTTCTTGCATTTTATATATAGAGTTGCAATATTAACTTTATATTCAAAAATGTATATTTTATTTCCTAGAGTAATGCCAGAAAAGTAATACAAAAACATAACGATAAAAAAATAAGTTTATTAAAACTCAAAGAAAAAAGAAGACCTTATCCCACAAAATTGCAGAAATAAAAAACAAATGACCTAAAAAATGAACAAGACAAATACAAAACAAATGGAAAGGCAGTATTCTTTAACCTAAATATCTCAATTTTTATATTAAATATGTATTGACTAGATACCCCAGATAAAAATAAAAATTGTTAGACAGTATGTAAAAGTAGTCCCAATTATATGTTATCTGTATGTATTTAAACATAAATACACAAAAAGCTTAGAGGCAAAGGGATGGAAAAACATGATATGAAAATTATTTGTATAAAGTCTGCATTAATATATTAACAGAAAAAATGTGGCTTTTAGTAGAAATAATATTCACAGAGATTTAAAGGCCTATACCAGAATGACAAAAAAATTAATTCATCAAGAATTGACAATCTGAAATATGCATTCACCTAATAATGAAGTCTTAAAATGTATGAAGCAAAAACTACCAGTTCTATTGAAAGAAATGGGAAAATACACATTCATGGATTTATTTTTTACACCCGCCTTTTAGTAACATATAGAACAAATAAATATAAGGATATAGAAGATTTGAATTACACTATTAATCAAATTGACCAAATTAACATTTATAGAAGCCTGTAGCCAATAAATATAGAATATACAATGTTTTTAAGTACACATAGAATGCTTAAAAAACTAAACTTAAAAAGTCACAATATTTTAAAAGCAAATCTTACAGAATATGATGTCTGACCACAACACAATATAACTAGAAAGCAATAATAGTAAGATATCTAAAAATTACCCAAATCATTTAAAACTTCTAATTAATACCAAGATAAATGAAAAAAAAGTACAGAGAAATTAGGAGACACTTTACATTACTAAATGAAAACCCTAATCTAACCATAACCCTAATAATAGACAACATAAACTTTGTATGGTACAACTTAAGAATTGCTTAGAAGAATATTTATAGCTTTAAAAGATATCTTAAAATATACTACAGTGTATATTTGAACTGATAGTCATGAGTCCTGGGACTGGAGTATAATAAAGAAACAGATCACGTTACTGCCTCTCTAAGATGTGGAGCCAGCTCAGTCCCCTCACCCTCCATGAAGACCTCAGTGCATTTCACCAGGAGCTCCCCCTAGCCATACTCATTAGGCCTGGTGCCTGTGTTTGTTATTGGGGTATTCATGAGCAAGCCCAGCTGTGTCCCCCTGCCCCACTGAAGAGGAAGCTCAGGGCACCAGGCATTCCACTGTCCTGTCCATCAACTGAAGCAACAGAAACCACCCCATAGTAGACAAAGATCAAGTACTACTCATCTGCTTGTGCCACAGCTGGCTTTTGCCTATAAGTGCCACCTACTGGCCTGCACTTTGAACAGCACAGGCTAATATAAAACCTGCTGAAAGAGGCATGTAGGGCTACAGAGGCAAAGACAAAAGGCCCTACCCAACAAATTCTATAGTCACTCCCCTTGAAGAGGGGAGAAGAGAGGAGGACAAAAAAAAAAAAAAATGGAAAAGGAAAAAAACCCTGTCTACATGAAAATAGTATAAAAAATTTGAAGTACCAGCCACTCCACATGGGAAGGAAGCAGTATAATAATTCTGGCACCATCAAAATCAGAATGTTCTAGCAGTGGATACTAACCAAAATGAAAACTGAGAAATAAAATATTAAGAATCCAAAGTATGGATTGCAAGGAAACTCAATGAGATCCAAGACAAGATTAAAAATCAATAAAAGAAACCACAAAAGCAATTCAGGAAGTGAAGGAAGAGATAAATTTCTTTAAAATATCAATCAGAACTTCTGGAATTGAAAAATTCACTTAAGTAATTCCAAAATACAATTGAAAGCTTCCACAATAGACTATTTCAAGCCAAAAAAAAAAGAACTTCAGAGCTTGAAGACCAATCTTTTGAACTAGCCCAGTTAGACAAAAATTTAAAAAAGAATGTAAAAAAAAAAACAAAATATGGGATTATGTAAAGTGATCAGACCTATGACTTATTGGCATTCCTGAGAGAGAAGAAGGAAAAGAAAGCAAGCTGAAAAATATTTGATAGAATAATTCAAGAAAATTTCTCTAATCATGCTAGAGAGATAGAAAATCAGACAAAAGAAATTCAGAGAACACCTGCAAGATACTATAGAAAATGAAAACCACCAAGGCATATAGTCACCAGACTATCCAAGGTCAATGTTAAAGAAAAATATCTTCGCGCCTGCATTTAGCAGCTAGAGAAAAGAATCAAATCATCTACAAGGAAAACCAATCAGATTAACAATGGACTTCTCAACAGAAATCCTAGAAGCCAGAAGAGATTGAAGGCCTACTTTTAGCTTCCGTAAAGAGAAAACAGCGAGACAAGAATGAAATATCTTGCCAAAATAAGCTTCATAAATGAAGGAGAAATAAAGCCTTTCCCAGATAAGCGATTGCTAAGAGAATCTTTTACCACTAGACCAGTCTTACAAGAAATGCTCAAAGGAGTTGTAAACATGCAAATGAAAAGATGATACTCATCATCAGAAAAGAACACATAAGTATAAAGCTCACGGATCCTATAAAGCAACTACATAGTTGAAACTCCAAAACAACAAGCTAACAACACTACATCAGGGGCAAAACATCACAAATCAATATTAACCTTGAATGTCAATGGCCTAAATTCCCCATTTAAAAGACACAGAATGGCAAATTGGATCAGAAAAAAAAGAAGACTCAACCATCTGCTGTCTACAAGAGACCCACCTACCGGCTAAAGACACTTTCAGATTCAAAGTTAAAAGTACGGAAAATATACATCACACAAATGAGAAACAAAAGTGAGCAGAAGTAGCTATTCTCTTCAGATAAAACAGACTTTAACAACAGTGAAAAAACACAAAGAAATGTATTATATAATGATAAATGGTTCAAAATTACAAGAAGATTTAACTATTCTAAATGTATATGCTCCAAACATTGAGCACCCAGATTCATTAAACAAATACTACACTAGACATAAAAAGCAGGTTGATAGCAATACAATAATAGCAGAAGACTTCAACACCCCCACTGACATCACTAGCTTGATCAACAAGGCAGGAAATCAACAAAGAAACTCTGGACTTAAACTGGACTATAGACCAAATGGACATAATAGGCATCTTCAGAGCATTCTATCCAACAACTTCAGAATATACATTCTTGTTATCTGCACTTAGAATGTTCACCAAAATAGACCATATCCTTGGCCATAAGGCAAGTCTCAAGTCACAAAAATCAAAATCATATCAAATATCTTCTTGGACTACAGTGGAATAAATCAGAAATCAAAACCAAGAAGAACTCTCAAAACTACCCAAGTATATGGAAATTAAAAACTTGCTCAAGAATGACTTTTCAATGGACGAGAAAATTGAGGCAGAAACCTTAAAAAGTATTTGAAATGAGTGAAAATAGAAAAAAAAATCCATTCCAAAACCTCTGAGTTACAGCACAAGCAATGCTAAGAGGAATGTTTGTAACACAAACATCAAAAAAACAGATCTCAAATTAACAAGCTAATGTCATATCTCAAACAAATAGACAAATAAGAAAAAAAAAACTAAATGTAGCAGAAGAAATGAAATAGCAAAGATCAGACAAGAACTAAATGAGACTGAGATCAAGAAAATCATATGAAGGATTAATGAAAAGAAAAAGTTGGTTTTTTGAAAAGATAAACAAAATTGGCAGGTCAGTAGCTAGACTAACCAAGAAAAAAGAGAAAATTCAAATAAGTACTATCAGAAATTATAAAGCTGACATCATAACTGATACCAGGTAAATACAAAAGATCATCAGAGACTACTACAAACACCTCTATGCACACAAACTAGAAAACTTAGAGAAAAGGGATAAATTCCTGGAAACATATAGCCTCTCAAGATTTAGCTAGGAATAAATAGAAATCCTGAGAATACCTATAATAAGTTACTAAATGGAATCAGTAATAAAAAAAATCCTTTCAACAACAAAAAGCCCAGGACCAGATGGATTCACCGCCGAATTTTACAAGAAATACACAGAACAGCTGGTATGAATCTTACTGAAACTAATCCAAAAAATCAAAGAGGAGGCATCCCTCTTTAACTCATTCCACAAATTCAGTATCATCCTGATACCAAAATCAGCCAAGAACAAAAAAAAAAAAAAGAAAAAGAAAAGAAAATTACAGGCCAGTATCCTAGATGAACATAGATGCAAAAGTCCTTAACGAAATACTGGCAAAACAAATTCAACAGTACATTGAAAAGATCTTTACCATGATCAAATAGTCTGCAACATGCACAAATCAATAAACTCGATCCACCACATAAACAGAACTAAGAACAAAAACGATATGATCCTCTCAATAGAGGCAGAAAAGGCATTCAATAAAATCCAATGTCCCTTCAGGATAAAAACCCTTAATTAAGTAGGCATAGATGCAAAATATCCAAAATAAAAAGAGCCATATGTGACAGACCTACAGCCAACATCATACTGAATGGGGAAAAGTTGAAAGTATTTTCCTAAAAACCAGAACAAGATAAGGATGACCAGTCTCACCATTCCAATTCAACATAGCACTGAAAACCCTAGCCAGATAAATCAAGTGATAAAAAGAAATAGAAAGCATCCAAAGTGGAAAAGGGGAAGTCAAATTATCTTTGTCCACTGATTACATGGTTGTATACCTAGAAAATCCTAGACTCCTGTGGACTTGATAAGTGACTTCAGTAGAGTTGCAGGACATAAAGTCAATGTACAACAACCTGTAGCATTTATATAAACCAATAGCATTGAAGCTGAGAACTAAATGAGAACTGAAGTCCATCATTCAGTTCCAATAGCCACACAAAATATAAAATATCTAGGAATAGTTTCAACCATGGAACTGAATAATCTCTAAAGGGAGAAATACAAAACACTGATAAAAAAATTAAAGATAAACAAACAAATTGAAAAGGATACCAGGCTCATGAGAATTACAAAACACTGCTTAAAGAAATCAGAGAATACACAAACAAATGGAAAAATATTCCATGTTCGGGGTTAGGAATAATCAATGTCATCAAAATGACCATACTACCCAAAGCACTTTACTCATTCAATGCTATTCTTATTAAACCACAAATGACATTCTCCAGAGAATTAGAAAAAAACTATTTTAAAATATGAAACCAATAAAAAAAAGAGCCCGAATAGCCAAGGTCCTAAGCAAAAAGAACAAAGCAGAAAGCATCATGCTAACTAACTTCAAACCATACTACAGGGCTAGAGTAACCAAAACAGTATAGTACTGGCACTAAAATAGATACATAGACCAATGGAACAAAATGGAGATCCCAGAAATAAAGCTGCACACCTACAACCATTTGATCTTCTAAAGCTGACAAAAACAAGCAATGGGGAAAGGACTCCCTATTCCATAAATGGATAGCTATTCCATAGCTGGGATAACTGGCTAGCCATATGCAGAAAATTGAAACTGGATTCTTTGCTTACATCATATACAAAAATCAACTGAAGATGGGTTAAAGACTTAAATATAATACCCAAAATTATAAAACCCTGGAAGACAACCTAGGAAATGCCATTTAGGATACAGGAACTGGCAAAGGTTTCATGATGAAGGTGGCAAAGGTTTCATGATGAAGGTGCCAAAAGCAATTACAACGAAAGCAAACACTGACAAATGAGTTCTAATTAAACTAAAAAGCTTGTGCATAGCAAAACAAATTATCAACAGGGTAAACAGACAACAGACAGAATGGGAGAAAATTGTTGCAAACCCTGCATCTGACAAAGGTCTAATATCCGGCATCTATAAGGAACTTAAACACATTTACAAGAAAAAAAACAAACAATCCCATTAAAAAGTGGGCAACAGACACTTTTGAAAAGAAGACATAGATGTGGCCAACAAGCATATGAAAAACAGCTCAACATCTCTGGTAATTAGAGAAACACAAATCAAAACCACAATGAGGTACCATCTCACACCAGTCAGAATGACTATGATTAAAACTTCATAAAATAATAGATATTGGTGAGGTTGTGGAGAAGAGGGAATGTTCATACACTCTTGGGAATGTAAATTAGTTCAACCATTGTGGAAAACAGTGTGGCAATTCCTCAAAGAGCTAAAAACAGAAATTTCATTCGACCTAGCAATCCCATTACTGGGTATATACCCAAAGGAATATAAATCATTTTATTATAAAGACACATGCACATATATATTCACTGCAGCACTATTCACAACAGCACAGACATGGAATTAACCTAAATGTTCATGACTGTAAGAACAAGTAAAGATAATGTGGAACACATACATGGAATACTATGCTTCCATAAAAGAGAACACAATCGTGTCCTTGCAAGAACATGGATGGTGCTGGAAGTCATTATCCTTAGCAAGCTAATACAAAAACAAGAAACCAAATACCATGTGTTTTCACTTAAAAGTGAGAGCTAAATGATGAGAACACATGTACACATGGAGGGGAACAGCATACCCTGGGACATATCAGAGGGTGGAGGGTGAGAGGAGCAGAAAAAAGAACTACTAGGCTTAGTCCTGCATCATGAAATAATGTGTACAACAAAGCCCCATAACACAAGTTTCCCTATATAATAAATCTGCACATGTATCCCTGAACCTAAAATAAAAAGTTTTTTTATTTGTTTTTTTGTTTGTTTGTTTTTTGAGACAGAGTCTCACTCTGTCGCCCAGGCTGGAGTGCAGTGGCACGATCTCAGCTCACTGCAAACTCCGCTGATAATATTCTAAAACAAAAAACAAAAAACAAACAAAAAACAGAAAGCTAAGCAAAGTTGTTAGATCTAAATTGAATTGAATGTTTCAAAATGTCCAAAAGCACTTGGACATATTTAATAAATTAGTTTGAAACACAAAAACAGAGCTGAAATGTTAAAAAAATAGAAAATAAAAGCTTTAAGTATGCAGTAGCACATAAAATAACTTCTACAGTACAATCAAAATTGTTGTGATAAAAACACAATTTACTTTTCTGAGATATATTAGAATATTAAATACACAAGAACAATAACTAAATTGTACCAAAATAAATACAAAATCTTATTCAAAAAAACCTAAATCCCTAGAGACATTCAACTTAGCATCATTAATAAGAGGAATTAGATCAAATGCTCAACAGAAAACTTATGAAGAGATAAATTATTATTACTGATTTCTTAGTTGATTATCATGTAGATTTTCAAGATAATGTTAATATTTCAAACATGAAAAATGCTTTTGTTACGCTAGGTGACTTTAGTGAAATGTATTATACAAAGTTGGGCTTATCTGTTAAAAAGGAAAAAAAAAAGAAGAAAGGAAGGAAGGAATTAAGGACTTAAACCCTCAGAATAATACGGTAGAAATGCAGGTGAGTTATATTTAATTTTTTTTCCATATTATCAAATTGTTATAAGCAGCATATATTGCTTTGGTAATGTGTTTTAAAATTGTATTTCTTGGAATCCTGCTTTCAATTTTTCACTTTGGTGCCCTTTTATAATTCTTATATGAAATGTTATTTTTAATTAAGTTAAAATGAAATTATATCTGAAAACTTGAGAACAACTTTTTCATAAATGGGATGGAGGAAACCATAAAGAGCCATTACCAATGGGAAGCATAGAAGCAAACGCTTTGACATTAATATATGATCAAAATCGTTCCTACTTAGAGCCATAAAATATATTATTGAAGCAGTTTAGGTCAGCTTATGGGAGCAATGAAACTTCTGTCCAGGTCCTTGGAGAGGGTCCCTGCCACTCATGCTTTCCCAAATAAAACTGACCCCCTTAGACAAGCTTGCTTTAATTCAATGTAGTTACATAGGTACATACTTCCTTTTTGCAGTTTGAAGGGCAGATTTAATAATTAAATAGTTCCTTTTATTATATAAGTAATTCAGATATCTAAGTGGTTGTGGTCAAAGATGTAGGTGGAGGGCAAGAATGCAATTGGAGGGATTTGGCCTGACTGGCAAGGTAAAATAAATGTCTCTTTGTCAAAGACATCATGTTGTTGATTAATATTTTGCAAGAAATTTCTTCTAATATAGTTGTTTTATACATTTATATAAATGCATTTACTTATTTATTTTTTAGTTATGCATACATAATCCTCTTCTACCCCTTATCCTATGTTAATATTTAAGCTATTGATATAACCAAAGATATATAAAATATTGGCATAGTTTGCAGGAACTGTAATCATAAGCCTAAGTTTGTCATTAATTTATTTGTATATCACTCATTTACAACACACTTTATATAAACCAAAAGTATGCTGGTTGATACAGAGACAAGGTTTAAAATTTCTGTTCTTAAAAGTTTAAGCCCATTATAGAGGACAAATTGTAAACCAATGATGGCATTTTTAGATGTTTTCCTAGAATCCTGTGTTAAGGCAGAGAAGGACGAGATCATCATTACATCAGTTAGGGATGGCTTCACAAGCACATGCTTGAGTTGAGTTATGTGGGAATAAAAGATATATCCATCAAAGAATTAAAGAAGTACAGTATAGGCAGAGGACCTATATTACAGAAAAACCTTGAATCTTAAAATTGAATGGCAAGTTCAGGGGCGTGAAAATGATTCCATATGTAGGAGAATAGAAGAGCAATCATGAGTCAGAAGGAGTTGATCCACAGAGGTCCTTAAGAATCAGATTTAGGAGGACCTTATGTGCCATAACAAGAAAATTAGTTTTATTCAGAGAGAAATGTGATCTGTATATTCTGAATAATAACTAATAATAATAACAGATGTAACATTTACTGTTCATTTAATATCCAACATTGACAAGAACTTTTCTTTCTTCAATATCTTTATTGTCACAACAATCTTATACTAAGGAGACAGCAAGAGCATATTTCAGTTAGTGCTTTTGAAAACAACTTTAGCATTACTTTGGAGACAGTGTGAAGAGAAGCATGCCTAGAAGTACAAATAATAACTACTTAGGAGGCAATTGCCACTTTCCAGATACATGGAATGCAGAGACAGTGGGTTTGACAAGGAAGGCAAAAAATCCAGTTCTGATTCAGATTTAGTGGTGCTGGCTACTTTTACCCCCTGGTGGGTCTTTAATTTCTTGCCAGTAAAGGAGGGAAATTGAACTGGAAGGTCTTCAAAAGACTCTATTATTTAATTAAGTTTTTCTTGAAAGCAGACCTTGAGACAATGATTTGGGTGCAGGCAGTATATTTGTAAAGTAATTCTAGTGGGAAAAGTAAAAACAGGAAGAAAAGAAAAAGGTCAGCAAAGGATATGTGGTGAATAGGTTTTTGCCAAGGGCAACTAGAACTTAGTTCCATAGGGATCTTCTGAGGAATCTTATACACCTCAAAATTACCCCACTGTGGAACAGGAAACTGGAACACTTATCTACTAAATTCCATAGCTTACTATCTGAGGATTGCCCCTGGAGGAATTCACTCTTCTGCACTTGTGAGTTACCCTGACCTTGGGTTGATTAAGCTACCATGGCATTGGAGAGAGCCTTCAGGAAAAGAAGTAGAAAGACACCTGTGTTTGAGGTGGAAAGAAATCGTGACTGGGAACTTTTCTGTGCAGCTAGGGAGACAAAGGGGCCCCATAGGTACTCCATGAAAAATGAAGAACACCAGCTATTTGTTCTTCCAATGTTTCAGTGGCCTTGTTGGATCTTTACCTCTTCAGCATAGCTTTCCCATAGCCAACAGTGTCAGCCATAGCACTCAGAAATTACTCTCCATTCCTGAGTAGGCAATAGTACTCTGAGGTTTTAGGACGATACTATCACGCCACATTCTTAACTCAAGCTATTTGTGGAACGTAGATTCTCACTGTGGGCCCAGGGGAGTAGCAAGTAATCCTCAGCTAAGTTTATCCACTATTAATTCAGAGTCAGCACAAGAATTAAGCTCTCTGCTATGATCTGAATGTGTTTGGCTGAATTCGTGTGTTGAAACTTAATAGCTAATGTGGTAGTATTAACATGTTGGGCCTTTAAGAGGTGATTAAGTAATGAAAACAGAGCCCCTCAAGGTTAGGATTAGGGTTCTTATAAAAGGGTTAGAAAGAGTGAATTTCTTCCCATTCCTTTCTTCTGACTTGTGAGGACACAACAACTTGGTGCTATCTTGGAAGTAGGGAACAGGCCCTCATGAGGCACCCTACTTGCTGGTGCCTTAATCTTAGACTTTACAGCCTCCAGAACTATGAAAAAATATATGTATTATCTTTAAGCATTACTCAATCTGTGGCATTTTATTACATAGTAGTACACAAATGGACTGACATCCTCCTAAAGAAAGTGAATTTCAGGATTTTTGCTTGGA
This sequence comes from Homo sapiens, assembly GCF_000001405.40. NCBI lineage: Eukaryota > Metazoa > Chordata > Mammalia > Primates > Hominidae > Homo > Homo sapiens. The sequence continues at coordinate 104,422,104 of NC_000005.10, forward strand.
TTAATGCAACAAAATTGATTTCTTTTATTCAAATTTACAGCAGAATTATCTTGCCTTGAGAGTTGCTGGTTACCATCTTGCAATGTGAATAAAAAGCTGTCAGTATTCGCAGGTAAAATAGAATACAGTGACCCTTCAACAACATGGAATTTAGGGGCACCAACCCCTCACACAGTTGAAAATCCATGTATACATGTGGGTCCCCAAAAACTTAAATACTAGTATCTCATTATTGAGCAGAAGCCTTATCCATAAATAAGCAATCTGATTAACACTTATTTTGTGTGTCATATGCATTATATACTTTTACAGTTAGAGGAAAAGAAATGTTACTAAGAAAATCATAAGGACGAAAAAATATATTTACCATTCATTAAGTTGAAGTAGATCACCATAGGGCTCTTCATTTTTGTTGTCTTCACTTGAGTAGGCTAAGGAGAAAGAGGAGGGGTTGGTCTGGTTATCTCAAGGGTGGTAGAGGTAGAAGAAAATCTGTGTATAAGAAGACCTGCACAGTTCATACCTGGGTTGTTCAAGGGTCAACTGTATACAGAACTTATAAATAGTTACTATATTTTGATAGTAGAGATTAATGATACTTCAGCTGTACTCTTAACAACCTAAGTTTGTCTTGATTAAAGGCTGGACACTTCAAATATAGATATGAATCAAGGTAACATCATTTAAATCTCGAATCAAGCTATCTCAAAACATGTCTGCCATAAATCGTTTTTCTCACGTTTGTGAGGCAATAACTTCCCATTTAAGCAATGCATTAAGGTTTTGTTCCTGAAACTAAAAAAAAAAGTTTAATGCATTAATGTGTTTCATATTTTAAATTAAATCTCTTGTTTATTAAATCTTAAATTTTCAAAAGTCTAGATGTATTAGAGTTTGAGATTAAAAACTAATTAAAACCTTCTCCCTAATAGAAAAATATTTTTTATAAAAATATTCTGTTGCAAATGATTGTCTATAAACAGTGCCTATTTTTATCAATTCAAAACTATATTTTAAATGATCATTGACACTAAGAAGACATTATTCTACCAACCAGCCTAGTTCTATTCAATGGGTTAAGCTTTCCTCAAAAAATTGTTCTGAGGTAATTATCTTTCTAGAATTTCCCACTTATAACACTATTTTAATTCATCTTTAAATTATTTAAGATTTTAAAGATTTAAAAAAAAAATCTCATACTTAAGGTTTCATTCTACCAAATGGGGTGGGGAGGAGGACACGTTAGTCTGGATGTACTTAGAAGCTACCTTTATATATATGTAAGGCAGTTTCCCTTTCATTATTTTTAGTTCTTGAGATTTTAATTTATATTTTCCTATTCTAAGTTTTGGTTAGTGAGTTTTAAATGCATCTAGATGTGCATATTTTTAATTGTTTTTGAACATAATTTGTTTAAATAAAGAAAGAATAGAATCAAATTTAGACATGCCATTTTTACCATCTTTTAGCAGAGAAAGTTCTTGGCTGGACTTTTAGACTTTATTTAGACACTCATATTGCCACACATGTATCATAACTTGGTGTCTGAGATTATTACTCCAAGACCTAAGGAAACATAGGGAAAGTGTATCTTCTGGAAAGAATAAATTACTTAAATTTTCAGTCTATAATGTTCCAAAGTAGAAGCATATTTACTAGAATAAATTACTCTCATTTTGTAGAACATATGTAATTGTTCTAATATGAACTTAATTTAAAAATTTTGAGTTCTAAATTTACTTCTAATTTTAATATTGGAATGGAAAACTAAATGGAAGAATGTTCTGTGAGTGATTCTATAGTTTTTGTAACAAATGTATTAAAATTGTTTGTATATCAATTTCAGCTATGCAGATACAGGTATATCAGATTATATAATTAATAAAAGAGATGTCAGAAATCTCCTTATCCTTGTACTTTAGTAAATTTAGAAATGTATTTTTAACTCCATAAAATGTATCACAGAAAATATACATAGTTACTAGATTTGAATGGTAGATACCAATGATATTTTAGCTGTTTACTTGACCACATGTCAATAAAATGTATCTGTCAATACAATATGGATGACTGCACATTTTTATGAGGTTTAAAAATTTTATCCTAAGCATTTTAGAGATTAAAAGTGTGAGATCAGGATGCAGGCTGTGTGGGTTCGCCTTTCAGGTCCACCACTTTCCAACAGGCTGACTTTGGGTAAACTTATAGAGTAGTTTAAAGGATTAAATTAATTAATACATTCAACCATACAAAAAATAATTACTGAACACTAATACTGTAAAAAGTGATGTGCTAGGTATTAGGCATAGAGTGGTGAACAGGTGAAATACCTGCTTTCAGATTTTCATTCTAGTAATGGGAGACAGATAATAAACCAACAAATATAAAATATGGCAGGTAGTGATAAGTTTTAGGAAGAAAAATAAAGTAAGGTTTCAAGACATCAATAGAGCTATTTTGAGACTGGGTGGTCACAGACTCTGAAGAAGTGAGCACCCTGGCAATGCAGCCAAATGGGGGAAAGGCATCAGAGGAAATGCAGAGTCCCTGAGCAGAGCATCCTGGGGAGCTCAAGTAGACTAAGGAGGCTGGTGTGCTGTGCCTTGAGCTGAGTGAGCAGGGGCGAGAGTGTAGGAGAGAAAGACAGAATGGCAGCTAAAAGTAAGTCTATATTAGGCATTGTAGGCTGTGTAATGAATTGGACAGTTATTCTGGGTAAAATAACAGCAACTGAATGGTTTTTGATAAGAAGAACAATGGTTCTAGGTTTTATTTTAAATGAATTACCTCACTGAAAATCTATTTCAGCAATTTTGAAATGTGCAATACATTATTATTCACTATGGTCACCATGCAGTCACCAAAACTTATTCCTTCAGTCTAACTGAAACTTTTGTAGTAGTTGATCTATATCTATATCTATATCTATATCTATATCTATATCTATATCTATACACACACACACACACGTACATACATACATACCTCGAAATATCACATCATACCCCACAATACCCCATATATGTACAAACAATTTAAAAATAAACAGTTTTTAAAAATTATTCTGGCTCCTGTGTAGATAAGAGAAACCAGGTCAGAAAGCACAGAAACAAACAGACCTGTTCAGAAGATATTGCAGTGTGTTCACTGAAAGTTTCTGTGATGATGATATTCTAACCATGAGCTGTACAATGTGGTAGTCACTAGCCATATATTGTTATTGAGCACTTGAAATGTGGATGAGGGGTTAAAATTTTAATTTAATTTAATTTAATTTTTAAAAATTTTAATTTAAATAACCAAGTGTGGCTAATAGCTACTGTGTTGGATGCCCCAGAAGCATCTTAGAAGAATGCTTAGAAAAAGAGTTGTCATATAGTAAGCATTAAATAAGCATGATCTTTTTTCTTTACAAGCTCATAATCAATAAAACTGAGTAATATTTATATTTGAATCATCCAAGCCTTTTGCACACAACATAATGTTTGTAATAATAATTGATAGTTTTGAAACCTTATATATGTTTCCCTAGAGAAACAGAGCTAATAGGTTATGCAGGCTATGTATACACATGTATACATGTGTATACATGTACCTATATGTATGAATTATAAGGATATGTCCCATACAATTATGGAAGCTAGTAAGTCCAAATTTCAGGAGGGGTAGGCAGACTGGGGACCCAGGGAGAGCTGCTGTTCCAGTTCAAAGTCTGTGATTTAATAGAAACATAAACTATTTAACAAAATATTTACAAAGTTGAGATTAAACATTTATATAATGAAGTTTGTGTAGATTACTTTAGTGTCCAGGGTCAAATACAAAAACAAGATAAAACCCTAAATCAGAAAGGAATGGTCTGGGGAAACTAAAGTTAACTTTTAGAATTTTGAGGCATTTTTGTAGCAGACCAGGGACAAGAACAGTTAGTGAAGATAATTTTGTACATCAAGAAAAAAATGTAGTGGAAATAAATATGAGGATTGTTTCTCATATTTTGTGTCTGGAATGGATAATTATTGTAGGGTAAGAAGAGTTCAATACTGTGATGACTAGTTGAGATACCAGAACGTGCAGTATTGTAATATAAGAAAGATAATTTGAATATACCACATCTACATACTTCTGTGGATATTTTATAAAACACTTCTTCAGGATGTTAACTGTTCTATAGGTAATGTATCCCATAATCTGAGACTTCATCTGCCGAACCAGCTCTTATTTACCAGTAGTCTACCTTCAGACTCAAACTGCAACTCTTCTGAATCTCCAACCTGCCAGCCTCCCCCATCAGATTTTGGACTCACCAGGCCTCCATAATTGTATAAGCCAATTCCTTAAACTAAATTTTTACACACACACACACGCACACACACACACACACCCTCTTGGCTAGAGGGTGTTTCTCTAGAGAATGCTAATACAATATGCAATTATTAAATAAGATAATATGTGCATTGAGGAAATTTACATGAATGTAGTTTACCTCAAGTAATGTTTAAATTACAATTATTAAACTGAAGAACATTGAACTATGCTTGCTTAAATGAAAGGTAGAGTAAAAAGCTGCAATATATTGTTAATTTTGCCATTGAATTTTTAAAATAATTTCATATGTGAAGTGTAATTCAGAAAAGTAACATATATGAGTTAAATAATAAATTTCATACTTAACAAAATTACACATTAATTAATTTTCTTAGCTTCCTAGGTACTTAAGTATTTATACTCTGTATTTTCTTTTACCTGGCATCATAATTACATAAATGAAAAGTAGATATTTGTTAGAATTTTTTCTAATATCTTAACAGAGATATGTTGAAACTGTGAATGGGTGAGATTTTATATGAGAATGAAATTTTATTTGATATTTTAACATATTGGCTTAGAATATCTATCGCTTTGACAGAAAAAAAAACTTCTACATACTCGGGTAAGTATCACTTCAGTACTTTTACAAAGATCATTCATCCCAGTGTATATTAGAATTATTCTTTCATAGAAACTGAAATGAATAACCATCAATTTATTTGTCTATTTTTTTGAGAAATATGGCTTCAAATCATATTCTCATGAATGTATTTATTCATGGAATATTAATAACTGGTACTGTAGAACTTCGATTTCTATGAATACATTTGTTCAGATGGTCTGCTTTTATATATAGCAAAAATAATTATTTCCTAATGATTACAGCCTGTGTGAGTGATATAAAAATATAAGAAAACATGTGTGGTTTAGAAATTTACTTTAGATATTAGAGTGGATTGCTAAAATATGAAAAGAAATTAAAATTATTCAGTTAAATTCAATGGCAATGTGTCCTTCAAATAGCATAAAAACTTAAAGAATATCTCAAAACAGTAACACATTTTCCTACTCAAAGCAAAGAGAAGACTAGGATCAGGTTTAAGTAAATTTAAAATACAAACTATATCTGATGAAATGGCTTGTGTACATTAGAGAAATTGGAGATTTCTCAAGGACACAAGGGATTATTCTGGACAGACTTATTTTGTTTGTTGTTTGGAATGTTTGGAATTCTTTTAGCAGTGTGGCAGGCATTTTAGTGCTCCAAGAACTTTGTTGTATTTTTTGATAGGTACCCAGTTTTTGGAGGAGGAAGTGGGGATGACTTACGTGCCTCCTGTGGTTTGTTAGCCTGAGGCCCCATGATGCCTTTGAGGGTCTGGGAAGCATGAAGCTTGCTGGCAATAGTGGCAGTATTTGCCCCAGTAAAGAGGACAGGCAGGCCACTTCCCTCACCTGAACAACACAAACATGGAGATCAGGGTGCCATTTCTTCACCATTGGGCAGCCCAGCCAACACTTTCCTCCATAGAGGTCACTGAAAAGACATAGACAAACCGGGGTTCTGCCCTCAATAATAAAGAAACACCAACACTCAAGAAGTGACAGAGCCCTGGGATAGGTCTCTGCCAAACACAGGTTGTGATGTGAAACATACTTGAAAGTCAGATCTGAGAAAGTGCCGCTTATGTGGCTTATTGTTCCTACTGACCAAAGGTGAGCCTCACTTGGACTAGTATCTAGCCCATGGAGTTTAGCCAAGTAATGCTATTTTTGTTGAATATTCCCATTTGGATAAGGAGAAAAATGACAACAAAGCCCACAGGAGTTCTACCCCACAATGCTTTCGTGATGGTTTGGAATCAGTTAGTAAGGCAAAAAAGCGCAGTTCTCCCATGAAGCTATCCGGGAGTCAGTGGTCATGGCCATGCCATCCTGGTCACAGCTGTGGGTATTTTATAAGATTTAAAGATCATCTTATGGGAGAACACAACACAATGAATGACACTCATAAAAGAAAAGCAAGACTCTGTTATTTACAGTTCTAAATGAAAGAAGATTGGCAGACAAGGCCACAAAGGGGGTTGTACCCAGGGAGAGGGTAACAGCAAGCTGGAGCTATAAGGAGTAGCTCACGTATGCCAAGGGGTGTAGGGTGAGCTTCTTTTCTTGGAATCTGATGGATGGGCTAATTTGAACAATTTCTCTTGGTTTCAGGGGCATAGGAGCTGACCCTTGTTGTCTGGTACTTGACACCAGGGTGTTTAGAAATGATGCATGGTGGCCCAGGAATGTGAGAACCAGATATAAGGTTAAGTGTGGACTTGATCAACTATTCAAAAAGCGGAACTGACCAGCCTCTCTCTAGCAGGGCCTCAACACTAGGTCAAGATGGCATTAAAACAAATTATGTTATAACATATGACATTATTTGGTAATTTTTCAAAAGCAATTTTGTATTAGGAGAGGTTGCCTGATGAAGCATGCCTCAATGTAAATGTAATAATTAGTAAAGTACATGATTTGCTGAAAGATACATAGAAGTGCTTGATTCTTTGGTTTGTTGACTGTGAATATTCAACATTGAATTTGTTTAGATGGTTATCCACTCTGTTAAAAAAAATTAATTGCCACTTGATTTTTTTCAGTGTAGACTTAAGGTACGTGAAACTGAGATTATAGATGTTAGCAAGTAGATATAAGACAGAACATTTTACAGCAAGATGTGACTTCAAGATCACTTTGCTAGATATCCTTATTTTAAAAACAGAAGAATGTATGGCATGTGAAGTTGTTTGGGGACTTAGCCAAAGTCACAGATTTATAAATGTCATCATCAGAATTTGAAACTAGGTCTCTTGACCTCCAGACTTGTTTTCGTTTATACTCTATTTTAAATTATTCTCTAAGCTTTATGAATCAAGTTTATTTAATCAAAACTGGTTAATTTTAAGCAAATCCTTAATCTCTGGGAATTGGATATTGTTCATAAATTGCAATTGCCTGACTTTGTTTCTCATGTTTACATTAAAGGCATTAAAAGCCTTAAGAAATGTCAAATAATAAAATCAAATTATCAAACTACTGTCTGTGACAAAGTATAAAATAATCCTAACCATGTGGAATACATGTAATATTATTGGGGAAACTTATAAGAAAACAGTATAAACATCTTTGGGTTTGTATAACTTAGCTTTACAGAGTCAGTTGATTAGTGTTAAACAATTTTAATCAAATTATAGTTATATATACTTATACACATTATGTTTTCTGCTATACTTTACCTATATCCAAATATATATGTTACCTTCAAGTAACATATTATTAAATTTTAAATTAGATTAAATTTACTTTCAATTAAGATATATATTTGGATATAGGTAAAGTATAGCAAAAAACATGATGTGCATAAGTATAGCTAACTGTAATCTGATTTAAATTGGTTAACACTAATCAACTGACTCCATAAAGCTCTGATTATTAGGCCATGAGTATGTGTGTAGAAAATATTTCATAAAAGATAATATAATGCCATTCTCAATGTCCCCCTTCTTAATATTCTTATTATCAGAAATAATAGCATTTCAGCTACCTCTTTTTTTTCTTCTCCTGTCCAATTGAAATGTGTGTTACTGATTGTTTTGCAGTATGACAGCGTGAGTTACTACTCCTAAACAATATGATTCCACTCAAAATGATGGCTTTGGGCTATCAATCATAGGCAAAGCACAGCATGAGAGTAGTAATGGAAGATATGAACTCCACCTATGATCCACAAAGACATGCTTTTTCTATGTATCTTAGTAATTTCCCATAAAAATTGGCTTCAAAATATAGCTCATATTTTAAAACTCAAAAAATGTTAAAAGAAAACTTCTACAATTCTTAAAGTCTCTTTTGAACTGCCTAATAGCTGCCATTGACTAATTAACAAAACAAAGATGGATTTTCATAGGTTTTCTTTGTGTATATATTTTAGCACAATAACATATCTTTTAATATAAGGAGTGGAACAAGATGGTTATGTTGCTAGCTGTGTGCTTGTTTTCAGATTTTTGTTTGTTTGCTTGTTCGATTTTTACCTGGAGTGAAGCTTTGTGAGTAAACTAATCTTTAATAAACACTTTAATTTAAGGAACTTTTGAACTTACTTCCAATTCATTGGTGTCATCTAAAATGACTCTCATTATAACAAAATATTGAAACAGTACAGCAATAAAAGTAGACTGAAGAGTCAGAGTATAAGGCCAAAGAAATGTTCATCCCCTTAACAGTATTTAGTATTATTTTTAAGAACAAAATAAATTGTCATATTTTATGTTTTCTGTTTGGCAAAAGGCAGTCTATGGTTAACTGTTTTAAAATATTGCTTACCCAGGCCAGGTGCAGTGCCTCACACTTGTAATCCCAGCATTTTGGGAGGCCAAGCGAGGAGGATGGCTTGAACTCAGGAGCTCAAGACCAGCCTGAGCAGTACAGTGAGACTCCATCTCTACAAAAATTCAAAATATTAGACAGGCACAGTGGTGCTAGCCTGCAGTCCGAGCTACTCAGGAGGCTGAGGTGGGTAGATGTCCTGAGCCTAGGAGGATGAGGCTGCAGTATGACCGAGCATGAGAGAATGGGGGGGCTAATGAAAAAGGAATAAATATATGAACTTTTAAGTTTTGAAGAAATAAGTATAACTAATCCAACAAGTATGTATTGAACTCATACATCGTGACTATACAGAGATAGAGCCAGATGTTATGACATATATGGTGAAAAAATGTAGACCCAGCCATCATGGAGCTTAAGTCTCATGGGAGAGAAAATCATTAATCAAATGGAGTAGAAATTCAGAATCAACCTCCGCTTAACTAAAGAGTGTGCCTTGGCTATCACGTGAAAAAAAATCAAAATATTTTTCTTTTGGCATGTTTTAAAGTAAAACAAAAATAATCTGTTTTTTAATTGAAAACACAGGACTGGAATGCAACTTATTATGATCAAACAAGCATGCTGTTAAAGGGTGTAAAAACATGTATTTACAGGTATTAGGGAGTACTAAAGAGTGACTCAATCCAATCTGGGTAATAAGAAAAATTTCATCTGAAGAAGTAATGTAGGATATAGTATCAAAAGAATAAGAAATCAATTATGCAAAGGGCTTAAAAATTATAAAATATATTGCAAAATTGCAATAGTTTAATAATTTTATTTGCTTTTATTTATTTAACACAACTTACTCTAGTTCTACCACATTCAAATACCTTGGTAGGCCCTGAAATTATAAAAATTAATTAGACACAATCTCTATCGGGGAAACCAACCTCTCATGAGCCATTTGCCACAGAAGAGCAGCAATCAAATTTGTGTCTCTCACCCTCACAATTCTACTTTTCATTTCCTGTTCCTTCTCTTGCAAGGCGAATAAAAGCAAATGCTTGTTTCAGTATCAAATGATAAAATAATACACTGAATATTTTATTATTTCCAGTTTTTTCGTCTTCCCTGGTGTTCAGAGGGCATTGAACATTTTTGGCAAGTTTTTAGCACTATTTTAGCCAGGTCACTCATCACTGGTACTGTAATAGCTGAATAGAAGTAGAGCATGCTCTTTGCAGCTGATTTTTTTCAGGTGTTCTCTTTATAGCATCCCTAATGGGCAGACAGTTCACTGCATCTCTAGCTGTTGGCATATGGCATCCAGGAGGACAAGAGAGCCCAGACAGCCCATCAGATTAACCACGTAATAGACCCAGAAGCAGCTTTAAAGCCGTAAAACAAAATTGCTTATGGAGTCTGCCAGCACGCCAGATGCTGCTATTGGAAGAAATATCTTCCAGTGCTTAGCATCTGGGTTTCACGGTTGCCAGAAAAAAAAAAAGAGAAAAAGAATTGGCAACTTACTACCAATGAGATTGCTTTTGCAATATAAGACATTTTAATATTTTTTAAATGTCAAAGGCAGTAGGTTACAGCAAAGTTTAAAATTAGGTATCTCCCTGTACTTGTAGATATGTCACTATTAACCGACATCCTCCATACAATCCCTAGGCAGCTGGTTGGTTATTATCTAAATGAATCAGAACACTGAGAATCTTGAATTCGAATGTGAATTTTCAGTCTGTTTTCAATATGCTTATTTTATTGATATTTTGCATGATAACATCCTTGCCAACTGAATATAAATTCTACATTTAAACAAGGTAAGAAATAATGTTTTTGTATTAGCAATCGCTGGTTTTTCTGACTGCCAGTTATATAATTGAGTATTATAACTAAAGATATAACTCCCAAATATCCATCAGCTGTTTTTCAGTGGAATTGTTTTTTCCTAAGCCAAATAAACAATGGATTTGACTAATATAATTTAAAGCCAATTAGATTTATGATTTATGCCTGCACAAGGTGAGTAATTTCTTTTCGGTTATATAATTTATCAATATTGCCTAAAATGTGAAGAATAACTCCTAGCCTATTATAGCTCTTAAAATTGATATAGTATGCACCAAAATCGACTCTCTTCTCTGATCATAAAACAGCACATTTTACTTGACTCAAGTGATTCTTTCCATACTGCTCAAACCAAATTTGTTGAAATAGTGAATATGAAAGATCTCCCAAATTTAAAATTTTCTGTGGTTGAATATTTAGCACCTTAATATTAAGGCAAATCCAAAAACCTATTAATTCTCCAATTTGACCAAAATGGTTAATTATGCACCCTAAATCTGTTATAAAGCTACTAGTTTAAAATACTTTTAAATCCAAACACCTGATTTTATACTATCAATACAGTCAATAGCCAATTTCATTAAATATGAATATAGTGTAATTTTAGTTGTTAGTATACTATGAGTCAGTAATAATGAAACTATGCTTATTTGAATATTACATTATGTAGACTTAGATTATTTGGGAGATGGAAAATGCTACTCACCTCTTGAAATGTAATTATAATAATCTTTTGCCAGTTTTCTTGGGGCAGTGAATAACTAAGAAGAATTTTACTGAATCTGAGTCTTTTCCATTAATTTATTTCTTAAATTCTTTGGTTGTAATGAACAGATATTTATTTATTGATTAAAATTTGAAGAATTATATAGCATTATGTATCCAAATTGTAAATGCATGCTCTTAGGTGTAATAATTTCACTTCAAGAGATCTAAATTTTGTGTTCACAATGTTGCAATTATACATGTGTGTGCATGTATATATATAAAGATATTCACAGTAACATTATTGTAGTAAAAACAATAGAAATGATTTAAATGCTCATTAACGGAGGATAGGTTTAATAAATTAAGCTAATTACATAGTATTGGTTATGTTTCTGGTTAAAAAGAATGAGGTAGATTTATTTATAATCTTATAAGAAGAGCATTAATATACAGTTTTGAACAAATAAGAGCAAGATACATTTTCTAGAATATGTTATTTGTATAACGATTTAAATGAAAATCTAAATCTGTGGGTTTATATAATTATTTATGTATAGCAGTGTCTCTAGGGATAGAAATAGGGTGGGAATATTATTATTATTATTATTATTTTTTTTTTTTTGAGACAGAGTTCCACTCTGTCGCCCAGGCTGGAGCGCAGTGACGCAATCTCGGCTCACTGCAACCTCTGTTTCCCAGGTTAAAGCGATTCTCCTGCCTCAGCCTCCCGAGCAGCTGGGACTACAGGTGTGCACTAGCACACCCAGCTAATTTTTGTGGTTTTTTTAGTAGAGATGGAGTTTCACCATATTGGCCAGGGTGGTATCAAACTCCTGACCTCGTGATCCACCCACTTCAGCCTCCCAAAGTGCTGGGATTACAGGTGTGAGTCACCGCGCCTGGCCGGAATATTCTTTTCTTACCTAGAATAAGCATACATTTTATACTATTAGTTTTTTTTAATTGAATTTTAAAGTATAAACCCACTTAACCAATTTCATTCATTTGCTCATTTACACATTGACGAAAACATAACCTCTATAGTTGCCATGTCAGGAGCACTGTGCTAGAAGTGAATACATATGGCCTGCAGCATCATAAAGTCTGGGTAAGGTGAAAAAAATCATGCACATTAAGGAAAAATAGTAATAAAATGCTACAGTTGATGAAGGTATTAAAAACCTACTGACATAAAGGGAGAATAATTAATGCTGCTTAGTCAAATTAAGGAAAACTTTCCAGAAGAACAGAATAGTGAGATTAGTCTTGATGGATGCACAGAAATTATTTTAGGCAGTTCAAGAAGATAGTAAAGATAGAGGGACAATTAAATAAAAGAGAAAAACAGCTGAATGGCTTTTAGGGAAAAACACCAAGTATGATTTGGCTTTGAGTGATGAGATTAGTGATGAGTCCCAGGGATTAAGTTTGAGAAGTCAGGAGAGCCAGATTATAAAGATGTTTGTAGGCCATGCCACAAAATTATCGCATCTTGTTATCTCATGAAACTTTCTCTAAGTTCCATTAGAAATTTTTAAAAATTAGGTTTTAACCTAAGCGTAAGAATCAAATATACATTATTAGAAACATTACTATCTTGACAGTTTGAAAAATAAAGTTGATTAGAATACATATGAATACATAAGAAGGCTGATAACAAGGAATATATATAGGAGGATATTTCAACAGTCATTATGTAAATAATTTGGGTCAGTCCTTTTGTCAGCTACTATTTGTAGTAGTAATAGTGTTGTTATTTAACAATTTTTAAAGCATCAATAAAATGTCTACCTTCCTATGTTTTTACAAATATGTATGCTTTTACATACTGTGCATATTTCTATATGTGTGTATATGTATGCATGTGATAGGTTTATGTATTAACTTCATAAATGTAAATATATATGTTTTGTGCTTTATGTATATATATTCAACTTCATGTGTTAACTTTGTATGTATGCTTTTTGTTTTAACATTATATATGTAAATACTTTATCTGTTAGCTTTATATATGCAACATACATGTATGCACATAGACATACACATATATAATAGCTGTGTACATTTGCTTACATGTGTATTTGTATATAGTTTAATATATATAAAATAAAATGGGCATGAAGTTGTAAATGTTAGAATTAAAACTGAAATGACCTAATGGTGGTTTTTTTGCTTTATTGTTACAATGCATAACACCATAACAAAGACTGATACAAAGAAAGATCTTTAGAGTAAAAGGAAAAGAGTAAGAATGGCTCTCACAAATGATATGAGGTCAGAAAAAATAACATGAGTTTCAAATCTAAATACTGAATGTCCTTACAATCAAAGGAAAATTAGATTGCTAAATGGCAAATAATAAAACTAAAAAACATACTGAGACCATTTAAAAATTGAACCCAAGGTCTCTGTATAGACAAAACTGTATATTACATAGAAATGTGCCTAATACTTAGTATCTAATTGCTCAGATAATATTATTTCCTAGCTTAATATTTAATAATATATCTGTCTCTATCTCTTTATTTTCTTTGATTTTCTGTTGATTAACCAACTTAATGCTCTACAATTTGTCCTTTTCTTTCCACTGTTAAAGGTAATTGTGACCAAACCTGCTCTCATTTACTTAAAATATCACTGGGTCAGACAGCCACTGTTGGGGACTATAGAGTTAAATATTATTAATTCAATTTTATGGATGAGAGAACTAAAACTTAAAAAGCGGAAGACATGACCCAAAACTTACAGACTACCAGCTGACCAAGCCAGGATTTAAACCAACATCCATCTGATTCCAGACCAATGTTCTTTCCATTACTCAGTGTTAAGTGACTTAAAAAAAATTGAAGTAAGAGTATGATCACACATTTGCATGACAAAAGTAACTAGATCCACATAAAGTAAAAACAGTTTGGCATGTTCGTCTAGATTATTATGTTTTTGGATTGAAAGCTTTCATTCTGACACTAATTTAGACATCTAGATTCAAAATAATAGGTCAGGTATGCAGAATTAATGTGATTAATGTAATATTTCTTATCTGTAGCAAGACTTTTATATCATACTACTTACATATTAATAAATCTGATAAAATACAACTTGAATTACCTAACTACTAGCCAAAGGCATTATTAAATACTGTCTTTTTTTAGAAATAGTATTAAAAAGTATAATTAGAAGGATGCAAAAAACAAAAAACAAAGAGACACGTGGTGTCAGAAATTATGTGAGCTGATCAGGAATCTCCAAGCACCATTTTTGAATAATACATCAAAAATAACGAAACATAAGAACAGGTACACAATTGTGAATGGTTAATACTGTGTCAACTTGATTGGATTAAAGGATGCAAAGGGTGTGTCTGTGAAGATGTTGCCAAAAGAGATTAAAATTTGAGTCAGTGGGCTGGGAAAGGCAGACCCATCCTTAATCTGGGTGGGCACCATCTAATCGGCTGCCAGTGCCCCTAGAATATAAAGTAGGCAGAAAAACTTGAAAAGACTAGGCTGGCCTAGCCTCCCAGCCTACATCTTCCTCTCATGCTGGATGCTTCCTGCTGTTGAACATCAAACTCCAAGTTCTTCAGTTTTGGGACACAGACTGGCTCTCCTTGCTCCTCAGATTGCAGACAGCCTATTATGGGACCTTGTGATCATGTTAATACTTAATAAACTCCTATATATATATATCTCATATATATATGATATGATATATATATATATATCATATATATCATATTAGTTCTGCCCTCTAGAGAACCCTGACTAATACATCAATCATTATATCAAATATCTAGTTATTCATTTGTATGTTAACTTGTATTACTGTTATATATACACATATTATGTGCATATATATACAAGTCTTTCAGAAGTGTATTATATTTTTGAATGGATATGTATGTGCATATATATTTGCAAATATGATAAACTGTTTCAAAACAGCACTAAAAGTTTATATTTTAAGAAGTTATAAAGTGCATGTTGTGGTAGACTGTACAATGGTCCCCCAAAGATGCTTATGTCTTAATTTCCAGAACCTTTGAATATGTTAACTTCATGGCAAAGGGCTTTGCAGACATGATTAAATTAAAGATATTGAGATGGTGAGATTATTCTGAATTATCTAGCTGGGTCCAATGTAATCACAAGGGTCCTTATAGGAGGAAAAGCAGAAGGATGAGTGGCACAGAGGTAGATGTGACAATAATAGCAGAGGTGAGAAAAAGGAGGAAGAAAGAGAAAGAGAGAGAGGCAGATCTGAAAGTGCTACACTGCTTGCTTTGAAAGAGGTCAGTCCAGGAGCCAATAATGCATGTATCCCCTAGAATCTCAAAAAGGCAATGAAAAGAACTTTCCCCTAGTGGGTGACAAAATCAGCTAGAGCTATGATGACCAATATAGTAGCCACTAGCCACATGCAGCTATTTAAATATGAATATAGATTAATTAAAATTAACTAAAATTGAAAATGTATTGTCTCATTTGCACATTTGCATTAACTACACTTTAGGTACCTGAAGGCCACGTGTGGCTAGTGGAGACCATATTGGACAGCATAGTGGGACATGTTCATCATCACACTGTCCATTTCCATATCAGACAGCATTGGTCTAAAGGTTTGATTAAGTATTAAATGCATATGAAACAAGCCATTTAAAGTCTATTAGAAACGTAAAAACTCATTTTCAATCATAAGAAAAGTCTTATGCAGAAAGAGGACATTTTTCCTGAACAGTCAGATATTTAGGAGAATAATAATAAATTCATTTGCTTAATAAAATGGGTTTAATTACTAATTTAAAACTTCAGGATTAAAAAACTAAATGTCCCAAAAATATTATACAAAAATACTGACTTATAATAAAATGTAATTTTATGTAATAATGGTAAAAATTCAAAATTGTCTGAAGCTAGATTACATTTCTCTGAATAAAATGCATGGGATAAATTACCTCTTAAAGGCCTTCTCCTGCTTGTAAGAGAAAAATGAAGGCTCTTTTTGTTCAAAAGGTGTGTGCATGTATGTTTGTGTGTGTGTAGCTGGAGGAAAGGCAATGTGGAAAATCACGAAGCATAACGAAAGTTCTAGAACAAAGAGAAATAGCATACATTTCTACTAACACATTAAAAAATAGACTGCTTCTTTGGAGATATATCCACTTAGGTTGGAAATGCTTTTATAGGAGAAACATAATTAAATAGTTGCCTCCTGAACTGGAGCAGAAAAGAACCTTATTTAATTACCTTTAAATGAAAACAATTTTGGTAACAATTGCATAGTGTGATTTTAGTGTCCAAAATTATTATTCTCCCCTCTTGTTGCACTCACTGCACAGGCAATTACTATAGTGAAATTGCATCAACAGTTTCAGTGATGCATTAAACATTAGAAAATAGAAGCATTTATCCTATAGTTATAATTTCATTAGTTATATTAGTAATAGATATATTAATATATGGGTTAATTTATACTTTAATTTAATCTTAGATGAACACTATGATATAAATGACTCACTTTATTTGTTTTCCCAAAAGATTTGAAAGTAAATGGAGAGAAAAAGTATACAGGAACCAAGTTCCTGAAATAATGGGATGGTTTAGGAAAAAAAAACACACACACACACACACACAATGACAATGACAAAGTTTATAGGAAAGAACTGACATTTGAGGATATGAAACAACAACAAAAATCACAAACCACTTTTTGTCTGAAAAGATCAAGGTCATTAAGGTAAATAATAAAAATATCTCAAGACATGAAAAGTATAGATTCTGTTATTTAATTTTGGAATTCGAAGGCACCTCTTGAAACTTGAGATTGCTTTACTTTCAAACAAAGTGCAGTTGATCCTTGAACAACACAGCAGTTACGGGTGCTGAGCCCTAGACAGTTGAAAATGTGTGTATAAATTGTGGATCCCTCAGAACTTAACTACTTATAGCCCACAGTTGACTGTTAACATGTATCTTTATGCTATGTGTATTATATACTGTATTCTTACAATAAAGTAAGCCAGATAAAAGAAAATGTTATTAAGAAAACCAATAAGGAAGGTAAAGAAAGGAAGACAAAATATATTTACTATTTATTAAGTGAAAGTGGATCATCATAAAGGTCTTCATCCTTGTCATCTTCACGTTGAGTAGTTATGATGAAGAAGAGGGGTTGATCTTGCTGTCTCTGGGGTGGCAGAGGCGGAAGAAAATCTGCCTATAAGTGGTTCCACACAGTTCAAACCTGTGTCATCAAAAAGTCAGCTGTACTGTTTACTATGAAAGAAAAACTAAAGGGAACTATTATTTCTCACTTACATCATATAAAATAGATTTAAGCCCCTCTCTTCTAATCCAAAGTAAAAGAGATTTAAAAAAGTAGAGATAAGAAAAAGCAAAGATCCTGAATCTACTACTTATTAAATATTTTTTAATTGACAGGTAAAATTTGTATATATTTATCATATTCAATATGTTGTTTTTAAATATGTATCCATTGTGGGATGGTTAAATGTAGCTAAAATCTCACTTAGATGTGAAATCCAAAAAAAAAATTGAGCTATAGAACTAGAGAGTAAAATGGTAATTACTAGAGGCTGGGTGTGGGTAGGGAGTAGTTAGTCAAAGGGCACAACATTTTACTCAGGAGAAATAAATAAATTTGAGAGATCTATTACAACTACTTTTTTATAATCTTATGCTAACCAGTTTTTTTCTTCTGTTTCCAAAGAATTTTGGTGTTTATAAATTAAAAACACACACACATACACACAGAGCTGTGGGATGATTTCAGGTAGGAGATTAAATTTACCCTGGGCCACAGGTAGCTTAACTTCTTAACATTCCACTTTAATAGAAACTTTATGGGTTTGCTATATGTCTTGTACATGTTACAAATATTCCTGCATTTCAGAAATATTTATTAACCACCTACAACGTGCCAGACATCCCTCTCTTTGTTTCTTAGCATAGAGTGGCTGTCCCTTTTATTCAACTCATATGTAGAAGTATAAAGTATCACTTGTGTACTTTAAAATCACATTATATTCATTTACTGTTAATGTTCTATTTATTAAAATGAATTTAATGAAAAGATGTCAGCTATAACTTGTTTATCCTGTTGATACCAAACTTCTTGCATCTAGTTACCAAGGCTCCTGCTAAACCTCCATAGGCTTAGTTTGGATTCCTGGAAAGTGACCCCGTCACAACGGACATCGTTTTGGATATTTTGTACTTTTATTTTTTATATTTTCCTTAGATAAATGTATACATCCCTATGTTTCTGATGTCTACCCATAAGCTGATGACTCCCTAATCAATTTTTTCCACCAAGACTACATCCTGAATTCTACATCCAAATACTTACTGAGCACTTCTACTTGAATGACGTCTAGTAACCACAAATTCAACATGTACTTGACTGGACCCAGTGCAATCATCTTATCACAAACTGTAAATACTTAATTAATAGAGCAAACCAGAATCATAGGTATCATTCTCAACTCTTTAATAACTTTCCACCTAAGATATGATTTTTACAACTACTTTCATTTGGTCTTCCTAAATATTCCTGAATTTATTCCTTTCACTCTGTTCTTGCTGCCACATCCTTAGTTTGGACAATGATAATTTCCCTGAAGTTTTATTTTAAAATAAACCTTGCCTCCCACCATTTTACTTCTTTGCTAAAACATTATTCAACATCTCTCTTATTGTCTTTATAATGCAATCTATTCTCCTACGTATGACAAACAAGAATTTCATGTCATATGACTGTGTATAAATGTGTTATACTAAGGATAATATTTCTCTTCTCTTTTGAGGTGACCCCTGTGTCACTCTGCAGCATCATTCCACACAATCTTAACTACCCTATGCCCCAACCATTGGGGCATAAAGTTGATTTATTTCCTATGCCTTCTATCAACTTAATTCCTGGAAAACATACTTAAAGCCTCCACTCTGAATGTTTCTCTTCTGTTAGCCTTCCGTGGCCACCTAAAGTAGAGGTGATAACTTTCTGCTTATAAAATTTCAGCACAAAATAAGTTAAGTCTTTATTATACTCCTTCATGATTCTTCTAAATCAGAATTTCTCAATCTCAGCACTATTGATTGACATTTCAGTTGGGCAGATTTATGTTGTGAAAGGCATTCCTGTTCCTTGTAAGATGTTTAGCAACAATCTGTATCTTTACCCAATAGCACCCTACCCCAAATTTCACATCAGAACGTATCAAAAGATTTTAAATGTCCCCTAAAGCCCAGTGTTATCTCAAATTGAGAGCTACTGCTCTAAATATATGTCTTTCTGATTTATGTCTTGTGGTAGCCCTTGGCACTTAAATACAGTACCTAACCCATGAAAGGCACGATATAGATCATCGTAGTTTCAATGAATAAAAATGAGTAAGTATTTAAATATATTCTTGAATAATTTTTCCAATGAAAACTTCAGGCTACATATTATTTGCCCACTATTTTTCTAAATTGTAGCATGGGTAGAGTTTACTGTAGTTTGCCTCAGTTGTGTTAAAACAGAGTCAAGAAGGAAAATTTTACTTGCTGTCAAACAGTCCTTACCCTGATTCATATGTTAATTAATCTATGAATTCATTCAGTGCTTAGGTGAGTATTTCCTAGAGTCCTATACCTGAACTTGGTGCTGGGGAAACAGAAATTAAAGAATATTCAGGTGCAGCTCAATATCTAAAGCAGGGTGTAGACATATGAAGAAATAATTATAATATAATGTGATTAGTTCATAAAACTCAAATAGATTTTCAGCAAAATCTTTCTTGTTTTTCAGGGTGATTTCTTTTTCAGCAAAAACCCTACAAGTTTGATCTAGCTTGAACTGATTTTGTACTTTATGTATTCGAAGTAGACATATTCACTTTGAAGCAAAAAACTCCTTGCCTTTATTTTTCTATTATGATGGGAAGATGCTTTCCGATTGAAATTGCTTCACCTTACCAGTTGCTTGAGGTCTTTACTTATAAACAGATATAGATGCATGTTGCGTTGGAAAAAAAGGATGAATCTGAGACCAGACTGACCAAAATTTGGGCAAAACAAATAAGAAAATGTGGATTAGTTCCCAAACACGTTAACCACTTTGTGCAGTATATAGCCCATATGAAAAATATTTTTGAAATTCCTTTGGATAATTAATTAGTATGATATGGATTGTGATAAGTGTGTTTTAGGCATCCTGTTGTTTAGTGGTTATGTCATGAGTTGATGTGAGCTTGTGTGTGTGTATACATGTACACAAACATACAGATATTTTTATTTATTGCATCTATTGGACAGAGTATTTGATTAATTAGACCACTTTATTCTCTGATCATGTAAGATTAAAGCAGATGGCATCATGTTAAATGTAAAATTAACAGTATATTTGTGAGACAAAGAGTTTTACACTAGGCCTGTTACGTGGATTAACATATTGCAGCCTCACAAACCACAAAACTATTAAGAAAGTTATTTGTATCTTCTACATGCAACTGATTTAATTTAATGATTGTTTTTCTGAGTGTGTAATTGCAAGATGGTAGAAAGAGGAAAATGGTATAAAGCAAACAGCTTAATTCTCTTAAGAGGAAACTGAAAGTTTTCATGGAGTTGGTTGCATTTAAAACAGGCCTTGAAAGATAAGAATAACTTAAGTAGGTTATTAAGTGAGCATTCCTTGAAAGAGGGAATTTGTGAGGGAAGAAAAAAAAGTATGGGAAAAAGCATAGGGATAGATAGGCAACCGTGGGGCATATAAAATTAATGCTAATTATTAAGTTATTATTTAGTAAATATTTCTCATTTCATGAAATTAAACACAAATACTAAAACAGAGAGGGCACAGAGTTTTCGGACTGAAAAACTCTTGTGGATTTGAACTGAGATTAGCAGTTGGTGGTTGACAAACCGCTGTTCAATATTATACACACATACATGTATATATCTTCAAAGTGCTTTAAAATATTAGCCAATTTTAAGTAACAAATCTCATAAAATACAATTTCCAACTTTTCTTTAAAAGATTGAACTTATCAAATATAAAAATACAGTTTTTGGTTTTTTTTTGTCACCTTATAAGAAATCTCCTGTCCTCCTCTTTCCCCAAATGACAGGCATTGTGACTGTCAGGAAAGACCCTCTGCATCATTACACCACACAACATCCTAGAAACTTCTAACCCAAGGAAGCGGAGGCAGAACCCTAGGGTCTGGACTCAACTGTCTTCCTCTTCCTTCGGAGTCTATATTCTACTCTTACTTCCTAGAAGTCTAATGTAATAAAATGTCCCCTTTGGGCAAAACATATCTCTGCTTTCTCCCAGGTTTTCTGCTATTGTGTTGACGAGCATAAGAACTCTATTTCGAGTAACACTATCTCTTCTCCCCAAATTTCTAAGTTTTTCAGGAAACCAAATGTTATTTTGCTGTAACAACATCTTTTGTATTAGAAACATGTAAGTATCAATAATGCGTCCGGGCGCCGCTGCTCCCGCCTGTAATCCCTGCACTTTTCAAGGGGGGCACATCACCTGAGGTCAGGAGTTGGAGACCAGCCCGGCCAACGTGGCAAAACTCCGTCTCTACTAAAAATGCAAAAATTAGCTGGGCGTGGTGGCGCGCGCCTGTAATCCCAGCTACTCCGGAAACTGAGGGAGGAGAATCTCTTGAACCTCGGAGGCAAAGGTTGCAGGGAGCCGAGATCGTGCCATGCACTCCAGCCTAGCGACAGAGCTAGACTCCGTCTAACAACAACAACCAAAAAAAGCATTTTACCAAATGTTAGAATAATTACATTTTAAAAGCTAAAAAACTTAGCAAGCATGTTATTATAGAAGGCTTCATATTAAGACATAATGATCAAGTTTCAAATAAAATCAAGTTAAATAATGCTATCAGATACTGTGTTTTACTTTTAATTTATTTCAATTGCTTCTATTTATAAAATCTGCTGTTTTACTCACATTTGCTATGATATGATTTTCCTATATATCAAAGACCACCACCAATAGTGTAATAAATATATTGCTGTATAAAATGTGCATACACTAAGTGGTCCTGACTAGAGTCAGGAATACTAATAGGGGATTGCTTTGTCTTTATCTTTGCATTTTCGAATGACACAAATGTTGCCTCAAATTTTATAATAAAGAAAAACCTTAAAATACTTTTGTGGAGAAAAGCGTTAATGTTTAAAAAGCAAAATATTGTTTCGGTAATTAATATGATGTTGGCTATTAGGAGAATTATAAATTGTATTTTAATTACTTAATATTAGTCTACAAATGTGGAGCTCTCTTATATTCATGCCCAAACATACTCAAAGAATATGTGATTAACTTTCTGTTATATCTCCAAGATATTCTGCTTGAAAAGATGCTGTGATTGATTACAAGTCTGCAAACCAATATCTTCCTGCATCAAAATTCAAGTGCATTACCGTAGCACAGAAGGGTGTTATGGCAGATGTCATCCAACTGCTTCGTAGCTGCATGATCGATGGTGCGAATGGTGATTGATGTTATTGACATGCCCTGGCACCTAAAATAGAGTGTATATGTATGTGTGCCAGAGGGAGGGAGGGGCTCATATTCGGATTTTAAAAATGCAAAACTATAGGGCCTGAAAAATAATTGACCACAGAAAAGGAGTGAAGTGAATAATGAAAGTAATAGTTGCTTTTGAAAAGAACAAATATAGGTCCAGCAAGAAATATGGTTGCAGAGAAAAACAGAACAGTTTTGTTTTACTAAGCTGAAAATATATGTGGCTTTCCCTTTCCAACCATGTTTTTATTTTACTTAGTTTCATTATCTGTGTAAGTAAAAGTGGGGCTAGAAAGTGGTGCTCTTGTTTAACAGAAATGACATTTTATCTGTCACACTTCACCAGTGGACAAATGAGGAAAAGGAAAAAGAGATATTGAAGGACTTAGGATTAGAAAGTAAATTGCATCTGGTATAACAATTTTGAACCAAATTTTATCTAAAGTATTATCTGATTGTGAGCTGTAAAACATATAGATAAAGAAATAGGTTAGAAATCTGTTGATATTAATTTTGTATATTCAGTTTAGAAAAACTTATTTTAAAACTTATTTTAAGAATGGGAACAAATTAGCTCAGTCAGGAAAGCCTTTTTAGAAAAGACTCATTAAACAGTGAGTCTCACATATAAATGTAAGAAATTTTACACCAGCCACATGAATAAGGAAACTTGATAGACATTATTTTTAAAAAGGGGAAAGAGGAACATGATCGCAAGACACATTATACAGTGAAGAATGCTAATTACAAATGAAGTCATTGCACAGACATTAAGCATTATTGATTATATTTATTTCAGTGTTTTTTTCAACTGGGAAAACGTTACTGATTCTTTGCTGTGGAGATATAAAACTATTCATTTCTTTTTGCATTCCTTAGAAACCATAAACAAAACTGTACAGAAAATGCACAGGATATCACATTGCAAAGTAGATAATATGGTTAATTTTCAAATATATGAAGCTAGATCTTGACATTCTAGAAAAAACACCTAAATAAAATTATGAAAGGTGTATTTTATCTTTATATTTATGCATATTTATAGAATTTAAAAAATACCCATGTGTTATCTAAGATATATTGAACAATTGTCATATTCCGGGGCCTGTTCTAAGCATGATAGATATAAATTCCTGGCCATGTTAATACACATACATACACACACGTGCTACACTAAATTAATAACTACAAATCTATATGAGGTAACTGTAAATGCTGTTATCCACAATATACCAATGAAACAAACGAAGGAAAGAAAAGGTAGGTACCTTGGCCAGTGTTCCACAGGAAGTTTGTGGATGAACGAAGATTGCTACTTAGGTGGTCTGCTTTCTGGGGCTGCAACCTTAAATGCATGCACGATGTAGTTTGCAAATTACAGAAAAGCAAAGACCAAAGAAATTATTATCATTATCCAAAAGCCCACTATTTATATATATTAGGAAAACACATATATTTTTTTTTCTAGTTAATTTTTTTTTTATTATTATACTTTAAGTTTTAGGGTACATGTGCACATTGTGCAGGTTAGTTACATATGTATACATGTGCCATGCTGGTGCGCTGCACCCACTAACTCATCATCTAGCATTAGGTATATCTCCCAGTGCTATCCCTCCCCGCTCCCGCCACCCCACCACAGTCCCCAGAGTGTGATATTCCCCTTCCTGTGTCCATGTGATCTCATTGTTCAATTCCCACCTATGAGTGAGAATATGCGGTGTTTGGTTTTTTGTTCTTGCTATAGTTTACTGAGAATGATGATTTCCAATTTCATCCATGTCCCTACAAAGGACATGAACTCATCATTTTTTATGGCTGCATAGTATTCCATGGTGTATATGTGCCACATTTTCTTAATCCAGTCTATCACTGCTGGACATTTGGATTGGTTCCAAGTCTTTGCTATTGTGAATAATGCCGCAATAAACATACGTGTGCATGTGTCTTTATAGCAGCATGATTTATAGTCCTTTGGGTATATACCCAGTAATGGGATGGCTGGGTCAAATGGTATTTCTAGTTCTAGATCCCTGAGGAATCGCCACACTGACTTCCACAATGGTTGAACTCGTTTACAGTCCCACCAACAGTGTAAAAGTGTTCCTATTTCTCCACATCCTCTCCAGCACCTGTTGTTTCCTGACTTTTGAATGATTGCCATTCTAACTGGTATGAGATGGTATCTCATTGTGGTTTTGATTTGCATTTCTCTGATGGCCAGTGATGATGAGCATTTTTTCATGTGTTTTTTGGCTGCATAAATGTCTTCTTTTGAGAAGTGTCTGTTCATGTCCTTTGCCCACTTTTTGATGGGGTTGTTTGTTTTTTTCTTGTAAATTTGTTTGAGTTCATTGTAGATTCTGGATATTAGCCCTTTGTCAGATGAGTAGGTTGCGAAAATTTTCTCCCATTTTGTAGGTTGCCTGTTCACTCTGATGGTAGTTTCTTTTGCTGTGCAGAAGCTCTTTAGTTTAATTAGATCCCATTTGTCAATTTTGTCTTTTGTTGCCATTGCTTTTGGTGTTTTAGACATGAAGTCCTTGCCCATGCCTATGTCCTGAATGGTATTGCCTAGGTTTTCTTCTAGGGTTTTTATGGTTTTAGGTCTAACGTTTAAGTCTTTAATCCATCTTGAATTGATTTTTGTATAAGGTGTAAGGAAGGGATCCAGTTTCAGCTTTCTACATATGGCTAGCCAGTTTTCCCAGCACCATTTATTAAATAGGGAATCCTTTCCCCATTGCTTGTTTTTCTCAGGTTTGTCAAAGATCAGATAGTTGTAGATATGCGGCGTTATTTCTGAGGGCTCTGTTCTGTTCCATTGATCTATATCTCTGTTTTGGTACCAGTACCATGCTGTTTTGGTTACTGTAGCCTTGTAGTATAGTTTGAAGTCAGGTAGTGTGATGCCTCCAGCTTTGTTCTTTTGGCTTAGGATTGCCTTGGCGATGCGGGCTCTTTTTTGGTTCCATATGAACTTTAAAGTAGTTTTTTCCAATTCTGTGAAGAAAGTCATTGGTAGCTTGATGGGCATGGCATTGAACTGTAAATTACCTTGGGCAGTATGGCCATTTTCACAATATTGATTCTTCCTACCCATAAGCATGGAATGTTCTTCCATTTGTTTGTATCCTCTTTTATTTCCTTGAGCAGTGGTTTGTAGTTCTCCTTGAAGAGGTCCTTCGCATCCCTTGTAAATTGGATTCCTAGGTATTTTATTCTCTTTGAAGCAACTGTGAATGGGAGTTCACTCATGATTTGGCTCTCTGTTTGTCTGTTATTGGTGTATAAGAATGCTTGTGATTTTTATACATTGATTTTGTATCCTGAGATTTTGCTGAAGTTGCTTATCAGCTTAAGGAGATTTTGGGCTGAGACAATGGGGTTTTCTAGATATACAATCATGTCATCTGCAAACAGGGACAATTTGACTTCCTCTTTTCCTAATTGAATACCCTTTATTTCCTTCTCCTGCCTAATTGCCCTGGCCAGAACTTCCAACACTATGTTGAATAGGAGTGGTGAGAGAGGGCATCCCTATCTTGTGCCAGTTTTCAAAGGGAATGCTTCCAGTTTTTGCCCATTCAGTATGATATTGGCTGTGGGTTTGTCATAGATAGCTCTTATTATTTTGAAATACGTCCCATCAATACCTAATTTATTGAGAGTTTTTAGCATGAAGGGTTGTTGAATTTTGTCCAAGGCTTTTTCTGCATCTATTGAGATAATCATGTGGTTTTTGTCTTTGGCTCTGTTTATATGCTGGATTACATTTATTGATTTGCGTATATTGAACCAGCCTTGCATCCCAGGGATGAAGCCCACTTGATCATGATGGATAAGCTTTTTGATGTGCTGCTGGATTCGTTTTGCCAGTATTTTATTGAGGATTTTTGCATCAATGTTCATCAAGGATATTGGTCTAAAATTCTCTTTTTTGGTTGTGTCTCTGCCCGGCTTTGGTATCAGAATGATGCTGGCCTCATAAAATGAGTTAGGGAGGATTCCCTCTTTTTCTATTGATTGGAATAGTTTCAGAAGGAATGGTACCAGTTCCTCCTTGTACCTCTCATAGAATTGGGCTGTGAATCCATCTGGTCCTGGACTCTTTTTGGTTGGTAAACGATTGATTATTGCCACAATTTCAGCTCCTGTTATTGGTCTATTCAGAGATTCAACTTCTTCCTGGTTTAGTCTTGGGAGAGTGTACGTGTTAAGAAATTTATCCATTTCTTCTAGATTTTCTAGTTTATTTGCGTAGAGGTGTTTGTAGTATTCTCTGATGGTAGTTTGTATTTCTGTGGGATCGGTGGTGATATCCCCTTTATCATTTTTTATTGTGTCTATTTGATTCTTCTCTCTTTTCTTCTGTGTTAGTCTTGCTAGTGGTCTATCAATTTTGTTGATCCTTTCAAAAAACCAGCTCCTGGATTCGTTAATTTTTTGAAGGGTTTTTTGTGTCTCTATTTCCTGCAGTTCTGCTCTGATTTTAGTTATTTCTTGCCTTCTGCTAGCTTTTGAATGTGTTTGCTCTTGCTTTTCTAGTTCTTTTAATTGTGATGTTAGGGTGTCAATTTTGGATCTTTCCTGCTTTCTCTTGTGGGCATTTAGTGCTATAAATTTCTCTCTACATACTGCTTTGAATGCGTCCCAGAGATTCTGGTATGTTGGGTCTTTGTTCTCATTGGTTTCAAAGAACATCTTTATTTCTGCCTTCATTTCATTACGTATCCAGTAGTCATTCAGGAGCAGATTGTTCAGTTTCCATGTAGTTGAGCGGTTTTGAGTGAGATTCTTAATCCTGAGTTCTAGTTTGATTGCACTGTGGTCTGAGAGACAGTTTGTTATAATCTCTGTTCTTTTACATTTGCTGAGGAGAGCTTTACTTCCAAGTATGTGGTCAATTTTGGAATAGGTGTGGTGTGGTGCTGACAAAAATGTATATTCTGTTGATTTGGGGTGGAGAGTTCTGTAGATGTCTATTAGGTCCGCTTGTTGCAGAGCTGAGTTCAATTCCTGGGTATCCTTTTTGACTTTCTGTCTCGTTGATCTGTCTAATGTTGACAGTGGGGTGTTAAAGTCTCCCATTATTAATGTGTGGGAGTCTAAGTCTCTTTGTAGGTCACTCAGGACTTGCTTTATGAGTCTGGGTGCTCCTCTATTGGGTGCATATATATTTAGGATAGTTAGCTCTTCTTGTTGAATTGATCCCTTTACCATTATGTAATGGCCTTCTGTGTCTCTTTTGATCTTTGTTGGTTTAAAGTCTCTTTTATCAGAGACTAGGATTGCAACCCCTGCCTTTTTTTGTTTTCCATTTGCTTGGTAGATCTTCCCCCATCCTTTTATTTTGAGCCTATGTGTGTCTCTGCACGTGAGATGGATTTCCTGAATACAGCACACTGATGGGTCTTGACTCTTTATCCAGTTTGCCAGTCTGTGTCTTTTAATTGGAGCATTTAGTCCATTTACATTTAAAGTTAATATTGTTATGTGTGAATTTGATGCTGTCATTATGATGTTAGCTGGTGATTTTGCTCGTTAGTTGATGCAGTTTCTTCCTAGTCTTGATGGTCTTTACATTTTGGAATGATTTTGCAGCGGCTGGTACCAGTTGTTCCTTTGCATGTTTAGCGCTTCCTTCAGGAGCTCTTTTAGGGCAGGCTTGGTGGTGACAAAATCTCTCAGCATTTGCTTGTCTGTAAAGTATTTTATTTCTCCTTTACTTATGAAGCTTAGTTTGGCTGGATATGAAATTCTGGGTTGAAAATTCTTTTCTTTAAGAATGTTGAATGTTGGCCCCCACTCTCTTCTGGCTTGTAGGGTTTCTGCCGAGAGATCTGCTGTTAGTCTGATGGGCTTCCCTTTGAGGGTAACCCAACCTTTCTCTCTGGCTGCCCTTAACATTTTTTCCTTCATTTCAACTTTGGTGAATCTGACAATTATGTGTCTTGGAGTTGCTCTTCTCGAGGAGTATCTTTGTGGCATTCTCTGTATTTCCTGAATCTGAACGTTGGCCTGCCTTGCTAGATTGGGGAAGTTCTCCTGGATAATATCCTGCAGAGTGTTTTCCAACTTGGTTCCATTCTCCCCATCACTTTCAGGTACACCAATCAGACGTAGATTTGGTCTTTTCACATAGTCCCATATTTCTTGGAGGCTTTGCTCATTTCTTTTTATTCTTTTTTCTCTAGACTTCCCTTCTCACTTCATTTCATTCATTTCATCTTCCATTGCTGATACCCTTTCTTCCAGTTGATCGCATCGGCTCCTGAGGCTTCTGCATTCTTCACGTAGTTCTCGAGCCTTGGTTTTCAGCTCCATCAGCTGCTTTAAGCACTTCTCTGTATTGGTTATTCTAGTTATACATTCTTCTAAATTTTTTTCAAAGTTTTCAACTTCTTTGCCTTTGGTTTGAATGTCCTCCCATAGCTCAGAGTAATTTGATCATCTGAAGCCTTCTTCTCTCAGCTCATCAAAGTCATTCTCCATCCAGCTTTGTTCCATTGCTGGTGAGGAACTGCGTTCCTTTGGAGGAGGAGAGGCACTCTGCGTTTTAGAGTTTCCAGTTTTTCTGCTCTGTTTTTTCCCCATCTTTGTGGTTTTATCTACTTTTGGTCTTTGATGATGGTGATGTACAGATGGGTTTTTGGTGTGGATGTCCTTTCTGTTTGTTAGTTTTCCTTCTAACAGACAGGACCCTCAGCTGTAGGTCTGTTGGAATACCCTGCAGTGTGAAGTGTCAGTGTGCCTCTGCTGGGGGGTGCCTCCCAGTTAGGCTGCTTGGGGGTCAGGGGTCAGGGACCCACTTGAGGAGGCAGTCTGCCCGTACTCAGATCTCCAGCTGCGTTCTGGGAGAACCACTGCTCTCTTCAAAGCTGTCAGACAGGGACATTTAAGTCTGCAGAGGTTACTTCTGTCTTTTTGTTTGTCTGTGCCCTGCCCCCAGAGGTGGAGCCTACAGAGGCAGGCAGGCCTCCTTGAGCTGTGGTGGGCTCCACCCACTTCGAGCTTCCTGGCTGCTTTGTTTACCTAATCAAGCCTGGGCAATGGCGGGTGCCCCTCCCCCAGCCTCGTTGCCGCTTTGCAGTTTGATCTCAGACTGCTGTGCTAGCAATCAGCGAGACTCCATGGGCGTAGGACCCTGCGAGCCAGGTGCGGGACATAATCTCGTGGTGCGCCGCTTTTTAAGCCGGTCCGAAAAGCGCAGTATTCGGGTGGGAGTGACCCGATTTTCCAAGTGCGTCCGTCACCCCTTTCTTTTACTCAGAAAGGGAACTCCCTGACCCCTTGCGCTTCCCAAGTGAGGCAATGCCTCACCCTGCTTCGGCTCGCGCACGGTGCGCGCACCCACTGACCTGCGCCCACTGTCTGGCACTCCGTAGTGAGATGAACCCGCTACCTCAGATGGAAATGCAGAAATCACCTGTCTTCTGCCTCGCTCACGCTGGGAGCTGTAGACGGAAGCTGTTCCTATTCGGCCATCTTGGCTCCTTCCCCGGGGAAACACATATAATGTTTTAAAAGTATTCTGATCTCTGGATTCTTAACTTGGAGGCCATGGATAGGCTTAAAACTCATCCAAAATGTTTTGTGTGCTTTTGTTTTTTTGTAGAGGAAGTTTCCAAAACTTTCTTCTAATTCTCAAAGAGATAGTAGAACAATTAATCTAATCTCAATCTCTAAATTCACCTGTGAGAAAAATGAGACCTGGATCTGTTGCTAGATCTATGAACAGACCAACTATGAGACCTTGGCCAGCACTCAGCCTTCTGCTGGGAGGAAGGGTCAGTGCTGCCTAGAGAAAAGAGCACTAGACTCAGAGAAAGCAAGGACAAAGCACAGAGCTTGTGGGAGAAACCATCACGGACTCAGACTTCTCCTGGCACTCAGGTGTCTGCTTTGCTTTCTCTTCACTCCTCCTTGTTGTATTACCCCATCTCCCACTGCAGAAATTTACTTTACTTTTTGATATACAAGATACTGAGACTGCATCTGTCAAATTTTCACTGCCAAAATTATTTTGCAAAACTCTACTCAGTTTTATATACTCGTGTGGTTGTTTCTCTTTGTTTTTCACTAACATTGAAAGCAAATCTACAGGAAATACTTTTTTTTGCTTGGAAGAGGAATAGAGATTATAATCTAATTTGGTAAGTACATTTATGAAATACTAGGACGCTAAATATTCTGCATTAATTTGGGGAGGTGGCCTTTTAAATTTTAATTGTCAGAAGCTACATTTCCTACTGACTTATTTAACAGCCTGAAGTCTTTCTAAATAAAAGCAAATTTTAGTGCAATATATAGACAACCTTAATCCAGACAACAATATAATAGTTCAGCAGCCAATCCTGAAAAGATTATTCAGGATGCAATCCAGTGCTACTGGTAACTGTATACCTCACTGGAGATAAACCCAGAATAAATAACATGCTTGATGCTTCTAATTCCTTAAAATCAACATAAAAACCTTGCGAACTATTTCATGCCAGGTTTGACAGGTGGTGATAGTGTTTGAGGAGGCATAGGATATACTGCAGTGATAGCAATGAATGGTGCAGCATTTGAGGTGTGCTTGGGTAGAGAGCAAAACAAGCCTGAAGAAGTTAAATTGAAGTGCTTCACAGCATATCACTTTGCTGAGCTGCCTTTAAACTACCTTAAAATATTTTCCACTTTTGGAAAGTTTCAGAGATCAGCAATGCATAGAATGGCATTCAGATGAAAATATGGATGATAGTTGTACAAAATTAAGAGTTTGAAGAGCATAAAAAATGCTGCTGAAATATTTTTTAAGAATCTGTGATCTCACCAGCTTTGTGAAATCTTTGTAATGTTTCAGATTTATTAATTCTACTAATTGCATGCTTTTGCTTTGTCTCTGTGCATTATGAACCCTCTCCTGTCCATGCTCATATCAAGTCAGATAAGAAGTATAAGTTTTAGTTACAGGAAACTGTTCAGTGAATAGAATTATGATAATCAGAATAAAGACATCATTTTATGAAGTATTTTGTATCATTTAAGTACTATTTTAGCTGCTAAGCATAGAAACACACTAAATGTTCAGAATATGCTTCCAGAATTAAATTTTAAAGTTAATAGTACTTTCAGGAGATTCCCTCTTAAAAAAGAACAGAAAATGATAAATTGAAAAGATAATCTGGACCAATCACAAAATAAGGGGTTATATAAAAGTTTCATGCTCTTATTTTCTTGAGCAAGAAAAACATTTTAAAATAATATATTCAACTTATTTAAGAGAAAAATTAATAAATGTGCTTCTACCCTTGTGCCTAGAAATAATTTTAAAGCCAAGTGAGATTTGTGTCTTTCTTTGCTTCCACTTGGAGTACTACCTGTGACTTTTGGAAGAATTTCTGTATATTTTGTGTCTTAAAACATAAAATTAATATACCTTTATTGAGTTTCTACTAAAAGTCAGGAATAGTGGTCAATGCGAGGTTTTTTATCAAAGATGTGTAAGGGATGGTCTCAGTGCTCAGGTTGTCAGGTTATTTATACTTCAGTTGAGAAAGGTTTAAATACAAGATGTTTTAATGCACCCCGAAATAAGATTATAATATTGAAACAATTCAATCTTTCGTGGATTTCCAAACTTACACCAAGTAAGTTTTCCTGAGATTTAAGTAAAGGAGATCTTGTTTTTTTAGAAGCGTTGGAAAGATAAACAGTCACAGACTAAAAAATTGACTACTTGAAGAATTGTCTAATTTGGTTTATGATCAATTCAAAAAAGAACATGCTACAAAAATATTATTTAAAAGGTCTTCTCTTTTATTATACAATGGAAGCTGTAAACATGGATACTCATTTTGATTGTTCTTTTAAGTCGTTTTATAACCTTGGACAATTTTTCTTACTTGCAAATGAGATTTTTTGAAATTCCTTTTCTTTTAAAATATGTGTATTTTCTCTTTATGGAGAAGCAATAGTGTGAAAATTTAAGCCAATATATGGAATTTCATTTTAGCTATTTTAAAATACCAATTTTTGTGGGGGCACTCGATCTCATGTTCTTAAAAAATTATATTTGTAGCCAAGGATGAAGAACAAACACAAAACAATGCAAAAAAGGAAAGGGTTATGAAAAACAATTGTGTGTTTCTATATTTTAAAAAATAATTCAATTAGCAAGCAACTGTATATTTCATATTTCATATTCAAAATGGGTTTCTTTTTTGTTTTATTGAATATTCTTAATATTTCCATTGTTGACAATTTTCACTGTCAAGGGTCAATTGTACAAATTTTATTGGGAGAAATGTAAATGCTGCATAGTTTAAATTCCATTCTGGAACTTCTTTTGTTTAGTCTTTCTGTATAAATTTTCTATATAGAATAAAATCCATTGTACATATAGATGTTTATGAATTTTTCTCTGATTTTTATTTTCTGTGTAATACATATAAATATATTTGAATGCATTTTCTTGTTATACAGGCAATTTTGCTCTTCCTGTCCTGAAAATTGAAAGGCCAACTAAAGTGTAATATAAAAATTATTGGAATACATTCAAGTCCACAATTCTTTCACTCCTCAAAAGATACCCCGAAACAACTGTCATTAAAACATAACGCAAAGTCATTTAAAAGGAGCCAATTGTTTCATCATTGCAGCAAACATCTTTTCAAAGTGGGAGCAATCGTGTTTAAATACACAATAAAATGTGTATAAAATATTTTTTTATGAAAGCAGCTTTGTGCAAAAGATGAATTTTGACACTGTCTCCAATAAGTGAATGTTCTAAATAATTCTATTGCAAATGAATTGGTTTGAATATTTCTTATTTCTTTGTAACTAGATTTCATGCGTAAATCATAAATATGGGAGATGACATGTTAGCAAGCATGGAAAAACAAATTCTCCGTCAATTGAGTGGCATCCAATATCACAATCAAGCAACACTGAGTAAAGCTGTGGATTTCACCCTGTAAATCATGATTAGGTTTGAATGTGATCCCTTAATGATCTTAAGTAATGAATTTGCTTCTGGTGTTCAAGCAGTAGGACAGGTCCCTGTGGTGGGAACATATGTCTGTCTTTAAAACTGCTGATTTGAAATGGTACCTCTTCAAATGTTCTCATTATATCCTTTTATAATGGCTCTATGTTTCCCTTCTAACAATATTCTTTCTAAAATGAATTATTGTCTGGTTAAGAAGTCAATGACAGTCTCTTGAGATGACTTCTTAGAGAGTAAATTTATTTTAGAAATTCATATCGTACAAAAGAAAACATAAAATCATTGTAATAGGTTGAAAGGAAGCTCCCCACACAGTCCTGACTGACAGAGAAGAGAAAGCAATCTTAAATCTTGGCTTCTTTCCTCACGCTGGCAATAAGGGTGCCAATAAGTGCTGATTATGATGGTGGTTTTTTATGAGGTAGACACCTGTTAAGTAGGAACTGGACTGTGACCATCAACTCATTTCCCACACACCACTAAACAGCTATCCATTTTTTTAATGACTTTTGGCCAATGTTCATTTCTAAGCCAGTAGTTCTAATATGGCCCAGGTTGGTATTACACCACTTAAACTCCCCAATGTATACGAATAAAATAGAATTGAAATAATCTCTTTTAAGCAGAAATACAATATGATACGGTAAATGGCATTCTAAAAAATAAAAAAATAACTTTGACTAAAATATTATTTTTATCTGTAAGTAAAATAAATATATTCAAACGTATATAACATTCGTATGACATATACATGAACTCAATGTTGTAGCCATATCCATGTGTAGTTATGCAAAAAGGGACACGCATAAATGCATAGCAGCATTGCTGCAGACCACCTTAATATTGTTACTATACACATACACACCTCTCTGAGTTTCCATGTAGTGCTTCTCAAGCACAGTTATAAACATGTTAATTCCTTAGTGAAAAACCTTCCCTGGCATCCTATTTCTTATCATTTCTTAACACAGCCATCTAAGTCCTCCATGGTGTATCCAGTCTGTTTTTCTAGGCTTACCATTAAATATCTCCATCCTTTTCCGTATGTATGTACATATTCTGTTCCAGTAATATCAAACTGTTACTGCATTACAGGTCCTGAGGTTTCTTAACTATCTTTTGTTATCTTTTTATTTTCACTAATAGTTTTCCTCCCATAAGTCTACCTAGAAAACTCTATTAACTTTACCAAGTCCTATTTAAGTGGTGTTCTTTACATATTCTTCCTAATTCCCCTATTTAGAATTATTACCTCTTTCTTTTGCGTTCACATAGTAAATTATACCTTTCTCGCATCACTGATCAAACAGGTGGATATTTTACTCTCAAATGATTATATTTGTTCAACTACTTATATTCCCAACTAGACTGTAAGTTTCATGGGTTCTGGGGCTACACCCTCAACAATTGGTCAAGCAGAGATCATGCCATGTTCTAGCATCCATGGGAACAAATGTGGGGCAAGAAGGATATAGGGAGGAATATCTGTAAATGGATCCTAGGCAGTCAGTTGGTAAGAGGGAAAGCTCTTAAAAATACTTCTTGATTATATTTCCTACATTCCTCATAGTTTGCACTGCTTGCTTGAAATGTTTTTAATCCCTCTCCTAAGTTAATATTTATGTCAAGTATTCCAACTTAAACTAATTTGTTGAAAAGATGTCATGTTTGGAAACTTTTCTCAGGTGGAAAGACTGCTGCCTGTATCCAACTCTACATACATTTGAGTCCAGTGCTATGCAAATATGATAACGAAAACTCAGAGAGGCTTGTTGATATGCTGTATTTCAATGGGTAAGTCTAAAATCCTGATGAAAATAAAATCTGCTCTGATTTTTACATTTATAAACTGAGACACCATCTGACAACTGGGCAGCAATATGCAAATAGATTTGCTGGGATTTTTAAGCAGCTTTCCCTGTAATTCAGATGTGCATAGTGCAGAAAGTCTCCTTTGCTTTCTGCACATGTCCAAAGTAACTGTTCTAAATCTGATATGAACCTGTCCCCTTATCCCAGTGAAAAAATACTGCTATGGGAGCTAAATTGGGCTGGGAGAAAAAGACTGAGACCACCAAGTATTTTCAGAATGACCCCAAAGGCCATCTGTCTTTCTGACTTGTAACTGATATTGGTGCTAAGACTTTGGTAGATCAGTTCCAGCCCAGACAGCTCTCATTTTATGTATATAGAAATAAAATGAGCTTTGGGTTACAAATAATCAGCTTAATAACAACATCAGCATCTGCTCAATATTATAGTTATTCCTAACCTTGGTTGGATTCCTACTTTGCATTCTAATCTCCCAGAGTGTAGTTTTTACCATAGAACTAACCGTCTGCTTTGTACTTAAGAATATAGGTTCCAACTATTTAACCCCAACTCTTCATTTTACACTACTAAATTTACTTTACCCACGCGAATATTCCATTTTCCTTATTTGTAACATTTATAGTTTAGCAATCTTACCATGCTTTGTTTATATATTTTTCCGTGCAAATAGGGGTTTTGATACTTTACTATCCTTTATTAATTTGCTTGCTTTATATACACATATATTTCTTGTCTCATACTCTTGGCTTAGCAAAACTTTCCATCCATCATTTATCTGTTTCTTGAGTCTATGTTGTAACGTGTCCTCCTCTTTGTTGATTTTTTTTTTTTTTTTTTTTTTTTTGAGACGGAGTCTGGTTCTGTCGTCCAGGCTGGAGCGCAGTGGCGCGATCTCGGCTCACTGCAAGCTCCACCTCCCAGGTTCACACCATTCTCCTGCCTCAGCCTCTCGGAGTAGCTGGGACTACAGGCGCCCCCCACCACTCCCGGCTAATTATTTTGTATTTTTAGTAGAGACCGGGTTCCACTGTGTTAGCCAGGATGGTCTCAATTTCCTGACCTCGTGATCTGCCCGCCTCGGCCTCCCAAAGTGCTGGGATTACAGGTGTGAGCCTCTGTGCCCGCCCTGGTGCTTCTCTTAAATGCCATTTCCGTTAATACCTGCTAGAAGACAGCTGACAACTAATATGCCCACTGATAAGAGGTGTGCCTCCTTTTAAAATATAATTGAATGTAATAGGCCCTCTAGAAATGTGTAAATAGAGAGGATCTCAGGTCCCATTCCTGATGTGTAATTTTCAGGACCAGAGCTAAATTAGCAAAAGAGGTTAAGAACTAGTAATGAACTAGACTTATTTTGCCAATTAGAATTACTGCAGTGTTGACAGGCCCTCCCTGGAAACAGATTCCATCAGAACCCGTGTTTTGCAGCACCACACTTTCCATCCTCAGTCACAGCTCATTGGATATGCATTGTGCCCCTTACCCAAGGTCAGCAAATCCATAGGCCCATAAGTCAAATGCAGCCTGCTCTTGTTTGAAAAGGTAGACATGCCAGTCATATTCTCCCTCATTTGGGAATTTAGTAGGAGAACAAGTCAGGATGAGAATTAGGCAAAATTATGGTTTAGAGAGAAGTTATAAAGTAAAAAATTGTATTCAAAGAACTGGAGAATGGAAGAGACTTATAGTCAAATTATAATGGGCAGAGCATTAGGGGGCTGGTCTAAAAATTCTTACTGTTAAAGTTTCTGGAACTATAATAAATCCTTTCAGTTTTAAAAGACAAATCATTTGTTTATGAGATCTAGCGTGTTTTTTTCCTCATAGTTGTGCATCAAATTCTCACTTTCCTCATTCCTACATATAGACATCATATGAACATATTACAAATTTTGTTAATGTTTAAATTTTTGTTGGGTACATAGTAGGTGTATATATTTATGGAGTACATGAGACATTTTGGTACAGGCATGCAATGTGTACTAACTACAGCATGGAAAATTGGGTATCTATCCACTCAAGCATTTATCCTTTGAGTTACAACAATCCAATTATATACTTTTAGACATTTTAAAGTGCACTATTAAATTATTACTGATTATATTCCCCATACTATACTACCAAATACTATGTGTTATTAATTCTATTATTTTTGTTGTACCATCAAATACTAGGGCTTACTAATTTGTACTATCAAATACTAGGTCTTATTAATTCTTTCTATTATTTTTGTACCCATTAACCATCCCCACCTCCACCCTGCCCCACAAATACCTTTGCCAGTCTCTAGTAACCACCCTTCTATTTTTTATGTCCATGAGTTCAATTGTTTTGATTTTTAGATTCCACAAAAAAGTGAGAACATGTGATGTTTGTCTTTCTGTGCCTGGCTTGCTTCACTTAACGTAATGATCTCCAGTTCTATCCATGTTGCAAATAACAGGATCTCATTTTTTAGGAATGAATAGTACTCCATTGTGCATATGTACTACATTCTCTTTATTCATTTATCTGTTGATAGACATGTAGGTTGCTTCCAAATCCTGACTATTGTGAACAGTGCTGCAACAAACATAGGACTGCGGATATCTCTTTGATATCCTAATTTCCTTTCTTTCCAGCATGTATGCGGAAGTGGGATTGCTGGATAGTATGGTAGCTCTATTTCTAGTTTTTGAGGACCCTCTGAACTGTTCCTCATAGTGGCTCTATTATTTATATCCCCACCAGCAGTGTACAAGTGTTCCCTTTTCTCCATAGCCTCACAAGCATTTGTTATTGCCTTTTACATAAAAGCGATTTTAACTGAAGAAAGATGATATCTCACTGTAGTTTTAATTTGCATTTCTCTAATGATAATGATGTTGAGCACCTTTTCATATGCCTATTTACTATTTGTATGTCCTCTTTTGAGAAATGTCTATTCAGACCTTTTGCCCATTTTTTAATTGGATTATTATATTTTTTCCTATAGAGTTGTTTGAATTCGTTGTATATTCTGGTTATTAGCTCCTTGTCAGATGGGCAGTTTGCAAATATTTTCTCACACTGTGTGGGTTATCTCTTCACTTTCTTGGTTGTTTCCTTTGCTGTGCCGAAGCCTTTTAACCTGATGTCATCTTATTTGTCCATTTTTGCTTTGATTGCCTATGTTTGTGGAGCATTACTCAATAAATTTTTGCCCAGACTAATGTCCTGGAGAGTTTTCCCAATGTTTTATTGTAGTAATTTCATAGTTTGAGACTTAGATTTAATTATTCAATTCGTTTTGATTTGACTTTTGTATAAGGTGAGAGATAGGAATCCAGTTTCATTCTTCTGCATATGGATATCCAGTTTTCCTGGCAGCATTTATTGAAGAGACTGTCTTTTCCCCAGTGTATATGCTTGGCACTTTTGTTGAAAATGAGTTCACTGCAGGTATGTGGATTTGGTTCCTGGTCCTCTATTCTGTTCCATTTGTCTATGTGTCTGTTTATATGCCAGTACCATGCTGTTTTGTTTATTATAGCTCTGAAGTACAATTTGAAATCAGGTAATGTGATTACTCCAATTTTGTTCGCTTTGTTCAGGATAGCTTTGGCTATTCTGAGTCCTTTGTAGTTCCATATGAATTTTATGGTTGTTTTTTCTATTTCTGTGAAGAATGTCATTGGTATTTTGATAGAGATTAAATTGAATCTGTAGATTGCTTTGGGTAGTATGAACATTTTAACAAAATTGATTCCTCTAATCTGTGAACACAAAATACCTTTCCATTTTTTGTGTATGTCCTCTTTAATTTCTTTCATCAGTTTTTTGTAGTTGTCATTATAGAGATCTTCCACTTCTTTGGTTAAATTAAATCCTAGGTATTTAATTTTATTTGTTGCTATTGCAAATTGGATAACTTTTTAAATTTCTATTTCAGATCATTCACTGTTGACATATAGAAATGCTAATGATTTTTGTATGTTGATTTTGTATCCTTAAAACTTACTGAATTTATTAGTACTAGTAGGTTTTTGGTGGAGTCTTTAGGTTTTTCCAAATATAAGATAATACAACGTTCAAACAAGCAAAATTTGACTTCACTTCCAATTTGGATGCCCTTTATTTCTTTCTCTTGTCTGACTGTTGTAGCTAGGACATCCAATACTATGTTGGGTATCAGTGGTGAAAGTGGGCATCTTTACCATGTTCCAGATCAAACAGGAAAAGCTTTCAGTTTTCTTCCCACTATGACACTAGCTGTGGCTCTGTCATATATGGCTTTTATTATGTTGAGGTATGTTCCTTCTATACCCAGTTTTTTGAGAATGTTTATTGTGAAGGAATGTTGAATTGTATCAAATGCTTTTTAACATCAATTGAAATGATTATGTGGTTTTTATTCTGTTGGTATGACATATCACATTTATTGATTTGTGTGTGTCAGACCATCCTTGCCTCCCTGTGAGAAATCCCTCTTGGTCATGATGACTGATCTTTTAAATGTATTGTTGAATTTGATTTGCTAGTATTTTGTTGAGATTTTTTGCATCAATATTTCTCAGAGATACTAGCCTGTAGGTTTACTTTTTAATGTGTTTTTGTCTGGTTTTGGTATCAGAGTAATGCTGGCCTTGGAGAGTTTGGAAGTTTTCCCTCTTCCTCTATTTTTTTAGAACAGTTTGAGTAGAATTAGTATCAGTTCTTTAAATGTTTGATACAACTCAGTAGTGAAGTCATTGGGTCCCAGGCTTTTCTTTACTAGGAGACTTTTTACTAAGGATTCAATTTCATTACTTATTGGTTTGTTCATGTTTTGGATTTCTTCATGATTCAATATTGGTAGGTTGTATGTGTCTAGGAATTTATCCATTTCTTCTATATTTTTCAGTTTCTTGGCACATAGTTGCTGATGGTAACCACTAATGATCTTTTGAATTTCTGTGGTATCAGTTGTTATGTAACCTTTTTTCAATTCTGGTTTTATTTAGTTGGAGCTTCTGTCTTTTTTTCTTTGTTAGTCTGACTAAAAATTAGTAAATTTTGTTTATCTTTTCAAAAAGTCAACTTTTTGTTTCATTAATCTTTGGTGTTGTTTTCTTCATTTCAAATTCATTTATTTCTACTCTAATATCTATTATTGTCTACTATTTTGGGTTCAGTGTGCTCCTGCTTTTCTAGTTCTTTAAGATGCATTATTAAATAACTTATTTGAAGTTGTTCTTTTTTGATGTAGGGACTACTTTTTCGGTGTAGGCATAAATGTTTCTCTTAGTATTGCTTTCACTGTATAGCATGTAGGTTTGATAGTTTGTCTTTCCATTATTATTTCAAAAATTTTTCCATTTTCTTCTTAATTTCTTATTGACCCACTCACTAATCATTCAGGAGTCTATTGTTTAATTTCCACGTGCTTGTATAGTTTCCAAAATTCTTCCTGTTATTAATTTCTAGTTTTATTCCTTTGTGGTTAGAGAAGATGCTTGATATTATTTCAATTATTGTTAATGTTTTAAGACCTGTTTTGTGACCTAACATGTGATCTATCCTTTAGAATGTTCCATATGCTGAGGAGAAGAATGGGTACTCTGCAGATGTTGAGTGAAATATTCTGTGAACCTCTATTAGAACCAATTTTTTATAGCACAGATTAACTTTCATGTTTCTTTGTTGATTTTCTATCTAGGAGATCTGTCCAATGATGAAAATGGGGTGTTGATGTCTCCAACTATTATTGTATTTGCATCTGTCTCTTGCTTTAGCCCTAATAATATTTGCTTTATATATCTAGGAGCTACAATGTATGGTACATATATAATTACAATCATTATATCCTCTTGCTGAATTGGCCCTTTTATCATTATGTAATGGCCTTTGTCTTTTTTTACACTTTTCATCTTGAAATCTATTTTGTCTAAGTATAGCTACTCCTACTTTGTTTGGTTTTCATTGGCATGAAATATCTTTTTCCATCCCTTTATTTTCTGCCTATGTGTATTTTTATAGGTTCTGTATTTCTTGTAGGCAACAAATCATTGAATCTTGTTTTTCTCCAACCTTTCAGCCACTCTACGTCTTTTGATTGGAGAGTTTAATTCATTTACATTTAATGTTGTTATTGATAAGCAGAGACTTACTCCTGTCATTTTATTAATTGTTTTCTGGTTTACATATTTTTGAAAATCAATTTCTTTATTACCTGAAATAATTTAAGTGTGTCTCTGTTCTTCACAACCAAATGTGTAAAAATGCACCAAAATGTGTAGACGGTGGGGAAACAACAACTTCCAAAATAAAACATGGAAGTTGTTATTTTCCAACTATCTACATCTGTCGTATTAAAAATAATAAATATTAAAGTTTGGGTCTTCTCCAAACATGACTATTTTCTTCTTTTTGTCTGAATTTTTGTGATTTTAATTTCTTAAACTGAGACAACTTTATATGGTATATACTGAAAATCAAGTACCTTAATACAATTTTTATAAATCTCTATATAAAAGTAAATAATATTCTTTACTTGGATCAATTATAAAAGATAAAACCTAACATTCTCAACAGATAACATCCTATTATTATTAAAATATAAACTAAATTTTATATAATAACTCATTTTAATTTGTTTGCTAAATTGAACTTAGCATTTCATGCTTTTTGGTGATACATGATTAGGAGACTTGTGCGTGTGTATGGAAGCCCTTGTGTTAGACAGTACTAATATGGCCTCAATGATCCTCACCTGCTGGTATTCATGATCTTTTCTAATTCCCTTCCGTTAAACGTGGGCTAGGCTTACTGACTTGTTTCTAACAAATATGATGTGGCTGAAGTAATGGAAGGTAACTTTTTGGCAAAGGTTACAAAGAGATTGTGACCTCCATTTTGCATGCACACTGATGCTTTTACTCACTAACTCTGAAGGAAGGTAGCTGCCCTGTAAAGCCTTACAGGACATGGAACTAAACAAACTCTTTGACCAAATAACCACTGAGTTGAGGCCCTCAGTCTGATAGCTCACGAGGCTTAAAATCCCGTCAACATCTATGTGAATGAGTTTAGAAGCAGATCCTACTTCCATAGAGTGTTCATATGAGAATGAGCCCTGGCTGATACCTCGACCACAACTTCAGGAGAGTCACTGAAGCAGAGGCATCCAGCTAAGCCAAGCTGAGTTTTCTGACCCACAGAAACCATGAAATAATAAATGTTTGTTGATTTATGCTACAAAGTGTTGGGGCAATTTTTTATGCAGCAATTGATAACTAATTTTATCATCAAGAATGTTATTTTTTATTGTTGAAAATTACTAAGATGAACAAAAGCTTCTAATTGAGAAGAAAAAATCAAATGCTATCTTGCCATTTCTAGAAAAATAATAAATGAGAGGTTTCCATTTGCTTCAGCTCTCATTTCTTTACATCCTGGTAATTAGCAAAGTTAACCTATAGATAAATTTATTATACATTTTCATTCTCCAGTTATTCTTTGCTAGATTGAAAAAGTTTGTTGTGACATTGTGATCAATAGATAATCAACCACTCTGTCATATATACTGTTTTTTTTTAATTTAACTTCACTTTTGTATTGACTGTAATGATTCAAATTTTTAAGGGAAAACATCAGCATGATCTTTCTGTGCATTATGTTCCAATTTCACTGATTTTCTATAGTGTATTTTTATATGTATATAATCTTATTTTAAAAGCCAATGGGTCAATGTAAAGTTTCTTTTCTAAGTTTCTAAAATCTTAATTATGGTAGTTCTTATGGTAGACATTCTAAATTATCTTCTTTTGTGAGTTCTTTCTTTGTGCCTGTTTTGCTTATCTATTGCTATTTAACAAAATACTCTGAAACTTAGTGTCAAAAATAACAACCACTTATTTGCCCATGAATCTGCAATGTGGGCAGGGCTAATTTTTGTTCCACATGATTGGCTGGGATATTCATGCAGCATATTTGGTTGGGGTCTTGACTGGAACTGAGATAGCTAACAGGTCTTTGCTCACATAACAGGTGCCTCCGCTGCTATGCTTGGCCCAGCTATGAGCTGGCCAAGGAACTCATGCTTTTCTTTGCTTAGTTTCTATAGCACAGAAGCTATACCTTTTTACATGTTACCTCAGGGTTCCAAGAAATTGAAATGTAAAGCTGCAAGACTTCTCAAGGACAATACTGAAATTGACACTGCAATAGTGTCAATTGATAAAAATTCTATTAATAAAAATAAATCCCAAGGCCAGCCCAGAATCTATGGGGAAGAAATAGACAAGA
This sequence comes from Homo sapiens, assembly GCF_000001405.40. NCBI lineage: Eukaryota > Metazoa > Chordata > Mammalia > Primates > Hominidae > Homo > Homo sapiens. Next base: position 104,465,977 of record NC_000005.10, read on the forward strand.
GCTCTTGATGGAAGAAGTGGCATCTGCATATAAAAATGGAAGAATTAATGGTGACTATATGTGGCAATTATTACTCACAGTGCTCAGGAGGTTTCAGCTTTAGCTATATGATGCTAGTTGTTGATTATGGTTTCTATGAAGAAAGATAGGAAATTTAGTAACAGACAAAGCTTGCTGAACTTAAAAATATAAAGATTAACACAACTCAGAAGAAAATCAGCATTTCCCTGATCTGTAGATTTGAAATTATAACCCTGGAAGAGTTGGAAGAGACTGAAACATTTTTAGATTGAGAAAGGGATATTAAAGTCCCAAAATAAACACTATCTGAGTGACAGAGGAGTCAGCAGAAACTTTATAGTTTAGTGGAAAAGGATGATGAAAGGAAAGCATTGAGGGGGGAAAAAAGTAGGTAAAGATAATCTTTAAAGAGTTAGAACAGTGCCTGGCTCTATAGTTTAAACTGAGAAGAGAGGCAGTTTCCCTGTCAAAAGATATTAATAAAAGAAATAGCCACATGATATGTTCTACAGATTTATAGTCTACATTGTGATTTTTTTGAGCCCCTGTTGCTTCCAGAAGCATGGTATTCACATTGTTAAAAATACAGTAGAAATGAGATAAACTGTGTTTGTAATCTTTAAATATTCACTTGCTTTAAAATATAAGATCTTATCACTTTTAGAGGAGGATAGAGGAGGTTGCTATCAGTGAGTAAAAGTAAACGGAAGGATTTATGTAAGGTATTTGGAATAGGATACAATGTGCACATTACAGTTCAGGGAATTTGTGGAATCCTGGCATAACAGAAATGAAAAACAACACTTTTCTAAAACTGAATTAAGGGGATACTGCTAGCCAACTGGAATGGTGTATAAAACCTGTACTATTTCTACAATATTTATTTTATGAAATTTAAACCATCTTTAATCAATGAATGCATAATCCTATTACAGAATGATTTATATTTAAAAACTCACTAAGAAATTAGTATATTATACTATACTATGGTCATTTTAGTAGGATTGAAGTGATATCTCTTGTGGTTTTAATTTACATTTCCTTAATGACTAATGATCTTGAGCAGTTTTTCTTGTACTTATTGGCCATTTAAATCTTCTTTGGATAAATGTTTATTCAGATCCTTTGCTCAAGTTTTAATTGGTTATTTGTCTTTTTATTATTTAGCTATAAATATTCTTTATATACTCTGGAGACAAGACAGTCACATGTATGATTTGCAATAGTAGTATTTTGTGTTTTTTCTCTTTCATCACTTTCAATGCAGTTATTTTCAGCGCAAAAATTTTAAAATTAGATTTAGTTCAATTTATCTATTTTCCTTTGTTGCTTAGGATTTTCTTGTCATAGCTAAGAAAATCTTGTGTAAGCTTTCATCACGACTTACTATGAATTCGTTCTTAAAAGTTTTAGAATTTTGGCTCTTACATTTAGGTCTATGATACATTTTCAGTAATTTTTATGTATGATATAAAATAAGCAGTCAACATCACATTTTTGCTTATAGATATCCAGTTATCCCAGCACCATTTGCTGAGGAGACAATTTTTTCCCAATTGGATTGATTTGTCACCCTCATTGAAAATCAATGAATGTTAAATGTAAGGATTTACTTCTGGATTCTCAATTCTATTCCATTGAAATGTATGTTTATTCTTACACCAGTGCTAAATGGGCTGAATTAGTGTAGGTTTGTAGTACATTTTGACATTGGAAAATATGAGTCCTCTGAATTCGTTTTTCTCTTTTGAGTGTGTATTAGCTATTATGCATCTCTTGCACTTGTGTATGTATTTTAGAATCAATTTGACTTTTTCTGCAAAAAGACAACTGGCATATCTGTAACTATTTTGTTGACTCTATAGAACATTTGAGGTAATATTGTCATTTTAACATTAAATTACCAATTCTTTCACATGAGATGCCTTTTCATTTAGTTGGATCTTCTTAATTTCTTTCAACAATGTTTTCTGGTAATCAGTATGCAAATTTTGCATTTGTTTGTCAAGTTTATTCCTGTATTTTATTCTTGTTGATGCTATTAGAAATAGAATTGCTTCCTCCATTTTGTACTTTTTTCATTTCTTCTGTGTAGAAATTTTTTTTTATTTTTAAATTTCCGTCATATAGCCTGGAACTTCGATGAATTTGGTTATTAGTTCTAATATTTTTAATTGAATTCCTTAGGATTTTCTATATATGAGATCATGTCATCTGCATCTAGCAATAAGTAATTTCTATGACTCTTGTTTATTTCTCTCGAAAAATTGCCGTGGCTGTACCTCCCTTATGCAGAAGTAGTAAGAGTGGATATCCTTAACTTGCTTCTGATTTTAGAAGAAAATTCTTAGTTTTTCACCATGGCATATGATATCAAGTGTGGGATTTTCATAGATACACTTAATCAGGTCAGAGAAGTTATTTTCTGGTCCTATTTTATAATGAAAAGGTGTTGGATTTTGCCAATTGAATTTTCTGCACCTATAGAAATAATTATGTTTTTAATTTTTTATTCTATTAATATGATGTGTTACATTGACTGGTTTTCTTATGTTAAGCCAACCTTTCATTTTTCAGATATATCCCATTTGGTCATATTGTATAATCTCATTTAAATGTTGCTGGAATTGATTTCATGTGGTTTGTTGAGGATTTTTATATCTAAATGTACTGGACATTTGATCTATAGTTTTCTTTTCTTGTATTTTCTTAGTTTTAGTACCAGTTTTGGCCTGATAGTATAAGTTAGGAAATATTCCTTCCTCTTAAATTTTTTGACAATTTTGAGAAGAGTTGTTATTAACTCTTCTTTAAATATTAGTAGGATGCACTAGCGAAGCCATACACCTGCTTTTGGGAGAAGTTATTCGTTACTAATTAAAACTTTTCACTTGTTATACACCCATTCTGATGTTATTTCCAGTAGTTTGGGTATCCTTATAGCAGCACCCCACTCATGGTACCAATTTACTGTATTAGTCTATTATCATGCTGCTAATAAAGACATACCCAAGACTGGGTAATTTATAAAGGAAAGAGGTTTAATGGACTCACAATTCTTCATGGCTAGGAATGCCTCACAGTCATGCCAGAAGACAAAGGAAGAGCAAAGCGATATCTTACATGGTGGCAGATGAGAGGGCATGTGTTGGGGAATGTCACTTTATAAAACCATCAGATCTTGTGAGACTTATTCACTAACATGAGAACAGCATGGGAAAAACCTGCCCCCATGATTGAATTATCACCCACTGAGTCCTTCCCATGACACGTGGGGATTATTACAATTCCAGGTGAGATTTGAGTGGGGACACTGAGCCAAACCATATCATTCTTTCTCTTTAGTCACATTTGGTAGATTATGGCTTTCTAGTGACTTGTCTAGAGTTCATTTAGTTAATATACATTTTTAGCCAGAAGATGCTCATAGTATATCCTTATAATCTTTTCTTTAACCCTCTCTAAGTTCCATAGTAATTGTCATGCCTTCTTTTTTTTTTTTTTTTTTTGTAAATCGAGTCTTCCCTCTCTTTATAGTATTTTTGGTCAATGTACATAAATGTTGGCCAATTTTGATGACATATTAAAGTGCCAATTTTTTGTTACATTAATTTTATGTATTTATTGTTTTTATATTCTCTATTTTATTTATTTTTACTAGTTTTTAATACTCCCTCCTAAATGAAAATTAAGAGTTAAATTTTCACTTAGTTTTCTAATTTCATAAGGTTGCAGTTTTAGTTATTGATTTGAGATTTTTTGTTTTTTAGTGTAGGTTTTTATAGCTATAAATATCCTTCAGAGCACTTCTCTAGCTACATTGTATATTATTCTGTGATGTTCTGATTTTATTTTCATTTATCTTAAAATATTTTCTAATTCATTTGTATAATGTATTTTTTCTAATTTTCTAATTTTTGATGTGAAGTTTTTTAAAACTCGGTTATTCAGGAGTTCGTGCTGGTTAATTTTCATGTAGTCATGCAAACATTCATGATGGGAATATGTTCTGAGAAATTTGTTGTTAGACAGTTTTGCTGTGTGAGCATCATAGTTTACACTTACATGAACCTAGACGGTATAGCATGCTACACTCCTAGGCTATACAGTGTGGCCTATTGCCCCTAGGCTACAAGTGTGTACAGCATGTGACTCCACTGAACACTGTAGGCAACTGTAACATAATGACAAGTATTTCTGCATCTGAGCATATCTAAACATAGAAAAGGTACAGTAAAAATACAGTATTACAACCTTATGGGAACACTTTGGTATTTGCAGTCCATCATTAAATGAAATGTTATTATGAAATGTATGATTATAATTAGAAATGCCCTAAATTGCCTTATGTTATTAAATTCTAGTTTAATTCCATTTTTTTTTTTTTTGAGATGGAGTCTCACTCTGTAGCCCAGGCTGGAGTGCAATGGTGCTATCTCAGCTCACTGCAACCTCCGTCTCCCGGGTTCAAGCAATTCTCCCTGCCTCAGCCTCCTGACTAGCTGGGATTACAGGCACCCGGCACCACACCCAGCTAATTTTTGTACTTTTAGTAGAGACAGGGTTTCACCATGTTGACCAGGCTGGTCTTGAAATCCTGATCTCTGGTGATCCACCCGCCTTGGCCTCCCAAAGTGCTGGGATTACAGGCATGAGCCACCATTCCCAGACTTTCTGTTGCTTTTGAAAACATATTTTGTATGATTTCAAATCTTAAGTTTATTGAAGCTTGTCTGATGCCTACCACATGGTCTCTCCTGTGGAACGTTCTATGTGCACCTGAGAAGAATGTATAGTCTACTACTACTGTTAAGTAAAGTGTTCTTCTATAGATACTCCTTATTTCTAGTTGATGTATTTTTCAAGTCTTCTATTTCCTTCTTGATCTTCTGCTTATTTGCTTTTTCATCATTGAATGTAGGGTATTGAAGTTTATAATAATAATTGTTTAATTTTCCATTTCCCCTTTCAATTATTAGTTTTTACTTTATACATTTTGAGTCTCTGTGTTACGTGCATATTTTGATGTGAATTAAAATAAAAACACAGCATACCTAAATATATGCAATGCAGCTAAAGAAGTACTCAGATATATATATATATGTTTATATATATATACACTCACACACTTATATTATAAAACAATATATATATTTCTTATATATAAAAATGTATATATAATACTCAGTAATATATATGTGTGTATATATACTTACAGTACAAAATACACTTATTGTGTATGTGTATATTTAATATATACTTACAGTATAAAACAAGAAATATGTGAGATTTTTCTAAATATTTGAGTCATTTATAATCATTAAATACTTCTTTTTTCTACAGTAGCACTTTTTTGTTACTGTGGAAAACTCTTTATTACTATACTTCAACTCCCTTATGGGTGCCATTTGCATTGTATATTTTTGTTATCATTTACTTTCAAACTATTTATATTATTATATATAAAATGTGCACGTAGTTGAATCATTTTAAAAATCAAATTTGATAATCTTTCTAAGTAATTATTTATTTCAGTCAAATTTAATGATATTGATATAGCTGAATGTACATTTTTAATTTTGCTCTTGGTTTTCTCTATATCTCATTTGTTTTTTATTTATTTTTATTGTATTTATTTATTTTTTTTTGAGACAGAGTCTCGCTCTGTCACCCAGGCTGGAATGCAGTGGCACAATCTCAGCTCACTGCAACCTCTGCCTCCTGGGTTCAAGCTATTCTCCTGCCTCAGCCTCCCGCATAGCTGGGATTACATAGACAAGCCACCACGCCTGGCTAATTATTGTATTTTCAGTACAGACGGGGTTTCACCATGTTGGCCAGGCTGGTCTCGAACTACAGACCCCAGGCAATCCACCCGCCTCTGCCTCTCAAATTGGTGGGATTATAAGTGTGAGCCACCGCACCTGGCTCTATGTCTCATTTATTTTTTGTACTTGTGTTTTGTTTTTCCTGCCTTCTTTTGTGTGCAGTGAATATTATCTAGTGTAATATTAAATTAATTTTAAATACTTTAATAATTTTTAATTATATTTTTGTATTTTTTCTCAGTTCTAGTTTTATAAAATACATTTTAACTTTATGTTTATACCATCTTAATTTTATATTTTTACTGCTTCATGTTTACTTCATATTTATACTAACTCAATTCTAGTGAATTATAAGAACTTTACTCCTATATAGCTGTATTTCCTTCCCTTCTCTCCCGTTTTTTTCTATTATATATATAAAATGTATCTAAAATAAAATATTAGATCCATATATCTAAATGTAAAATAAAATCTATTTTATTTATATAAAAAATAGAAAAATATATATATACTGTGCCTGTCAGTCACAAAACCAGTGATATATTGTTGTAATTACCATTTTTAAAAATGTTACATATTTTAAAGAAGTTGAGAAAATAAAAGGGGGCACATAAATATTTGCAGTTGATTAAACTAATATTCTATTTATAATCTCTGACTTTTTATTTTTTCATTTGAATTCACATTACCATCTGTTATTATTTACTTCAATAAAGGTTTGTTCACAATTGTCTCCTGCTCTTACTATCAAATATATTACATTTCTATATGCTATGATTCCAACAATACATATATACACATACACATTTAAATATATATTTTAAGCTATTGTTTTTAAAATCAGTTAGGAAAAGAAAAAAGAAGAAAATTTAACTATATTGTCTTTTATAATGTCTACCTAATTTTCTTTATTGGCACTCTGTTTTTTCTTAGGGATTAAATGAATGTGTTGTCACTTACTTTCAGCAAGAAGAATTTTCTTTAGAATTTCTTTCAAGGCGGATCCTCTGGCAATAGATTCTCTCCTCTTTTGTTTATCTCGTAATGTCTACTTCACCTTTGTTTTTGAAAGATAGCTTTGTTGTGTATATGATTCTTGCATATTTTGACTTATAGCACTTTGAATATGTTATCACATTGCCTTCTCACCTCCATTGTTTCTGAAGGTAAATCAGCTATTTTATGACCTGAACTGTGTCCCCCATACTTTGTGTATGGAAGTCCTAATCCCCATGGTATATGATAGAGCCTATTGAGTCCTAATCCCCAGTGCATATGATAGGGTCTATTAACGTTCAATTAAGTTTAAGTAAGGTCATAGGAGTAAGCCCCTGAACTTGTAGGATTTGTGTCCTTATAGTGATAAACACCAGAGAGCTTTCTCTCTCTCCCATTTTTTTCTCTCTCTGTTTCTATGTGTGTGTACATTCTGAGGAACAGCTTTGTGAAGACATAGAAAAAAGGTAGCTGTCTGTCTGTCATTAGGAATAGAGCCCTTACCAGAAACCAAATTTGATTACACCTTGATTATAAACTTCTCTCCTTCAGAACTGTGAGAAAGTAAATTTCTGTTGTTTAAGCCACCCAGTCTATGATACAGACATACCACAGAAATATTGTGGCTTTGGTTCCAGACCACTACAATAAAGTAAATATTGCAATCAAACAATTTTTTGGTCTCTCAGTGCATATAAAAGATATATTTGCTCTATACTGTAGACTACTAAGTGTGAAATAGCATTTGTCTAAAAACTGTATATACCTTAATTAAAAATACTTTATTACTAAAAAGTGCTAATAATTACCTGAGCCTTTAGTAAGTTATAATATTTTTTCTAGTTGAGGGTCTTTCTTTGATCTTGATGGCTGCTAACTGATCAGGTTGGTGTTTGCTGAAGATTTGGGTGGCTGTGGACATTTTTAAAAATAAGACAACAGTGAAGTTTGCTGCATGGACTAGCTCTTTCTTTTGCATGAGATTTCTTTATGGCATGCAATGCTGTTAGACAGCATTTTACTCATAGTAGAACATCTTTCAAAACTGAAGTCAGCCCTCTCAAATCCTGCTGCTGCTTTATCAGCTAAGTTTATGTAATATTCTAAAACTTTTGCTGCCACTTCAAAAATGTTCACAACACCTTCAACAGAAGTAGATTCCATCTCAAAAAAAAAAACACTTTGTTTGCTCATTCATAAGAAGCAACTCCTCATCCATTCAAATTTTATCACGATATTTCAGCAATTCAATCACGCATCTTCAGGCTCCACTTCTATTTATAGTCCTTTAAATATTTCTATCACATCTGCCGTTATTTTCTTCACTATAGTCTTGTACCTCTCACAGTCATCTGTGAGGGTTAGAATACACTTCCTCTAAACTCCTGTTAATATCGATATTTTGACATCATCCCATGAATCACATGTTTATAATGGCATCTAAAATGGCAAATCCTTTGCAGGTTTTCAATCTTTTTCAGGTTTTTAGGTTTTTACTTTGCCTGGATCCATCACAAGAATCACTATGATGGCTCTAGCCTTAGAAATGTGTTTTTAAATAATAAGACTTGAAATTCAAATTTGCTTCTTTATCCCTGGGATGCAGAATGGATGCTGTCTTAGTAGGCATGAAAATAGCATTATTTTCTTTGTACATTTCCATCAGAGCTCTTGGGTGACAAAGTGCATTGTCAACGAACAGTGACATTTAAAAATGAATCTTTTTTTCTCTAAGCAGTAGGTCTCAACAGTGGGTTTAAAATATTCAGTAAACCATACTACTCACAGATATGATGTCATCCAGGCTTTGATGTTCCATGTATAGAATACAGACAGAGTAGATTTAGCATACTTCTTAAGGCCCCTATGATTTTCCAAATGGTAAATGAGCACTGGCTTCAACTTAAAGTCATCAGCTGTGTTACCTCCTAATAAAAGACAGCTTGTCCTTTAAAGCTTTGAGCCAGGCATTGACTTCTCTGTAGAGAAGATAAATCTTCTGAATAGTTTCCTTCAGCTTCTGTACCAGCAGTTGCTGCAATACCTTGCACTTTTATATTATGGAGATGGCTTCTTTGTTTAAACCTTATAAACAAACTTCTGCTAGCTTCAAACTATTAGATTGGTGCAAAAGTAATTGCAGTTTTTGTATTCTGAAGCTGTTGCACGTCTTTCAGCCATCATAGAATTGAAGAGGGTTAGGGTTTTGCTCTGAATTAGGCATTGGCTTAAGAATAGTGTGTCTGGTTTGATCTTTTATCTAGACCACTAAAACTTTCTCCATATTAGCAATAAGCTGTTTCACTTTTTTAGCACTTGTTCACTAGAGTAGCACTTTAAATTTCCTTAAAGAACTTTTCCTTTGCATTCACAACTTGGCTGTTTGTCACAAGAGGGCTAGCTTTAGACCCTTCTCAGCTTTCAACCTGCCTTCTTCACTAAGCTTAATCATTTCTAACTTTTGATATAACGTGAAAAACACATGACTCTTCCTCTCATTAGAACACTTAGAGGTCATTGTACTGTTATTAACTGAACTTGTTTTCATATTGTTTTGTCTCAGAGAGTGGGGAAGATCAAGGAGAGATAGAGCAATGAGGAAGCAGCTGGTTGGTGGAGCAGTCAGAATGCAGACAGTTGTAGATTAAGTCTGCCATTCTGTATGAGCACAGTTTGTGGTGCTCCAAAACAATTACAATAGTAACATTGAAGATCACTCATCACAGATTACCATAGCAGACATCATAATAATAAAGTTTGAAAGATTGCAAGTATTAACAAAATGTGGCACAAAGATACAAAGTGAAAACATACTGTCGAAAAATGGTGCCAATAGATTTGCTTGTTGCAGGGTTGCCCAATTTGTAAAAATAAATAAATAAATAAATAAAATTAAAAAAAATTATCTGTGAAGTAAAATAAAGGAAAGCACAGAAAGCACAATAAATCAAAGTATGTCTACACTTTGTTGTAGCAGCTTGAACAGATTAATACAGCTATTAATTTTATTGGGGTTTTCTTGTATATGGTGACTATGAGTAATTTTTCTCATTACTTTTAAAGTTTTCAACATTTTCACTATGTTATGTCAGGGGGTAAAATTTTCTGCATTTATTCTATACTGAATTTTGTTTAGTTTGTATATGTTGAATTATGATTTACACCAAATTTGGGAAATTTCAGACATAAATTTTTTGAACCCCTTTTTCTTTCTCTTATTATTCTGGTACTCACATCATGCAGGTGTTGGTGTACTTAATAATGGTATCCCATATTTCTCTGAGGATTTCTTCAGTTTTCTTCATTTTGTTTGCTCTTTATTTAGATTGCATAATCTCTAGTGATTTATCTTTAAGTTCATTGATTCTTTCTTCTGTCAGCTAAAACCTACTTCTGAGCCTTTCTAGTCAATTTTTTTGTTGTACTTTTTAACTACAGAATTTCCATTTAATTATTTATTGTAGTTTATCTCATTATTTTCTTGGGATAAGACAGTACCATTATGCCTTTCTTTAATTTTTAGATGTGAATTTCTTTAGGTCTTTGAGCGTATTTATAATAGCTGTTTTGAAGTCTTTGTTTCCTAAGTCCAAGCTCTTGTACCCCACTAATGTAGTTTCTATTCCCTGCATTTTCCCCCTGTGTGTGGTTCACTTTGTTATTTCTTTGTATATCTCATAATTATTTGTTGAAAATTAGACATTTCATATATTATTTACTTGGTCATGTGCATGTCTGCATAAGATTTGGCTGACCTAGTTTGTGGAATATACTCCCTCAGTACTGTGCAGCCTCTGATAGCCTTGCTCAGATTTTTCTTTCTTGATATTATCTTCTAGCCTGGACAACCAGAGATGGTTCCTAGATCAGTATGAGTCACTTGTTTGTTAAAATTTATGTTTAAGCCATTTTGGCCCATTATGTTTTTACCCTTTACCATTGGATTGGTATTTGGCTTTGAATTTTGCTCGTACGGTTTAAGGAGTTTGTGTTTTTGCTTCATGGTCAGACAGTGACTAGAAGGTTGGATATCCCTCTTTGATCAGTCTTGGGAGGGTGCAAACTTTGGCATTTATTTAGGTCTTCCATATTGCCAGAGATAATTGCAAATTTATTTTTTTCCTAGGGTCATCCTACGGTCAGAGAAACTTATTGTTCAGCCTGTGTTTCATCCAAAGTTGTGATTAAGCCCATATTGCTGGTTAGGTTTCTGCCATTTGTTGATAGATCTAAGTGCAGTGTGGGGAATAATTTTCCATATCCAATTGCCCCATATCTAGCTCTGAATGCTCCTGAGTGGATGCAGCCAAGCACATATTCACTAACTTTCATAACTTCAGAGTTGATAGCCTGATCTCAGAAGGACTTTTCTTACTTGTTTATTTTCCTAATTTTCTGTGAAAATTCTGGTCACTCTGCCTTTTTACTTATTGCTATCAGTATTATGGAGTTACCATAATCCTCTCTTATTTTTTTCCCAGTATCTCCATTGTGTTCACCAATGCCCTTAGATACAGAATTTCTCATGTACTGTTTCAAATAATGACTGTCCCCTCATCAGGCATACAGAGTTCTTTATTCTTATTGTCTGTCTCATTCCCTGGGAAGAACCTCTGCACCAGAACACAGGAATTGTGGGGAGGATATTCTCCTGGAATGACACATCTATTAAATGAGTGGACCCTGAGGTAGTAAGAGCCCTGGCCTTCTTGGTTTGCCTCTCTGTGCATGGAACATTCACCCCATGAGCAAACTGAGACAAGGGCAATTGTATCCCATTATTCTCATCTTGCCACAATTGGAGTAAAGCTTTCCATTACAAGTAGGGGATGGGTGGTAGCAAAGAATTCTTTCGTCATGCCCACTCAGAATAGAGCTACTGTAGCATGTGGCTTGTAGAATAAAAAGCATCAGTGGTCTTCCCTTCCAGGGAGAAATTATAGCCTTACACTGGGATCTAGGGAAATGAGAAGTTAGTCTTTTTTATGTTAACTGCCTAGGAAAGAATGGCCAGTGTTAAGTTTCCATAATACTGAGATGCAGGAGGAGTGAAAAGAATAGGTCCTGGCTCAAATGATGATATAATTTTGCTGTGTCCCTTTGAAATCTCATTTTGAATTTTAGTTCCCATAATGTCCATGTGTCATGGGAGGGACCATGTGGAGATAATTGAATCATAGGGCAAATTCCCCATCCTATTCTCATGATAGTGAGTTAGTTCTCACCAGATCTGATGGTTTTATAAGAAGCTTCCCTCATTACTGGGCGTTCTTTCTCTCTCTTGCTGCCCTGTGAAGAGGTGTCTTCAGCCATGATTGTAAGTACTCTGAGGGCTCCCCAGCCATGTGAAACTGTGGGTCAATTAAACCTCTTCTCTGGCTGGGCACAGTGGCTCACACCTGTAATACCAGCACTTTGGGAGGCTGAGGCAAGAGGATCACCTGAGGTCAGGAGTTCAAGACCAGCCTGGAAAACATGGCAGAACCCAGTCTCTACTAAAAATACACAAATTAGCTGGGCATGGTGGCAGTTGCCTGTAATCCTAGCTACTTGGGAGGCTGAGGCTGGAGAATCACTTAAACCTGGGAGGTGGAAGTTTCAGTGAGCCCTGATCACGCCACTGCACTCTAGCCTGGGTGAACAGAGCTAGAATTCATTTCAAAACAAACAAACAGAAAAACAAACCAACCTATTTTCTTGATAAATTATTCAGTCTTGGGTATTTCTTCATAGCAGTGTGAGAATGGACTAATACAGTAAATTGGTACTGGGTAGTGGGGTGCTGCTGCAAAGATACTGGAAAATGTGGAAGCAACTTTGGAACTGGGTAACAGGAAGAGGTTGGAACAGTTTGGAGGGCTCAGAAGAAGTCAGGAAAAGATGAGAAAGTTTGGAACTTCATAGAGACTTGTTGAATAGCATTGACCACAATGCTGATAGTGATATGAACAATGAAGTCCAGTCTGAGGTAGTGTCAGATGGAGATGGGAAACTTGTTGGGAACTGGAGTAAAGATCACACTTGCTATGCAAAGAGACTGGCAGCATTTTGCCCCTGCCCTAGAGATCTGTGGAACTTTGACCTTGAGAAAGATAATTTAGGGTATCTGGCAGAATAAATTTCTAAGTGGAAAAGAGCTCAAAAGGAAGCAGAGCATAAAAGTTTGGAAAATATGTAGGGTGACGATATGATAAAAAGAAAACCCTGTTTTCTGGGGAGAAATCTAAGCTAGCAGCAGAAATTTGCATCAGTAAGAATGAGCCAAATATTAATCACCAAGAAAATGGGGCAAATGTTTCCAGGGCATGTCAGAGACTGTCATGGCAACCCCTCCCATCACAGGCCTGGAGACCTAGGAAGAAAAAATGGTTTCCTGGGTGGGGCCCTGGGCATCCCTGCTCTGTACAGCCTTGAGACCTTGTGCCCTTCATCCCAGCTGCTTCAGCTCCAGTCAGCGTTAAAAGGGGCCAAGGTATGTCTGGGGCCACTGCTTCAGAGGGTGCAAGCCCCAAGTCTTGGTCATTTCCATGTGGTGTTGAGCCTGTGGGTGCACAGAAGTCAAGAATTGAGGTTTGGGAACTTCCACCTAGATGTCAAATGATGTATGGAAATGCCTGATCTCCCAGGCAGAAGTTTGCTGCAGGGGCACAGCCCTCATGAAGAATCTCTGCTAGGGCAGTGCAGAAGGGAAATGTGGGGTTGGAGTCCCCACACAGAGTCCCCACTGGGGCACTGCCTAGTGGAGCTGTGAGAAGAGGGCCACCGTCCTGCAGACCACAGAATGGTAGATCCACTGACAGCTTGCACTGTGTGCCTGGAAAAGTCACAGACACTCAACACCAGCATGTGAAAGCAACCAAGAGGGGGACTGTACCTTGTACCCTGCTGAGCCACAGGGGCAGGGCTGCCCAAGGCCATGGGATCCCACCTCTTGCATCAGCATGCCCTGGGTGTGAGACAAGGAGTCAAAAGAGATCATTTTGGTACTTTAAGGTTTAATGACTGCCCTGTTGGATTTCGGACTTGCATGGGGCCTGCAGTCCCTTTGTTTTGGCCAATTTCTCCTATTTGGAACAGGTGTATTTACTCAATTCCTGTACACCATTGTATCTAGAAAGTAACTTACTTGCTATTGATTTTACAGGTTCATAGGCAGAAGGACTTGCCTTGTCACAGATGAGACTTTATCCTTGCAGTTTTGAGTTAATGCTGGAGTGAGTTAAGAATTTGGGCGACTGTTGGAAGAGTATGATTGTGTTTTGAATTGTGAGAACATAAGACTTGGGAGGGGCCAAGGGTGGAATGATATGGTTTTGACTGTGTCCCCACCAAAACCTCATCTTGAATTGTAGTTCCCATAATCCCCACATGTTGTGGGAGGGACCAGGTGGAGATAATTGAATTATGGGGGTGGTTTCCACTATACTTTTTCTTGTGATAGTGAGTTAGTTCTCACAAGATCTGAAGGTTTTTTTAAGGGACTCCCCCCTTCACTGGGCACTCATTCCCTCTCCTGCTGCCCAGTGAAGAGGTGACTTCTGCCATGATTTCAAGTTTCCTGAGGCCTCCCCAACCATGCAGAACTGTGAGTCAATTAAACCTTTTTTCTTTATAAATTACCCAGTCTTGGGTATTCCTTCATAGCAGCATGAAAAGGAATTAATACAGTAAATTTTCATACTGAGATTTAGGAGATTAGTTTGAATGAATGTTTATCCATTTACTGTATGCCATATGACAATATCTAGAAACTTTATTTTAAAAATTATTCTCTATTTTTTTCTTAATGATATAACCTCACTTTTATACTCTCCTGTTTTTTATTATCATATTTTAAGTTCTGGGATACATGTGCAGAATGTTCAGGTTTGTTATATAGGTGTACATGTGCCATGGTGGTTTGCTGCATCCATCAACCTGTCATCTACATTAGGTATTTCTCCTAATGCTATCCCTCTACTAGCTCCTGACTCCCCAACAGGCTGCAGGGTGTGATGTTCCCCTCACTGTGTCCATGTGTTCTCATTGTTCAACTCCCACTTGTGAGTGAGAACATGCAGTGTTTGGTTTCCTGTTCTTGTGTTAGTTTGCTGAGAATGATGGTTTCCAGCTTCATCCATGTCCCTGCAAAGGACATAAATTCATTCTTTTTCTATGGCTGCATAATAGTCCATGGTGTATATGTGCCACATTTTCTTGATACACTCTATCAGTGATGGGAATTTGGGTTGGTTCCAAGTCTTTGCTATTGTGAACAGTGCTGCAATAAACATATGTGTGCATGTGTGTTTATAGTAGAATGATTAATAATCCTTTGGGTATATACCCAGTCATTGGATTGCTGGGTCAAATGATATTTCTGGTTCGAGAAATCACCAGACTGTCTTCCACAATGGTTGAACTAATTAACACTCCCACCAGCAGTGTAAAAGCATTCCTATTTCTCCACATCCTCTCCAGCATCTGTTGTTTCCTGACTTTTTAATAATCACCATTCTAATTGGCATGAGACGCTGTCTCATTGTGGTTTTGATTTGCATTTCTCTAATGACCAGTGATGAGGAACTTTTTTTCATATGTTTTTTGGCCGCATAAATGTCTTTTGAGAAGTGTCTGTTTATACCCTTCTTCCACTTTTTGTGGGGTTGTTTTTTTCTTGTAAATTTGTTTAAGTTCCACATAGATTTAGGATATTAGACCTTTGTCAGATGGATAGATTGCAAAAATTTTCTCCCATTTTGTAGGTTGCCTGTTCACTCTGATGATAGTTTCTTTTGCTGTGCAGAAGCTCTGTAGTTGAATTAGATCCCATATGTCAATTTTGGCTTTCATTGCCATTGCTTTTGGTGTTTTAGACATGAAGTCTTTGCCCATGCCTATGTCCTGAATGGTATTGCCTAGGTTTTCTTCCAGGGTTTTTATGGTTTTAGGTCTTATGTTTAAGTCTTTAATCCATCTTGGGTTAATTTTTGTATAAGGCGTAAGGAAGGGATCCAGTTTCAGTTTTCTGCATATGGCTAGCCAGTTTTCCCAACACCATCTATAAAAATTATTTTCTTCAGTTAAATGGTTGTATAGCAGGGAAGAGGTCCTGCTGAATACCTCACTATGTCATTCCAGAAATCTGCCTCTTTTCGTTGCATTTTGAATGTGCATTTTATTTTTCTGATTCGGAAGACTTGATTGTTAAGTTTGTTATTGTTTGGACATAATAATCACACCAAATTCTGCTTTTTAAAACATTGTAAGTCTAAAATGATGTCAATATATATAAAAAAGTAAAACTTGAACAATTGATAATTTTGGTCAACCTAATATCAAAGCATTTTTTGATGAAAATATCAAGCCCATTTTATTGATAAAAATGAAGTGATCATTTAGCTTAATTTAGGATATTTTTTCAAAAATGTTAGCTGGATAGGCTGTGGTTTTGTTATTTGTTTTTCACCATATCTGCATAATATGCAACAAATTGGCATTTTAAAATTAACCCAACAGTAAGTTTTCAAATTCTGTATTGTGTTACCTTTTTTAAAACATGAATTGTTCAGATGTGTTATTTATACTGGTGAATTGTTAAAAATTAATTCTCAGTCCTTTCTGTTTTAACATGCTTGTTTGAACTTGTTTAAACATAGTCTGTGACTATGCCTATCACACTCCAACAAATGGATCAACATATCCCTATGCAATTGAAACACTTATTAACACAAAACATTTCTTTCATGGCTAAAGTATATTTGCCTCTATTTAAAGTCTAATAAATGTACTTTGGAAAGGGAATTTATATTAGTGAATGTATAACTTACTTAAATGTAGATCTAATAAAACCAAGAGAAAGTTAATTGTTAAAATGGAGGCTTCATACTAGGTAAAGCAAGCAGATATCAATGATTAAGTAACTTTGGAGGGGGTTTATATTGAAACAAACTCTGGAAGGGTGATAAGATAGCAAAGTACTGAAACTAGAATGAGTTTTTGCACACGTGAAAGGAAAAAGAAGTGCATATGGATTCCAGTCACATAAAACTGTCAACTCCAAAATTTACTGCTTCCATGGTCAATCACTTGGATAGCATTATTCTGTGATGTATTAAATGTATGAGCTATCTCTTATTTTTTCTTAAATACAATAAACAAAACAATAATCTTATTTTTATGACATGTTTAATGAAAGAAAATGTCAATAAAATTAATCCAGACATAAAACTGATTATAGAAAAGTATATGCTAGTTTAAAATTTTTATTTTTTTGATAATTTTTTTTACATTGTACAGTCTGCTAAACAATGAAATCAAATCTTATTTATGGTTTGAGACTACAAATAGCTCTCCAATTCTAAATACAAACTTAAAAACTATAGAAATTAATTCAACTACATCTAAAATGCAATCTTTTAAGCTTTTATTTTACAGGTAGTCAGTTAAAAACACATAGTTGCAATAGTAAAATAAAATGAACCATATTTTCACATTCGTTTTTGTTTCCCAATTTCTATGAAGTAAGATAATTTGCACAAGCTTTATGAAAACTGTATAGGAATTTAATTAATTAATTAATTTTATCTAGTTTATATAGTTTTTAATATTCTTTAAATGATAAGAAATTATACTTGCCATTGGAGCAATTAAATCTTTAAAAAATTAAAATTCAAATTAACTGATAAAATACTGGACATACATTATTTTGCTTTCATAGTGTGTATCTGAGTTTGGATAGACATTTAAAAAATAAACAAACAGCCTGAATATTTAAAATCGACATAAGGGAAGTGAATAGGAAAGTCTCTGAAGAAAAATAGTAAATATTGTGGTCTACTGAATATGTGAATTATACTGAACAGTTTATTAGAGATGTGTCAAAGATGCATGTGATGCTGAAATTTTATTTTTCTCTTCATTGTATGAACTGAAAAGTTCTCTGCATATAAATAGCTCTTTATTTTGTGTTTGATAGCCATAGTCACATTTGTGACTCTAAAAATTAACTCTATATCCAACTGAAAAATACTAATCCCTAACAAAAACAGAAGAATGTTGTTTATTATTACTTTTTAAAAAAATTTCCCACACATTGGTAAAACCTGTGAACACTAGTCAACAGTTATAGAATAGGTTTTCAATTACCATACATATGACCTTGAGAGATAAGAATCGCACTAAAACTGATCTTCCACAATTTAAGATCCTTATTTTCAAGTTTGATTACGTATTTCATAAACAGTAAAATTTGGTATGCATGTTTCATTTAAAGTTTCCTAGCAAGAAACCTCCTTTTTCCCAATGACTTTCAGTTTTGAAAGGAAACACTTTCTGAGAACAATTTGTGGTTAATGCCTTTCAGTGGGCATGATCCCACTGAGAAGTGCTCTAGCTAACTTGCTCTGGGTTGTGTTCCAACTTAGTTTAAGGGACTTTAGGGGACACATTCCTGCTGATTCCACTGTTCTTTCCTGTCTTCCTTTTTTTTGTAATCTTGACCCAAAAACTATTTTAAGTGATGTCTGATTTGGCTTCCTATGGTGCTCAAATGTTCACTGACAAAGGATTATTGAAAGAATGTGTGACTCTCCCTTTCTTTTCTTGAATTCAGTTTCTGATGTCGATATTAATGTGAAAGGGTCATCCACAAAGAGACAAAGAATACTAATGTTACAAGGCTTCTCAGCTCTTCTCCTTTATCTCAGTTGGTAGACTCCAAACCAAAGGGATCAAATATCTTCTATCAATCACCTCCTTAAAAACATCACCATCTGTGTCATCATTGGCCTTTAGGCTGTGAGGATTATTCCAAAAGTGCTCCTCTCTCTGTACAGTCCATCAGTTGAAAGCTGTAGAAAAATGGGATTTTAGGGCTAAAGAGCACCTTAAAGGTGAAATAGTCCAGCCCCCTTATTTATAGAGTTAGGAAATTGTGGATTATAGTGAGTAGGTTGTTTGTCCATGGGCATGAGCAAAGACAAAGAAATAGACAAGAAAACAGTTT